>NC_000001.11:30803835-31428835 GCF_000001405.40 Homo sapiens | reverse complement strand
CAGGCCACCTACCACCCACCTCACTAACCAAAGGCTGAGTCCTAATTCTTCTTTCTCTTAACACCCCTCAGATTACTTGCCCTCCTCCCCTGCTGAAACCCCATCTCATCACACTGAATTCCTTCATCTCCACCTGGCCCACTGTCCCCCTCCTCCCTGCTCTCCGTCTGGAGAGTCTGCCCAGCCTCTCCCACCACAAGGCCTTTGCCGTCGCTGTGCCCTCCCTCTGACAAGTTCCTTCCCAGCATCTCCGCACAGGCAGCGCCTCTTCAGTATTCAGACAGGACTCCTGCGGAGCCCTGGGAACCTGAACTACGGCAGCCCTGCACCTGCCAGCCACCCACCTTTCAGCCCACACCCTCTTTCATGTTCCACATTGCAATATTACCCAAAATCACCTCACTGGGCCTAGTCCCCTGTTGCCTGTCCTTCCCCACCCCTCACCACACATGCACATAAAAACATGAACCTGAACTCTGTGATTAAGAGCACAGGCAGCTAGGCATGGCGGCTCATGCCTGTAATCCCAGCGCTTTGGGAGGCTGAGGCGGGCAGATGGTTTGAAGTCAGAAGTTCAAGACCAGCCTGGCCAACATCGCAAGACCCTGTCTCTACTAAAAATACAAAAATTAGCTGGGTGTGGTGGCGGGTGCCTGTAATCCCAGCTACTCGGGAGGCTGAGGCAGGAGAATTGCTTGAACCTGGGAGGCGAAGGTTGGTTGCAGTAAGCTGAGATCATACCACTGCACTCCAGCCTAAGTGACAGAGCAAGATTCTGTCTCAAAAAAACAAAAACAAAAAAAATTTTAGGCTGGGTGTGGTGGCTCATGCCTGTAATCCCAGCACTTTGGGAGGCTGAGGTGAGCAGCTCACTGGTTACTTGGGAGGCTGAAGCACAAGAATCACTTGAACCTGGGAGGCGGAGCTTGCAGTGAGCCGAGATTACACCACTGCACTCCAGCCTGGGCAACAGAGCCAGACCCTGTCTCAAAAAAAAAAAAAAAAAAAAAAGAAAGAAAGAAAAAAGAAAACCAGAGCACAGACTCTGGAGCCAGCCTGCCTGGGTTTGAATCCCAGCTCCCCATGTGACCTTGGCTAGGCCTCTTCTCTAAGCCTTTGTTTCCTCATCTGCAAAGTGAGGATGAGGATGGTGTGAGGATCAAATAACATGTCCGAGGCCACTAACTACTGGCTATCATCATTATTCTTCCTCCCCTTCCTCACAGCCATATCCCCAACATCTAGAAGAGGGCCTGGTACACAGGAAGTGCTCAAGAGGTATTTGCTGGATAAATACTGATTGCTGTGTGACCTGGGACACAGACATCGCCTTCTCTGGGCTTCAGCTTTTCTTACTGGGATATGAGGCTCTGACCAGAAGGGAGGTTCCCAGCCTTTCTGCTAAAGACCCCTGAAGACTACCTAAGCCCCCTGAAGCTGCCGGTGTGCTGAGATCTCAAACCACAAAGCACCACTGTACTCACAAGGGGCTCCAGCGGTACTTTCTGAAGAACACGCAGTTCCTCTGGGAGCTCCTGCCCATTATTCCAGATGGTCTTGGATTGGAAATGTGAAATTGCACCTTCCTACACTACTTCCAGAGGTGTCTAGGAATCACCACTCAGGGACTGCCCCTAATGTTCTACTGATTTGCATAAAAACAAAAATGACAACAATAATAACTACAATAATAGCTAATGTCTGAGAGATATCTACAGGCCAGGCATGGAGTGTTTACAAATAGGATCTCAATCCTGAGAATAACTCCAATAGTAGGTCTTATTATCTCCATTTAATATTTGAGAGGCAGAGAGAGGTTAGGGCACCTCCTAAAGACACCCAGCATGAAGCCGTGAGAGCCTGACTATAACCTGGGGAGGCTGACCTGGGAGCCCACACACTCAGGCCGTGCCTCTGTGATGACAGCCCTAGCCCCAGGACCCAGGTTCCTACAAGAAGTCCCACCCACTAAGGGGCCGGGCTTCAGGCCAGGGGGGGTCAGGCAGGCTCACCTGGACCTTGGGCAGGACAGCAGCGATGGACACGCAGACACAGAAGGTGAGGTTGAGGCTGATGAAGACCTTGCCCTCGTGGCAGCCGCTGGGCTCAGTGTAGTACATGAACATCAGCGCCACGGCCGCGATCGACAGCAAGTAGAAGAGGAGAGTGAAGAAGAAGAGGCCTGGGCCAGAGGGGTAGTGAGAGGGTAGGCAGTGGGTGGGGCAGGAGGAACAGGGATCCCTACTCCCTCGAGGGACCCTGTTGGCAGCTCTCCCCCTCTCCAGCTCTCAGTTTCCCCACTTGAAGAATGACGTCACTGCCTTTCACCAACACCTTTGTGAGTCATTGCCCCACCCTGAGCTAACATGATTCACTTGCTACCTTGTAATAAGGGAATTGTAACAATAAATACAATGAACTCAAAACAGTCTTGCAAAAA
This sequence comes from Homo sapiens, assembly GCF_000001405.40. Taxonomy (NCBI): domain Eukaryota; kingdom Metazoa; phylum Chordata; class Mammalia; order Primates; family Hominidae; genus Homo; species Homo sapiens. The sequence continues at coordinate 31,426,395 of NC_000001.11, read as the reverse complement.
CTGAACGAGGTACAGGCTGTTGACCTGCCCTCCCTGTCTGAGAGATACTGGCAAGTCTAGGGAGGTGTGGAAACCAAACAGCACCCAGGTGAGCCTTTCTCCTCGTTGTGTTCAGAACTGAAAGGACCAGGGACTCACCCTGCTACTGGGGTTTCAGGGACCAGGTGTCACTTGAAGTTCAGCCTGGGCACCACCAAAAGGGCGTCCCACACTACTGGCTGTGTGTGGCCCACCCTGCAGGAACCCCCAAACAAGACCCCTCCAAGGCCTCTCCAGGTCAGCTCTCCTCGGATTCCCTGAAGTCATCCCAGGATCAGCTGGTGCCCCCCATCTCCCTGGGACAATTGGAATCTTGACCTAAGGCAGTGGCTGCTAGGGATGCCCCCCAGTTTTATCTAGCTTCAAGGACCCTCGATTTCTCAGGCAGCCCCAGCCCTGCCCAGGCTCGAGTCCCCACACGGAGGCAGGGTGGCAGCACTGACCTGCGTACCAGGCACGGGAATCGCACTCCTCGGCCTTGCCCAGCCACCGCTGGTTCCAGGAGTGCGCAAAGTCGATGAGCAGCACCAGCTGGATGAGGATGAAGAGGAAGGAGCCCACGACGCCGAAGTAGAACCAGACTGGGTGGGGAGAGGGGAGTGAGGCGAGGAGGGTCCCTCTCTCACATCTACTCGTTCAACAAGCGTTTTCTGCTACACCCTGCACCGGGGACACTGAGAAGAACAGAGTCCCTGCCCTCAGGGAGCCCCTAGCTACGCACAGAGGGCAGGATATGGGTCGGGGCAAGACAGCTCCCCCTACCCCTGGGTTGCACAAAGGCCGTGTGGCCAAGCACCACAGTGCTGTCTCACGGGTGGGGAGCGAGGACCTAGCCAGCAGCCAGGGGTCTGTGTGCCCCAGCAAAGAGCAGCCCCACCACGTTCCTCCAACCTGCCGCCCCACTTCCCTCCCCACAGCCCCCCATGCCTCCTGCCAAGTCCGCCTACTGTTGGTGAAGGAGCCGTCAGGAATGTAGAAGGCACCCACGGTGAGGCCCACCAGGATCAGGAACTTAAAGAACCAAAACCTACAGAAGGGGTCGGGGAATGGACAAGGAAGCTGAGTGCAGGCAGGGAAACTGGAAGCCAGACTGGGCCTGGCCCCAGAGCCCCCACCCACAAACAGCAGGTGCTGAGAGGGGTGAGGGTGGGCTTTCTGGTGGTCTGATAGGCACAGAAAGTCTCTCCTGGCCCTGGAAAAAACCCTAAGGGGCAGGAGGAAGGACCAAGCAGTGGTGAGGGTGGTCACCCAGGTCCAGCCCCAGCTGTGTCACTGAAGTGCTGCGGGGCCTGAGGCTTGCTGCCACCCTTTCTGAGCCTTACTCTTCATCTGAGAAATGGATATAACTCAGAGCTGTTCTCCATGCTGTGCCCTCCCGTGGCTCCTGAGTGGTGGGTAGGGTCTGCAGATCCCTGGACAGGCAGAGGAGCGGGCAAGGCACTGGGGGAAGGTCCCAGGGTGCAGGCAGGGACCCCTCTCTCACCCATTCTGGATGGCAGCCCGGGGGTCCCGGCTGCTGCTCACGCAGAGCATGAGCAGGGTGAAAAAGAAGAAGAAGGCCGCCGTGGCGAAGCACATGCGGTAGACAGCGCGGTAGCCAAGCAGGGAGCCACAGTCGATGTGGCCCTGCAGGACGGTGGGGATCCCGGCCCCCTCCTCACACACCCAGGGCAGCTGTGGAGACAGACAGAGCAGCGTCAAAGCCCCACCTCTCACAGAACCCTGGCAGCTCCCTTTATAAACCAGAGCCCTGGTCTCCCAAGGCCGGCCAGGAAAGAGGCTCTCCCAGCAGGGGCTGGACCAGACAGGGAGGGGAGCCCCTCACCTCTATCTCCACTGCCTCCGCCTCCATTCCTAGCCCTCTCTGGGCCTGAAGCCCTGGGAGGGAGCTCCCCAGTTACATCTTGTTATTGTTTATTTCCCACAGCCTCAGAAACTATTGCGCTGTCTAAAGCAGTGGTTCCCAAAGTGTTCTCCACCCACCACCTACATCAGAACCATCTGAGATGCTTGGGAAAACAGAGATTCTGTGGCCCCTCTCCCATGGAATAGAGCCTCAAGGTGGAGTCTGAGAATCTGCATTTCTACAAACTCCCCAGGGAATCTCATCTTTATACACACTAAAATGTGTATAAGGCACCTACGGTGATGCCCACGTCCCCCTGGGTCTGTGCTAGGCTGTAAAACACTGAGATGAAGGGAAGAGTTAGGAGCCCCAACCTGGGCTTAAGCACTAAGAGGGAGAAGAGCATCCCCTAGGCCAGTGTCCAGGGGGCGATAATGATTAATAAGATTTTCCAAGGAGACTGTGGCCTAAGAGAAAGAAGAATCCCCCCAAGAGGCTCAAGCCCTCCTCCCCTCATTTCCAACCTCAGATCATCAGTGCACCCAAACACCCTGCCTCCTCTTCTGGATAAGCTGTGACCCCAAGCCTGGGCCCTCTATCCTGGAGCCACTGACGCCCCTCGCTGGAGGCCGCCCTGCCTCCCCTGGGGCACTCACCTTGTAGAGCTGACTCTCCACGCCCGGGCTCAGCATAATGATGGACACCAGCACCCCCAGGAAGAGGAAGAACGTGAAGATGAGGCGGCTCACGGTGGAGTTGCGGCTGGCGGGGCAGCAGCTGCACAGGATGCAGGGGGCAGAGCCGCAGAGGCAGGACGCCTGCGGGAGGGCACTGTCACTCTTCCCTCTCCCCTTCACCGCCCAAGCGCGCACCTCTCACCACCTGCCCAGAGGTCGGCGCATCTGTGCTGCGCTAGGCAGGAGCACACTGTTCCCCAGACACCAGCCCATTGAACTTTCAGGTCCGAGAGGGAGGCTGGGTCATATAGGGCTACACAGCCAGTAACCACAGAACCCAGATTCAAACCTGGGTCTATCTCCAGTGATACTGTGGCTTGAAAGCGAGAGCTAGCCGAGGTCACGCTGTTTCTTTCTTACAGGGAGGGAGAGTAGTTTAAAAAAAAAAATCACAAGGCCAGCTGTCACCGATTACCTTCGTGACCTTATACAACTCACTCAACCTCTCTGTGCCTCAGTGTCCTCTTCTGTAACATAGTGGTATGTACTCCTCACAAAGCAGTTGTGAGAGTGAAACAGAAATTCCACATTGTAGCCCCCTTGGGCTCCCTTTCCCCTTCCCCACTTAATTTTTCCCCGCGGGACTTCTGCCATCAGCGAGGCTTTATGTTTTGTCGGCCTCCGCTTTCCAGCGGGGCAGGAATTTTTGCGTTTTGTTCATTGTGGTATTCCTAGAAATTCGAACAGTGTCTGTCACACAGCAGGAGCTTACAGGCTATCTGTTGAAGGAATATGAAGTGTTTGGCATAGTACCAGTCACATGTTAAGACCTCAGAAAACAGCAAGTGCAGAATAAACACCAGTTGGATAAACGGAATGATTTTCGGCTCTGAGGCTATACCAGCACTAGACAGCAGGTGGCGGTCTAACCCTTTCCCTCTCCAGGGTCCTCTGCCCCAGTTGCGGTCAGCCCTTCCCCTGGCCTGGCTGAAATCATTCAGGGGCTGGTGATGACACACTATGCCACACCTGAAAAGGAGACTCACCCTCCTGGGAGCCCAGTCCACAGCCCAGCCTTTAAAGAAACAGGCCCCACATCCAGATACCTCTGGTAAACTTTATCTTCCCCCAAACAGCCCCTACTCCTCACCCAGGGATTTAAGAGCCTGGAGAGCAACAGACATAGGCCTTGCCTTCCTGGAGCTTACACAAGCAGGAAAAACACTAAACAAATCATGACTCACATCGTGACAAGCGCTAAGAAGGACACGTACCCACTGCCAGAAAAGTGCTAATGCAGCCTAGGTTTGATTGAGGGTGGCATGTCAGGGAAGCCCTCCTTGAAGAAGTGACTTTTAAGCTGAGAGCAGGCCAGGTGCAGTGGCTCACACCTGTAATACCAGCATTTTGGGAGGCCAAGGCAGGAGGATCGCTTGAGCACAGGAGTTAGAGAATAGCCTGGGCAGCATAGCGAGACCGTATCTTTTAAAAAGAAGGGTTTTCTTCTTTTCTTCTTTTTTTGTTTTTTTTTTTTTGAGACAGGGTCTTGCCCTGTCACCCAGGCTGGAGTGCAGTGGCGCAATCTCAGCTCACTACAACCTCTGCCTCCTGGGCTCAAGCCATCCTCCCACCTCAGCCTCCTGAGTAGCTGGGACTACAAGCACACGCCACCATGCCTGGTTAATTTTTGTATTTTTTGTAGAGACGGAGTTTCACCACGTTGCCCAGACTGGTCTCAAACTCCTGGGCTCAAGCAATCTGCCCACCTCAGCCTCCCAAAGTGCTGGGATTACAGGCGTGAGCCACTGCACCTGGCCTTTTAAAAAGAAATATTTTAAAATAAAATAATAAGCTGAGAGCAGAGGGATGAGGAGACACTGCCAGACCAAAGGGAGGAAAGAAAGTTCTAGACAGGTGGCTCTGGGGTGGGTAGGGGCTGGGCATTTGAGGAATTTAAGAAGGCCCTCGTGGCCAAAGCTTGGTGAGCAGACAGTCAGCGGTGAGTATGAGGTCAGACAGGCTGGCAAGGCCAGACCACATAGGCACCAGCAGTCAGGAACAGGACACTGGTTTTCATCCTAAGAGCGGTGGGCACCCACTCGAGGGGCTGGAGCCAAGGGTCAGGAATTGAAAGATGAGCTTTGAAAAGAGCAGGCTGGCAGGGGCCCCTTGCTCCTCAGAGACCTCTGCTTTTCTTTCTGGACTGGTCACAAGGCACACAGCACACCCTGCTGGCGGGCATCTGCCTCCCCTCTTACTCTCCCCCAAACTAGAAATGCTCCTCGCCTATCTCTCGTTCACACAGATGCTAAACAAAATGCTTTGGAAACGAAACTATTCCTCATGGTCTAAATTGAAACAGTCCACCTGTCCAGCAACTTCTGGTTACATCTTGCAGCTGCCACCCCAAGACCTGCCTCCTATCCATGGCTGTCCTTGGTGGGTGAGAGGATAAGAAAAGCCTGAAAAATGTTTTAGAGGCCATAAAGCAGTGGTCCCAAACCTTTCTGGTACCAGGAGCCAATTTCAGGGAAGACACTTTTTCCACAGATGGCAGCAGGGGTGCTGGCAGGGGGCAGATATGGTTTTGGGATGAAACTGTTCCACCTCTGATCATCAGGAATTAGATTCTCATAAGAAGCACGCAACTTGGATCCCTCGCATGCACAGTTCACAATAGGGTTCGCACTCCTATGAGAATCTAATGCTGCCACTGATCTGACAGGAGGCGGAGCTCAGGCGGTAATGCTTGTTCACCTGCTGTTCACGTCCTGCTGTGTGGCCCAGTTCTTAACAGGCCATGGATAGATACTAGTCCATGGCCCAGGGGTTGGGGACCCCTGCTATAAAGAACATTCTGGGTATCAGTTAGAGCAGCTTATTAGTCCCATTTTACAGACGTGGAAATTGAGACCAGAGGGACTAAGAGACTTACCAGAGGTCACACAGCAAGTTGATAACAGCACTGAGATTCAAGTAGTATTAGTGGCAGCTACCATTTACGAAGGGTTACTCAGTCCCAGGCACTGTGATAAGCACTTTATCTACATTAAGCTTCACTGATGCTATGAATTGTGTGGTAACTTTCCATTTTCAAATGGGAAAACTGAGACAGAGAAGTGGCATGACCAAGGTCACACAGCAAGTAAGCTGAGGAGCTGGGATGCAAATTCAGATCTGTGTGCACCAAGGGCCAGGCTCTGCCTACAGGACTACACTAGTTCCAGCTCGCTAATTCACTGATGGTCATCTTATTTAATTTAAATACATCCCAGTGATGAAAAAACAAACAAACAAACAACAAAAAACCCAATACCAGAAAACCAAGGGAGGCCAGTGGGTACTGATCTCAGGAGCCAGGTGCCCAGGTGCCCTGTCAGGTCCTGATGCTGGCTTGTTACCATTTAATTTCAATTTGAGACATCTGAGACACAAGAAAGCTGTTCCGCTTTCAGAGAGCTTGGCCTTTCAGTTCGCTCTGGTTCTTAAACATCAAAATCCAGGTGTTCCTAATGCCTGAAATCTCAGGATTTCCAAGGGCCTGATCAGCAGCCAGAGAGACCAGGTCAAAGAGAAAAACACACACTGCTTCCAGAGCATCCTTGGAAATGTTTGTCCACCTTGCTCCATTCACCCCACCCCAGAATGGCTCCTACAAGAACCTCTTCCATTTGACCAAAATGTCATTTTATATATATTTAAATCTCTTCCTACAGAAATGCCAGACCATTGGAGTAAGGGCAGATGTGTGCACATATATACAAACACATGGAAATTCATTGTGGCACTGATCATAATAGGAAAATAATAGGGGGAAAAATTTTTGAGACAGGATCTCGTTCTGTCACCCAAGCTAGAGTGCAGTGGTACCATCTCGGCTCACTGCAACCTCCACCTCCGGGGCTCAAGCAATCCTCCTACCTCAGCCTCCGGAGTAGCTGGGACCACAGGCACCAGCCACAATGCCCAGCTAATTTTTCTTTTTGGTTTCTTGGTTTTTGTTTCAAGAAAGGATTTGGCTCTGTCACCCAGGCTGGAGTGCAGTGGTGTGATCTCAGCTCACTGAAGCCTCAACCTCCTGGGCTCAAGCGATCCTCCTACCTCAGCCTCCCAAGTAGCTGGGACCACAGGCATGCACCACCACACCCAGCTAATTTTTGTATTTTTTGGTAGATACAGGGTTTTCTCATGTTGGCCAGGCTGGTCTTGAACTCCTGGGCTCAAGGGATCCTCCCACCTTGGCCTCCCAAAGTGCTGGGATTATAGGCATGAGCCACCATGCCTGGCCATTAGGGGAAAATTGAAAATAACAAAACGCCCATCAATACATCATGGTATTCCATAAAACGGATTTCTCTGCTGAATGGGGCAAATATGTAGGTAACACTTAACTTGGGTACATTTCATTGTATACAAATAATACTTCAATTAAGTTAAATTTACAAATATAAAAATAAAGATTTTTATATAAAGAAAAAACTTAAATAAGCTTTAGGTTTTGTGAGCCTATTGGAGTCTCAAGAAACTACAAAAAACCTAAATGTCTAACACCTGGGGACAGCCGTGGCCCTTTCACTCCATGGAATGCTACAGAGCCAGAAAGATGAATTCCCTGGCTACAGAGCCACATGGAATAATGCTCATGATGCAGTGTGAAAGGAAGGCAGACTGGAAAGCTGTTCCCACACTACGATTACAACCACTCCCCTCTTCCTGCAGATGCACTCAAGGGCAGCAACAGAAAAGCCCCAGAACACTTACAGTGGCTGAATCTTAGTACCAGCCCAGGTTCTCAGAATGGAGAACTCAGAATTTAAGAAGCCCCAGGCCTCAGAGCCTTACAGCTGCAAGGTTCCTTGGCATTCAACCAATCCATTCTCTTTCCAATGAAGAACCACCCAGAAAGCATCTGGCCATCCTCTGCTGCTTGCACACTGCCAATGACAAGGAGCTCACTACCTCCCAAGGCAAGGCAGACAGCTCTGGAGCCATGAGTCGTTTGGCATTATGTGAACAGGCTGTCACTGAGTCATTCACATTGTCTCCTGGTTGTCCTCAGAGCCAGGGACAGAAGTTCTTAGAACCACTCATAGGGTGTTGGGTGGGTAAGGGAGGCAGCTGAGGGCTGGATGAATTTTTCTATTTAAAACAAACTGGCTGTCTGGGCGTGGTGGTTCATGCCTGTAATCCCAGCACTTTGAGAAGCCAACACAGGCAGATTACCTGAGATCAGGAGTTTGAGACCATCCTGCCAACATGGTGAAACCCCGTCTCTACAAAAAATACAAAAATTAGCCAGGCATGGTGGCAGGCATTTGTAATTCCAGCTACTCAGGAGGTTGAGGCAGCAGACTCGCTTGAACCCGGGAGGCAGAAGTTGCAGTGAGCTGAATCGCGCCAATACACTCCAGCCTGGGTGACAGAGCATGAGTTCGTCTCAAAATTTAATAAAATAAAATAAAATAAAGTGGCCCTCCACTTCTGGATATATATCCAAAAGAAATGAAGCAGGGACTCACATATTTACACACCCATGTTCATAGCAGAATTATTCACAGTAGTCATAAGGTGAAAACAAGCTAAATGTCCATTGGTGGACGAGATGAATGGATAAACAAAATGTGGTATATCCATATCCATACAATAGAATATTATTTGTTCTTAAAAAGGAATGAGGCCAGGTGCGGAGGCTCATGCCTGTAACCCCTGCACTTTGGGAGGCCAAGGCGGGCGGATCACCTGAGGTCAGGGGTTCGAGACCAGCCTGGCCAACATGGTGAAACCCTATCTCTACTAAAAATACAAAAAAATTAGCTGGGCATGGTGGTGTGTGCCTATAGTCCCAGCTACGCGGGAGGCTGAGGCAAGAGAATTGCTTGAACCCGGGAGGTGGAAGTTGCAATGAGCCGAGATTGTGCCATTGCACTCCAGCCTGGGCAACAGAGCAGGACTCTGTCTCAAAAAAAAAAAAAAAAAAAAAAGAATGAAATTTTGACACATGCTATAACATGGATGAACCCTCAGGGCATTATGCTAAGTGAAATAAGCCAGACACCAAAGAACAAATATTGTATGACTCCACTTAGATGGAGAGAGTAGCCAAACTCATAGAGAAAAGCAGTGAATTGGTGGTTACGAGGGGCTGGGGAGTTACTGTTTAGTGGGAGTTTCAGTCTGGGAAGATGAAAAAGTTCTGGAGAAGGATGGTGGTGATGGTTGCATAACAGTGTCAATGTACTTAATGCTACACTTAAAAATTGTTAAAATGGTACATTTTATGTTATGCATCTTTTACCTCAATTTTTTTAAAAGGGAGGGGGCAGGGAGTTTTCAAAGAAGAGCAGGAAGAGGCGAGAAGGGTATTCCCAGCAAAGAGAATGACACATGCAGAGCTACAGGGACACTGTATTTTCAGGGCAGCTGAAAGGGTGAGAAAAGCTACAGAGGTCACGGAAGTGGTGGTCAATGTCCCTGTATGCCATGCCAGGGAGTCTGGACTTCACCCTGAAAGCAATGGGGAATGATTGCGAAAGAAGAGGAATGACAGCAGATTTGCATTTTAGAAATATCACTTTGATCACAAAAAGACAGGTCATGGGGTAGTGTGTGGTATCTTTGGGGGAAGGGAGGAGAGTCAGGGGCTGTTGTCAGTAATCCAGATGAGGGCTGACAGTAAGAAGATGTTCTGGAGTTACCGTGTGCCTTAGTTGGCACTACTCCTTCTGACAATGCCATTCGTTTGGGATTAATTTTTATTAGGGTTGTATTTATTAGATCTCCATTTTAATATACATGTCTTCTAAAATAAATTACAGGCTGGGTGTGGTGGCTCATGCCTGTAATCCCAGCACTTTGGGAGGCCGAGGCCAGTGGATAACTTGAGATCAGGAGTTCGAGACCAGCCTGGCCAACATGGTGAAACCCCGTCTCTATTAAAAACACAAAAATTAGCCAGGCATGGTGGCGCACGCCTGTAATCCCAGCTACTCGGGAGGCTGAGGCAGGAGAATCACTTGAACCTGGAGGCAGAGGTTGCAGTGAGCCAGAATGGTGCCACTGCACTCCAGTCTGGACAACAGAGCAAGACTTCATCTCAAAAAAATAAAGTAAAATAAAATAAAATGAAATAACATACAAACTCCTTGAAGACTAAAATAAAAGGTTAAAAGAGTAAATTTTTTAACATGTATTTCGTCACAGTTTAAAAAATGCAAAACTGGCCCAGGCAAGCATGCACCTTGCCGCCTTCATGAACAACTCCGTAACTGGCTGAGCCGCCCCAGGGCTAGTCAAAACACAGCAGAGAAGAGGTCAGCCGGAAATGTCCCAAGGTGCACTTACTTCCCCCATGCAGTGCCAAGAATGCAGGTCCTAATGCTGGCTCTGCCACAGCTTGTAATCTGACCTCAGGCAAGTCTCTCCTCCCCTCCATGGGACTCAGTTTCCTCATCTGTAAAATGATCTCCTGGGGTAGGAGAGTACAGGGGCTCCGAGCCCAGGCTCTATAGTTAGGCAGCCCTGGGTCTCACTGGCTTCAGCACTTCCTTGCATGTAGTCTTGAGTCATGTACTACTGTGGGGTGTTTATGGACCGGCCACTGCACACCAGCTTGGTGCTAAATATGCAGCTGTGCTAACCTCAGTCCCATTTAATCCTCACAACAGGCTAAGGGGCAGACACCATTGTTTTCTCCACTTTACAGACAAGGGGATGGGCAAAGTGACTGCCCACAGTCACAGAGATGCGAAGAGGCAAAGCTAGGATCCGAGTCCAGTGGTCTGACCCAAAGGCCTTTCACACTCCCTAGGATGTGCAAGACCCTCCTGAAATCTTTGCAGACAGCCAAGTCATCATGTGCCGGCGGCTTGCCTGGTGGCCCCATCCCCTGTGGACCCATCTTACCTCCCCATCCAAAGCAGGACCCACCTTCAGCCCAGTTCACCTTCAGCCCAGTTCCAATGCTGAGAAGCACAATCAGCAGATGAGTCACACCTGGGAGGATACAAAAATCTTCCCCACTGACCCATGCATGCAAAAAAATCCCTCCTGAAGTTGCCCAGAAACCCCACATAGAACTTCACTCCTGTGCAGCAACTCTTCACTGCAACAGGATGGTACTGGTGTCCAGTAGTGCCCAACTACACCACTTAATGTTGTGTGGCTGTGGAGAAGTCACCTTCACTCTCTGAGCCAGTTTCCTCATCTGTGAAATGGGAACAATATTAACTGCCCCAGTGGGGTCTTTGTGAGGATTAAATGGAAGGAGATATATATATACACACACATACACATACTGCTCACTACTGTATGGGGCCTAGGCCACTCCTGGACAGCTCCACGCTGCGAGTGTTGGGATAGTTATCTGTAAAATGGGCTAACGATGTCATAGGGTAGAGGAGGTGGGGAGAGCCAATGAGATGGCATGGTGAGGGGCTCGGAACAGTACCTGGCTCAGTAAATGTCAGAGGCCAGAACCTCAGTAAATGTCGGAGGCCAGAACCCCAAGGGGATGGCACTGAAGGGAGGGCCGGGTCCCTTGCTGATATTACTCACTAAGTTATCTCCCAATTCTTCCCTGGACCAGCCCTGTGCCTCAGGCAGCCAGGATGTGGGGAAGGGAGGGAAGGTGTGGGCAGAAGCCTGGACCAGGAATCAGATGTTGATCCTAACTATGCAGTTCTTCATCCTTTCCCTGTGCAACCTTAGGAAAGTCAGCTATCTTCTCCGGGCGGGTGGCAGTCTTCTCATCTGTAAACAGATGGTTTGAGCAGTCCTATCTGCTCTCAGCATTGTAGAATGCTGTAACTCAGAGACCAGCACTTGGCTTTGCATTGTCTCCAAATGGAATTCTCCACCCACCTTTCCTTGATGTTAGCAATAATTCCCACAAGGAGCACTCACGATATGCCAGGAACTGTGCCTCATCTCCCAACAGCATTGTGAGAAAGGCCCTGTTACTGTCAACTGCCAGATGGGGTGACCAAGGCACACAGGGCTGGCAGGCTGCCCCTCAACATCTCCACCCCCAGGCCAGCCCAGCAGGGCCTGTGCCTCACCAGGTGCAACCGATGGAAATCAGGTCCACTGTGGAAGCTCTGCCTCCCTCACCAGGAAGCAAACCCTTGTTGGCAGAGACCTGGCCCAAACCTTGAATTCTTTGGGCTGGGAGGGATTTCAGGCACCAGCTTGATTCCTCCTCCTGCACACGCACATGCACACGCACACACACACACGAAAAATGGAGGCCTAATGAGGCGAGAGGCTCTCTTGCCTCTCTGTGCTGTCTATGCTGATCTCATTCTCAGAAAAAGGCTGTAAAGTAAATCTCTAGACCCTCAGCTCTCCCCTACACCCCCTCCTCTCTCTCTCTCTCTCTCTCACACACACACACACACACACACACACACACACAACCCGTCAGGGACAAAGGAAAGCGAGTCCCGAGATTCAGCAGCCGCTGCAGCCCCTTCTCCCTCTCAGGGCCTCTTTGTGTGGGGCCAGAGGGGGAGGGGGCTGCCTGAATGAACCTCAGATTTAATGAGGGGAAGAGGAAAGGAGAGGGGGGCTGGGGAAAGGGAAGGGAGAACGGGCCTCCCAGCCGGGGTCTTGCTGGAGCCCCTCCCCTCTGCGGCTGCAGCTACAGAACAGAGGTTGGCCTCCCCACAGGTCCCGAACCCGCGACCGGGCACTCCCCGCGCACACCCGAACCTCCCTCGATTCCTGCTCTCCCAACCCAGAGTTCCGCCCGGTGGTCCGTGACGACCCGCACCCGCCTCACTCGAGGGCAGCTAAGAAAGTCCGGGGCTCCCTCCGCTCCCATCCCAGTCTCCGCGCTGGGGCCCAGATGATCCGGGGCGAGCTGGGGAAGTGCCTGAGAGGCAGCGCGAGCCAGACTGAGGACGGTAAAGGGACCGCAGAGAGACTGAGGGACGGACGGGCGGACGGGCAGACGGACAGAAGACAGCAGACGGACAAAGACAGTCGGACGAACGACGGACACAGACAGGAACCAGACAAATACGAACGGACAGGCGGAGCCCGAGCGACAGGAACAGGCGGACTGGCAGGCGGCCAGAGGGGTAGGGCAGGGCACTCGCCAGGAGGGACGGGGCCCGGGCGACCTACACAGAGAACCAGGGCGTCCGGGACGGGGACAGAGGCCACCCCGAGGACCGCCCCAAGTGGGGCGACGAGGGCCCACAGAGCTGCCCCGACCCCGGGCTCCAGGCTTAGTCTCTCCAGGTCCCAGGAGGGCGCCCGCCGAGGGCACTCCCCTCCTGCCCGCGGAAACCCGAGCCGGGACCGCAGCTGCCCGGCGCCTGCCGGCCAGGACTGAGCAGGGGGACGGGGGCAGCGGGATCCGGGTGCCGAGTGAAGGTCCAGGAGGGCGAGCAGGCGGGGCACCGGCCCAGAAAGACAAGTTTGCAGGAAGGAAAAAGAAGAAACTACTCGGAGCAGAACAGAAGAAAGTGAGGGCCCGCAGCAGGAACGGGCGGCGCGCGCGGGCGGGCGCCGGGGTCGGGACTCACGCAGCTGAGCAGGGAGCAGGCTCCCAGGCAGGCCCCCATGGCGGCGGCTCCCGGCTTCGGGCGCCCGGCGCCGGGCGCGGGGCGCGGACCTCGGGATCCGGGTGCCGGGCCTGGCCCCTCCCCGGCCCCGGCCCCGCCCCGGCCCCGCCCCACCTACCGAAGCCGCTCGACGCTTTCCGGCGGCGCTCGGGGCCTCCCCAGACTCACCTGGGGCAGGTGCGCCAGGAGGGACCCTAGGGAAGGGGCCGGTCGGGGATTCCCGCGGCCACGCGAGCGGCGCAACCTGACCCAATCGTGGCCCGGGCTCGCATCCTGCTCCAAAGTGAGCGTTCGGAAATCGACCTCGGTTTGAGCCCGTGTGACCCCAGGACACTGTCACCCTTGGGAACAGAAGCCAAGAGGTGGTCACCGCTGACTCCTCAGTGCTTGGCGCAGGGCCTCTGCTCAATACGTAGATGCTGAGGTTGAATGCTGAATGACTGGATAAAGAAACTTCGGCAAGTCACTGCACCTCTATGAGCCTCAGTTTCCCGGTCTGTAAAGTGAGGATACATACCTCACAGGGTGGTTACAACACATGGTAGGTGCTTGACAAATGTAAGCCCCCATCGTCACTGTTTTCTTCTTCCTTTTTAAGAGACAGGGTCTTGCTCTGTCACCCAGGCTGGAGTGCAGTGGTGCAAACATAGCTCACTGCAGCCTCGACCTCCTGGGCTCAAGTGATCCTCCTGCTTCAGGCTCCTGAGTAGCTGGGACTACAGGTGCATGCCACCATGCCCACCTACTGCTTCTTCTAAGACCCCAGCCTCTCACTCTAAACCCATCCTCCCTTCTCTCCATCTGTTCTTCAAACTCCACTGACTCCCAACAGCCTGCTGGGAGCTACACACTCCCTACAGCCACCCCTGCTTGGTGGCTTATCACTCCCTAGGGATGCCCAAACTGGTCCCTAGCTAAGGAGGTCAGAAGGTGGGGAGGGGCGGCCACATTCCTGACAGATGGCTTTCCAGGGGTAGGTGTGAGAGACCCAGAAGTAGGGCTCTGTAATTAGTCTCCCTTCACCCTTAGCCCTGTCCTCAGCCACCTCTGGACAAGATAATGTTAGGGAAAGAAGTCTCTGTGCCTCGAAGCTGGCCCCAGGGCCAAAGAGCTGGTTGACTGCATCCTTGGCTGATTCACTGGGCGCCAGGCTTAGCCATTAATTGCACCAGGACTGTTCCACAAACACACCCTATACTTTTCCTCCTCCGCACTTTTGCCCACACAATGCCCTCCTCTTTTTTTTTTTTTTTTTTTTTTTTTTTGAGACAGGGTCTCACTCTGTCACCCAGGCTGGAACACAGTGGCCCAATCATGGCTCACTGCAGCTTCAACCTCCTGGACCCAAGTGATCCTCCCACCTCAGCCTCCCAAGTAGCTGTGACCACCAGTGTGTACTACCACACCCAGCTAATTTTTTAAAAATTTTGTGTAGAGATGAGGTCTCCTTATGTTGTCCAGGCTAGTCTCGAACTCCTGGGCTTAAGCAATCCTCCTGCCTTGGCCTCCCAAAGTGCTGGTATTACAGATGTGAGGCACTGCACCTGGCAGATGCCCTCCTCTTAAAGGTCCTTCTCCTTATCCCTCTTTCTCCCCTTTGAAGCTTGCTCACATGCCATACCTCTCAGTGAAGAGAGCCACCACCCTCACCCCCAACCCACTACCTGGTTCCATTAGGAATGAACATCCTCCTGATTCCCCCAAGCCTCCAAACAATATGGGCCTCCCTTATGGCCTCACAAACAACCCGAGCACATGCCCAACTTTCCCCCGTGGTACCATTTGAGCCCCACAACAGCCCTGAGAAGTCGATTAATTCCCCACCCACTCGTTTACAGATGAGGAAACCGAGAAACAAAGAAGTAGTGACACGCGAAATGTAAATCAAGCGTCGAATAAACGTTGACTGTGATCACTGTGGTTGTTGTTACTATTGCTGAAGGCCACACAGCTCAGAAGAAACAGAGCTGAAAGGCAACCTGGCCTGGCTTTCACCCTGATGTCCTACTGCTTCCCTTGAAAAAGTAGAGGTGACAATATCTAGTCTTCCTATTTTTCTGTCCAGCAATATTTCAGTCCTTCCCTAACCCGAGGCCTTTAGGGGACTGTGAGCCACCCAAGAACGGTCTGCTCTCTGGCCACCCCCTCTCCTACCCAGAGCACAGTACAGGGCCTGGCACACAGTCAAGCAGTGAATGCTTACTGGATGAATGTCTGACCTTTTACCATAAGTCCACTTTCCTCCTTCTTCTGTGACTGACAGTCTGATCCAAAAACATACCCTACACAGTCATCTTCTGCACGGAAATCCTTTAGACTGAAATGCCACCAAGCAGTCTCAAGTGAGCCCTCCTCACATGCTCCCGTCCCAGGGTCAGCTCCCTTGGACACTTCTGCTCTAAGAGCTGAATTTTTCACCCCCAACCCCTCCCTATCCATGACCTAGAACAGTAGAAAGCACCCAAGACCAAGAGGATCAACCCCTGGGATTCTTGTTCTGCCACAGATGACCATGCCCCATGCCATCCTTGGGGGGCCACTTCACCCCACAAGGGGTGTCCGTCCATCCCCTTCCCGGAAATAGGTAGGGTTATTCTGTTTAACCTCACAGAGCATGTGTGAGCATCTGCAAAGACACTCTCAGAAATAAGCAGTTATCTGCAAGGAACGAGGGATTAAGATGACTGTATGTGTAAAGGGATAGCCACTCTGACTTCAGGCTAAAATTTTCCAGAGCAAGGTAATATGCTGCCACTGTCCTGGCCTCCTGCCTGCCCAAGACCAAGGCCGGCTGGGCTCTCACACGCCCAGCATGGAAGGCATAACTCACTGTGTGGCTGGGTCCGGGTGACTCCTCCTCTCTCAGCCTCATGCTTCTCATCTGTAAAATAAAGATAAGTTTTTTTACCCCAGCTATCTGAGGGGACTACTGAGGAGATGAAGTGAGGACATGGATAAAGAGCTTCATTTCTTGGTGTCCTGGCCAGCCCATCAGCCTTTACTCCCAGATTTGAACCTCCTGCATGGGGCCAGAGTAGCTCTGTCTCTTGCACCCCCAAAAGCACAGTCACAGTCAGCAGCTATGTGATACTGGCAAGTCACCCAACCACTCTGAGCCTCACTGGAGGGTTGGAATTCAGGATTCAGCTTCTCCACCCAATGCTATGTAAACCATGTCCCTTGAAATAAACATGTAGGGGTCATTTGGTCCATTGCCCTGTGCCCATCACCCAGCCCAGACAGATGCTCAACTCCAGTTCCCAAAGGAAGCAGACTCTGACTTCTTGGACCACCCACCCCAAGGTTCTCTAATCTGATCTCACTGGGCCTGAGTTTTCAAATCTGCAACATAGGAACGAACTCCTGCCCCCGCCTCAGTGCCCCCAATCCATTCTCTCCCCATCCCCTCTTACCATCCTCCCGTCCATGAGGACTCAGATGTGTGCCGGCTTTGAGCCCTCCTATCCCTTGGGCTTCGCTGTCTGTACTGGCCTCTATTTCCTGCTTCTGACCCATTTACAGAGCAGGGCCATCCCTTATGAATATGCATATAAGATAATGAGAGCTTGGGATTGGGGGAGCATCTGGGGAGAGGTATTCACATACGCACCATCCACTCTGCTCTCCCCATAAACACCCCCCAACCAAGGCTGTCCTTCCTCACAAAGCGTGCATGGGATTTCAGAGCAAAGGCTAAAGTAACAATAATCATATTCATAGCAAGCATTTTTAAGAGCTTACAACATGCCAGGCACTCTGCTGAGATTATCTCCTTTAAGATGAATTTAAGGTAGGAACTATTGCCCCCATTTAGCAAATAAGGAAATTGATGCTCCAAGAAGTTAGGTAACTTGTACATAAATCATACGGGGAACATGCACAGTGATCATGTGCAGAGCCAGGGTGGAACCCAGGTTTTCTCAGGAGAATGCAATTCCAAAGCTGGTGCTCTAAACCCCTGCGCCCAGATGTTCAGGGCCAAGCCAGGAGCCCTGAGCAGTCATGGGGCCACATCTGGATCTCACATGTCAGCAGATGAGCCCACAGTGGTATTAGGTGATTTTGTGAAAGGACCCAGGTCCTGGAAGGGACTCTATCTGGAAAGTATGGAGACAGGCAGACACGATGCGTGTTCATATGTGTGCAGGCACACAGTGATGCAAGCTTGAGCATGCACACACACACAGGGTGTTCTGTGTGCATGGACGTAACTGTGTGGGGTGGAGGTACCCCTGTGGCTGCCCAGTGTATGTGCCTCTGTGCTGCTCTGGTGACTTTTTTCCAATCAACACTTAGCCACAGGGGGCCAGGAGCTGGGAATGCAGTGTGGATAGGGCAGACACAGTCCCAGCCTGCATGGAGTGGATGGTCTGTGGGATTTGCTTCCCATAACAGTAACACTCTGGAAGGAATCCGTTTCCTTTGTAGGAAGTGACTAGGGGTTGAGAGAGAAGATGGGTAAGAGTGGAAAAGGTAGGACATCTGAGGTAGGTAGCTCAAGGGAGCCTCTGGCACTTGCCAGAAATGTATGGAGGAGACAGCCAGGACCTGGCACCGGCTCCACGACAGTCACAGGTCTGAGGATTCCCAAAGGTCTCCAGATGCTTTCCTTACAGATGTCCAGGGTCTTCTGTGAGTGTATATGTGGGCAGTTTGTGTGTGTTGGGGAGGGGGGGGTGTTTAGGTATATGTGCACAGATGAGCGTGTGTGGTTATGTGAATATGTGCATGGAATGTGCATGTATAAATGTGGGGACATGGGTAAGTCATATATGGTGTGTACGCAGGTGGGGTTTACATGTAGAGGTGGGGGTATGCTTGTGTGTGTGGCAGGGCCTGTTACTGCAAAGGAGAGAAGAGAGTGCCATTTGGCCCAGGCCTCACATTCAGAAGTCTCAAAAATGCATCCAAAAATGAGATGGAATGAAGGGAGGGAGGGAGGGATGGATGGCTAGGTAGATGGATAGGCAGAGGGCTGTCTGTGCAGAGAGATGGACAGAGGGTTGGACAGAGGAATGGATATGTGATAAAGCAGATACTGCAAAATGTTCATTGTAGTCCCCAGGTGCTGAGTATGTGGGTGCTCACTGTACCATTCTTTCAACCCTTCTGGATGCTTGATACTTTTCATAATACAACGAGTACACAAAGTGGGCTGGATGTCTAGCCCCAGAGAATTATGGATGAGATGGGAAGAACAGAATGCTCTTCATGCCATTTGAAACTTACATCCCATCACTGGACCACACAGCAATGTGAAATCACATTTTTTATAATTCTTGTGACGATCTTGTGAGTCTCTCAGTTGCACTGCATTGGATGTGTGTGGGTGCATGTGTGTGTTAAAAAACATTAATTTGTTAAATAAAAACATACCACAGTTGTGAACATCCTATTTAGGACTTTCTTCATTTTTAAATTAGCAGGAGCCTTAAAAGACAGAAGTGGTCTGGCTCAGCCGGGCGCGGTGGCTCGCGCCTGTAATCCCAACACTTTGGGAGGCCAAGGCGGGCGGATCACCTGAGGTCGGGAGTTTGAGACCAGCCTGACCAACATGGAGAAACCCCACCTCTACTAAAAAATACAAAATTAGCCGGGTATGGTGGCGCATGCCTGTAATCCCAGCTACTTGGGAGGCCGAGGCAGGAGAATCGCTTGAACCCGGGAGGTGGAGGTTGCAGTGAGCTGAGATCAGACCATTGCACTCCAGCCTGGGCAACAAGAACGAAACTCCGTCTCAAAAAAAAAAAAAAGAAGTGGCCTGGCTCTTTCCGTCTGTGAGCCCCTACTATGCAGGGTGCGTGTATGGGTTTGCATGTATGTGCACGTGTCAGGGATGTGAGCACACGTGGGTGGGTCAGGCTGACACCCATGTGAGTGCCCACACAGAGAGCTCAGCCTCCTCCAAGCCCCGCTGAGGCCAGCACCACTCTGAGGTGAGGAGGATGTCTTAGGATCGAGGAAGGGCAGCCACCAGCCCCAGGGCAGCATAAGGGACCAGGAACTCTGTCACCTGAGGCTTGGACACGCTCAGGCCAAGCGGCGTCATCCGGCCAGCAGCGAGAGTGTGGGAGGCTGTTTCCTGGAGGAGGATGGGGCAAAGGCAGGATGTCCACAGCCCTCCTGGGCCCAGCGGCTCCTTTCTTCCTCCCCATACATTTATATCTCCTGTCGGGACCATTCATCCTCCCCTGCTCAGTGCCTGTGGGCCCAAGTGGTCAATACCCCATCGTTGGACAGATGGAGAAATGGAGGCCTGGAGAGAATGCAGCCACTCAGGCCACACAACAAGTCAGCCCAGAGCCAGCCTGAGATCCAGCCTGGGTTCTAATCTCTGCCCCTACTGCCTGCCAGCCCTGCATCTCCCTCCTTCAGTCATTTGTCCACCAGCCAAGGCCTGCAGGGGTCCTACAGAATGGGCTCCAGGCCCAGCAGACCCAGCAGGGGAGGCCCCAGAGTGCCCTCCTGCCTAGGGAGGTCACATACAAAATCCAGGAAGACAGGTGGGCACCAGAAACAGCAGGTGGCTGAGAGGCAGGGCCTGGCTCAGCCACCAACCCTGTTAGAATGACCCTAGACAGCTCTCTGCCCCTTTCTGGGCCTGTTTCTCTATCTGTAAAATAAATGGGTTGAGGCCAGGAGCAGTGGCTCTCACCTGAAATCCCAGCACTTTGGGAGGCCTAGGTAGGCAGATCGCTTGAGCTCAGGAGTTCGACACCAGCCTGGGCAACATGGCAAGACCCCCATCTCTACTAAAAATACAAATAGCCAGGCATGGTGGTGCACACCTGTGGTCTCGGCTACTCGGGAGGCTGAGGTGGGAGGATCACTTGAGCCTGGGGAGTAAAGGTTGCAGTGAGCCAAGATTGCACCACTGCACTCCAGCCTGGGCATACAGTGAGACCCTATCTCAAAAAAAAAAAAAATACATAAATTAAAATAAATAGGTTGAACTATTAACAGTGGCTTTCAAATAATGTTTTGAAGCAGAATCCCTAAGTAGCTACAAGAGGAGCTCTCCTGGCCCATGTGGGGAAGGCAGGTGGATCTTGGCCCCTCACCCACTCTCCACTAAGAAGCTGGCCAAAGAATGTCCCACCGAGTCACAGAAGCAGTGGACAAGAAACCAGCCTTCAGCACATAACCAGGGCCCAATTCCAGCTGGGCCATTTACCAACTGCATAGACCTAGGCAAGGCTCTCCAAGCCTCAGCTTGCTCATCTGTAAAATGGGGGCAACGATACCAACCTCCTACAGCTGTGTGACAATTAACTGAGATAATTCATGCCCAGTGTTTGGTATGCGGTGAACATATTAAAACTTGAAGCAACAGTGACTGTTACTACTAGTTAGCCCTCAGATGAGAACCGGCATGAACTTGCTGGCTTCACCATGAGTTGTATCTCTTGTGCCAGATCCCAAAGCCAGTGCATTTTGGCAGCTGCTATCCCAAATTCCTCAGCTCCACCTACCTCTGCAGCTGCTCCAGAACAGCTGGGCATGCAGGGGCTGCTGCAAGGCCAGGCCTGGGCCCTGGGGAGGGCAAGCGCAGGGCTCCCTGTAATCAGGCCAGGCCTCAGAGCAAGGCCCGTTTCATCTGGACAACCAAGTCCCTGGCAGGCCATCATTAACTCCCCCACCCTTGCTCAGCACCCAACCCTGACCCAGCTGCTGAAGCCTCAGAGAGAAGGCAGCAGGTGTTTAGCCAAAGCCTTTCATTCCTCGGATCCCTCCCCAGGGTCTCCCAGGACCTCTGGGCTCAGGGAAGGTTCTGGTGACATAAGCAGGAAGGAAAGTCTTTCTGAAGCCAGGGCCTCCACTCACCCTACAGGCAGCAGTCCACACTGAGGAACAACGGAGACCTGGCATTGAGACTCCTACAACCTCAAAGTTGAAGAAAGCTCTAAAGCCATCTCATGTATATATATACAATACAATACCATTCAGCCTTAAAAAGACAAGAAATTCTGACACATGCTGCAACATGGCTGAACTTTGAGGATGTTATGCTAAGTAAATAAGCCAGACACAAAAGGACAAAAACTGTATGATTTCACTTACACAAGGTACCCAGAGTACTCTAATTTGTAGAGACAGAAAGTACAATGGTAGTTGCCAGGGGCTGGGAAGAGAGCAGAATGGAGAGTTATTAAAAAACACAAGATGGGCCGGGTACAGTGGCTCATGCCTGTAATCCCAGCTACTCAGGAGGCTGAGGCAGGAGAATTGCTTGAACCCGAGAGGCAGAGGTTGCAGTGAATTGAGATCTCGCCATTGCACTCCAGCCTGGGCAACAAGAGTGAAACTCCGTCTCAACAACAACAAAAAAAGATGAAAGACAAGTGTTGGCTGGGTGCAGTGGCTCATGCCTGTAACCCCAGCACTTTGGGAGGCTGAGGCAAGAGGACTGCTTGAGCCCAGGAGTTCAAGACCAGCCTGGACAACATGGCGAGGCCTCCATTTCTACAAAACATTTAAATCTTTTTTTTTTTTTTTTTTTTTTGAGATGGAGTTTCGCTCTTGTCGCCCAGGCTGGAGTGCAATGGCACGATCGCGGCTCACTGCAACCTCCACCTCCCAGGTTCAAGCGATTCTCCTGCCTCAGCTTCCTGAGTAGCTGGGATTACAAGCACCCGCCATCATGCCCGGTCAATTTTTGTATTTTTAGTAGAGACAGGGTTTCACCATGTTGGCCAGGCTGGTCTCGAACTCCTGACCTGAGGTGATCTGCCCGCCTCAGCCTCCCAAAATGCTGGGATTACAGGCATGAGCGACCACACCCAGCCTCATAAAAAGTAATTTTTTTACTTTTTGTAAGTGTTTATACTTTTTACAAGTATTGGTGAGGATGTAGAGAAAAGAGAACACTTGTACACTTCTGGTGGGAATGTAAACTGGTACAACCATTATGGAAAACAATATGGAGGTTCCTGAAAAACTAAAAATAGAACTACCACACGATCCAGCAATCCCACTTTTGGTTATATATCCAAAAGAAATGAAATCAGTAAGTCAGAGAGATATCTACACTCCCATGTTCACTGCAGTATTATTCACAATAGCCAAGATATGGAAACAACCTAA
The DNA here is from genome assembly GCF_000001405.40 of Homo sapiens. Classification (NCBI taxonomy): domain Eukaryota; kingdom Metazoa; phylum Chordata; class Mammalia; order Primates; family Hominidae; genus Homo; species Homo sapiens. The sequence continues at coordinate 31,404,181 of NC_000001.11, read as the reverse complement.
CTGTCCATCACGGAATGAATGGATAAAGAAATTGTGATGGCCAGGCACAGTGGCTTACGCCTGTAATCCCAGCACTCTGGGAGGCCAAGGCAGGTGGATCACCTCAGATCAGGAGTTCGAGACCAGCCTGGCCAACGTGGTGAAACGCTCTCTCTACTAAAAACACAAAAATTAGCCAGGCATGGCGGCGGGTGTCTGTAATCCCAGCTACTTGGGAGGCTGAGACAGAAGGACTGCTTTAATCTGGGAAGTGGAGGTTGCAGTGAGCCAAGACTGCACCATTGCACTCTAGCCTGGGGAACAAGAGCAAAACTCTATCTCAAACAAACAACAACACAAAAAAATTGTGATATATACACAATAGAATACTATACAGCCTTTAAAAAGAAGGACATCCTGTCATTTGCAACAACGTAGATGAACCTAGAGAACATTACGTTAACTGAAGTAAGCCAGGCACAGAAAGATTAACACTGCATGATCTCACTTATGTGAAATTTTAAGTCGGACTCATAGAAGCAGAGAGCACAACAGTGGTTAACAGGGGCTGGGGCCAGGCCCAGGAGAAGGGATTGAGGAGATGTTGGTCAACGGATACAAAATTTCAGTTAGACAGGAGGAATAAATTCAAGAGATTTATTGTACAACACAGTCACTATAGTTATTAACAATGTATTGTATACTTCAAAATCGCTAAGTAAATTTTAACTGTTCTCATTGCAAAAAAATTAGTATGTGAGGTAATGCATACTTAGCCCAATTAGCCATTCCACAATGTATACATATTTATTTATTTATTTATTTTTTATTTTTTGACAGGGTCTTACTCTGTCACCCAGGCTAGAGTGCAGTGGTGTGATCCCAGCTCACTTCAACCTCCACCTCCCGGGCTCAAGCCATCCTCCCACCTCAGCCTCCCGAGTAGCTGGGACTACAGGTGTGCAACACCACATCCAGATAATTTTTGTATTTTTTGTAGACAGAGGGTCGCATCATGTTGCCCATGCTGGTCTCGAACTCCTGGGCTTATGTGATCTGCCCACCTCAGCCTCACAAAGTGCTGGGATTACAGGCATGCACCGCCGTGCCTGGCCAATATATACATATTTCAAAACATTATATTGCACACTATAAATGTATAAATTTGTATTTGTCAATTAAATTTTTTAAGTTCTCTGATTTGAATAATAGAGAGATAAACACACACATCTAGTGCCTTCTCTCAGTTAACAGATGGAGAAACTGAGGCCAAGACCGAAGAAGGGACTTACCAGAGTACACACAATGGGTGTGGGTTGAGAGGCATTCTCTGGCTTCCTGCTTCTTTCTAAACAAGCCCTCACCCCCACTCCCGAGTCTGCCCTACTGCTGGAACAGCCCCCTAACTACAAGCTTCCAGCTGGTTCTTCAGCACATCCGGAATTTCATCAGTCTTTAAAAAAAATAACTTTGCTCCTTTACTCTGGGTTTCATTCCCTCCAATTATAAAATCCTACCTGTCCCACGATAGCAGGGATCTTATCTGCCTGGTTCACCACAGGATCTCAACTCCCAGAGTTACATCTGGCAGGGCATCGCAGAGGCTGAATAAAAAATGAAAAATGAATTTTAGGCCAGGTGCGGTGGCTCATGCCTGTAATCCCAGCAGTTTGGGAGGCTGAGGTGGGTGAATCACTTGAGGTCAGGAGTTCCAGACCAGCCTGGCCAACATGGTGAAACCCTGCCTCTACTAAAAATGGAAAAATTAGCCGGGCATGGTGGCGCACACCTATAATCCCAGCTCCTTGGGAAGCTGAGGTGAGAGAATCACTTGAACCCAGGAGGCGGAGGTTGCAGTGATCTGAGATCATGCCATTGCACTCCAGCCTGGGCAACAAAGCGAGACTGCATCTCAAAAAAAAAAAAAAAAAAAAAAAAGAAGAATTTAAAAATTCAAAAGAATTCACCAATGGATTCCCACCTTCGACATACTTTATGTCCCATTCTCATCTATTCTAATGCTTAAACGCTTTTTTAAAATTAATTAAAAAAAATTTTTGAGACAGAATCTTGCTCTGTCACCCAGGCCAGAGTACAGTGATGTGATCTAGGCTCACTGCAACCTCCGCCTCCCGGGGTTCAAGCGATTCTCCTGCCTCAGCCGCCTGAGTAGCTGGGATTACAGGCATGCACCACCACCTCAAGCTACTTTTTGTATTTTTAGTAGAGACAGGGGTTTCACCATGTTGGAAAGGCTGGTGTTGAACTCCTGACCTCAAGTGATCCACCCACCTCGGCCTCCTAACATGCCGGGATTACAGGTGAGAGCCACCATGGCTGACCACTTAAACACTGTTAAACAATCTGGACTCACACTACCTACATAATTTTGTGTCCCATCTTTTTCACATAACATTCCATCATGAGCATTTTTCCTTGCCATTAAAATATTTTCTTAACAGCACTGAGATGGCCCCATACTCGCTGTCAGTGGATGTCCTCCACCCAGAAGCCATCTTCTCAGCCAGACTTCTGGGACCACTCAGGATGGGGCAAAAGAGAACAATGTATTGCTGGCTTCCAGCACACAGTCCCCCTCAACAAACATCTACAGAACATCTGAGGTGCCAGGCACAATTCTAGGCCCTGGGAGGACAGCAGTGAATCAAACAGACAAAAGCCCTTGCTTTCATAGAGCTTGCACTCTAATGGGGAGTAAATGAATGAATGAACCAATGAAACTACTTCCTGTGGTTGGACATTGAAGTCAGTGCTTCTTAAACGTTCCCTCTGCAGTAGCACTAGTGAACTGCAAGCAGAAAATCCCTTTAAAGTCTTATATGTTATTATTAATATGAATGTAAAGTCTGCATTCTATGTGGGCTGGCCAACTCATCCTGCTTTGCCTGGGACCTTTCTGGTTTGCGTACTGAAAGTCTCATGTCCTGGAAAAACTTTTTTTTTGAAACAAAGTTTCATTCTTGTTGCGCAGCCTGGGAGGCAGTACCTGCAGTGAGCCGAGATCGCGCCATTGCACTCCAGCCTGGGCTCACTGCAACCTCTGCCTCCCAGGTTCAGGTGATTCTCCTGCCTCAGCCTCCTGAGTAGCTGGGACTGCAGGCATGCACCACTACACCCAGCTAATTTTGTATTTTTAGTAGAGACAGGATTTCACCATGTTGGCCTCTGCCTCCCAGGTTCAGGTGATTCTCCTGCCTCAGCCTCCCAAGTAGCTGGGACTGCAGGCATGCACCACCATGCCCGGCTAATTTTGTATTTTTAGTAGAGATGGGGTTTTGCCATGTCGGTCTTGAACCCCTGACCTCAGGTGATCCGGCCGCCTCGGCATCCCAAAATGCTGGGATTACATGCATGAGCCATTGCGCCCAGCCTCTGGGAAAACTTTTTGTACTGGGCAAACTAGAACAATTGGTCACCCTAATTCTATGCCATATCATATCCATTTAAAAAAAACCACCTTTATTGAAATATATTTCACATACCATAAAATCCGCCTATGTTAAGAAACCATTCAGTGGTTTTTAGTACATTCACAAGGTTGTGCAATCACCACCACTAATTCCAGAACATTTTCATCACCCTAGAAGGAAACCCCATGCTCGTTTAGCAGTCACCCCTCATTCACACTTCTCCTAGGTCCCAGCAACCACTCATCTACTTCCTGTCTCTACGGATTTGCCTATTCTAGCCATTTCTTTTATGACTGTCTTCTTTCACTTAATATAATGTTTTCAAGGCTCATCCATGTTGTAGCAGGTATCACTGTATCAGTGCCTCATTCTTTTTACTTCCCAGACAAGATTCCATTGTACAAATATAAACCATACTTTGTTTATCCACTCATCAATTGTTAGACGTTTAGGTTGCTTCCACTTTTTGACTCTTATGAATAATGCTGCTATGAACACTCATATGCAAGTTTTTATATGAACATATGTTTTCATTTCTCTTGGGTATATACCTTGGAGTTGAATTACTGGGTCATATGGTAGCTCAATGTTTAACTTTTTGAGGAACTGCCAAACGGTTTTCCAAAGTGACCACACCATTTTACTTCTTACTAGCAATGTAAGAGGGCTTCAATTTCTCCACATCCTTAGCTATACTTGTCATCATCTGTCTTTTTGATTTTAGTCATCCTAGTGGTGTGACCTGCTATATTGGTTTTAATATAAAGTTTTTGTTCTAAATTAGTCGCTATCAAGTAAAACCAACCCCCTTTGAATGTGCACCATGTCTACCATATTGCTTAGAGCACCCTAACACACAACTCAGTACCTCTGAGGGCAAGGGTGCCAGCCTGTAGCATGTGGATTAAAGTCATTTGTAATGTTGTGATATTATAAATGACACTGTGATAACCAGCCTTGTACAGATTTGTGCACCTCTATTATTTTTTTTCCTTAGGAAAAATGCATAGGGATGGAACAATTTGGTTAAGGGATACACATTGAAAATGTAAACACGTGGCACAAAATTTCAAAGGGTGTACAGAGAAAAGTAAAGTTTCTTTCTTCCCCTGCCCTCAGGTCCCCTCCCCAGAAACAACCACTGGCACCAGTTTCTTAAGTATCCTTCCCAAAACATCTTAGGGTGCACATTTTTGAGGTTTCCAAACAAATTGCCACCAGAAATTTGCACTCATTGATAGACCCACTGCTAGTGGGAAAGTTTTCTTTTCACCATTTTGCCTACATTGTTCTTTTTTTTTTCTTTTGAGACAAAGTCTCTCTCTTGTTCTCCAGGCTGGAGTGCAGTGGCATGATCTCAGCTCACTGCAACCTCCGCCTCCCAGGTTCAAGTGATTCTCCTGCCTCGGCCTGCCGAGTAGCTGGGATTACAGGCACACACCACCGTGCCCAGCTAATTTTTATATTTTTGGTAGAGACAGAGTTTCACCATGTTGAACAGGCTGGTCTCAAACTCCTGACCTCAAGTGATCCACCCACCTTGGCCTCCCAGAGTGCTGGAATTACAGGCGTGAGCCATGGCACCTGGCCTTGCCTACGTTGTTCTTTTTTTTCTTTTTGCCACGTTAATCTTTAATTTTTTTTAATTGCTAATGAAGTTGAACTTCTTTCCATTGTATTTGTTGTATTATTCATATATATTATTATTTGTATTTTTCATATGTTTATTATTTGTATTTCATATCTGGTGCCAGAATGATATTTTTAAAAAAAATCTGGCCGGGCGCAGCGGCTCACATGTGTACTCCCAGCACTCTGGGAGGCCGAGGAGAGTGGATCACTTGAGGTCAGAAGTTTGAAACCAGCCTGGCTGGTTTCATGGTGAAACCCCATCTCTACTAAAAATACAAAAATTAGCCGGGCATGGTGGCACACGCCTGTAGTCCCAGCTACTCGGGAGGCTGAGGCAGAAGAACTGCTTGAACCCTGAAGGTGGAGGTTGCAGTGAGCCTAAATCGCGCCACTCCACTCCAGTCTGGGCAACAGAGGGGAACTCTGTCTCAAAAAATAAATAAATAAATAAATAAATAAATAAATAAATTTTTTAAAAGAAATCTAATAATGCTCTTGGTTAAAAATTATTAGATTTTTAAAAAAATCTAATAATGCTTCCCTACTGCCTGGGAATAAAGACCCAGCTCCCTAACTGGTCCACAAAGCCCCACATAGCCTGACTCCAGCTGCTCCTGGCCCTTTTGTTTGGACAACTTGCAGTTTCTAGAAACAGCCATGTGGCTTCTCTCCTCCTGGCTCTGGCAGTTACAGACATCACCTCCTCTCTGATGACTTTCAGGCTCACCTCCATCACACATCTCTCATGAAATCACTTGCTTACAGGGCCAGCTTGTATGGCCAGCTTGTATGGGTGTATGACCTCTGCAGAGGGACCCTACGGTTAAGAAGGGCCCCTAGACTGGTTTGATGCTCTGCTGTCGCTGTTTTGAAATTCATAGTACATTTTGGACAAGGGGCTCTGCATTTTCATCTGCACTGGGACCTGCCAAATATGTAGCAGGTCCTGCTGGTTTACCTTGTGCTTCCCACAGATGATGAGACACCCCTTGACCTCAGGGTCAGTCCCACCCCCTCTTGTATCCCCAGTGCCTGGCAGGAACCAAATGAATGCCTAAATTTTATGAATGAAATGAATGAATGGATGAAAACAAAGAAAGAATGATGGCATGAATTAAAGGAAGGAGTCTGTTATTCCTTGAAGAGTAAGGTAGATGGAATTATCAATGTAAACAAAAGTCAAAAAGGCATTCCAAGTAGAGGGAATGACCCCCATGGGCAAGAATTCACTGTGGGCAGGGCTGGGAGGCCCTGGGATTGTGGTTGTACCAGCCTCAGTGGAAACTCCTGAATCTGGAGGAAGTGGGAGGGGTGGGGCCATGGCTGATCTCTGGAAGGAGCTGTTTCCCTGACCCCAGTCAGGGAGAAAGCCCTGGAATCTAGAAGAGGAAGTTCTAATTAGTGCCCTCAAAGGGACTTCTCCTGTCACTGGGGGTAGCAAGCAGTGAGGCCAGGAAGTTGAGGGGGGTCAACGGGACGGCTTGACTCAGGGTTGGGGCATCAAAGCTTGGTGATCTTAATGACCCCAATTAAAGTGCCTTTGCACTACCTGGCCTCTGACTCACGGGTCAACACCTCCTGCCCACCCCGCATTTAGTTTAAAGGGTTTCTCTGGGCCCTAGGCCCTCCCTTGGCATCCTCCCCAACATTCCAGAAAGTGGATGGTCATCAGGCTCCCAGGACCAGTGGGACCAGTGGGAGATTAGGGGCAGCCCCTCAATGGATGCCCTAGCCACCCATGGAGACAGAAAGATAATGACCTTTTGGGGTTTATGGGCATAGGGCTTGGCCTTGCCCGAGCAAGGGAAGAAGCCCAATGGCTGCAAACCCCTTAAAGGGTTTTATATTGCCAACCTGGGTCCATCCACCCTTCCCCTCACCTCCTTCCATTCTCTCCTCTTCATTCCTGCCCTCCTAGTCATAGAGGCTTCCTTTCCAGCTCTTGACCACATCAAGTTCATTCTTGTCTCAGCCTTTGCACTTGCTGTAGTAATCTTACTGCTTGCAACACTCATCCCCCAGATCTAGGCACAGCTGCTTCTCATTAGGCAGGTCTCAGCTAGAAGACCACTTCCTCCCTGAGGAAGTCAACCCTTCTGCACCCCATGGCCTTGCTTAATTTTCAGACTGTCTGAATTGGAATCCTACCTCCATTAGCTACTAGCTTGGGCAAGATACAGAGCCTCCCTGTGCCTCTGTTTCCTCGCCTATACAATGAAGATAACAGAAGCATTTATATCATTACACTGTCGGAAGTAGTAAATGAGTTGACACAGGGCCCTGCACATAGTAGGGCTCCATGCATATTAAGCATTATGACAATCACTGTCTGCCCCCTGGAGGTCACTTTGGGAGAAGAGACTGTGTCAGCCTGCACAGAGCTGTTACCCCAGGGCCTAAAACAGTGCTACATAAAAGGCACTCCAGAAATAGGTATCTAAATCATTGATTCATTTGTTTCTCTCTGGGTATTTTCCCTTTTGCTATTCTCTCTCTCCCAATTCAAGCAGATTGTTGGTTAGGCAGACAACAGGCTTCCGAGGCTGGCAGGGGAGGAAAGATGGAGTGAATGGTAACTGCAGAGACACCTCTGGCTCTGCAGATGGTGGCCAGAGCCCAGTGACCAAATGACCCCGAGCCGCACTGTGAACCCAACTCCGCAGAACAATTCTTGCCTTTCTAGTAATGCCCAGAAGAAGCAGAGAGAGAGAGATGTCAGCCCCAGAAGGGCCACTCAGAGCAAAAAGGACAATGGGTGTTGCAAGGTGATCCATGTAGAAAACATGCCTGGGAACACACACACATGGACCTACCAAGCCTTAGCTGCACGTACATTTATCTCCCATCCCAGCTTAGACACAGCTCCGGATTGAAGAGAAAGAAAGTTCTACTTCTTATACCCCTAAGTCAATCACACCTGGCGCTCAAATAAAAAGTTCCCTTATGACTCCTCACTGAGAGCCTCTCAGAGCCTCAGTTCTGCCAGTGTAAGGTGAAGGCAGTTCCATCTCTCCTACGATGCTTGTGCAGGTTTCAATCATGATAAAAAGTTCCCAAGGGCCAGGTGAGGTGGCTTACACCTGTAATCCCAGCACTTCGGGAGGAAGAGATGGGAGGATCGCTTGAGCCCAGGAGTTGGAGACCAGCCTGGGCAACAAAGTAAAACCCTGCCTCTACAAAACAATAAAAAATTAGCCATGGTGGAGCCGCATGTGGTCCCAGCTACATGGAGGCTGAGGCAGGAGGATTGCTTGAGGCCAGGAAGTGGAGGCTGCAGTGAGCCACGATCGCGGTATTGCACTTCAGCCTGGGATACAAAGCAAGACCCTGTCTCAAAAAGAAAAGTTCCCAAGGACTTGCTGTGTTACCTCTTTTAATCCTCTCAACAACCCTGTGAGATAAGAACTATGATCTCTGCTTTAAAATAAGGAAACCAAGGCACAAAGTGATTGTGTAACGAGGTGAGTTTGAGTAGCTGGTCCAAGACTGAAGCTCAGGTCTAACCCCAGCCCCCGCCACCCTTCCTCTCTACTCAGAAAAAGAAGGTAATCAGAGGGTGTGACAATGTTTGGTAAACGGCAAAGACTTGCGCTGATACGGGATGACAGAAGGCGGGGCGGGCGCGGTGGCTCACGCCTGTAATCCCAGCACTTTGGGAGGCCGAGATGGGCGGATCACCCAAGGTCAGGAGTTCAAGACCAGCCTGGCCAACATGGTGAAACCCCGTCTCTACTAAAAATACAAAAATTAGCTGGGTGTGGTGGCGGGCGCCTGTAATCCCAGGTACTCTTGGGAGGCTGAGGCAGGAGAATGGCTTGGACCCAGGAGGCAGAGATTGCAGTGAGCCGAGGTCGCGCCACTGCACTCCAGCCTGGGTGACAGAGCAAGACTCCGTTTCCAAAAAAAAAAAGAAGAAGAAGAAGAAGAAGGCGGGGTGGGGAGCGGCCCTGGACAGAGAGGGAATGAGGCATGTGTCGCTCAGCACCGGCCACTGTCCAGTGGAGGTGCAATGCCATGCCAGACAGAGCTGTGGTTCTGCACAGCCTGGCCCAGGAGGGCCTTCGCTGACCCCAGTTGACAGGAAAAGAAGTAGCAGCCCGGCCCCCGGAAGAGGGGGAGGGACGCGCTTAGACGCCGGGAGAGTGCACCTGACTGGTGTCAGGAGGTCCGCGTCAAGTGCCAGCTCTGTCTCTAGTTCTCAGGGTGACGTCTGGCTAGTTCCTCTCCTCTCGGGACACCTGTTTTCCCGCCGGGCTCAAGTGCGGATCAATCAGGGCTGGGAGGCTCCGGGAGCCCGCGCGCTCTCCTAGCTCGGCTCCGTAGTGCCCCCCGGTGGACAAACTGGTGCGTGCCAACCTCAGCTCCGAGAAGAACACCCGCAGGAATCGCCCCTTCCGTCTTCAACGCCTGGCCCTGGGTGCACGGAGGAGGCGCGCACATGCCTCATTTCCAGGGCCCAAGAGGAAGGTGAAGGTTCCGAGGAGATCTGGGCGGGCGAGGAGAATCCCCAGGCTCTGGCTCTGACGCTTGTTTGCTGTGTGAATTTGCACTCACCTTCCTCTCTCTGGGCCAGCTTCCCTATCCCTAAGAAAGGAGTTAATAGGATGAGTCCTGACCTGGGAGCCATAAGACTTGGTTTTCAATGTTAATGAGCTTAAGCAAGTCCCTGCCCTACCCTGGGCCTCAGTTTCCCCATCTTCACAAGTTGAAGGCACCAAATGGCCTCAGGACCCTTCTGGCTCTGACATTCAGTAGTCTAAATGGCAACAATGTGTTTAGGAGAATTAAGAGGAGGTGCAAGTGACCCCAAGAAGAGTTTCTTGAGGTCTGGGAGATGATTTTGACTGGGTCAAAAAGTATTAATATTTATAATTATAAATATTATATCATGGGGCCTCTTTTGTTGACAATGCCCTGTGGGATGCCTTTGGCTGGGGACAAGTCCATCAGTGTATAAGAGCCGCTCACACCAGCTAGCAAGAGCAAATTGCTAAAGTTTCAGGCATTTTGCAAGAGGGCTGTTTAACAGTCATTGCTAAAAATTAAATTGTATACTGGGCACAGCAGCTCACACCAGTAATCCCAGCACTTTGGGAGGCTGAGGTGAGAGGAGGATCACTTGAGGCCAGGAGTTCCAGATCAGCCTGGGCAAAATAGTGAGACTTCCATCTCTTAAAAAATCATAATATCAGGCTGGGCAACATAGTGAGACCCTGTCTCTACAAAAAATTTTAAACATTAACGGGGTGCGGTGGCGCATGCCTATATTCTCAGCTACTCAGGAGGCTGAGGTGGGAGGATTGCTTGAGCCCAGGAGGTCAAGGCTGCAGTGAGCTGTGATCATGCCACTGCACTCCAGCCTGGATGACAGAGTGAGACCCTGTCCCCAAAAAATATATATCATCATAATAAAAATTTTAAAATTAAATTGTATACATTTACAATTAAATAAATTATATTAAAACAAAGATATTAAAAATCATCACTTCCTAATTATTTTACTATATTTCACTATTATCTATTCTCTTGAGTTTACCTACATTTATTTTTTTTTCATTTTTATTTATTTATTTATTTTTGAGACAGAGTCTTGCTATTGCCTGAGTGGCACCATCTCAGCTCACTACATGGAGCTGACTGGCACCATCTCAGCTCACTACAACCTCTGCCTCCCAGGTTCAAGCAATTCCCCTACCTCAGCCTCCCGAGTAGCTGGGATTACAGGCGCACACCACCATGCTGGGCTAATTTTTGTAATTTTAGTAGAGACAGGGTTTCACCATGTTGGCCAGGCTGGTGTCGAACTCCTGACCTCAAGTGATCCACCCACCTCGGCCTCCTAAAGTGCTGGGATTACAGGCGTGAGCCCCCGCACCCAGCCCTACATCTGTTGTTATCTGTGTAGTGGAATTATGACATAATGATGTGCTTCTGCACATCTCTTCCTAACTCTTGGCTCCATAACATCGTGGCAGCAGCTTGAATCAGCCGAGTGGGGGTATTTACACCACAGAAATTGGTAAACAGCATATGGGGGCCAGGGAAAATTTTCCCTTTTGCCCTCTGAAGGTTCATGGAAAAATCAACTCACAAAAGGCAGAAAATTGGAGACAAAGCATACAAAAGTTATTATTAACATGTACATGGGAGCCTTCAGCATGAAGACCTGAAGAAAAACAGAAAACTATTCGTTTTTATGCTTAGGTTCAACAAAGTATGGACAGCCATGTAGAAATATGACTGGATGAAAAGGCTATGATCAAATGCTAATAGACTGAGTGAGGAAGCCCAGCAAGGACTTCTGCCTGGATTCTTCCTGGCCTCTCTGAGCATTCATTCCTTCCTTCTGAATATGGGGCAGGACCCACTCTAGAATGAGGATCTTATGACCTAGAGTCAAGGTAGGTAAGATAACTTCTTTTCACACAGAAAGGTGGAGGAAAATCCAGAGTAATGCTTTTAGGTTTTACGGCTGGCTTCGGGGGAAAAGGGGTTTGTTTTCCGTGAAATGTCTTGGGGAAAAGGGATGCTAGCCTTGGGGAAGAGAGATTCTAGTTTCTATGGCTAGCCTCAGGGGAGAATGGAACAGAAAGACAAGAGGACAGGAGAAGGTCAAAGAAAAACTTTTGCTTCTGAGGCCTTCATTTTGGGGTATTGTTGTCTGAGTCCTGATAGGTACAAATAAGGAACTGATTTGTTGTTTTGTTGACTTTCAAGACTAAAGAAAGTGATAGACAAAATGTTAAAAGTGCAAATTAAACTTAATAGTTTGTCAAGTCTGGTGCTAAAGCTGAAAGAAGTTTCTGTTTAATGAATATATCTGTAGAAGGGTGAAAAATATTATAACAGTAGGTTGGGTGCAGTGGCTCACGCCTGTAATCCCAGCATTTTGGGAGGACAAGGCGGGTAGATCACTTGAGGTCAGGAGTTCGAGAGCAGCCTAGCCAAGATGGTGAAACCCTGTCTCTACTAAAAATACAAAAAAAATTAGCTGGGGGTGGTGATGCACGCCTATAATCCCAGCTACTCGGGAGGCTGAGGCATGAGAATCACTTGAACCCGGGAGGTGGAGGTTGCAGTGAGCCGAGATCAAGCCATTGCCGCCTGGGTGACAGAGCGAGACTCCGTCTCAAAAAAAAAAAGAAAAATATTTTAACAGTAGATCCTGTAGCACATTTAATGACAATAAATTTATTAGGAAAATAATTAGCAGATTGGTATCTATGCAATTCAATTTCAAATTTTGGTTGAATTGCAACCATAGGATGGCTACAGATATGAGTTTGGCAAAAATTAATGAAACCATTCTGCCAGAATCAATTGGCTGTATGGAATTTACTATCAAGTGTTTGTATATGGACCAGCATGGTGCCTCCCATCCATAATGCTAGTGCTTTGGAGACCCATGTGAGAGGTTTGCTTGGGGTTAGGAGTTTGAGGACAGCCTGGGCAACATAGCAAGACCTTGTCTAAAAAACAAAACAAAACAAAACAAACAAACAAAAAAACTGTTTAAATGATCTGGGTGTCATGGTACGAGCCTATAGTCCCAGCACTCAAGAGGCTGAGGCAGGAGGATCACTTGAGCCCAGGAGTTCAAGGCTGCAGTGAGCCATGATCGCCCTACTGCATACCAGCCTGGGTGACAGGGTGAGACCCTGTCTCAAAAAAAAAAAAAAAAAGGAGTTTGCATATTGTGTCATTTGTAAGTTAAGCTGTGTGCTACACAGCCTTTATTTATTTTTTTGAGACAGGGTCTCACTCTGTCACCCAGGCTGGAATGCAGTGGCACGATCTCAGCTCATTGCAATCTCCATCTCCCGGGTTCAAGAGATTCTCCTGCCTCAGCCTCCTGAGTAGCTGGGATTACAGGTGTGTGCCATAATGCCCAGCTAATTTTTGTTTTTTTAGTAGAGACTGGGTTTTATCATGTTGGCCAGCTGGTCTCGAACTCCTGACCTCAAGCCATCTGCCCGCATTGGCCTCCCAAAGGGCTAGGATTACAGGCACGAGCCACTGTGCCTGGCCTACACAGCCTTTATATCAGTAAAATTTATAATAAATATATGTCCATATATAACCTATACATTTGGATTTTTGAGAAACTAGTTTTCAAATATTTATTGTCCAGCAAACCACTGGGCAATTCCAAGCTTAATAAAGTCCTTTCAAAGCACATTTCTTATCAGGAAAGCCATCTCCACTCCACTAGGGGATGTACACAGAGACAAACAACCTCAAGCTTCCACTGGGGATACTCCAGGACACATGTAAGCTCCACGGCTTTGGAGTCTGTCATATTCAAAAATGACCATAAAACCAACACATTTAGGAGATTTGCGGCACTCTCTTCTCTTTGATGTTTTCTAATTCAAGTGCCTTAAATAAGGCCCTTTGACTACAAGGAACAGAAACTGTCTCAGGCTAACGGAAAGAAAAATCAGGCGTTATCATAAGGATTGGGGGAGCAATTGTGGCCCCTTGTGGAGCTGGATGGCTTCTGGAGCTCAGCACTTTCCCCCTCTTCACTGCCTCATTCTTCTCTACTCCTGTAGAGAGCTTTCTGCTTCTTTTCTTCTGTGTAAACCGCAGTGAATGTGAAGGTGGCTGCTTTACAGTTCCCAAGATTACCTGTTCTCAGTTCAGGGGCCAGTCCCAGCCAGTGGAATGCAGATTCCCAAGCCCCAGACAAAGGACCTGATTGGCCTACTTGGATCAGATAGGCATTCCTGGATCAGTCAGTCTCAGTTGCTTCTGAGGCCTTCATTTTGGGGTATCCCCTCCGGGAAGCTGGAGGGGCAGGAGTCAAAGCATACAAACATGGCCTCAGGGGCCATACCTAGTAGGGAGCGGCAACTCTCAGAGAAGGAGGGTGGGGCTCCCGAAGGTTTGTAATGTTGAACTAAGTCATAAATGAGGCCCGCTGCGTGCCCAGAACACACACCGGCAGAGCAGGTTTCCTTGCATTCTCACCATTGAGAAAGCCCTCTATCTAGGCTGGGTAACCAGCTGCCGTGTGGACTGTCCATTATCTGACAGTGTATGCTATCAGTGAAAATGCCTTTATTACATATTTGACAATTTTGTCTGTAAAAAGGTAAAAAGGACTATCTCTCATGCAGACATCTTCCAAATATTGTGACTGTAGTGAAAGAAAATCATCTGTTCCACCAGCCAAGTGACCATCCTGGGGACTCCTGGGACTGACCACGGACCCCAGTCAAAAAGACGCTGCATCATAATCACCTTTTTTCATCATTTCACAGAGGACCTGAGCTCCTCAGGGGCAGACCCTGGAACCACTGGGTTCACAGTGCCTGGCATGCCCAGTACAGTCACATCAACAACTGACAGACCATGCTGTCTACAGCAGGTTAAAATTCCGGCTTCCTCTCCTACTAGCTGTGATCTTGCTCAAGTGACTTAACTTTTCTGTGTCTCAGCTTCCTTACCTATAAAATGGGGATAAAAAAATATTACCTACTTCAGGGCCGGGCGCGATGGTTCACGCCTGTAATCCCAGCACTTTGGGAAGCCGAGGAGGGTGGATCGCCTGAGGTCAGGAGTTCGAGACCAGCCTGGCCAACATAGTGAAACCCTGTCTCTACTAAAAATACAAAAAATTACCTGGGTGTGGTGGCGGGTGCCTGTAATTCCAGCTATTCTGGAGGCTGAGGCAGGAGAATCGCTTGAACCTGAGAGGCAGAGGTTGCAGTGAGCCAAGATCGCGCCACTGCACTCCAGCCTGGGCAACAAGAGCAAAACTCTGCCTCAAAAACAAAAAACAAAAAACAAAAAAAATTATCTACTTCATAGGGTTGTGGGATTAAATGAGTTAGTATTTATAAAGTGTTGGAACAGTGCCTGGCACAGGTAAATGTTCAACAAGTGTTAGGTTTTTTGTTTTTTTGTTTTTGTTTTTGTTTTTGTTTTTGAGACGGAGTTTCGCTCTTATTGCCCAAGCTGGAGTGCAATGGCTCGATTTCGGCTCACTGCAACCTCCCTGCCTCCCGAGTTCAAGCGATTCTCCTGCCTCAGCCTCCTGAGTAGCTGGGATTACAGGCATGCACCACCACTCCCAGCTAATTTTTGTGTTTTCAGTAGAGACGGGGTTTCACCATGTTGATCAGGCTGGTCTCAAATTCCCGACCTCAGGTGATCCGCCCACCTCGGCCTCCCAAAGTGTTGGGATTACAGGCGTGAGCCACCGCGCCCAGCCAGGTATTATTATTGGCATCTTATCCCCAGCTGGGTCCCTGCAGGCTGGCTGCGGAGTGGGTGGAAGAGCTGGCATTGCCCTCTCCTCTATCCTCCATGGCCAGCCCAGCAGGTAGGCTAGTGTGCATTTGGGGGAGGGACTGTGTGGAGCAAGAGGGTGGAGGAGACCCTGGCAGCCCGAGAGAGGGGTGAGTGTAATGGCCCTGTGCCCTGGTGGGATGCCTGGACCCACCCAGCTGGGAGGAACTCTGGCTGTAGGTGAGGCTCTGTGATACTGGGGCTGATGTGACTGTATGTGTCTGGGGTGGAGAGGTGGGTGTGCCCTCAGTGGTGATGGGTCTAGGGGTGTGAATGTTTGTCCCTGGATGAGTGTGTCTCTCTAGCAGGATGGTGTCTGTGGGACTGTGAGTCTCCAAGGGAATGGCTGGAATGTGTTAGGAGCAGAGCTAGCTAGCATCATTGGTGTGAAACCAACCTGTGCGGTCAAACAGAGCCCTCAGAAGGGCCCTGCTCTTGGTTTAATGATCTGCTGTCATCATCTTGAAATTCTTTTTTTTTCTTTTTTTTTTTTTTGAGAGGGAATCTTGCTCTGTAGCCCAGGCTGGAGTGCAGTGGCGTGATCTCGGTTCACTGCAAGCTCCGCCTCCCGGGTTCAAGCGATTCTCCTGCCTCAGCCTCCTGAGTAGCTACGATTACACGTGCACCGCTATGCCCGGCTAATCTGTATAATTTTAGTAGAGACAGGGTTTCTCCATGTTGGCCAGGCTGGTCTTGAACTCCTGACCTCAAGTGATCCACCTACCTTGGCCTCCCAAAGTGCTGGGATTATAGGTGTGGGCCTTATCTTGAAATTCTTAATAATTGTTGAACAGGGGCTCACATTTTCACTTTGCACTGGATCCTGCCAATTTTGTAGCCTTCTGTGTAGGGGCTGTGTGTGTATGGTCCACCATGGGCCAGCTGCAGGCCTCTGCCCTAGTCTCTGATGCCACGTATGTGGTGAGGATATGTGGGTGAGGTCGTCCATGTGGATGTGTCTGGATGTGTGGGTGAGATCATCTGCATGGATGTGTCTGGGGGTGTGGATGAGGTCGTCTGTGTGGACGTGTCTGGGGATGTGGGTGAGGTCGTCCGTGTGGATGTGTCTCGGGGTGTGGGTGAGGTCATCTGTGTGGATGTGTCTGGGGGTGTGGATGGTGAGGTCATCCGTGGGGATGTGTCTGGGTGTGGATGGTGAGGTCATCCGTGGGGATGTGTCTGGGTGTGGATGGTGAGGTCGTCTGTGTGGATGTGTCTGGGTGTGGATGGTGAGGTCCTCTGTGGGGACGTGTCTGGGTGTGGATGGTGAGGTCCTCTGTGGGGATGTGTCTGGGTGTGGATGGTGAGGTCCTCTGTGGGGATGTGTCTGGGTGTGGATGGTGAGGTCGTCTGTGTGGATGTGTCTGGGTGTGGATAGTGAGGTCTGTGGGGATGTGTCTGCGTGTGGATGGTGAGGTCCTCTGTGGGGATATGTCTGAGTGTGGATGGTGAGGTCATCTGTGTGGATGTGTCTGGGGGTATCGATGGTGTGGTCATCTGTGTGGATGTGTCTGGGGGTGTCGATGGTGTGGTCATCTGTGTGGATGTGTCTGGGGGTGTCGATGGTGTGGTCATCTGTGTGGATGTGTCTGGGGGTGTGGGTGAGGTCGTCTGTGTGGTTGTGCCTGGGGGTGTGGGTGAGGTCGTCTGTGTGGATGTGTCTGGGGGTGTGGATGGTGAGGTCATCTGTGTGGATGGGCCTGGGGGTGTGGGTGATGTCATCTGTGTGGAAGTGTCTGGGGGTGTGGGTGAGGTCGTCCGTGGGGATGTGTCTGGGTGTGGATGGTGAGGTCCTCTGTGTGGATGTGTCTGGGGGTGTGGATGGTGAGGTCGTCTGTGTGGATGTGTCTGGGTGTGGATGGTGAGGTCCTCTGTGTGGATGTGTCTGGGGGTGTCGATGGTGTGGTCATCTGTGTAGATGTGTCTGGGGGTGTCGATGGTGTGGTCATCTGTGTGGATGTGTCTGGGGGTGTGGGTGAGGTCGTCTGTGTGGTTGTGCCTAGGGGTGTGGGTGAGGTCATCTGTGTGGATATGTCTTGGGTTGTGGATGGTGAGGTCATCTGTGTGGATGGGCCTGGGGGTGTGGGTGATGTCATCTGTGTGGATGTGTCTGGGAGTGTGGATGGTGAAGTTGTCTGTGTGGATGTGCCTGGGTATGTGCATATCTGGGATGTCTCTTCTGGACTTGAGAACCAGAAAACCATGGTCTCTGAAGGGGTTCCAGAAATTATTAGAGAAACCTTACCTCACCCCAACCCCAGACACAGGGGAAAGCTCTGTGCTCAGTTCCTCCCTGCACATCCTAGCCCAATCTCATGCGCCTACACCTGGACCTCTTTGTCACTGCAAAATCCCAACCCCCTTTTCTGCTGCTCCTGTCCGACTGCACCCCTATCCTGTCCTTGTGGAAAAGATGGGATGGTTAACTGGAGACTTCTGAGATTAACAAGTCCTGAGCAGAGTGCAGGACAAGCAGAGAGAAAAAAGGAAAGGGAACACAAGCCGGCTGAGCTCCCATTGTGTTATCTGTTTCCGCACCTCGAAGGGATGTGGAGGGGCCATCTCCCCACTCCCCAGACAAGGCTACTCCCTGTACCTTCTATCAGAGCTTCCTGTGAGGAGAAGCTGGAATAGATGGTCAGTAGTCCCAGTTTTCATCCTGTCTCTGTCCGCAACCCATTCTGGGACCCTCGACAACTGGTCTCCCCACATCCAGCCTGTTTCCCCATCTATAAACCAAAAAAGTTGGAGGTTCCTTCAGCACTCCCACCTGACTCTTGGTTTTCTACACTACCTTTGACAACCACTCCTGGCTCTGCACAATGAGACCGTGACCCTCACCTGGGCCAGCTGCAGGCCTCTGCCCCAGTCTCTGATGCCAGGTGCAGTCACTGACTCCTGGGTCTAGGAGCATCTAGTCCCATTAGACAGATGGAGAAAGTGTGGCCCCAGGAGGGGACAACACCCACTAACTTAGTGGCAGGGCCCAGGTTCAACCAAGTCTTCCTACCAACCCTCCCTCCAAGGCTCGGCTGCTGCAGCCACCATCACTGGCTCTGAACTATAAGCAAGATGCTCTCTCGGGAAACTCAGCACCCACAACACAATCTCTGCCCCCATCCCCACTCCTATCATTCTGCCAGTCACAAATGAAAGGGCATTCATCCCTCATTGTACTGATGGAGAAACTGAGATCCAGAGAGATGCAGTGGCTACTCTAGATCACTTAGCCAGGAACCTCCTGGCTCCAATCTCCTGGTTTCCCCGAAACACATTTCTTCTCTTCCCAACCCCCTACTAAAGACCCCAATCCCTGCTAAGCATCCAGAGTCTCTGGAATCTGAGGGCTCTCTCTGGGCCCCTCCCCCAGCCCAAGTGACCCAGGGCAAGACCACTGTGTCTGTGTGGGGTGGGGCTGGGGTGAGTGGTGCTATTTCCCAGAGATTGAAAGACAGCCTCAAGAGGGGCACTGCTTGCTCTTTGCAAGTTGACTGGACCCCCATTCCCACCCAGGCTGCAGAAAGGACATGTGGAGGTAGTGGGGATGGGATAGTAGGCAGGGGTGGGATAGCCAGGCCTGCTTGAGGCCCAGAGAGCACAGCTTCCATTCTTTAAACTGGCCTCCGCAGACCCCCAGGACCATATAAGTGGGTTCCAACACCCTTCCTGGCTTCCACCGGTGAAGATCCCTTTTATCTCCTGGACTTCCAACTAAGAATTTGTGGTTTTTTGAGACAGAGTCTCACTCTGCTGCCCAGGCTGGAGTGCAGTGGCGTGATCATGACTAACTGCAACCTCGACCTGGGCTCAAGTGATCCTCCCGCTTAGCCTCCCAAGTAGCTGCGACTACAGGCATGTGCCACCACGCCCAGCTAATTACTTTTTTTTTTTTTTTTTTTTTTTTTTTTTTTTTTTTTTGTAGAGATGAGGGTCTCACTTTGTTGCCCAGGCAGGTCTCAAACTCCTGGGCTCAAGCGATCCTCCCACCTCAGCCTTCCAAAGTGTTGGAAATACAGGCAAGAGCCACCACACCTGGCCTAAGAATTTGTTTGAAGATAGGATTTAATGGAGTAAAAATAGCTCTCAAACCACAGCCATGGTCTCACATTACTCAGATGGGGAAAGAGCTTTAGAGGATAAGTGGTTTGTCCCAGGTAGCACAGCAAGGCACTGAGGGAGCCCTAGCAGGACCCACACTCCTGTCTCCCAGCTGCCCTTCCTTCTCAAGGCTGCCTTTCAGATCCTCCTGTAAGCAGGGCCTGGGTGGGGAGGCTTCATGAAGGCTCAGTGGGGGGCCAAGTCTGGGGTTCAGTCAACAAACTCTGACAGCAGAACTGTTTTCGGTGGAGGCTTATACTATGTCCTGCCCTGAGAAGAGGACAGAGAGATGAATAAGGCACAGCACTACCCTCAGCAAGCTCCCCATCTGCGCCTGAATATGGGGAGAGTGGGTTCCCACAAAGCTAATTCTAGACACCTCCCCCTTCATTCTAAGTTTTCATTTTCCTCAGCCGTGAGCCCTCAATCTTACCATTCTGCCTTTCACCTGATGTTGCTATCCTCCTCCCTCTTGTTTCCTTCCACCCATCCTTTCCCTCCCACATTACTCTCTTATCCCACCCTATTTTACAACCAGTAGCCTAGGGAAAAGAGCATAGCTCAAATGAGGAAGAAGGCAGGACAGGCAGTCATGGCTTAGCTGGACTGAGCTGCAGTGCTTCTCCTTCTGGGGAAGGGGGTGCACTGTCATCTGCTACTGACACATCCCTCCAAGGCACTCAGCCCTGCAGGGAGCAACCTGATTCTATGACTGACATCTAATCTTCACATTCACCTTGCAGGAAGGCAAGAAGTGATCCCAGCCTCCAGATGGAAAGATCAAGGCCCAGAGAAGGTCAGTGGTGGTTGGAGGCCTGAGGTCACACAGCAGCCAAGTCTGGAGTCACTAGTCAAGGTGACCTTGACTAGCCACCCCACCTCCCCTTCCCTGCCCCACCATGGCCCTGGGAGATCTGTTGTCCTGTGAGGGAAAGGGGCTCCAGGCTGGGCTGCATCTGAAGCCCCTAGATCCAGAGACTTCATTTCTTAGGCTATCTATCCTTGAATTATCTCTAAAATCCACCTTCCTTTCTTTTCCCAGGACCCCCATACCCTGCTCCCAGCATCGTCTGCCTCAGCTAAGCCATGGGGATTGAGAGAATGGAGCTAAAGGGCACAGCTCATAGTCCTGGCTGCCCTAGCCAGACATCTGCCCCACTGTGGGTGCCTCAGCGATTCCTGGGGAGTCAGGCAATACCTGTTCCCAGAGCCCCCACTTCTCTTAGAAACAGAAAATAGCTCTGGGCCTCATAAGTGCCAGGATCTATCTAAGCACTTGGTGTGTGTTAGCTCACTGTACCCTCAGAGGAGGTAATTGAGGCACAAGAGAGGGTGAGTAATCTGCCTGAACAGATGGTAAGTGGTTAAGGCAGGACTTAAACTCAGAAATCTGATTTCAGAGACTTTTTTTTTTTTTTTTGAGACAGAGTCTCGATCTGTCACCCAGGCTGGAGTGCAGTGGCACGATCTTGGCTCACTGTGTAGCCTCTGCCTCCTGGGTTCAAGTGATTCTCCTGCCTTAGCCTCCTGACTAGCTGGGATTACAGGCATGCACCACCATGCCCAGCTAATTTTTGTATTTTTAGTAGAGATGGGGTTTCACCATGTTGGCCAGGCTGGTCTCGAACTCCTAACCTCAAGTAATCCACCTGCCTCGGCCTCCCAAATTGCTGGGATTACAGGTGTGAGCCACCATGCCCGGCTCAGAGACTTTTAACCACTGTATCAGAGACCTCCAGTACCCTGATATCTACTCTCTCCCTTTTCTAGAGTAAAAAGCCGTCCAGAATAATCACTATATTTCCTAGTCTCCCTTGCATGTAGATGTAGCCAAGAGAGAAGAGATGTGTGCAGTGGCCAGGCCATGCCTTTAATTAGGAGGAGTGTGTCCTCTTCCCTTTCCCCCTCTCTCTAGTTGCAGTGGGTGCATGGCTGAGCCCTGCCAGACTGTGCAGTCTGGACAGCTGCCACAGCCACCTAACTGATATCTTCCATGCAGCCTCCACACAGCAGACAGGGAACTCTTCCCATAATACAAATCAGATCATGAAGGTCCCCTGCCCGAAATCCTCCATTACTCTCAACTGCTTTCAGAAGGAAGGCCAGACTCCTGGATGATGAGCAAGGTCTTCTCCTGTGTGCCCTACATTATCTTTCCATTCTCATCACTTGCCATTTTTATCTTCTGCTGTCACCCCAGGGCAATCATCAGGAAAATCTCATCCTCTCTCAATGAATCCTTCTCCTCTGCTTTCCCAATTCCCCTCCCCACATCTAGTGGACTCCTATGTGCCTATCCTTCAAGACCCAGCCCAAAGAGTGCCTCCGTATGAAGCCTTTCCTGACTTTTCTGGCAGAGTGGGGGGCTCCCTCCCTCCATGGTATTCCATGGTATAGAGACAGCCCTATGTGATAGTAATAGCCTTTCTGTATTGTCATAGTCTGTAGACAAGTCCACCTCTCCCATCCCTCTATGAGGGCAGGGACCAAGTCTAGGTCATCTGTTGGTTATCCATACTCAGCATGAGGCCAGGCATCAGACTAGTGACAGTCAAGTTCAATGAGTGATTGACAGAGAAAATGTGTGTGTGCACACGCATGTGTGTGAATGGCCTAATCTGGCTAGAGGCCCAGGCCAAGGAGACAGAAGACATCTATAAATAGCCCCATCCCCAGGCCCCACACCAGGCCTGGTGCCCAGATAAACTGACCCTGGGTGAGGGGACAGGGGCCCAGAATGGGCAGGTAGAGACTGAATACTGAAGAAGAATCCTCTGGAGTCTGTTAGCAGAAGCAGATGGGCCTTGCCTGACTATTGGCAGGCGGACCTGGTGGTCAGACCTCAGTGATCCTCAGGGACCAGTGAATATTTCAGGCTGGGGCTGAGCATCACCTGCTCCCTTGGCCCCACTTATAGGGCAAAGGGGAGTCTACCAGCCTACTCACTGATGACAAACTGGAAAAGTTTGTCCTGTCTCTGCTCTGGCCCCACCTCGCCCTCTCCCCTACTTGGAAGTTCCTTTCCTGAACCACTGACTGCCAAAGCTTGAGGGATTAAATAAATCATCTGGCCCAACCTCCTACCATAGAGTTGGGAACACTGAAGAAAAGAGACTGGCCCAAGGTCACAGAGAAGGCAGGGTGAACACTGTCACAGGGAGAGCCAGTGTAGAATAATGGTTAAGCCACGCAAGCTCTAGAACCACTCTATCTGAGTGCAAATCCTGGCTGTCATCTGTAAATCAGGGATGAGAATAGTACCTGCCTCACTAGGTTATCGTCAGGGTGACATGAGTTTGAAAGACAAAAAGCTGCTAAGTCCGGTGCAGTGCTCAGGGAGTGCTGCACCAATGTTAGCCACAATTTTCTGCACCTGGCTCATAGCACACAAAGCTTCTCTATACCCACAATCTCATTTATTCTCTCGAAAGGTTAGACATTACTATCCTCATCACACAGAGGAGGAAACAGGCACAGAGAGACTGACTTGTCCAAGTTCATGCAGGTATTGTGTCTCCCAACTTTCCTTGGTGGTCTTTATGCCTCCTCCCCATTTCCTCTGACAGGTCATAAACTGGCTCACCAGTGGTGGGAGAAGAATCGGTAGCCAGACATATACCAGCCTACTATGACTCCTAGTGCTGCCTGGGCTGGTTTTTTGTTTGTTTGTTTGTTTGTTTGTTTGTTTGTTTTGAGACAGAATCTCACTCTGTTGCCCAGGCTGGAGTGTGGTGGCGTGATCTTGGCTCACCGCAACCTCTGCCTCTTGGGTTCAAGCAATTCTCTTGCCTCAGCCTCCCGAGTAGCTGGGATTACAGGTGCCCGCCACCATGCCTGGCTAATGTTTTTTTATTTTTAGTAGAGTCAGGGTTTCACCATGTTGGCCAGACTGGTCTTGAACTCCTGACCTCAAGTGATCTGCCCCTCCTTGGCCTCCCAAAGTGCTAGGATTACAGGCATGACCTGGACTGTTTTTACTCCTGCACAGGGTGATCCCATTCTAAGGACAGCCTTCTTCATCTGACTTTATCTTTTCCTGACTCTGATCCTATCCCTCTAACCTCATGGTCCTCCCACCGCCAACCTTTACAAGGAGAAATCTTTCACCCTGGGCTCCAGTCCTGGTCACCCCCAGCCCACCCAGTCCTTCCTGCAAATGGGCTCCTTCCTTTTCCTATCCAGTGTCTTTGTTTACTATAGAGTCCTGGGTTGCTGCCCCATCAACCCATCCCGGATAACTCCCAAGATCTCAGCCCAAGCCAGGCTGACAGTGTTGGCTTTGTACTTGCTTCCTGGAACACATCTGGCCTCAGACTCCTGAGGCCAAGACACACTCCCTGCCAGCCACCCTGCCATGGCTTGCCAGCTCTCCTCACCCAGGGACAACAGTGGGCATCTGTCCACACCAACCAGGCTCGTCAGGTCTCCGGGAGCTGCTTGAATCCTTCCACAATCTTGGGTAAGCTGTTCCTGAATAGAATGCATTATGAGGCATGACTACTGGACCATGTGTTTGGTGCCAGAAGAGGGGATGGAGGCCAGGCCACATGGCACATGAACATGCTTGAGACCTCATGGTGATGTGAGGTGCCATTTTATAAGCCTAAGGTTTACCTTTCTAATTATACTTTACCTAATCCAATATTAGAGGCTATTTAGAGTTTTGCAGAGGCAACCTTTTTTTCATTTGAGAGAAAAGGAAACTGAAGTTTGAGGAGGGAGCCAGGGTCAGCCCCAGGTCTGGGGCCTGGTTTAATCACTTTCTGGGAATAGCCCCATCCCCCCAAAAAAGCTGCTGTTGAGATCCAGGCTACCCTCATGCTTTCCAAAGGGCAATTCTCACCTGGGAGTACTTGGGGCCCCACCACACACAGGAAGTGGCCCAGGCTACTGGCCCTCAGGGATGGAGTGAGAAAGAGGACACAAAACAGGATACTTTGGCAGGAGGAAAGTTGAGAGTAGTGGAGGAGATGGTGATGGTGTCAGAATTTCAAAACAGAGAGAACACTGCAAGAACAAGTGGCTTTCTTTTTCTCTGGAGAGACTGTCCACTCCACAAATACATGCCAGGTCCTGTGCACAGCAAGAAGCAACACAGACTGGGTCCCAGCCCTCTAAGGGCCTCCGGTGTAATGGCAAAGACAGACTCTGAAACAAACATCAAAGCAGGATAGGGAAGGCCAGGGAAGATGGTGTTACCCAGAAGCAGGATAGTTATGCTGAAAGCTGAAAAATGAGTAGGAGTTGGCCGGGTGTGGTGGTTCATGCCTGTAATCCTAGCACTTTGGGAGGCTGAGGCAGGTGGATCACTTGAGGTCAGGAGTTGGAGACCAGCCTGGTTAACATGGTGAAACCCCATCTCTACTAAAAATACAAAAATTAGCCAGGTGTGGTGGCAGATGCCTGTAATCCCAGCTACCCAGGGGACTGAGGCATGAACATCGCTTGAACCTGGGAGGCACAGGTTGCAATGAGCCGAGATTGCACCATTGCACTCCAGCCTAGGTGACAGAGCTGGACTGTCTAAAAAAATATATATATATAAAGATTTTTTAAAAAAGAAAAGACTGTAGGGGTGAGGAAGAGCACTGCTGGCAAACATAAAGAGAGAAACATGGTGTCCCCTCAAGGTACAAAAAGGTCAGAATGGCTGCAGTGTGTGTGGAAAGCTGGGAGAGGCAGGTAGGGGCTAGAGTGTGTGGGCTGTGATGCTTAGGCTGTGGCTATGGGGTCATGTCAAAGAAAGTGGGTCTTGTGCTAAGGACCACAGGCAGCCAAGGAAGGAGGCTGGAAGAGAAAAAACATAAACCAGGTACGCCTGTCCCAGCTACTGGAGAGGCTGAGGCAGGAGGATCGCTTGAGGCCAGGAGTTGGAGAAACATCCTTTGTGCTGCATTCCTCAATTTGTCCTCCCCTAGCTTCTCAGAGTCCTTGGGAGGCTGGCTAGGTGAGAATAGTGATAATGCTCTTTGCAGATTTAGAAACTGAGACCCAGTGAGATCATGACTTGCCCGAGGTCACACAGCTGTTGTATACATATGGCAAGACTGGAACCCAAGTCTCACTCCAGAGCCCCTAAAACTAGGGAGGTAGATAGATTCTCTCCTTCACTCACTCATTTGTTCATTCATTCAATATACTGTACCTGTCTACAACCATACCACCCTGAATGCACCCGATCTTGTCAATATACTATACCTTATTCTCCGCCAGAAACTCTTCTTAAAAAGGATTTCAGCAACAAATTAGACCAAGGAAATAGATGAGACCAGGCTATACAGTCTGGGCTTTCTTCTGTCAGCAACAGGGAGAGGATGGCTTCTGAGAAGGCAGATTGCCCCTCCCCACTGAGGTACCCCCTGTCCCCCAGGGCAGGGAGGGTCATTGTTCTCATTTCAGGGAGCATTCTGCCACAGGCAGCAGTTTCTTAGAAGCAAATTGGTGTTGAGTAAACCTCTACCTTCTGCCATCATTTGTTCTCTCCAGCCCACAGTATCTGGAACTCTTGGGGAACAAGGAAGCAGATTTCCTAGTGGCAGAAAGAACACTCCACCCACTGTAGCTGCAATCCCCCTGCACTGTGAGCTAAGTGAGAGCAGGGAGCTCTCCTGTTCACCCTGGATCCTCACTGAGCCTAGCACAGTGCCTGGCCATAGGAGGTGCTCAATTAAGATTGGTAGAATGAATGAATATTTAAAGAGAGAGAAAGGGAAATATGAGGAAACTTATGTCCAAGATCTGAAGGCCACTCTGTGACCTCAATGAAGAGGAGTTGGCCATATACTTGAATCCTTTCCTACTTATTCAGGGTCTCAAAGGGCCTTGGCTTACTCAAATATCCCGGGGAAAAGAACTGGAAGGAGGAAAGGAGAAAGGAGTTACTATTCCTTCAATATTAGTGCACGGTAGGCTTTCCATTTGTTATCTCTTTTAATTGTCCTAACAACCCTGAGAAGTTGATGGCCTTCCTCTATTTGGGAGAAAACAAGACTCAGAAGGGGGAAAGGGAGCTTGTTCTAGGTCTCTAGCTAGTAAATGCAGGCCTGGAGTTTAGAATCAGGGCTCTTTCCAAAGACACTGCATCTGAAGATGTCAGAGGCATTCTAACCAGAGTGACTCCATCTTGAATAGAGGCTGGATAAAATGAAGCTGAGACCTGGCTGGGATGCATTCCCACAAGGTGAAACATTCTTAGTCACAAAATGTTTACAGTTAAGAGTTAAGGGAACAGGTTAATAATTTACTAAACAGACATTTCTTTACTTCTCTAATAAACTTGCTTTTACTTTATTCTGCGGATTTGCCCCGAATTCTTTCTTGTGTGAGATGCAAGAACTCTCTCTTGGGGTCTGGATTGGGACCCCTTTCTGGTAACAAAGACCCCATGGACCAAGGGCATAAAAAGAAGGGATGTCTAAGACTTGCTGGTTCTATGGCAGGCAGAGGCAGAAAGAGCCCCACCATCATTCCCAGCAAATGGGAAAAGTTCCCAGTTGCAGATATTAGGGGTGGGATGGGGCGGGGGTAGTCAGCAACCATAGACTTAGACCCTGAAGAGGCAAAAAAGGAGGGCCATGTTCTTGGGTCAGCAGAGCTTCTACTCAGCTTCTTCAGCCTCTAGCTCTTTCCTGGTGCTAGTAGCACATTCTCTAGTGGAGGCATCCAGATGGCAGGGAGGGTCCAGGAAACAGCTGAACATGCTGAGCAGGCCTCCCTTGTCCCCGCTCCCCATGGCCCCATGGATCATCCGGTGCTGCAGCTCATCTCATTGGCTGGCTTCTGGTTACTCATCTCTCCTCTTCTCCATCTTCCCAGCCTGTGGTTGCCGTGGAAACATAGAACAGTGACCTCACCATAGGATGAGGGCTGGGGAGATGCTGTTCTTGGCAGGCGCTGGTCTTGCTGCCTGCCAGATGTTATATCCACATCTGGATCTGCCAAGGGCAAGACAGAGGAGTACAAAAAGGGACAGGGCTCACATTCTTCCCCAAATGTAGTCAGCATAACAGAGGAAGAGGATGCAGGTAGATCAGAGGGATGAGGAGAGAACTGTACATACTTAGAAGGGAGAAGGGTGTAAACCAGGAGGAAAGGAGATGGGGTGTGGCTTATGGGTTAACCTCGGTGACCCAGGTCTGAGCACCATGGCGAGGTGAGGGAAGGGCAGTGAGGGTAGTTGGTCTGAGGTTTGTCGAGTAGAGCTCCTCAAAGCCCCGTGCTGCTCAATTTGGACAGGCCCAAGAGAGGGAGCAAATGGATTTTCTGGCAGTGACCCCACCCCAACCCATTCTGAAAAACCTCTATAGCCCCTTTTTCAGTTGAAGCCCTTTCTAATCCTGTCCCAGAAATAATAAAACTGAGGATTAAAGAAGCAAAGCAATCTGCCTCAGGTAACTAACTCAGTAGGTAGTGGCAGAGCTCAGACTAGGTCTTAGGTGTCTGCACTATCCCTGGAGACAATAACAATAGCAGCAGGAGGAGCAGCAGCAGTGAACTTTCGTAAGTCAACCATGCTTAGCATTTAAATGTATTATCTCGGGCCAGGTGTCGTGGCTCACACCTGTAGTCTCAGCACTTTGGAAGCCGAGGCAAGCAGATTGCTTGAGGCCAGGAGTCCAACACCAGCCTGGGCAACACGGCAAAACCCTGTCTCTACCAAAAAAATGCACAAAAAATTAGCCAGGCGTGGTGCCATGCGCCTGTAGTCCTAACTACTCAGGAGGCTGAGGTGGGAGGATCCCTTGAGTCTGGGAGGTCAAGAATGCCATGAGCTGAGATCATGCCACTGCACTCCAGCCTGAGTGACAGAGTGAGACTCTCTCCAAATAAATAAATAGGCCAGGCGTGGTGGCTCATGCCTGTAATCCCAGCACTTTGGGAGGCCAAGGCAGGCGGATCACTTGAGGTCAGGAGTTCAAGGCCAGCCTGGCCAATATGGTGAAACCCCGTCTCTACTAAAAATATAAAAATTAGCCTGGCGCGGTGGCCCGCGCCTATAGTCCCAGCTACTTGGGAGGCTGAGGCAGGAGAATCACTTGAACCTGGGAGGCTGAGGCAGGAGAATCACTTGAACCTGGGAGGCAGAGGTTGCAGTGAGCTGAGATAACACCATTGCACTCCAGCCTGGGTGACAGAGTGCAAGACTCCATCTCCAAAAAAAAATCCCTTCATTTTAAAGATGAAACTGAAGCTGGCGTGGTGGCTCATGCCTGTAATCCCAGAACTTTAGGAGGTCCAGGTGGGCAGATCACCTGAGGTCAGGAGTTTAAGACCAGCCTGGCCAACATGGCGAAACCCCGTCTCTACTAAAAATACAAAAATTATCCAGATGTGGTGGCAGTTGCCTGTAATCCCAGCTACTTGGGAGGCTGAGGCAGGAGAATTGCTTGAACCCAGGAGGTGGAGGTTGCAGTGAGCCAAGATCACACCACTGCACTTCAGCCTGGGCAACGAGACTCCTTCTCAAAAAAAAAAAAAAAAAAATGGAGACTCAGAATGGCTTAAGTGAATTGCCCAAGGCCACACAGCTAGTACCCAACAAAATTCAGATCAGAACGCAGATCTGCCAGCAGCCATTAGCCCAGCCCCAGCTCTCCATCATTGCATTACAAGGGCCACATAAGGAGTCAGTTCTAGTTCCTGGCCACACAGTCCTTGAGAGGAGGCCCTATGTGTGAGGGCTGCGACCTTGAGTCAGAAATCATCTTTTCCCCCTCCTCCTCTCCTGGCACCTGTTCCAACAGTGAGATCACCAAGGCTCCATGCCCAGCCCTGAAGCCTGTCCCTATAGCTTTGGCAGAAATGAGCCTCTGAGTCTTCTGGCAACTGGACCGTCCAAAGGAATCAAGATCTTAGGGTGGGGAGAGGGCTCTTCCTCCCTGGCCTTGTTCTCAGAACAGTCCAGGGAAGGGAGGCAGGGTTTGCACATGGAGAAACAGAGTCCCAGGAAGGAGGGCCTGCCATACTCTACGCACGTGGCAGGCCTCTGGGCTCCTGTGTTGGCTCCTGCAGGCCCACCCTGGACAGGCTGCTGCTGGCTGAAATTCAGTTCGGCACTACTCCTTGGTGTGCAGGGCCTCCTGCCATCCCTCAGAAATTCATTTATACCTCACTTCCTTTGAGAAGTCTACATTGGGCCCTCAGGTCAGGACAGGACAGGACTCCCTTTAGAGGCACCACGCTAGTTTTATGTCTGGCTGCCCAGAGGTGAATGTGTGTCTTGTTCCCTGTTGTCTCTCTCCAAAGCAGGGCCTGGCACAAAGTAGGTGCTTTATTAACTGCTGAATTAATGAGTGAGCTCCTCAGAGCTTCAACTTGTTCACCTTTTTAAAAAGAGAAAATAATACAGTAACACCTACTTCATGGATTTTGCTTTAAAAGTCCAATGAGGCCAGGTGTGGTGGCGTGTGCCTATAGTCCCAGCTGCTGGGGAGGCTAAGGTAGGAGGATCCCCTGAGCCCCGGAGTTTGAGGCTGCAGTGAGCTATGATGGCGTCACAGTACTCCAGCCTGGGAGACACAGCGAGAGACTTTGTCTCTAAAAAATAATAATAAAATAAAAAGTTCAATGAAACAATACACCCAAAGCCCTCAGCATGCAATAAATAGCAAGACAAGGCAGGTCTTATTTTTACTGAAAGTGCTTAGTAAACTATACAGTGACAAACCACCGCACAACAGGCTCTCGAAAGGAGGCAGCAAATTACCCAAAAGTGCAGGCGGCTTGCTAGTGTGCACAGGCCAAAGAAAGGGCGGCAGGTGGGGAAGGCAGCCATGGGCCTTGAAGAGCTGACCGAATTGGCAGAATTTCTGCAGGAGGGGAGCTGGGAACGACCTGAGCTAAAGCTCGGAGCTGTGCGAAGAAACCGGAAAAGCCCAGAGCACTTGCAGGGGCGGGTGGGGAGCTAGATGGTGGGGTGGGGTGGGGACGGAGGAGGGCCAGCAGGAGACATTCCGCAGGGAGGGGCAAGCACGTGTGAGGCGGGCGGGGCGCGAAGGGTCAGGCTTTTGCTCAAAACAGGCAGAGGACAAGGTCAGCTCAGCCGCAGACCGAGCCGCTGGTGACTGTCTCCGCCACCAGGCAGTGAGAGTGAAGGGAGAGCGCGAGCTCTGAAGCCCGCTAGACTAAGCTTGCAATCTGAGCTCCATTCACCCCCTCCTATTTCTTGAGACCTTGTCAGTTCCCCTGTGAGCCTCGGACTCCTCACTTGTAAAACGAGGACAGATGCCCGTGCCAGAAGTCAACCAGAGCTTTCCCCGGCGTGGGCACCAGCCCAAGGGCGTTTTGCTTTTCTAGTCTCATCTCTGCTCTGACGCTAAGCTCAAAGAGGGACTGGGGGACGGGAAGATATCCACCATGGCATGCGCCCTAGCTCTCGGGCTGGTGTTGGCTGCTTCCTTCTCAGATTCCAGAGTGCCTAGAGGCCAGGAAAGGGAGAAGGTCCTACCAGCCTGGGGTAGGGACTCGGGGGCCAGGCACTGGCGCTGACGCAGGCTAGCAGGGCGCCACTGGCTGGTCCCCACCCACCTCGGTGGGTTGGGGGATGGGCGCACCAGCCCCTCCTGGGTGAGCCCTAGCCTGGGGCTTCCTATTTCGGGAGCCGGGGGCGTGGGCCACGTCTCCTCATGTGATGCGAGGGCTATTTAAAGCGGCAGCCCGGGCAGGGAGCCGCCGTCGGAGCCCTTGCACGCCTGCTCTCTTGTAGCTTCTCTCAGCCTAGCCCAGCATCACTATGGTGGACGCTTTCCTGGGCACCTGGAAGCTAGTGGACAGCAAGAATTTCGATGACTACATGAAGTCACTCGGTGAGCAAGCCGCGGGGCTCAGGATGTTGGCTTGGGGACTGGCTGGTGGCGTGCCTAGCCCCACGCAGCACTCCTGCCGCATCCCTCCTGGTTAAGACTGGGGAATAGGGGAGCGCGGAGATGGCAGCCTGGCCTAGAGCAGGTGGGGCCTGTTCAGAGGGGGCTTTGGTGGTCCAAATCTGGTTAGAGACCACGGTAGGGAGGTGGTGGAAGGAGGCAGCTGTGTGGGAGGCTCTTTCCAGGAAGAGGGATATGTGATTTGGAGGTAGGAGGAGGGTTTGGATAAAGAACACTGATCACAGGAAAGGGAGTGTAGCCAGGGGAGAAAAAGAACAGGGGCATGGGTAGTTTAGAAATTGGAGGAGACTGAACCCAGAAAGGGAATGGGGCAGCCAGGGAGTGTACAATGATGTAAACAAGTAGGAAATACCTAGGAGGAAAAAGATTAGTGGGGAAAAAACTGTGGATCAGTGAATCAGATATGAGAAGGACGTAAGACAGGAACCTGCAGTAAGCAGCAATCCCCATCTCTGCTTGGTTAGGGAAGAGAATTCTTGCTGGAGAATGCCCTTTCTCACCAGCCAGTCTGACCTTGTCCTGCAGTCTATGTATCCAGGCCTTCATCACTGTCTGTGAGCCTCGTGGTAGGGTGGGGCAAGAGGCCCATGATCAGCTGGGCCTTTCCTGCAACCCAAGGCTCACCTATCTGTGCGAGGGGTAGGCAGAGAAAGCCATTGGACTTCTGATGTGCAGTAGAGGGTCCCAAGGCAAGGTCAAGACCTGGGAGGGAGGATCACTGGTTTAGGAGGATGTGGAGAACTGCTGTGGTGTTGGGATGGAGAAGAATCAGGATTCAAAGAATCTCACAGGTGAGGAACTTGGAGATTCCCATACCATCTAGTTCAACAGGGAAACTGAAACCAGGAGAGTAGAAATGTATTATAACAATTCCACAGCAGAGCCAATATGAAAATCTAAGGTTTCTAGATCTGTAACCCAGAGCTCTTCCCACTACCCTACAGGCCCTGCGAGTGGGAAGAAAAGTAGAAACTGCTTAGCTAATGATTGACCTCAGCCCTTCTTCTACTGCTTTGGGCTTAGATGGAGAGGTCAAAGCTCTCAACGGCCTCTACCCTATCTTGGGCGCTATGCCCAGTAATTCTAGGCAGGCAGTCATTCTTAGAGGAGCAGCCCCCAGCCCCCACGAACACAGCCCAGCAGCTATTGGGAAGTTGGAATGCCCAGATTTAGTTCCTCCTTCCAAAGCTGGGCCAGAGCTGAGTCTTGAATTGAGCTGCAACAACTTTACCATTCTTGTTCCCTTATTCTGCCCCGAGTTGGGTCAGCGGGCTGGTCTCCCTGAAGTCCTGTTATCTTTCAGCAGCTTATGTTAAGGCAGCCAGCATTCTCATCGTAGGAATGGAAAGCCTGGGAAAATACCCTCCTCAGCTCTCAGTAAGTAGTGCTGGCTTCATTTCTAAGTAGAACCCAGATCTCCCTGAGTCTCCTAAATTCTGTCAGCTCAATATTCTTAGTTTCTCTTGGTTCAGACCCTCACTCATCCCGCAGTGGTTTCCTTTTCAAACACTCCATACCTCTGGGTAGATCCTAAGTGAACAGAGCTCCCAGTGCCGTGACAAGGTCCTGCTCTGTGCAAGGGAGTGTGATTGGCCTGACTCATCCTGATACCAAGGGGCAATGCCAAGTTCCTCACTGGCCAAGCAAGGGTGGGCTGACAGCATAACAGCAGAGGCAGCCCCTGCCCCTCCTGCTGTAGACCTAGGGCTCTCAAGGGGCAAAGAGGTCCCGTCTAGTACCAGTGACCACAGGCACAACTGCTGGCCTGGATTGAGTATGTGCTGGACAGAATCGCCCAGTGAAAATAGTCAACAGTTTTGGAGCCGAGGTTCAAATCTATGTCAGTAGTTTATTCTCTTTGAATTTCGACAAGACACTTCGCACTCTTCATTGTAAACTGGGGATAATCTACGCTTCGAGGCTGTTACAAGCATTAAGTAAAACAACCCATGTAGGGCATGTGCAGAGTACCTAGCTTCCAGCAAGCACTATGTAGCCAGGTACATTTGGAGACTTTACACACACCACCTCACTACACTGGGCTGCCTCCTGCCTCACCTTTGCCTTGGAAGACAGTTCAATGTTAAGCTGCTGGGGGGAGAGGGGGCAGTCATGATTAGTTCTTTGTTCTTTACTTGGTTGCAGGACACTTAGGACTTTGCCCAGTACCCAAGGAAGCCATGCTTGGGTCAGGAAGAGAGTCTCTGTAAAGCCTTAGACTGGGAGTCAGGAGACGGGTTTGAGTCTAACTCATTGTTGCTACCGCTTTAGGCTCCTCCTGAATCTGCACAATAGGACAAATACTTCCTTTGTACCTAACTCCTAGATCATAGATAACAGGCTTTGAAAATGATGGGTTGCCATGTATAAGGGACAAGAGCACTAACACTTCTTAGTTTCAGGGTAAAAACTTCCAAAGTTGGAAAACTCCTATGCCTAAGGCTTTGGAAGGGAAAGTCTATGTTTCTCTTCTTTCCTCAGCCTTATTCCTAAGGCTTTGAGAGCTTTTCAGGTGCCCTGGAAGGCAGCCTTATGCTCCAGCCTTGGGAGGTAGTATAGCTGAGCACTTAAGCAAGCTCTGGACTCAGACAATTCTGGGCTTCAATCTCAGATTTGTGACCCTGGGCTTTACCTCTGTTTTTGTATCTGTAACGTGGAAACAGTCTTCAGAAGAACAGGAAGAACTAAATGAGATAACATGTACAGTTCTTACTACACAAAAAGCTCATAGTACTTAATAGTAGCTTTTTTTTTTTTTTTGAGGTGGAATCTCACTCTGTTGGCTAGGCTGGAGTGCAGTGGCACAATCTCGACTCACTGCAACCTCCACCTCCTAGGTTCAAGCAATTCTCAGCCTCAGCCTCCTGAGTAGCTGGGATTACAGGCACATACCACCACATCTGGCTAATTTTTTGTATTTTTAGTAGAGACGGGTTTCACCATATTGGCCAGGCTGGTCTTAAACTCCTGGCCTCATGTGATCCGCCTGCCTTGGCCTCCCAAAGTGTGATTACAGGCGTGAGCCACCACACTTGGCCCAATAGTAGCTTATTCTAATCCCAGCTCTGCCACTGACTTGCTATGGCACTGCTGTTCCTTAAGTATCTCTCATCTAATGGGATCAGTTATCTGTGTTCACCAAACAGAACTAAGCGCAAGACTGAATTTTAAAATTCCCATGCAAAGGCTTTGAAAGATACAGTCCTCCACTTCCCCATACCCAGGCCTGAGAGTTATTCATTGAGTTTCTTGTACACTGCTTCTCTACCCCAGCTCATATACTCATAACCTTCCCCCTACCCTCAGGTGTGGGTTTTGCTACCAGGCAGGTGGCCAGCATGACCAAGCCTACCACAATCATCGAAAAGAATGGGGACATTCTCACCCTAAAAACACACAGCACCTTCAAGAACACAGAGATCAGCTTTAAGTTGGGGGTGGAGTTCGATGAGACAACAGCAGATGACAGGAAGGTCAAGGTAAGTCAGGGAAACAGGGGTGGGGAATGGAGAGTGCTGAGACTCTAAAAGAGAATAGGCTGGTAGTCTTGGCTCCCTGGTATTGCACCCTGAGGGGCAGACTATCATGGGGAATTTAAATGAAACAAGATTCATAAAGCCTGTGTAGTGCTGGAATGCCACTGATGCTAAATACATGTCAGTTCTGTCCTCTTGTTTTCTTCCCTCCCTTCTTGGGATTCATCTATTGTCTGCCTCGGAATGGGCAGCACAGAGCCAGGATGTTCTTCTGACCTCAGTATCTACTCCAGCTCCAGCTGGGTGACCCTGTGCAAGGTATGCAGTAGCTCTAGGTTTCTTTCCCCTTCCATAGATGGCAGAGTTATGTGGCCATGGCTGTGACCTGAAGTGCTTTAGGAATGATGCCCAGAAGTCAGGGCCCTCCACTGAGTGAGGTCATTGTGACCTCCAGCAGCAAAAAAGGCAGCCAGGAACTAGAAGCACCTACTCAGATGCCGCTTCAACTTCTAACTCCCAGACATGGCCAATGACCCTGACAAACTATTTCCAGTGTTGCCAGCTGACAGGCAGGAAGAGCTATGTTCCGTGATAGGGCATTCACCTTGTCATGAATGTGTTTGCAGTGTCTTCCCACCAAGCCTTAGCCCCTCCTCCCAGGGTTCTATCACCCTGCAGTGGCTGTCTTGGCAGCTTGCCTCAGCCTTCCAGGCCAGGCATGGGAGCGAGAGAACTTAAGGGCTTTGACCTCTATAGGGTGTCCCTATAGCAGTGTTCTATCATGACACTATCATTCAGCCCCATCAGCTGTTTCCTCTTCCTCATAGCTGTCCCCAGAAAGAACAGGATCACACAGGTGGCTGGCAGCAGAGCTGGGGATGGTGCCCAAAGATGGCAGTCTACCTTGGATAAAGGTGGCTGCCCCACCACCTGCTCATACCTCCTTGGACTTGCCTACTTTCTCAAGGGGCAAGAACCCCAATTAAACACAATAGCCCTGTGGAATGCCTAGGGCAAAAATATCTACTCTGAGTAGGCAAAAAAAACTAGGGGAATGAGAACAAGGAGTAAGGTAAGGATAAAAAAGAGCACACTAAGAGACAGGCCTCATACCCCTTATCACCTAAACAATACACAGAACCTTCTCAGATTCTCCTACTGAACCACCTTGCTCATCAGGATCCCTTAGCCTGGCCTTGTGGCCCCCAAACTCCTAGGAAAGAGAGCTGGAAGAGCTGCCAAATGAGAACCAGCTGATGTATGTATGCTGGCAGCACCCAGAGCTGAGGAACCACTTCAAGGGCATCCAGTCACAGGACTTTGTGGTTGCTGCCCTCTTGTTGGCTAAAGAGGTCACATGATGTGGACCAAGAAAAGGTGTAGGAATACAGGGCAGGAAGTCTAATTATCCAATACTTCCTATCACTAAGGGTCTTTTAGACATTATGTGGACTAACCACAAGGCTGGATAAAGATTCTCAGGACTACTCCTCCTCCTCAGTCAGTCTTTCCCAGGGATAGACTAGTAAATCCCACCTGTATCTGAGGGGACCAGGCTACGGGAATCACCTAGAGTACAGATAAGTGTCTGTCTTGAAGGCTTGTGGTACTTCTCAGAGCCAGGCTCTCTGGCTCCACCATACTGCCTGCCTCTCCCTCCTTGCCTAATATCTGAAGGCCTCTTCCCCAGAAAGGCAGTAGTGGAGCAGAGGCTGGAGGTGAACTAGATGTCTTGCAGGGATAGCTGGGAGGCGGATTGCCTGAGCTCTTGTCCTCACACCATCACTAGTTTGGGTCAAAGGCTGTGTGCTCTGTGGCCCAGTGTCCAGACCCCACCCTGCCCCTCAATTCCTGACTAAGATCACAGCTCAGGCCTCTACCCTCTTTCCACAGTCCATTGTGACACTGGATGGAGGGAAACTTGTTCACCTGCAGAAATGGGACGGGCAAGAGACCACACTTGTGCGGGAGCTAATTGATGGAAAACTCATCCTGGTAAGATGGGCAACTTTGGAGCTATATCTGATTGGTTATTACTACTGCTCTTTCAGCCAAGCCTGTTCTAAAAAGCCAAGTCCTCCCCTGAGAGCTGTAGAAGCTGGGACAAGAGAGTGGTTGTGGGTCAGGGTGGTATCAGGTGGGAATTTTCTGTGTAGTGGCTTTGGACTCACACAGGCCGGAACTCAAATCTTACCTTATAGGCTACATGACTGTGGGCAAATCACCTTTTCCAAGTGCAACTGTAAAACGGGTATTAATAATACCAACCTTGTAGGGCTGCTGGGAAGCCTGTAAGAGACAGTGTATGCACAGCACAAAGCATCACTGATTGAGGAACACAGCAGGTGCTCCATGTCCTTTGTTTGCTCTTCCTGTGTTTCTACCTTGCCTCACCTCAGGAAGAAGTAGAAAACAGGGCCAAATCTGATCCCAGGCCCTCTAGGAGGGGCTCCCATTGCCTATCTCAGCATTCCCTTTCCTCTCCTCCCTAGGACTGCATTGTCACTTGCAGGGACAGGCTCGTGACTGGTGGGGACACTGAATGACAGTACAGTCCTTTCTTCCCCATTCTAGTCCTACCCCATTTTCATGCTTTCTATGTCTGGCCTACTGAAACTACTTGACTACTGCTTGGGTAGGAAGTACCACAGCCAGGCTGGCAGATCTGTTCAAGCTTGGGGACTTCACTTGGAGAATCTAGCCTTGACTGAATTCCCCCCAGACCCAGGGAGAGCAGCCAACTGTGGATTCTGCCTAACCACAGGGCCTCAGGTTTTCACCTAGGCATCTTCACTGCACACCTTCTTGGGTCAGCATAACCTGTTAACTGCATTCTTGTACTCATGTGGGACAGGGGTCCCCTTGAAGTTTGGAATGAGGTGCCTAGCTTTGGTGGGGATGTGATATGCAGGACCAAATTCTCAGTGGCAGCTGAACTATGGTGAGGCCATGGGTCTGGCTCTATGATGCCAGACCGGATAGTGGGAGGTACAGGGCTCTGGCCCTGGCACTACTCTAAGTTAGGGAAGGATTGGAGTTAGTAGCCAAACACAGTCCTTTCCTGAGTCTCTGGATATTTTTCCTATTTGTCAACTATATGCCAGGCACCATCTTAGACACTAAGGATGAAGGAAGCCAAATGGTATAAGGGAAGGAAAAACACTCAGGATCTTGACCAAATTACTTCCTCTCTAAAGGCTCGTTTTTTCCAAATCTCTAAAATAAGAATTACAATGCCTATCTTAAGGATTTGCTGTGCATATCAGAAAAAAAAAATTATGTATGTATACACACACACACACACACACACACACACACACACACATACATACATATAGCCGGCACATAGTAGGTACTCAAGTGACAATTATCAGGAGGAAGGGAGGGTAGAATGCTCGCAATGGTGTTCCTGGCTCCACCCCCCATCTCACTCTGTCTTTCCTTCCAGACACTCACCCACGGCACTGCAGTTTGCACTCGCACTTATGAGAAAGAGGCATGACCTGACTGCACTGTTGCTGACTACTACTCTGCCAATCGGCTACCCCTCGACTCAGCACCACATTGCCTCATTTCTTCCTCTGCA
The DNA here is from genome assembly GCF_000001405.40 of Homo sapiens. NCBI lineage: Eukaryota > Metazoa > Chordata > Mammalia > Primates > Hominidae > Homo > Homo sapiens. Next base: position 31,365,801 of record NC_000001.11, on the reverse strand, counting down.
TTTTGTACAAATCCACGAATTCTTCTGGGGTCAGGTGCCACTGACCGGGATCCAGTTCCAGTTCCCATGGTGTATGTGGTTTTTTTTTTTTTTTTTTAACTGCACTCATAGGGTGCTCTGAGGTCAATAAAGCAGAGCCAAGGCCACCCAGTTGCCTTTTTGCCTTTGGTAACATAACTCTGGGAGTCTTGGTTTATCCTGTGTGTCAGAGAGTGGGCAGAAATAACGGCCTGAAGGTTACTGAGGAAGAAGCACTGGATGGGAGACTGAAATGGACAGTCTCGGAGCCTGTTAATCAGCTGATCACCTTACACATTTAATAATAAAAGAGCTGTACCTACACGTTGCCTTTACACTGCCCCCCCTCCATGGTCAAATGACCTAGTTCAGTCAGTGATGGGGCTTCCCCAGGTTTGGCTATTGAACTGTCACTTCAGGCCCATCCTACACTGAAAGCTCTTGGGTCTGGCTGTTCTCTGTGAAATGCTGTAGTCTCTCCCTTTCCAGAATTCAGGTTCAGGGCACAGAACCCAGGCTTGTACCATGGTGGTGGGAGAAAATGACCACTGGCCAAGAGGACTGCTGACCTGTGCACCAGGCTAGTACTTATGACTACAAATTCTTACTGCTTCTCTAATCAACTCTGAGGGAAGAGGGCATCTGATCATTACAAAAGGGAGGGCTTATAAGTGATCTCCCAAGAAGGCAGTGATCTGCTAGTGCCTTTGGCTCTGTACCTCTGCTGGGCATCTCTCCAAGGTCTAAGGTAACATATTAAATGTTTTTGTCAGCTAATGCAGGCTCAGTGACTTTAAGTCTGTAAGTTACCCAGGAAGAAGGATTATAGGAAAAATAACTCAGTAAGTTTAAAACCAAACACATTTCCATTTAGTGACAGGAATTTAAGCAAGGACCTGAAGTAGAATCAACTGATTCACACAGTAGTAAATACAAAGTAGAACAATGATCTTGGCTTCGCTGTCTGGTTCAGTGGTCTGCTGGAATGCAATACACAAGTTAAGTCACACTGCAGACTGTTTTCTAGCTGTGGCCGCTGGATGCCACTTCTAGCATAGTAGAACTATGTTAGGAGGAATGGGAAAAGTGAGCACCACTTCTCACCATGTTCCCCCCTCCTGCTGCCAGTCTCTGCTCCCATGTTGGATGCAGCAGAGATCACCCACCAGTTGGCCCAGGACAGACCAATAGGAAGGGTCCAATCACTCTAACTACAGCCGAACTCACCTCCACAACAGTCTCTGTGGCTCTAGCCTGGACTCCTTTACAGGAATCCAGCTCTGGCAGTGGCAGCTGGAGAGGGTAATAGGACCTCCTGCTGAATGAAGGAAGTTGGGTGAATGAATGGGTGAGCTGCAGGGTTCACTTGCAAAGGGACCAGGAGTGATAAGGAAACAACAACTCATTCAGGCAGCTGCTTTTGACCTCTAACTCCCAAACCTGCCTGTTGCATGAGGGGAAGCCATCTCCCATGGGAGCGAAGTTAATGGGGTGGGAGGCTATATTCTCACTATTGAGTCTTTCCAGGAGTCTCAAGGCACAAGGCTCCTGGTTTCTTACTCTCAACCACCCCCTACACTCTTTATACTCTCACTCCTTGTGCTTCTTCTTGTGCTTCTTCTTCTTTTTCTTCTTCTTTGCTGCCTTGCTGTCTTTTGATGTGTGCCTTGCCCTCTTGCCTGTATCACTCTCAGAGTCTGAGCTGTCAGAGTCAGATGACTTCCTATCTCTATGTTTCTTTTTCTTCTTCTCCTGAAAAGAAAATTTTAAAAATCAACACTGTATGTGTATATTTGCTTTTAACAATCATAGCACATAATTGGCCAGGTGCAGTGGCTCACACCTGTAATCCTAGTACTTTGGGAAGCCGAGGTGGGAGGAATGCTTGAGGCCAGGAGTTCAAGATCAACCTGGCTAACATAGCAAGATCTCATCTCTAAAAAGAGAAAAAAAGAAAAATTATAGCACACAATCAATAGGGGACCACTTAATTTTCTTTTAGACAGTCTCGCTCTGTTGCCCAGGCTAGAGTGCAGTGCAGTGGCACGATCACAGCTCACTGCAACCTCAACCTCTTGGGCTCAAGCAATCCTCCCACCTCAGCCTCCCAAGTAGCTGGGACCACAGGTATGCACCACCACACCCTGCTAATTTTTATGGAGTTGGGTTTCTCCATGTTGCCCAGGCTGGCCTCAAACTCCTAAGCTCAAGCAATCTGCCCACCTTGGCCTCCCGAAGTGCTGTGATTACAGGTGTGAGACACCATGTCCAGCCAACACTTAATAAAGTATAAGACATTGTGGCCAGGTGCGGTGGCTCACGCCTGTAATCCCAGCACTTTGGGAGGCCGAGGCAGGTGGATCACGAGGTCAGGAGATCGAGACCATCCTGGCTAACATGGTGAAACCCCGTCTCTACTAAAAATACAAAATATTAGCCAGGCGTGGTGGCAGGTGCTTGTAGTCCCAGCTACTCGGGAGGCTGAGACAGGAGAATGGTGTGAACCCAGGAGGCGGAGCTTGCAGTGAGCTAAGATTGTGCCACTGCACTCCAGCCTTGGCGACAGAGCGAGACTCCGTCTCAAAAAAAAAAAAAAAAAAAGTATAAGACATTGCAAACAATAAAGTAAATCTTTAAGTGCCAACAAGAAAAAAATAGCTAAAACATGTTAAGTAAAAGAACCAAGACATAATATGTATTGTAGGTTCCAGTGCGTATAACATATACATGTGTATTTATATATATATGCACATGATATAAACTGTGTATGTTACACATACTTGTGTATATTTAGTATACACAGAGAACACTGAAAAGGATACATCAAACTGGTAATAAGTGTTACACATTGGGAATGAACTGAATGGGGGAAAGGATATGGGTCTTTCACTTTTTCCTTCAAATACTTCTGTCTAATTTGATTTTTTTTAAACAAGTATCTTATTACTTTCATTTTTTAAAGTGCAGGACATTAAAGCTGAAAGGCGCCCCTAAAGACTAGCCAGTCTATCTAGAAACAGTGACTCACATATCCAAGGTCAAAGAATAGGAGTAAAAGATTTAGAACTCCTGACTGCTATTCTGGTTTCTATTAGATCCTGGTGCCAGGGGAAATAACTGCCATCAAATAATAAGCCTGTACTTGCTACCCTTGAATATTCATCATCTCTAACTTTACAGCCACCTCACAAGATTATACTCATAAAGAAAAGAGCTGAGAAAGAACATTCCCAAAACTATACCCACCACATCATGCTACCAAAGTAACAGTACAAACCCATACAAAAGACGAGAGGCAGATTCCCAGGTGTCTAATGGGGCAGTATGAGCAGATTTTAAGCACGGCATAAATCTCTTCTTTGAATTTCAAATACCTATATTGCCTCTGTAAGGTTTCTAAGAAGAGGGAGAAAGTATGGGAGGAGAAAGAGAGCAGAAAAGGATGCCAGCTTCCAACCAGCAGCCTCAGAGCTATAAATCTAGCTGAATGATACACCAGGTCTTAGAAGCTGGCTGTGAAAAATGGTGGAAAGAACACTGAAGCAGGTGTTAGATAGACCTGGACCTGAGTTCTGGCTCTGCCATTTACTATTCTGCATCCGTGGGCAAGTCATCTGAACTCACTGAGGCCTGTTCCCTTCAAATGTAAACTGGAGATAAGAATAACATCTACTGGCTGGGCGCGGTGGCTCATGCCTGTAATCCCAGCACTCTGGGAGGCCAAGGCAGGTGGATCATGAGGTCAGGAGATCGAGACCATCCTGGCCAACATGGTGAAACCCTGTCTCTACTAAAAATACAAAAATTGGCCGGGTGTGGTTACGCGGGCCTGTAGTCCCAGCTACTCAGGAAGCTGAGGTGGGAGGATCGCTTGAGCCCAAGAGCTGGAAGTTGCAGTGAGCCATAATCCTGCCACTGCACTCCAGGCTGGGCAACTGAGCAAGACCCTGTCTCAAAATAAATAAATAAATAAATAAATAAATAAATAAATAAATAATCTCCCCCTCTCCCCAAAAAAAACACCTATGGTGACAAGTTAATGAGATAGTATCTAAGGCTTGGACAAGTTGAAAGCCACTTGTCCCAGATCGCATAGGCGCAGTTGGGATCTTCATGTAGATCATATGAATGGAAATCTCCTGAGTTTTCCTATGTAGCACATGGCCCCTCTTTCTGTATGGTAACAGGAGGCCTCATGGTATGGTCATTAGAACAACAAATTTTGGAATAAGATAGAATTAAGTTCAAATTCTAGCTCTGCAACTTAACTCACTATGTGACTTAGAACAAGGGATTTAACTTTTTTGAACCTCAGTTTTCTTTTCAGTAAACTGGAAATAATAAGTACCTATTTCAAAGGATGCTATGAGGTTTAAACAAGATAAGCACTAACTATAGTGCCTGACACATTATAGGCACTTAGTGGGAGCTATATGTATTTTTCTCTCATTAACTCCCAGGATGTTCTGACAGCCTGGCCAAGCATCTACAGGAGACAAGTCAAAGTTTTAAGAGAAGATGAAATAACAATTCTTCCTTGGCATCTCCAATGGAGTAGAGAGAAGGCAACAAAGCTTCTCAGACCCACATTACCGAGCTATAACAACCATGGCTGGGAGGAGCTGAGAGTTGGCAAATCAATAGTTTAGCTATGTTGCTGAACCTTCCTGGATGGCAAGACCATGGAAGTCCATCACAAGATATTATGGGGTCAGGAGCCTCACTGGGTTCTGCCCCTTATATAGGTGAATATCCTGGGAAAGTAAAAATGAAAATACAGAGTCTGGCACCAGTTCCCTGCAAGCCTGGTCCAGCCTGGATAAAGAAGTGAGGAGAGTAATAATACTGCCTTACACCTAAACAGTGCTTTAGTTTATCAAGCTTTTTGCATCCTTATCTTACAATAATAGTCTGTAGAGTCAAACTTCATGAGTTATTATTCCCATTTTACAGATGGAAAAACTGCAACTCAGAAATGTAAAGTGAGTCGACCAAGGCTAAAGCGGCAAAACCACTATACTTTATAACACAGAGTTTGGCACTATTTCCACTTTGTTCTCTCTCAAAGATGAAGGCTCAGGAGGAGGGAAGATAAAAACAAATCACTGGAGAGTCCTGGCATGCTGGAACATGGACTCTAGCTAGCAAGAAGGGCTCAAGGAGGTGGCCTTCTCCTAGACCTCAACTTTGATGCAAAAGCTGTTTTGCAGCCTGAACAAAGACAATCCAATCCTCCAGCAAATGGCGTCATTTTCCCTACGTGTCTAGCCTTGAGCTACAGAACAAAAGAACAATCACATCCGAAGTTGTAGTTCGCCTGGTTGCGGTGGCTCACGCCTGTGATCCCAGCACTTTGGGAGGCCAAGGTGGGTGGATCACCTGAGGTCAGGAGGTCGAGACTAGCCTGACCAACATGAAGAAACCCCATCTCTACTAAAAATACAAAATTAGCTGGGCGTGGTGGCACATGCCTGTAATCCCAGCTACTCGGGAGGCTGAGGCAGGAGAATCGCTTGAGCGTGGGAGGCGGAGGTTTTGGTGAGCCAAGATCGCGCCACTGCACTCCAGCCTGGGCAACAAGAGCGAAACTCTGTCTCAAAACAAAACAAAACAAAACACGCACACACAAAAACAAAATTAGCCGGGCGTGGTGGCACATGCCTGTAATCCCAGCTACTCGGGAGGCTGAGGCAGGAGAATTGCTTGAACCCGGAGGCAGAGGTTGGGGTCAGCCAAGATTGTGCCATTGCACTCCAGCCTGGGCAACAAGATGGAAACTCCGTCTCAAAAAAAAAAAAAAGGTTGTAGTTCAAAAGCAAAGTTGGGAGTTGGGGTGGGGGAAGACTGAGAGCCAGAAGATGAACCAAGCTTCTGCTCTCTCAACTTCATTCAAGTGAGAAGGGAAACAGAAGATAATGGGTTAAAAAAAAATGACATGGATTCAAGTATCAGATGGAAATAGAAAATTAAACATAAAACAGTTTTTAAATGGCATAGGAGTGTGAGCCCATGGCGCAGGTCAAGGGGGCACTGGAAGGAAGCCACTGGTCAAACATCTCAAAGACTGCTCTCTAGGAAAAGCACATATCCCTTGTTAGAGCAGCTAGTCTACCCATTTTCACTATAGTTCTGAAACAGGATAGCAGCAGCCCAGTGTGACAGAAAAACAAAAATAAAAGCAAAAACTGAAAAAAGAGAATATAGCAGTGAACATTTATTGAGTACTTAATTTTCTATTTTATTTATTTACTTATTTTTAGGATGGAGTCTTGCTTTGTCACTCAGGCTGGAGTGCAGTGGTGTGATCTCGGCTCACTGGAGCATCTGGCTCCTGGGTTCAGGCAATTCTCCTTGAATCGCTTGTAGTCCCAAGTAGCTGGGACTACAGGCGCATGCCACCACACCCAGCTAAGTTTTGTATTTTTTTTTAACTAGAGTCGGGGTTTCACCATATTAGCCAGGCTGGTCTCAAACTCCTGACCTCAAGTGATCCACCTGCCTCATCCTCCCAAAGTGCTGGGATTACAGGCATGAGCCACCACACCCAGCCAGTACTTAATTTTCTAAAGGCAGGTGGATCTCTTGAGCCTAGGAGTTCAAGACCAGCCTGGAAAACATAGTGAGACCCTGTCTCTACAAAAACAAACAAACAAAATTACCAGTAACCTCCACGTGGCCAAATCTAGTGGTCAATTATTGGGTCTTATTTACTTGGTCAGTCAAGATGGATACAGACCATCTTACCTAGAACACATTCATGGTATTTCTACCACATTTTACATTCTCTTACTTTTCTACAAACTTCCTTGGCTGTTCCTTTCCTGTCTTCTTTGTTAGTTCATCCTCATCTCCATAACCTCTAAGTGTTGAGCACTCTGGGGCTCAGTCTCTTCCCTATATTTACTCTGCAGGTGATCTCATGAACATAAATACCATCTATATGTAGATGACTCCCAAATTTATATATCTTACCTGGGCCTCTCCCTTGAACTCCAAACTATATATCCACTGTCTACTCTATGGTCTACTTGAATATCTGATAGGCAACTCAATTTCTATGCCCCGCCCCCTCCCAAACCTAGACTCTCCCAGCTATCTTTCCATCTGTGTAGACAGCAACTCAAACTAAACTCCTGACTGCTCCCTACTCCCACACTTACTTCTCCTGCATTCCTTCTCTTAACTCAAATCTTCCAGTTACACAGTCCAAAAATTTTGATGCCATCCTCACCTGCTCTTATATCTTCAAAATATATACACACTTCAACTCCTTTCTCATCATTTTTGCCACTGTCATTCTAGTCCAAGCCACCATCATCTGGATTATCTATCAACTCACTGCTTCTACTCTTGCTTTCTGACCATCTAAGTTTCTACATAGCAGCCAGAATAATTCTCTTAAAAGGAAGTCAGATCATGTCATTCCTCTGCTCAAAACCTCTAATAACATCCATCTCACTCAAGTGAAAGATGAAATCCTCCCAATCACCTATAAGGCCCCAGTGATCTGGGTTCCTTCTGATCTAACTTCCTCTCCTACCACTCTCTTTTCATTCATTTCACTGTAGCCACACTGGCGTCCTTAATGTTCTTTAATCATGCCACACTCTTTCCCAACATCAGCTGTTACATTTGCTGAAATGCTCTCTCTCCACTTACCTGAATAGCTTGTGTCCTCACTTCCTTCTGATATCCACTCAAACAACACTTTATGAGAAAGGCCTGGCCCAGGCCAGGCGCGGTGGCTCACGCCTGTAATCCCAGCATTTTGGGAGGCCGAGGTGTGTGGATCACCCGAGGTCGGGAGTTCAAGACCAGCCTGAACAACATGGAGAAACCCGTCTCTACTAAAAATAGAAAATCAGCTGGGCGTGGTGGTGCATGCCTGTAATCCCAGCTACTCGGGAGGCTGAGGCATAAGAATTGCTTGAACCCAGGAGGCAGAGGTTGCAGTGAGCTGAGATCGCACCATTGCACTCCAGCCTGGGCAACAAGAGTGAAACTCCGTCTCAAAAAAAAAAAAAGAAAGGCCTGGCCTTACCATCCTATCTAAAATGAAAGTCACCTGCTCCCCACATCCTCATTCTAGGACTCCCTATCTCCCTTAATCAAATTAATTTTTCTCTATAGCACTTATCACTACTTGATACATTATTTTTACTATTTTGTATTTGTTTACCAGTTTATTATCTGTGTCAATCGACCCCATCCATTAGAATCTAAGTGCCATGAAGATAGGGATTTTACCTGTTTTGTTCACTACTTTACCTGCAATGGCCAGAACAGAGCTTAGCACACAGTAGAAGCTCTATTAATGAATGAAGCTGGAGTATAGTGTGTGGGAAGAGACTGGTGGGAAATGATGCTAGGAAGCTGGGCAGATTGTGAAGAGTCTTAAAGGAACTTAGACTTTATGTCATAGAAGAAAGCGAACCACTGAAGGCTTCTGAGTAGGCAACACTGGGCAACGCTCTCTGCTGTATCTGAATAGGCAGAGAATGTGTCCCTGAGTGGGCTCAGGACTGGCAACCTTTCTCTATATAGGCACCAGAAGAAGTTCTCTGGACAGCAGGACAGAGCCAACACTGCAGCCAAAGAATGACATTCCTATTTCTTGTTCTTCTATATATGGTACAGCAGAAAATCATATGGTAAAATCAAAAGAAAATTATATTCTGAATCAAACATATCTAAAGTTTACTATAATCAGTGGGCAGCTTGGTCCCCAAGGCACTTACTTCTTCATAACATAACACCGATTCAGAAAGACCTACGATGGCATATGATTAATGAAAGAGGCCAGTAAAGCACAGACCACAAGTTCATCAGAAGATTATCCAGGGATTCACTACAAAACCTCCATTCCTATTTTACCAACCACTTCATAGCCCATTTCCAATTGCAACACACAGTTTCCTTTTATTCTAATTATGCCCAACAAAAATTATTTATAACATTCAGTCACTGGGACAAAAATTGTTCATGGTGCCAGATGCACACAACTAAATCAATGCATCCTGGACTTGTGGGAAAAGGCATTCAATACATGTATGTTTTAATGAAAAGACGTGGGAAGGCTCAAGGTTAGGAAGATCTGTTATTCTTACTCCTGCCCCTGCTCCTTTCATTATCGCCCACTGCCAGCAGCAGGAGTCAATACCTATTACTCTGCAATCTGAGGGCAGGTTTCACTGAGTGAAGACACCCAAGGAATGACAGAGAGCACAGATTATGAAGTCTATCTATTCACAGGTAGTTAGTGCATGTATTCCTATTAAGTACCAGGCATTATTTGTAAAAGGTGACATCCTTTCCTTATCCTGGGCTATTTCTGGTGGTTCCTCAACAGGTCTACCATTTTCTGTCTTCTTAGAGGCTTTGCATTGTCTTCCACTAGACTATAAAAAGTGAGGTAATGAAACAGACTTGTGAAGAAACGGAGATGAGAACCTAATGAGACTTTCCAGTTCTAGTCCTAGGTGGCCTGACTACACTGCATTTCCTGTCCTTGGATGTCCATAAAATCAAATAACCTCCTTGGAATGTGTTTCTATCCTTTACCACCATACATAGCTTGGCTGCTTATCTTTCTCCTTATATGATTAGCCGCTTGAGTGTAGGTACCATATGATCTTTATTTCATGAGTTACTTTTTTAACTGTTAGAAATGCATTAACTGAACTTACATGAGTTACTATCATATATGCCCTTCCACACGCCAGGCATTCCTACTCTCCACTGTCCAACTCAGGAGCATGGACTGCTAAAGGCATGTTCCTTCACAAATCTACTCAGTTCCATATTTGGCTCCCAGAGCTGACTAGTCCTGAAACAAGTGTCCAAATCTGCCACTCACACACCAAAAAAGCCATCTCAGACAGAAGATTTTACTGTTAAGGAAAACCAACCTCCTGCTGGAATCCAAGATTTAGAGGGTAAAAGGAAACAGGAGGGCTGGAATCTTGATTTACAGTTGTGAGCAGAAACAAATCAATAGATAACATCACATGATGGCTAACGGTAGCTGGGAACAAAACAAAAACCCACCAAAAACTGACTTGATGAGTCCTGATATGTCAAGTACCTAACACAATGCTAGATACCTATGAAGCAGATAATACATATTTGTTCAGTAAATGAATAATTGAAGAGTTAAATAAATGGTTGAAGTGTGATATACAGAAAAGAATATTGTTAGTAATCTGAAGACATGGGTTATTTTTTCAGCATTATCTCTTATATTTGTGTGACTTCCGGTGAGTTACGTCAATTTCTCTGAAGCTCCATTTTACTCATGTGTAAAATGGTGGGATAATAATTCCTGTTCTGGCTATCTCATAGAATTGTATAATGATAAAAAGAAACAAAAACAGCAATGTATTTTATAAACTGTAAGCACTAAACAAATATGAGGCATAAAAGGTAATGACGGGATTAACAATGAGGTGAAAAGACAACGATGCTAAATGCTATCTTGGTAGAAATAGTGGGCATCAAGAGGAAAGTTTTACCCTTCTACACTCCCTAGAACACTTTTTAATCAAAGAGGACTCATGAGTTAGAAGTTCATATACACAAAGATACTTTTTTTTTTTTTTTTTTTTTAATTGAGATGGAGTCTCACTCTGTCGCCCAGGCTGGAGTGCAGTGGCGCAATCTCGGCTCACTGCACCCTCCGCCTCCTGGGTTCAAGCAATTCTCCTGCCTCAGCCTCCCAAGTAGCTAGGATTACAGGCCCTCGCCACCACGCCTGGCTAATTTCTGTATTTTTAGTAGAGACGGGGTTTTGCCACGTTGGCCAGGCTGGTCTCAAACTCCTGATCTCAAGTGATCCACCCGCCTTGGCCTCCCAAAGTGCTGGGATTACAGGCATGAGCCACCGTGCCCGGCCAAAGATACTTTTAAGAAATAATAATGTATAATGATTATTACTGCCATTGTTCATCAGACCATTCCTCTACTAAGTGAAAGGCAATGGAGGGCTGGGTAGTAGGTTGACTAAGCAGGTCATAAAGAGCCTCATACCTAGCAGATAGAGCCTCAGTAATTGGTTTTGTGAACTGAAATACATATCTCAAAGCAGCTTTAGAAACAAAGGAATAACAAATTATACTCAATATATTCAGCAAAAAGAACTCAACCAAAGATCCACAGAAGTGAGATATCCATATACCCTCTTTAGGAATGTAACAAGTACCATTTACCTCTAAAAGGTTAAAAGAGAAAGAATAATGCTTGGAACATACAAATAGAATCACAGTTAAAAATCTAGATCTGGCTTGAGCCCAGGACGTCAAGGCAGCAGTGAGCCACGATCATGTGACTGTACTCCAGCCTGGGTGATACAGCAAGACTCTGCCTCAAAAGAAAAAAAAAACTAAATCTGCAAGAAAATTATTTCTGTTTACAGATGGCATGATCTTCTATGTAGAAAACCCTAAAGAGTCCACAAAAAAATCCTGTTAGAACGAGTAAGTGAATTTAGCAAAGTTGCAGAATACAAAACGAACATGCTAAAATCAGTTGTGTTTCTATACAGTAGCAAGGAGCAATCAGAAAAAAAATTAAGAAAACAATTCACACAGTAGCATCAAAAAGAAAAAAATACTTAGGAAGAAACTTAACCAAGGAGATGAAAGACATGTATACAGAAAATTACAAAATGTTGCTGAAATTAAAGAAGATACAAATAGATATCCAATTTTCATGGATTGGAAGATTTAATACAGTTGAAATGTCCATACTATCCAAAGCAATCTACAGATTAAATGCAATCTCTATCAGAATTTGCAAAAATATAAAAATCTATCTTAAAATTCATATGAAATCTTTCAAAGGACCCCAAATAGCCCAAACAATCTTGAAAAAGAACAAAGCTGGAGGATCCACAATTCCCAACTTCAAAGCTTACTAAAAAGCTACAGTAGTCAAAACAGTGTGGTACTGACATAAAGACATATAGACCAGTGATAGAATAAATCCTCACTTATTTGGTCAAATGATTTTCAACAGGGGCCAAGACCATTCAGTGGGGAAAAGGACAGTCTTTTCAACCTATGGTGTTTTAAAAACTAGAGATCTACATGCAAAGAAATTTTGGACCCTTTCTGTACACCATATACAAAAATAAACTCAAAATGGATCAAAGACCTAAACGTAAGAGCTAAAGCTACAAAACTCTTAGAAAAATATAAGGGAAAAGCTTCATGACATTGGATTTGGCAATGATTTCTTGAGTATGACATTAAAAGCATCAGCAATAAGAGAAAAAAAGGTAAGTTTAACTTAACCAAGATTAAAATTTTTTTGTGCAATGAATACTATCATGAACATACTCAACATTACTGAACTGTACACTTAAAAATAGTTAAGATGGTAAATGTTATATGTTCTTTACCACTATTTTAAAAAGTCTAAATCTGATAGGGAAAAAAGGGACACTATCAACAGAGTAAAAAAACAATCCACAGATTAGAAGAAAGTATTTGCAAACCATATATCTGATGGGATTGATATCCAGAACATATAAAAAATTCCTACATATCAACAACAACAACAAAATAAACAAGCTTATGCAAAATAGGCAAAGAACTTAAATAGCCATTTCTCCAAAGAAAATATACATATGGCCAATAAGCACATGAAAAGATATTCAATATCACTAATCATTAGGGAAATGCAAATCAAAACCACAATGAGATGTCACTTTACACGCATTAGGATGGCTACTCTCCAAAAAACACAAAACCCAGAAAATAAGTGTTGGCAAGGATGTAGTGACACTTGAACCCTTGTGCATTATTGATGGGAACGTACAATGGGAAACAGAGTGCTTCCTCAAAATATTAAAAACAGAATATATGATCCAGCAATTCTACTATTAGGTATATACCAAAAAGAAAGAAGAGTGGGGTCTCAGAGATATTTATACATCCATGTTCACAGCAGCATTATTTACAATAGCCAGAATATGGAAGCAGCCCAAGTGTTCACCAAAAATAAATGGATAAGCAAAATGTGGTATATACATAAAATGGGGCTCGATGTGGTGGCTCATGCCTGTAATCCCAGCACTTTAGGAGGCCAAGGTGGGAAGACTGCTTGAGGCCAGGAGTTCAAGATCAGCCTGAGCAACATAGCAGGACTCCATCTCTACAAAAACTAAATTAGCTGGGTGTGGTGGCACACTCCTGGATCACTTGAGCCCAGGAGGTTGAGGCTGCAGTGAGACATAATTGTGCCACTGCACTCCAGCCCGGGCAACAGCACAAGACCCTGCTTCAAAAAATAAATACATAGAACAGAATATTATTTGGGCTTAAAAAGGAAGAAAATTCTAACATATGCTATGATGCAGATGAACTTTAAGGACATTATGCTAAGTGAAATAAGCCAGTCACAAAAACAAATACCACATGGTTTCAAGACAGAAAGTAGAACAGTGGTTGCAAGTGCAGGGAGGAAGGGTGAATGGGGGGCGTTATTGTTTAATGAGTATAGAGAGTTCTCGAGATCAAAGACAGTGATGGTTGTACAACAATATGAATGTATTTAATGCCAATGAACAGTACACTTCTATAATGGTAAATTTTATGTTATGTGTATTTTACCATAAAAACAAACAAAAAACACTATACAAAAAGGCTGCAGATTTTGGCTTATCAAATGGGTCAATGAGTTCCAATCACTGAGACAGGGCCAAATGTGGAAAGAACAGCTTTGGCTAGGAAAATTAAGTTTTGGAGGTATGTTAAACTTGATGCTAACTAGACAACCAGATGTAGACGTCAAGTAGGCAGTCTATTAACTAAATTTGGAGTTCCAGAGAAAAAGTCAAGAATAGCAATGCAGATTTGGATAAAATACAGACACAAGCACTTAATTTGGGGGTTATGAGTATAGGGATGATATTTAAAACCATAGGACAGGATGAGATTCCCTTGGAACACTCCAACATTCAGAGTTAAAGCATAGGGTGAGAAATCAACAATGAACAGAAGTGGGCAGTGACATAAAGTAGGTGGTTTTGTTGTTGTTGTTTTGAGGCAGGGTCTCGCTCTGTTGCCCGGACAGGAGCGCAGTGGCATAATCACAGCTCACTGCTGCCTTGACCCCTGGGCCCAAGAGATCCTCCCACCTCAGCCTCCTGAGTAGCTGAGACCACAGTCCGTGCCCCACCATGCCCAGCTAATTTTCTCTATGTTTTATAGAGACAGGGTCTCCCTATGTTGCTTAGGTTGGTCTCAAACTCCTGGACTTGGGCTATCCTCCAGCCTCAGCTGGGATTACAGGCATGAGCCACCATGCCCAGCCAAAAAAGGTGCTTTAAAAAAAAAAAAAATGCCCAGACCTAGGCCCTGTAAACATGGTACCTAAGAGGTAGAGGGCAAATATGTATTTTTTAAAACTCCCTAGGCCACAGCGTTCAATAGTCTGACTGTAAGAGAAGTGAGGGGATAAACTGTACAGTAGCAGTGGGAATGGGAATGGGATAAACAATTTTGAGATATGCACTTAAAAGGCACCACTGCCAGGACTTGGTGACTGACTAGATGTGGGATGGAAAAGGAGAGGAAAATAAATGACATTGGTTTCTTTCTTGGGAGACTGGGAGAGTATTGCTGACATTAATAGGTAATAATATATGATAGAAAGGTAGAAACAAGGGTTTTGGTGGTACTGGTGATGGTGGTAGTGTGTGTGTGTATGTTTAGGAAGGAGGACTAAAAAAGATAATTAGGGCTGTCATAACAGCCAACTCTAATTAGGAACTTACTTGTCAGTGCTTTATATCTTATTTTTGGGAGTCAGGCATCCCTCTGCAAGAACATTGTCATCAAAGATCACAACAATCCCACTTCGAAAATGAAAAAACGGAAGTTTGCCAGGCGCGGAGGCTCACGCCTGTAATCCCAACACTTTGGGAGGCGAAGGCAGGCGGATCACTTGAGGTCAGGAGTTTGAGACCACCCTGGCCAACATGGTGAAACCCTGTCTCTACTAAAAAAATACAAAAATTAGCCGGGCATGGTGGCTTGCGCCTGTAGTCCCAGCTACTCAGGAGGCTGAGGCAGGAGAATTGCTGGAACCTGGGAGGCGGAAGCTGCAATGAGCCGAGATCACACCACTGCACTCCAGCTTGGGAGACAGAATGACACTCCATCTCAAAAAACAAAAAGAAAATCAAAAATAAAGCCCCAAATTAACAGCTAGTAAATAGCACAGAAGAGCCTCAAGTCTGGATTTGACTGACTCCAGCCAAAGTTTGAGGTACCCATGGCATCCTAGTTAAGAATGTGGAAGTCAATAATGCAGCTAAAGTCTCAGGAGGGATAGGATCACCGAGAAAGAGAATATATAGATTGGGAAATTATTATTCATATACTTGGCTAATTCTTGTAATGGTATAGAGAACTTTTCCTCACCCAGAAAATTAAGATAATACTTAATCTATAGATAATAACCACTGAGGGCAAGGACCTCATCAGTTTTTGTATTCCTAGAGTTACAATGCCTGGTACAAAATGACCCCTCAACAAAAGTTTGCCAAAGATTTAAAAACGAAACAAAAGTCAATATACTGGCCATAGTTAGAAAAATCCTACACGATAGAAGAAATATTTCCTGATCAACCTACAGAATAGTTTTTATTGTCTGTGTAGCATGCTACAAATGCACTGTTTCTTTCTGGACCACAATAATATCTGTTTTATGAATTGCTCTGCCATAAATAGTAGATATAGGAGATGGAATTCAGTGAGACAGGTGCTCTGATACACTGCTAGGGACAGATAAGTATTTTCTGGAAGGCAATTTGATAAAATGTATCAAGAGCGTTAAAGCCCTAACTCAGTAATCTTACTTAGGAATTTATCCAAGAAAACAATAAGAGATGTGGCCAAAAATTTAGGTTGGAAGTAATAAAAAATATCCAGTAATACAAAAATAATTAAATATATCATCATACAGCCATAGGGTAGAATATTATGTTGCTCTTAAATCAAGTTTTTGAACACTTAAGGATACTAGGAAATGCTTTTGATAAGTGAAATGAAAAAAAGGTATAAACTATAGCTAGTATGACCACAATTTTGTATTTACATGTATGTGTAGCTATATATATCTGTATTTATTATTACCTAGAAAAAAGTGGACGGGTGTCGTGGCTCATGCCTGTAATCCCAGCACTTTCAGAGGCCGAGGTGGGTAGATCACTTGAGGCCAGGAGTTTGAGATCAGCCTGGCCCACAAGGCAAAACCCCCCATCTCTACTAAAAATACAAAAATTAGCCGGGCATGGTGGCGCATGCCTGTAGTTCCAGCTACTCAGTTGGCTGAGGCATGAGAATCGCTTGAACCTGGGAGGCAGAGGTTACACTGAGCCAAGATCATACCACTGCAAGAGACCCTGTCTCAAAAAAAGAAAAAAGATTAGAATATACCACAAAATGCCAATAAGAGTCTCTTTGGGTAGAAAGGTTACAGAAGATCTTGGTTTGCTTCATTATGTTTTTCAGTATTTCTAAAATTTCTGCAAAAAGCACATTTTCATTTTTCTTTTTTTTTTAACAAAAAAAATTTCTTTTTAGAGATTGGGTCTCACTATGTTGTTCAGAGTGGAATGCAGTGGCTATTCACAGGCATAATCATAGCGCACCGCAGCCTTAAACTTCTGGCCTCGAGCAATCCTCCCACCTTATCCTCCCAAGTAGCTGGGACTACAGGTGTGTACTGCTGCATGAGGCTTTTCAGATTTTCATCTTAAAACTTGAAAAAGACATGATAAAATAAAAGCAAAGTAGCATTCACCTTCTTTCTTTTTCTAGAAGGATTCCTTGTAGGGTCAGGCTTCTCAAACTCTGCTGACTTTGCCTCTTCCTTTTCCTCTTCCTCATCAGGTATCAGAGAGTATTTAGTCCCACCTGGTTGCATGAAACAATCTTTTGCAAAGTGGCCTGCAGAAGAAAAGTAGAAAAGGTATAGAAAAAGGAAGTAGTCTCTCTTCTCAGCAAGTGAATCTTTCCCCAAGTCTCCTGAAATGGGCTAGCTGGCTCAGGAAATATTGTTGAGTTCATTCAAAGCAGCTGTTTGATTCAGGGTAGATTTTCTACCACCTCAACATGACACTGCTCACTCAACCACAGCCAGACTAGCAGCTGGTCTCAGGGCTGTGGGGAACACTGGTACTGTTCTCGAAATGGCAAAGGATATGAGGATGCAGGTTTTTACTGCCCTCCATTAACAATGGGGCTTATTAATTTTTTAAGATCTATTTTGGAACATATTCCTGACAATCAAAGACTGCTCCAGAGAGCAGGATGTTTAGCAGAAGGAGCTGAGTGGCAGGCCAAGCCCTAAAGGAATATAGCTTGTAGGTAGCTGGTAGCAAGTGGGCACTCACATCTAAGCTAACACACAGAGAAATAGGCACAGTCACCTAGGGGCACTGAACATTTACAGACTGTCAGGTCTGGCAAGCACCTTGGAAATCATTAAATCCATCCTACATTTGTAGAAGATGAAAGCCCAGATTTGAGAAGTAGCTCAAGGTCATATAGACAGAAGCAGAGTTCAAACTTATCCTGGGTCTCATGCCTCCCTGCCCTGTGCTTTCTGCTGCACCAAAACCAACTACCTTTGACCTGACCTTTACTAACTGGGACAAATTCCACCTCTCATTATTCTTCTCTTCTTTATGTAATGCCTGTTGGACACGGTTAAGGTTAAAAGACCCCCACCTTCACTGAGCCTATAGTGGTACTGAGGGGCCCTTTAACAGATGCTATGCTCTACACTGCTAGTTGTGTCTGAGTTTGTGGTAGATCCTGTCTTAGGGGCACAGAGGAATTGTATGAGATAATCAAAAAGCTATGTGTGGGCTGGGCACAGTGGCTTATGCCTATAATCTCAGTACTTTGGGAGGCTGAGGCAGGAGGATCACTGGAGCCCAGGGAGACCAGCCTGGGCAACACAGGGAAACCCCGTCTCTACAAAAAATTTTTAAAAATTAGCTGGACATGGTGGTACACACCTGTGGTCCCAGCTACTCAGGAGGCTGAGGTAGGATTGCTTGAGCCCAGGAGGTCAAAGATGCAGTGAGCCATGATCATAACACTACACTCCAGCCTGGGTGACCCTACCTTAAAAACAACAAAAAAAGCTATCTGTAAAGTACTCTGTACCTCTGGGTCCAACAGCTGGGTGGCACCTGGCAGGGAAATATAGCAGAGTTTTCCAAATACCTGGAATGTTCCCACAGTTTTCCTGAGGAGGTATTCTTTCTCTCAATTTTATTTTTTCCTTCTCCCCTCTATGCTAATGATAAATAGGGGCTTAAAACCCCACAACTTCAACCAGGGCACAAATCTGCTACCAGTTATTGTAGAAAAATCACACAGTAGGGTAGACGGAAGACTAGGGAGAAGGGGTGACAATTGAGGTCAACCTGAAAATGAGAAGCTGGCAATCTCTCTCATTATAGCTCCAACTAGGGATCAGGCTGAAAGACCTTTTAAAATTTGAGTAAGAGTAGAGGAAACCTGAGGAAATAGAGCTAAAAAGAAGTGACTATCCTGTATTCTTTATTCAATATCCTGTAAAAAGATATTGTATTCAGAACTCTGACATTAAAGAGATAAAGATGAGAGTCTGACTTGGATCTTTAAGTTATATATGTCTAAGTTGCTTAATTTTTGCAGAATCATCATCCTTGGAGATAAAATTAGAGTGTTAATCATAATCCAACACTCTTACTCCTCCTGGCATAGTTCATGGGGGTCTTGCCCAGACAAGGCATATGCTGTGGGTGGGGTGGGAGGAGTGGTGGTAGTGGTATAGTATCTGGTAGGGCCAGCACTCAGAAAAGAAAACAGAAAATGTATCACCCCATGAACTCTGATGTGAGTCTGGTGGAAAAAACAGCAAAGGCCATCACTTGGCTAAAAAACAGGGTAAACTAAACTCACACTGGGCTGCCTCCTTCTTCCAGAAAAGGGTCCATCCACAAGGAGAGAAACGTGGAAAGGGCAGAGGCTTCACCCTACCTTTACAGCCACACTTCTTGCAGGTAGTGTTCAAGACAGCCTCAAGGGTGATCTTCTGCCCAGTGTAATCCTGGAAGGATCGCCTCCGCCTCTCTTCTTGCCTATAATGAAAAAGATACCGACTGCCGGCCCCCTTAAGAGATATGGCCAGAGATACTACAAGGTAAGGTTGTATGTTGGTTTTTTGTTTTTGGCAGGGAAAGGGGAGAAAGAAAGAAAGTTTTTGACAGAACGAGACAGGCAGTAAATGCAATGATGTGAAATAGCCCTAAATTAACAATTACGAATGAGACTAACCTTCATCTCACTAATGCACAGAGGATGAAAATATATAATTACTCAACATGCTAAACACCCTACAACCCTTACCAGGTCACTCATAGGTTTAAAAGACCTTCAAAGGCTTTCTAGAAAATCAGCTCCAAATTCTTTACCTTGGCATTCAAGGTCTTTCACAGTTTGTCTCTAAACTACTTTTCCAGCCTCATCTTTACTCACACAATATGCTCTGGCCAAAGAAGTCTATTTTCTCTTATCCATGTGGCTCAGTGCTTTTGCTCAGGCAGTTCTCCCCCTCTCTGAAATGCTCTGTTTCCCCACTTGACTCTCACCTCACCACTTCACTATACCTAGACATTTCATGGCTCAGTTCAGTTACTAGCTCTCCTTCTATCAAGTCTTTTCCTCTGAGCCCCTCAGACAGAATTAATCTCTTTGTTGCATTTCTCATAGCCTTTTAAAACATTTTTAGACTTCTTACCAAAATATAATATATATGTTGATGTGATTTGGCTCTGTGTTCCCCCACACACAAAAATCTCATGTTACATTGTAATTCCCAGTGTTGGGGGAGGGACCTTGTGGGAGGTGATTGGATAATGGGGTCGGATTTCCCCCATGTGATAGTGAGGGAGTTCTCATGAGATCTGATGGTTTAAAAGTGTGTGGCACTTTCCCCTTTGCTCTCTCTCTCTTTCTCTCCTGCCGCCATATGAAGATATGCTTGCTTCCCCTTCACCCTTCAGCCATGACTGTAAGTTTCCTGAGGCCTCCCCAGCCATGCCTCCTATACAGGCAGTGGAACTATAAGTCAATTAAACCTCTTTTCTTTATAAATTACCCAGTCTCAGGTAGTTCTTATAGCAGTGTGAGAACTAATATATATATATATATTATATTATATATATATATATAAATGTCTGTCATAAGTATACAGCTCACTTGATTTTTCATAATTTGAACATACCAAAGTAACCAGTACTCAGATCAAAAAACAGAACATTAAGGCTGGGTGTGGTGGCTTATGCCTGTAATCCCAGCACTTTGGGAGGCCAAGGCGGGTGGATCATAAGGTCAGGAGATCGAGACCATCCTGGCTAACAAGGTGAAACCCTGTCTCTACTAAAAATACAAAAAATTAGCCGGGCGAGGTGGCGGGCGCCTGTAGTCCCAGCAACTTGGGAGGCTGAGGCAGGAGAATGGCATGAACCTGGGAAGCAGAGCTTGCAGTGAGCCGAGATTGCGCCACTGCACTCCAGCCTGGGCGACAGAGCGAGACTCTGTCTCAAAACAAACAAACAAACAAACAAACAGAACATTGCCAGCATCTCAGAAGCCCATCTCATGCTCCCTTCTAGTTACCTGCCTCCCCCAAGGGTAATCACAATTCTAATTTCTAACAGTACAGATTCCTTTTACTTAAAAAAAAAAAAAAAATAGCCAGGCATGGTGGCTTGTGTTTGTAGTCCCAGCAACTCGAGAGGCTGAGGCAGGAGGATCACTTAAGCCTGCAAGATTGAGGTTGCAGTGAGCGGACTGCACCACTGTACTCCAGCCTGGGTGACAGAGCAAGACCCTGTCTCCAAAACAAACAAACAACAAAAAAAAACCCATAACAAAGGCAGAAACTTGAGGACATAACTCAAGGAACTCACAAACATGGTTTTTGCTTTCACCTATCTATTTGTAGAGATGAGTTTCAAGTGGCTGTGAGTTGCAGCTTAAGCAACCCCCATGACAATCAATTCCAATACTCTGTGGCTTCTACCAGACTACAAACCAAATCATACTTCCCACTTAACACTCAATTCAACAAATGTGTCAGTCACCCACGTCTCTCTTTTTGTCCTCATTGCCATCATTCTAGTTTAGGCTCCCATCATGTTTCATCTAGAGTAATAACTCCCTCACTGGTCTCCCTGCCTCCAGTTTTCTTCCTCCAATCCATCCCAGCACAGATTCTGAGATTAATCTCATTTTTTCAGTACAGCTAGTAAGTGGATAACGCCAGTGCTAATACTAGTGATAGTAATAATTATGTATACCAAAACGAACAAAACATGATTCTTTTCTGGAAAGAACTAATAGTCTGGCAATGGAGGGAGACATACAAATGAAAAATTTTAACAGAGTTAAGTCATATGTGCTTTTTCTAAAGACTACCCTATGGACCAGCAGTTGTGGCTCACACCTATAATCTCTCAGCACTTTGGAAGGCCAAGGTGGGAGTATCACTTGAGACCAGGAGTTCAAGATCAGCCTGGGCAACACAGCAAGACGTCATCTCTACAAAAAATTTAAAAATTAGGCCAGGCATGGTGGCTCACATCTGTAATCCTAGCACTTTGGGAGGCCGAGACAGGAAGATCACCCGAAGTTAGGAGTTCAAGACCAACCTGACCAACATGGAGAAACCCCGTCTCTACTAAAAAAACAAAAATTAGCCGAGCATAGTGGTACATGCCTGTAATCCCAGCTACTCGGGAGGCTGAGGCAGGAGAATTGCTTGAACCCAGGAGGTGGAGGTTGCAGTGAGCCGAGATCGTGCCACTGCCTCCAGCCTGGGCAACAAGAGTGAAACTCTTGTCTCAAAAAAAAAAAAAAAAAAAAAAAAATTAGTGGGGCATGCTGGCATGGACCTATAGTCTTGGCTACTTGGGAGGCTGAAGGAGGAGGATCACTTGAGCCTAGGAATTTGAGGTTGTAGTGAGCTATGATCACTACACTCCAGCCTGGGAGACAAAGACCCTGTCTCAAAAAAAAAAAAAAAAAATTATATACTACACTCAATTCTGATCTTGATCATAATAAAAAAGAAAAAGACTGTACTTTGCAGGCTATGCCTAATTGGAAACTGCTTTTAGCCCCTTTCCATTTACAGAGTCACTTATTAGATTATCTCATTAACACTTTGGGACCTGAGGGGATGAATATAAGAGTTAGATTTTTATGGAAAATGAAAGGTGGCTAACAAACTATGGATGGCTGAAGACAGGATGAGAATACTGAGCATAACAGGGCAAGGCCAGACAATGGGATTCCTGGGGAGGTTAATCTGACGAGAAGCCTCTCTGTCCAAAGGCTTTTTTAAAAAAATTCATGGGCTGGGTGTGATGGCTCACGCCTGTAATCCCAGCACTTTGGGAGGCCAAGGCAGGCGGATTACTTGAGGCCAGGAGTTCAAGACCAGCCTGGCCAACATGGTGAAACCCCGTCTCTACTAAAAATACAAAAATTAGCCGGGCGCAGTGGTGGGCACCTGTAATCCCAGCTACTCAGGAGGCTGAGGCAGGAGAATTGCTTGAACCTGGGAGGCAGAGATCATGCCACTGTACTCCAGCCTGGGTAACAGAGCAAGAGTCCATCTCAAAAAATAAATAAATAAAAATTCATATTCTTTAACTGATATTCATGGCTCTCCACAATCTGACCCTAAATTATCTTTCAAGCCTTCCATTCTAGTACTTGACCATATCCTCTTCTTTCCTTAAACAAGGTTCCCAAATGTACTATGTGCTTTTCTGCCTCATTCCTTTCCTCAAACCATTTCTTTTGCCTGAAATACCATTCCTTCCCCTGCTGTCTGACAAGATCTTATCTGTTCTTCAAAACCTAACTCAAATACCACCTATTCTCTGACCATCAAGGCCTGAAGTAAACTATTCCTCCTCAAGTGAATTCCTAGAACCCTTTCTTTAAACAGGGAGTCCCTAACCCCCAGGCCACAGACTGCTACTGGTCCATGGCCTGTTAGGAACCAAGCTGCATAGCAGGAGGTGAGCAGCAGGTGAAGGAGCATTACCACCTGAGCTCCGCCTCCTATCAGATCAGCAGCAGCATTAGATTCTCATAGGAGTGCAAACCCTATTGTGACCTGCACATGTGAGGGATCTAGGTTGCGCACCCCCTATGAGAATTTAATGCCTGATGATCTAAGGTGGAACGGTTTCATCCCAAAACCATTCCAGCCCCCTATCCATGGAAAAATTGGTCTTCCACAAAAGTAGTCCTTGGTGACAAAAAGGTCGGGGACAACTGCTTTAAACTACTCTTTTAGTATTTATTACAAGTTGCCTTATATTTGTTGAACAAATGAGTAAATGAAAGTACTAACTAGGGCTGAGCGGTAGTGGCTCATGCCTGTAATCCCAGCACTTTGGGAGGCTGAGGCGGGGGATCACTTGAGGTCAGGAGTTTGACACCTGCCTGGTCAACATGGTGAAACCCCGTCTCTACTAAAAATACAAAAATTAGCCAGGCATGGTGGACTATGCCTGTAATCCCAGCTACTCGGGAGGCTGAGGAATGAGAATTGCTTGAACCCAGGAGGCAGAGTTGCAGTGAGCCACGATTGTACCACTACACTCCAGCCTGGGTAACAGAGTGAGACTCCATCTCAAAAAAACTAAATGAATACTATGGATGCTATACATCAGGCACAATGGCAGACAAGTCATGGTCTCTGTTTTTGTGGGTCTTACACACACACTCTTTCAAAAGCAAAGGTGTGGTTCCGTACACCATAGTATGAGGAAAAAAGAAAAGGTGCTATAATCTCAGATATTAGAGGATAAAACAAAGCGGCATTTAAAACAATAACTACAAGTAGCTACATGTATGTCTACCATAGACTAGACATGAAGCTGGCTCCTTACAAATAAGATTTTACTTAAATCACTCAAGCATTCCTTAGATATATGTTACTGTCTCCTTTTATAGTAAAGAAGCTAAGATTCAGATAGACTAATTAATCTGCTCAAAGTCATATATTAGTTTGGAGCAGAACCAGTACTCTTTCTGATTCAAGTCTAGCTCTAAATCCTCTAATCATTCCATTATGCCATGCTTCCTTCCTGGATGCAGCTATAGACATAATTTACAACAAAAGTTACTGTTTCAGCCACTTGATTATTACTAAAAATAGTTCTACACAGAGACAGCCCAAAACCAGGGAGCCCTTTCCCTTCCCTACCCATTTTCTGAGAAACAGGGTTAGCTCTTTTATCTTACATGTTTTATATTTTATCACTGTAAGGGTGGCTTTGGGAAATTTCACTATTTTTTAATGAGTCCATATAGCATTGGATTTTTTGGAGCAGAAGCTATTTATTACAATGCAATCATCAGAATTTTTTCTTTTTCCTTTTCCCAACACTAACTTGAACCACAGCCAGATTTAAACACTTCTGCACTCTGAGTTATAAAAGATTCCTACTATTACTGACAGTATTTTGTCAATAATCAGCCTTACAAACATGTTAATATTTAGAGACTAAACCACAGAAATATGAAAAGTTCTGTAAGTCACATGCAAGAGTGAGAAGCATTTTGTGGTGAAAAGGGCATTAGCTTTAAGGTCAGAGAGACTGAGTTTTGAGTCCCTGATAATTTTCTATGTAACCACAGGTAAGTTACTTATCACCAGGCACCAAGCTATAAAGTAGGAATATAAGGTAAAATGGAGATAACATCCACTTTGCAGGTTGTTATGTACCCAAGAATGTACATAAAATGCCTGGCACTGCAGTATGTATTCAATAACATTTCCCTTACTTCCAGATAAAATTCCTTCAAATTCAAAGTGATTTTGCTCAGAACTATAAACATAAGGCTTTCCAAACTTTTCACCAATAAGATCCCACTCAAATAACATTCTATCATTTTTCTTGTCTTTTAAATTCATCAATGACATAATTGTCATTGAGCGTACCTAATTAACATAAGACAAACAATGTGATATTTTATCATCAAAAGCAACAAAATAACAGCATGGTTAACCTGAGGACACACATAGAATTTTGGATGGCTTTCTAAAACACTAAAAACAGTTAATAAACCCTCCAAGGGCCGGGCGCGGTGGCTCGCGCCTGTAATCCCAGCACTTTGGGAGGCCGAGACGGGCAGATCACCTGAGGTCGGGAGTTCAAGACCAGCCCGACCAACATAGAGAAACCCCATCTCTACTAAAAATACAAAATTAGCCGGGCATGGTGGCACATGCCTGTAATCCCAGCTACTGTGGAGGCTGAGGCAGGAGAATCACTTGAACCTGGGAGGCGGAGGTTGCGGTGAGCCGAGATTGTGCCATTGCACTCCGGCCTGGGCAACAAGAGTGAAACTTGTCTCAAAAAAAAAAAAAAAAAAAACCCTCCAAGATCCCCCTTTAAGAGACTTTAGGGATCCAAGAACCTCCGATGAGAAATTTAAGAAAGAAGCCTGGGCATGGTGGCTAACAATTGTAATCCCAGCACTTAGGAGACCAAGGTGGGAGGATCGCTTGAGCCTAGGTGTCCAAGAACAACCTGGGCAACATAGGGAGACCCTGTCTCTACAAAATAAAAATTAGGTGTGGTGGCGCATGCCTGTAGTCCCAGCTACTCGGTAGGCTGAGGTGGGAGGATAGCTTGGGCTTGGGAGGTCAAGACTGCAGTAAGCCGTGATTATGGCACTGCACTCCAACCTGGGCGACCCCATCTCAAAAAAAAAAAAAAAAAAAAAAAAGAAATCCAAGAAAGACTTGAGACAGACAGAACATTCCTTGTATTGCCAGACATTGTCCTACATAGATAATTTCCCATTCCTAAATGAAAGGTCAGAAGAGCCAACGAAAGTAAGATGTTGTTTTCAGAGCACAGTGTATCCCAAGATGTGGGAGTCTAAACCCCGCTGGAGTTGTTCCTGGATTACTCTACCCTTCCACGTGGTCTCTATGTGGAAGAGACCCACGTAACCCCACCTGCAGAAATCACTGGGAGAGAGGTAAAGAATAGTTCTTCATGAATGCTTATTAGCTAACTCGTTAAAGGGCAGAAACAGAAAGAGATTAAGGGAAAGGAAACAAAACCATTGATGGAGCACTCCAATGCCAGGAGCTTGGTACGTTAACGTTTCATCTTAGAACTCTATGCAGCAAGGTGTTAACTATTTTTATTTTATTACTTTATTTTATTTTTTGAGACCGAGTCTCACTCTGTCATCCAGGCTGGAGTGCAGTGGCATGATCTCAGCTCACTGCAACCTCTGCCTCCTGGGTTCAAGAGACTCTAGTGCATGACTCAGTCTCCCGAGTAGCTGGGACTAGAGGCACGCACTACCACATCCAGCAAATTTCTAGTTTTGTATTTTTAGTAGAGACGGGGTTTCGCCATGTTGGCCAGGCTGGTCTCAAACTCCTGACCTCTTAGGTGATCCGCCCACCTCGGCTTCCCAAAGTGTTGGGATTACAGGCGTGAGCCACCACGCCTGGTCTAACTTCATTTTACATTTCTAAAAACCAAAGATTGCAAAGGTTACGTAACTTATCAATATCACAAAGTCCATAAATGGTAGAGTTACCAGTTCAGTCTGATTTACTAAACCATTTTATGATTTGGGAGGCAGAAGAATTTTCACCTTTCCAAACCTTTTACTTACTCAATGATAACATTGTTGGGATCAAGGTCTTTCCCAGTCCCTTGATTGACAACCTTCATGGAGAGGGATACTTTTATTCTATCATTTTTCATCTGAAAGAGACCAAAAAAAGTCACCAAAAACTTTAAATACATCATTTAGATGGCCAGTCTAAAATTAAGAGTCAACGTTTTCATCATAACATTGAGCTTCTTTAATGGACCAGGTACTGTGCTAGGAACATTGCAGATACAAATAAGCATAACAGGTAGACCCTGTGGCAGAAGAATTTTAGGAAACAGTCTTAATCTCATTCTTGTCCCTCTGAGGGAAAGACAAAAATGGTAGCTCAAAAAATCCATGGCTTGTGGAAGTAACCAGGCAGAAAATAAAAGTTTTTCTTCCAGGTAAGTTCAGCATAGTGATTTGTTGAGATATCCCTAAGTCCAGAATAGGTTTTTGAATACTTCAAGAGACTAGATCTCCTTCTGGACTTGGTCTAGAGCTTCTTTAAGCATGAAGACATTTGTCACATTGGTCTTCTTTTGCTTCCCGCAGCACATGAAGCACTTCTTCACTTCAGGGTCTTTGCATCAGTTATTCTCTCTGCCTGGAATGTTCCTATCCCAAGTCTTCCATGACTAGTTCCTTTTCTTTAAGGTCTCAGCTCATATTCTATCTCCTCAAAGAGTCCTTTCCTGACAACTAGAAATCTTCTTCCAATAGTGTTTGAACCCAATATAGCACTTAATATAACTTGCAATTATTTTATGTATATTTGTCTTGGTCAGGCATGGAAATTCATGCCTGTAATTCCAGCACTTGGGGAGGCAAAGGCAGGAGGATCACTTGAGCCCAGGAGTTTGAACCAGCCTGGGTAGTAACACAGTGAGACCCCATCTTGACAAAAAAATTAAAAAAAAAAAAAAAAAAAAGGCCAGGTTTAGTGGTGCGTGCCTGTAGTCCCAGATACTCAGGAGGCTGAGGTGGCAAGATCAGTTGAGCCCAGGAGGCTGAGGTTGCAGTGAGCCGTGATGGCACCACTGTACTCCAGCCTGGGTGACAAAGAGAGACCCTGTCTCAAAAAAGAAAGAAAAATTGTCTCTACTTATATTCTATATTAACTCCATAATAGCTGGGATCATTTTTGTCTGGTTCGCTCTTATATCTCCCAAACCTAGCACATATTAAGCACTTAAATATTGTTGAATAATAGTTCTTTCATGCCTATCTCCTGTGCTGTCTCTGGTAGAACAGGACTCAGTGTATGCTCTTATTTCTCCTGTGGTCGGCCCACACCCACAGCCCTCATACCCTCAAGTGAGTAACAGGGTCCTTCAGATTTTTTTCACTTTCTGCACATTGCATGGTGCCAGATATTAGGGAAAATGACTGTAAACTATCTGTGTTCTTTTTGTTTTGTCCCAAACTGAAGTGTATCTGGCAGGTATTCTTTGAAGTCTGTGATAAACACTTGTCCCATAGGTCAACTTTCCTTCTCTCTTTTTGGTTCTTTTTTCTCTCCTCCGGCCCACCCTATGGGTAAACTTCAGGGAGGGAAGTTTTACAAACGTGCACTTATTGCACCACACTTTTATAGCTCATATCATTCCTTCTGAGTTTGCAGGACAGTCTACCAGAAGGTTTGAATTCAGAATAGATTCTAATGGCAGGATTTAAAAATAAGATTATCAGCACAATTAACAAAATTTACACACTCACTATCATAAAATATCAAAAATCCCAGCTCTTCCTAATCCTTTCTAACCACAAGGGAGCCGCACAGAACTTTACCTCTCGGCCAATAAGCTTCACCCACACTTTATCTCCAACATCTACTATCTCAGAGGGCTTATCCACCCGACAGGATGACATATGAGTTCGATGGACCAGACCTGGGCACAAGAAGAAGAAATAACGTAAAGCAGAGGGCATATCTGGTATTTATACTCTAAACTGGATAAGAAGGTAAGAGTTGGGGAATGCAAGGGAAAAATGAAAATTTTTACTGAAAAGCGTGAAACTTAAAACTGCAAATTGAGACTGCTTTTTATACCCAATCAACCAACAAACATTCTTAAAATAATGCTCAAAGTGGCCGGGCACAGTGGCTCATGCCTGTAATCCCAGAACTTTGGAAGGCTGAGGCGGGCAGATTGCCTGAGCTCAGGAGTTCAAGACCAGCCTGGGAAACATGCCAAAACCCAGTCTCTACAAAAAATACAAAAAAAAAAAAACCTGGCCAGGCATGGTGGCACGTGTCTGTAGCTCTAGCTACTTAGGAGGCTGAGATGGGAGGATCGCATGAGCCCAGGAGGCTGAAACTGCAGTGAGCTGCAACTGCACCACTGCACTCCAGCCCAGGTGACAGAGTGAGACCTTGGTTCAAAAAAATAAGTAAATAAAATAGGCCAGGCACAGTGGCTCACGCCTGTAATCCCAACACTTTGCAAGGCCAAGATGGGAGAATACCTTGAGGCAAGGAGTTTGAGACCAGCCTGGTCAACATAACGAGACCCCATCTCTATTTTTTAAATATTGTAAATCTTATTTTAAAAATAAAAAACAAAAAATTTAAAAAATGTAATGCTCCATATTAGTAAAGATGTGATAAAATATCTGTAGTTACACAATACTGATAGAAATATAAGTTGGTAAAATTATTTGAAAGCAAAAAGATAAAGATGTTTATCTTTGATGCAAGAATATCATCAATAGAATTTTTTCAAAGGAAAAACTCACAAGAGCCAAAAAACTTACAGAGCTGAAATAACTTGCAGTCTAGCCTGGGCAACATGATAAAACCCCATCTCTACCAAAAATACAAAAATTACCTGGGCGTGGTGGTGCAAACCTGTGATCCCAGCTACTCAAGAGGCTGAGGTGGGAGCACTGCTTGAGCCCAGGAGGCAGAGGTTGGAGTGAGCTGAGATTGCGCCACTGCACTCCAGCCTGGGTGACAGAGCAAGACCCCCATCTCACAAATAAATAAATACATACATACATACATAAATACATAAATAACTTGCGGTATTATTACCTACAGAGGTTAAAAAATATATAAGAACCATAAAACAACCCTAATGAACAATAACTGGAAAACAGCATGGCAAACATAGTAAATCTGTGGAATAAAAAAGTAAACAGCCATTTAAATTAATTACAAAAAATATTTATGATAGACGTTAAGTTAAAAAAGGAAATATAAACAAGCTACTATTTTTAATCCATTAAATTAGCAAAGTATTTAGAAAATAATATTCAATGTGGTGAAAGGATAGTAAAATAAGAACTATTACTAAGGCTAGAATAAACTTTTGGAAGTCACTATCAATGGCTATCAAGAATGATAAAATACTAATAAACTATTACACATTTAATAAAAATAATTTAAAATGAAATAATTGCTGGGCATGGAAGCTCAGGCCTGTAATCCCAGCACTTTGGGAGGACTGCTTGAGCCCAGGTATTCAAGACTAGCCTGGGCAATACAGTGAGACCCCATCTCTAGAAAAATTACAGAAAAATTAATAGGATGTGGTGGTGCATGCTTGTAGTCCTAGATACTCAGGAGGCTGAGGTGGGAGGATGGCTTGAGCCCAGGAAGTCAAGGCTACAGTAAGCTGTGATGGCACCACTGCACTCCAGCCTAGGTGACAGAGCGAGACTTTGTCTCAAAAATAAATCAAATAATATTTTAATAACATTTAATAAAACACTTATAGCAAACATCCTTTTCCTGTCTGTCCAAAATCCTTTCCTTGGGAGAACCACCTTGCTTATTACATTTTACATATACAAATCAGGATTGTAAACTACAAAAAATTGCCAAAGCCAATCTTTACCACCAGATGGCAAGAGTCTGCCAGAGAAAAGCAAAGAAGAGCACTGGTAAACAAGAAGCAAAGCCCTGGGAGTATAAACTGAGCACCCAATACAGCAAAGGCTGAAGTCCCAGCAATAGAGGAAAGAGACAAGGGGCAGAAACATAACTGAGAAACATAACTGAGAGTTATCCTGGAAGCCCCTGACAAGATTGGCCAAAATGTTTCCCAATTAAGTTTCTGCCCCTTGCAACCAAGAGTTCTAATACTTTATTTGACCCCTAATTGCTTCTGGGAACCTGTCCTAAGAAAATAACTTTATACATAGGAAAAACTATATGCTTCAGGAAAAGTGATTTACATCAAAATATTCAATGTATTTTTAAGACAGGAAAATTTAGAAACAACAAAGGATAACAATTAGGTCAATTATGGTATAGTCGCTTGATGGTCCATTCAAAAGATTTTTAAACAAGTCAATAATTCCTTCTTTAGTAAATAGTTATTGAGTGCCTATTATGTATCAAGTACTGTAGGTATCTAGCATTTTCCCATACTAAATAACAAAAGCATAATGCAAAATTATACAGTATGATTACAAATGCTTTAAAAACATTTTAAAAATTAGAAAGAAATGACTTGAAATGCCAACAGTGGTTATAGTATTACAAGTTAACCTTTTCATTTATTTTCGATAATAAATAATAATAGAGGATTACTTCAATTCTGGAGAAAATGAACATAAATAATTACTCTGAATGAATAAAAATCAGTCATCCTGTCTAAAATAACTGCCCTCCCTGAAGTTGCTTGGGAAATTTATCCACCTCTATTCTCATTCTCCCACTCTCTCTTTCACACACACACACACACACACACACACACACACACACACACACACACACACAGAGAGAGAGAGAGAGAGAGAGAGAGAGAGAGAGATGCACATGGATGCCTGCAGATGCCTGAAACTCAAAATACCTGCCCTTTCTGTTTAGAGCTCCTACTGGGAGCCACTACTTTCTCTATCCATCATCACTACATCCCACATACCTACATAAGCTGATTCTGGAGGTTGATAGCCTACCTATCTAAACAACTCTGGGGCCTCTAAAATGTTTTATATACATTATGTTTTTAATTTTAGATCAACACACAATCTCCAAATTTGGTGAAATTCATGCAAATGGGGTTTATTTTTTTCCCCTATGATGTAATGAGCCAACTAGCCTAATTTTAAAGTTTGAAGAGGAAATTCAGATCCCATAAAGGGGAAGCCCTTCATCTTGACTTGTTTTTGGCTGCAACTGTCCTCTACTGGTTAAAATTCATCTCTTTCCTCTATTGCTAATGAAAGTTATGATGGAAATTAATGTTGAACCTAATATACTTGAGGGAACACTATTCTTCTTCCCTAAAACAGAAAGTCTATTTACTGGAGTACCACATAGAAATAATGGCATCAAAACTTGTCCTTCTCTCACCTGATTCCATATAACCAGTGAAAAAATGACAAAAGATTTCAAATGAACTTTTTTTGTCTTTAAGTAGCTTAAGCAAGTTAATTTGAAATATTTTGCTCTTTTACGCTATAAATGTATTTATTTTATGCTACAACTGAATTTCCATGGGTCTTTAGAGTATATCTAAGAGTCAGTGAGAGTAAACTATATATATACACACACATACACACACACATATGTATTTTATTTTTTATTTTTTTGAGATGGAGTCTCACTCTGTCACCCAGGCTGGAGTGCAGTGGCACAATCTCTGCTCACTGCAACCTCCACCTCCTGGGTTCAAGTGATTCTCCTGCCTCAGCCTCCCGAGTAGCTGCGATTACAGGTGCCTGCCACCACGCCCGGCTAATTTTTTGTATTTTTAGTAGAGACAGGGTTTCACTATGTTGGCCAGGCTGGTCTTGAACTCCTGATCTCTTGATCCACCCGCCCTGGCCTCCCAAAGTGCTGGGATTACAGGTGTGAGCCACTGCACCCGGCATTTTTTTAAATTCTATTTTATTATTTTATTGTACTTATTTTATTTTATTTTTGGTACAGGTAGCTCTCTCCTGGATAAACATGACCAGTCTAGAAGCGTTAGCAGTGAAAAACTGGAAACAACTTAAAATGATTATGTGGTACATCTGAATGACAGAATAAAGCCATTAAATGTTTATAGAAAATATTTTTTTAATGGGGAAATGTTTAAGGTCCATTACGTGCAAAAAACTACACATTTTAAATATACAGTATAATCTTAATCTCAACATATTAAATTGTGTACACATATGTGAATATACAGAAATACACCAAAATGTTGGCCAAGCGCGGTGGCTCATGCTTGTGATCCCAGCACCTTCGGAGGCTGAGCCGGGTGGATCACTTGAGGTCAGGAGTTCAAGACCAGCCTGGCCAACATGGTGAAACTCCATCTCTACTAAAAATACAAAAATTAGCCAGGTGTGGTGGCAGGCACCTGTAGTCTCAGCTACTTGGGAAGCTAAGGCAGGAGAATTGCCTGAACCCAGGATCATGCCACTACACTCCAGCCTGGTGACAAAGCAAGACTCCATCTCAAAAAAAAAAGAAATACACCAAAATGTTAACAGTGCCTATCTCTGTATGGTAGTAATAGCACATAATGATCATTTTCCATTGTGTGTTTTTCCCTCTATTTTTCTATGATGAGCATGCATTATTTCCAATCATAAAAATTTATATATTTTTATAATTAAATAATATATACACTATGAAATAATGTGAAACTATGCCTCATATGGACATAGACCAAAAGGAAACATAAAAATAGTTATAACGGGGTACAGGATTATTAAAGTTGAGACATTAATGGCTTATTACCAAAAGGCCTTAGCTTATGCAGTGAATTAAACAAAAGACACAGTCTAGCCCTCGCCCTCGATCTTGAATGCAAATGTCAGGTAGGCAGTTGCATATCCAAGTCTGTAGCTCAGGGGAAGGGTATGAACTGTAGATATAAGTGCAGGAGTCTTTAGCATGCAGATGCTTATATACTAAAATACATTAACCAGACTGTCAGTTTAGTGACTGGTTCAGAGAGAGACACACACCAGTTTATTAATTTACAATACAAGATATACTTTCCTTATACCTGGAAGGTTCTCAGTCCTCATCTAGGTAAACTAGCTGCTGCCTTCAGATTAAATACCTGAACAATTACATTAGTGATCATTAGTGATCAGAAATTGCTTCCACATGGAATCAGAACAAAAGGGAGACAACTATTTTGAGATACTTTTTTTGTCCATGAAGGTTTAGTGTACTATCACTTCCTCATAAAAAAATCCATCTCGGCCGGGCATGGTGGCTTACGCTTGTAATCCCAGCACTTTGGGAGGCTGAGGCAGGCGGATCAGGAGGTCAAGAGATCGAGAGCATCCTGCCCAACATGGTGAAACCCCATCTCTACTAAAAATACAAAAATTAGTTGGGCATGGTGGCGCACACCTGTAGTCCCAGCTATTCGGGAGGCTAAGGCAGGAGAATTGCCTGAACCTGGGAGGCAGAGGTTGCAGTGACCCGAGATCGAGCCATTGCATTCCAGCCCGGCAACAGAGCGAGACTCCATCTCAAAGAAAAAAAAAAAATCCATCTCTACAGTTCCTATCATTAGATTCATTTCTGCCATAAATAAGGCAAGATAAACTCTGCCAACTTCAAGCACTCAGCCTGTCTTTTACTATGTTTACCATGTTTTAAGCTGACAACCCCCTGCTTGTTCCCATAATCTCTCCCTCGGTAGAATATTATGATACAGGACGGGCACGCTGGCTCACGCCTGTAATCCCAGCACTTTGGGAGGCTGAGGTGGGCGGATCACTTGAAGTCAGGAGTTCTAGACCAGCCTGACCAACATGGTGAAACCCCGTCTCTACTAAAAAAAAAATACAAAAATTAGCCAGGCATGGTGGCACTTGCCTGTAGTCCCAACTACTAGGGAGGCTGAGGCACAGGAATCACTTGAACCGGAGATGGAGGTTGCAGTGAGCTGATAATCATGCAAATGCACTCCAGCCAGGGCGACAGAGCAAGACTCCGTCTCAAGAGAAAAAAAAAAAAGAATATTATGATACAATCAACTAGATTTCAGTCTCCTAAATTACAATTTCATTCCAATCCCTTTTCCCTGGAATTACACCCAGATTATCTTGTTTGCATCTTGAGTGCTCCCATCTCTTCAGTCTGTTTTATAGGCAATTACCTGGTTTATTTCTATCTATGGCTGAAACTATACTCTGTATGGGAGGGATTCATGACTAGATTCATTCTCAGAAAGCAGTCTGAATTCTTGGGAGAGACTTCATTGTTAACATGGACACACCACCAAAAGTCAGATGACGTGTATGCAGTAGAGGACACCATATAAAATATTTGAGGCCCCTTCCCTTTGTGCTGAGTACCTCACTATATATACTACATCCATCCATTCATTTAATCCTCTTTGACAAAGGTTCATGGGAAAAAATCATCTAGAAATCATATAAATTATCCAGGATCACAAGGCTGATAAATAACAGAAGTGCAATTCAAATATGAGTTTATCAGGTCTCCTACATCATACCAATATTTTCCCCATTTTTATTATTAATCTATATTATCCTTACAATTAAAAAAAGGAGAAAGATGAACTTACCTACAAATAGAGGAAAGTACATCTAATTCTGTTCTAGCATATGCTCCAAAATCAAACAGAAACAAACAAACAAAAATGCTTTGCTTCCCACGCTACACCAAAGGGAGCTCTTCAGAGCAACCTGTGCATGGATTTCTGACATCAAGCCATAAATAAATGCCCAAGAGGCATATCAAGTCCATCATCAAGTTCAATAAACCCAACATGACACTTAAACAGAATTAGTCCCATCTGAGTGTCTGCTGGTAAAAACAGGAAAAAAACGAAACCTGACAACTTGGAAAGGGCTAGCTCCTCAATCACCACATGAGAGTAACAGAGTGAGCCCATTATAGTCCCCTTAAAACCGTTACCCCAACTGCGTTAGGTTCAACATTAATTTCTTCCACAACTTCCACTGGCAATAAAGGAAAGAAGTGAAAATCTCAAATCATTAGAGGACAGCTGCAGCCAAAAAAATGTCAAAACAAAAGGTCACTGTTACCCTTGGGTAATCTTAATTCCCTCTCCACAGTTTAAGTCAATTCATCTCCCAATCAATGGTATATGACAATAATATAAGCACATTCGTGAAAGTGTTTTAACACCCTTTATTCTTGTTGGGATTAAGGATTCACTAAAACATTTACTAAACGCTTAAACTATATTATAGGCAAAAATATATCCAAGCGTTAATGAAACATGGTCCTCCCAGTCAAAAAAACTCAAGACCCTAAAATATGCACATCATTCCCATTTCAGGGATAAGGAAATTAAGGCTCAAAGACTAGGAGACTTGCCAAGAAGCCAGTTAATGGTAGAACTGAGGCTATAATTCATTCATTCATTCAGTGAGATTTACTGAACACCCACCCACTATACCTCAAGTATTGTACTATGCCCTGACTCATCCAAACAGCCTAACCGTTCCACAATTCCATGGACTAAGTGCAACAACACTCATTTTTATTACACGCCACTCTAATTTGTTTACATCACTAGACTGTAAGCAATCTGAGGGCAGCAAGGGATTATGTTTCTCTTACCTCTGTGTTCCCACCAAAAAAGCTAATCAGAAAATAGAACTCAATAATTATTTGCTAAACTGAATCCACTGCTAAATATATTTGAGCTTCTATCATAAGCAAGAAACTCTGAAAGTATAATGTTGAAAAATCTGTTCTCAAAATTTCATAGTTTAGTGCTGGATGGCAGAAGACAGTAGGAAAAAAAAAAGAACTTTATAATTGTATAGGGTTGCACTGCCTAATAGATAGTCACTAGTCATGTAGCTGTTTTAAGTTTCAATTTCAATTAGTTGAAATAAATAAAATGAAAAAGTCATGTATCAGCACAGATGTAGTATAATACAAAAATACATTTGTTCATTTTCCTGTCAAAGAACTTCTAAAACTCCTGGGATTTATTAAGTGATAGGAGTGTATTCTGTTATTCATAGTAAGCCCCTTTTGATTATACCTGAGTTTATTTTAATGAGGTGACAGAGTGGGATCCCTAGATAGCCTCAGGATGGACTAGTCACCAGAAAGACCAAGCGATCAGAGGGCTGGAACTTTTTCTATTTTGAGACAGGATCTTGCCATATTGCCCAGGCTGGACTCAAACTCCTGGACGGCTCAACTGATCCCCCTGTCTCAGTCTCCCAAGTAGCTGGAACTACAGGTGCTCACCACCATGCTGGCTTAGAGGACTGGAATTTTCAATCCCACCCACCAATCTCCTACTTCTAGGAAGAAAGAGGAGGGTTGGGAGCTAGAGACTGAGCTCTATAAAAACTCCCATACATGAGATTTGTAGTTTCTGGGTTGGCAAACACATCCTAGTGCTGGGAGGGTGGCATACCAGAGAGCATGAAAGCTCCCCACCACACCTTACCCGATCCCACTCCACTCCAGCCATACCCTACCCCATGTATCTCTTCAATTATTTGGCTGTTCCTAAGTTGTATCCTTTATAATAAACTGGCAAAGAATAGTACTGAATCCTATACATACTATGTTTTTCCTATACATACACACCTAAGATAAAGTTTAATTTTTATTTATTTATTTATTTATTTTTGAGACAGGGTCTTGTTCTGTCACCCAGGCTGGAGTGCAGTGGCATGATCTCGGCTCACTGCAACCTCTGCCTCCCAGGCTCAAACAACCCCCTCAGCCCCCTCAAGTAGCTTGGACTACAGGCACACACCACCATGACCAGTAAATTTTTGTATTTCTGTGGAGATGGGGTTTCACCATGTTACCCAGGCTGGTCTCAAACTCCTGAGCTCAAGCGATCCACCTACCTCGCCTCCCAAAGTGCTGAAATTACATGTGTGAGCCACCATGCCTGGCTGTGAAGCTTAATTTATAAATTAAGCACAGAAATAGATTAACAATAATAACATAACAACATACTGTAAGAACAGTTATCACACACTGTTGCTGTAACTTTTGCAGTTAGAAATTCGACAGCAAAACTAGTATGAATTTTTCCTTCTTCACAATTTCACACACAGAAGATTCATTCTTAGGGTAGATCTTAGCAACCACAGGACAGGATTACGTTTTCTTTCCTTAATTTGTTTTTAACCTTTATTTTAGATTCCGGGGGTACATATGTTCAAGTTTGTTATCTGTGTACACTGCATGATGCTGAGGTTTGGGATATTAATCATCCCATTACAGTAGTACTCAGCATAGTACTCAAAGTTAAATTTTTCAACCATTCTCCCCCTTCCTCAGTCCCCCCTCTAGGGGTCCCTGTTTTTCCCTTATTAAGTTGAGAACTTTTACCTTTTGACTTAAAGGAAGCCCTTTATGGCTTCTCTCTGGCATATCAAAATTGCCAGCATTAGTATTACACTTTGGGGCCATTAAGTAAAATAAGGGTTACTTGGAACACAAGCACTGCAACAGCAGTCGATCTGATCACTGAGAAGGCTACTAAGGGACTAATGGGTGGGTAGCGTACACAGTGTGGATGGACAAAGGGATGATTCAAGTCCCAGATGGAATGTGGCAAGACAGCACAAGATTTCATCACACTGCAACTGCAACTTAAAGCTTATGAATTGTTTCTAGAATTTTCCCTTTAATATTTTCAAACCTCAGTTGACCTAGGGTAACTGAAACCGTGGAAAGTAAAGGCACAGATGAGTGGGGACTACTGTAAAGTGTTTTCCTGACTTCTGTAAGCCATTCTGGCAAAGTCTCAAACCTAAGTAGGTGGTCATGGAACCCCTGTTTACAGCTGATTGGTCAGAAGTACAAGTGGCCCAGGACTTGCAGCTGGCATCTGAAATGGGGGAAATTTTGTGGGACTGAGTCCCTTAAATTTGTGAGATCTAACACAAGCTCCAGATAAATAATGTCAGAATTGAACTGAGTCACTGGACACCCAGTTGGTGTCCAGAGAATTGGGGAGTTGGTTGGTGTCAGGAAACAAATCAGAGAACATAAGGAATATTTTCATCATCACAGAAAGTTATATTGGATAATACTATGAGAGGGGAAAGAAAATCTAGCTTAGGTTTGAATAGTAGGAAGGGGTCTTCAACTCAGTGTTGGCTGAAGTATTCTGAGAACATGACATCTGGGAAACCAGCTCAAATTAGAATCTACCTACCTGAGCCAAAGATGTTAAGACCTGATCAGACCAGAGTTATTTTCTAACTCAGTCCTTTCAGGCTGAGACTTAATAATCTTCCCTCTTTATGGGCAGAGAAACTAAGATACACTGTAAGGAAGTCAATTGCTCAAGTTATCCAATAAACCTATAGATCTCAGGATTAAAACTCACAGAGTTTCCACCTAATTATTTGGCTCCCTGAGCTCTCCCTCTGAGGCTTGCCTCAGCCCAGCTGTCAGACTGACAGATTCACTTGTAAGCTGTCAGCCACAATCAGAGGCATCACCTGACAGGGTATGGATAAAATGAGTTGAAGATTGACTGCTGGAAGGTCACAGGCCTTTAATCCCACACAGTCCCCAAAGTGTCACATATGCCCAAATTAGAATGGGACTTTCAGGCACTGGCAGCTATGGCAACTATACTAACAAGAAAACCTGTGCTCAGACAGAAAGAGATGAATGTCCTGTGGGGTGGGGAAGAGTTCGATGTCATTAAATTCCAGACAACATAAAATGAGAAACTTAATTACAGACTGCTGACTGCCAGCTTGAAAACTGCTGGTAAACCATTTCTTAAGCAAAGATGCAATTTGCAGAATAGTAGTCTACAAGGTTAGAGGCATGGATTTATTATCCAAAGATCACCTCTTGGATTTTTTTTTTAACAGAAAAAACTTAAAAAAAATTTCCAGAAGTCAAAGTCCCTCTTCCATGTACATCCCTTCCTTAGCAAAACCAACTCCCCAGAAGTGACCATTGTTAATCTGTTGAATATTCCTCCAGCCTTTCTTCTAAACATAGGCAGTAATTTAAACTATATAAAGAAAAAAGATATTAAAGGCATATGCACACTTGCTTTAAAAGGGGAAGAGAGATGCTATACAAAGTCTTCTGCAACATGTTTTTAAATTTTATTATCTTAGACTTCTTTCCATGTTAGTTTTTTCTTTTTTTTTTTTTTTAAGGGACAGGGTCTTACTCTTACCCAGGCTGGGGTGCGGTGGCACAATCATAGCTCACTGCAGCCTCTAACTTCTGGGCCCAAGTGATCCTTCTGCCACCACACCCAGCTAACTTTTTGTAAAGATGGTGTCACAAGATTCTTCAGGTGTCACTTTTCCAGCCAGAAGCTGCTGTGGCCAGCAGCACCTTTGCCCGAGTTTTGCTTGGACCTGCTGGGCTCGTTCTGCCCACTTGGCCTGGCAGGCTGCATTCAGCTTTGCTTGGGGCCACTAGGCCTGTTCCATCCACTTGGTCTAATGGGCTGCGCTTGGCTCATGCTGCCGTCCCAGATCCCACACCTGCCAAGGGCGAGCCAGGCTCGGAGTGGCGAGGGATGCATGAGTGAGTGAGCATGGGGTCCAGCCACTGTGCACAGCCAGGCACACTGGCTGCTGTGGCTGGGCAGGCAGCTCCAGGTGCTGGCACAGGCACCAGCTCCATGTGAGGCTGTGGATGGACCAGGCATACCACAAGCGGCTTCCACTGTGGACTCTGGGGAACATGGTGGTGCCCAGAAGCTTGGAGAGGCCAGGAACCATAAAGCCCCAAAGAGGTGTCACAGCTCTGGCTCAGGGAGCCCTTGGATCTGTTACAGCTCTTTCAGTCCCGCCATTCAACGGGTCCCAAGTTCTTGTCTTGCATCCAGGAAGAATGAGGTAAGCAGACAACTGGAGGGTAAGCAAGGCAAAGAGTTGCTTTATTGAGTGATGGTACAGCTCTCAGGAGACCCAAAGTAGGTAGCTCCTTTCCACAGGCAGGTCAACCTGTTGAGTGCAGCTCTTAGCAGAGAGGAGACCCAGAATGGGCAGCTCTTATCTGCAGGCAGGTCATCCCAACATCTGCAGCCCTTGACGGAGAGGAGACCCAGTGTGGGTAACCCATTTCCACAGGCAAGTCCTCCCAGTGTCTGCCCAAGTCTGGCTGAGTCCAGGATTTTTACAGTCTTCAGAAGTGTGTGCTGACTGGTCCATGGGCAGGCCCAGGAAAAGCACCTTAAGTTCTCACTCTGGGCCACAGACTCCACCTGGAACTGACAGCCTGGCCCCTATGCTTTAGGCCATCCCTGGCTTGAAGGTGCGGCTTCACCGAGACCTGCCCCTTTCCACCCAGGAGCCTGTCTGCCTCTTGTCACCATCAATCATGTTGTCCATGACGCCCAGTTGTTCTGTGCCCAGGGGCACCTGCAGGCCCATGCTGAGCCACCCTCAGCACCCCTTTGGCCTCCCTCCTGTGCTCACTGGCACCCAAAGTCCAGAGGGGGCCAAGATGGTAGGAAGCTGGCATGGCAGCACCACCCCAAGGTGTGCAAACCCAGCCAGGTTGCAATAGTGCCCAGGCTCAGCTTCGACTTTGCTCCAAAATCAGAGCAGGAGCCGGGAGCTTGGAGAGTCCAGGCAGTGGGAGCAGGCACTTCTGAGACTATGGGGGAAAGGGGTCTTCCCGGACCTCCAAGAGTGCAGGGATGCCTGGGTCTGCAGCCAGGGCTGGGTGGCGGCAGCTGCACCCATGAGGGTGGGCTCCCACCCCACTAACTCATAAGGGGGCAGGGCTCCTGCCAGCTCCATAGAACATGCAGCCCTGGCCGCACAGCCCCCACTATGGCTGGCATCTTTGCAGCAGCCACTCTAGACAGGCCTCCATCGCCATCAGTGGGGTCTTGCTATGTTGCCCAGCCTGGCCCCGAACTCTTGGCCTCAAGTGATCTTACTACTTCAGCCTCCCAAGTAGCTGGAATTACAGGTGCATGCCACCACTCCTGGCTCATGTCAGTAAACTGACATTTATTGTGTTTCATTGATTCTAAGATGCACTTTCTTTTCCTCTCACTTTAATCTCTCTGAAATTGGAGTGCTTCTCATAATCAATGATGTTTTACAACTGTTATCAGTCAGGTAGCAGTGTGATGGAATTGTATGAAAACCTTCCATGGCATCTTTCTGGTAAGATGAGGCATAATTATGTCTTAGAAATACAGTCATTCTTTCAATCATCTGCATAGTCTACAAAACAGATGCACATAATTTATGTAATTCTCTACTTACACTAAATTCTTCAAAGAATTTCTGGATTAAAGGGTAATAAGCACATAAAAGATGTTAATAGGCATTGCCAAAGTCTGTGAAATTATGCTCCTGATAGAGAGTAAAAGTATCCATTTCTAACACTGGGTATTAACAGCAATCTTTTAAAATATTTATTAATCTCAAAGATTTTAGGAGTGTTTTAAATCATTTTTTAAAAATATTTGATAACTTTGCTGCCCTATGTGAAAAAAAATTTTTGAGATAATTGTACATTCATCTGCACTCAAAAGAAATAATACAGAGGTCTAGGCCGGGCTCGGTGGCTCACGCCTGGAATCCCAGCACTTTGGGAGGCCGAGGCAGGCAGATCATGAGGTCAGGAGATCGAGACCATCCTGGCTAACACGGTGAAACCCTGACTCTACTAAAAATACAAAAAATTAGCCAGGCATGGTGGCGGGTGCCTGTAGTCCCAGCTACTTGGGAGGCTGAGACAGGAGAATGGCGTGAACCCAGGAGGTGGAGCTTGCAGTAAGCCGAGATTGTGCCACTGCACTCCAGCCTGGGCAACAGAGCAAGACTCCGTCTCAAAAAAAAAAAAGAAAGAAAGAATACAGAGGTTTTATGTACACTTTATCCAGTTTTCTCCAATGGTGACATTTTGGAAAACTATAGTACACTAACACAACCAGGATGCTGGCATTGATACTGTGGTATAAGAAATACATATTCGATCTTTGTCCCTAGTTCCTGGCAGAGTTCCTAAAACGCTTGGACTATTCTGAGTGATAGAAGTGTCTTTTGTTATTCATTAAGTCCCTTAATGAGGTGACTACTGTGGGTCCCTAGATAGCTTCAGAAACAGAGAAATCAACGATGTGATTAGATAGGGTTAGAAATTTCAGCCTGGGCTGGGCATGGTGGCTCACACCTGTAATCCCAGCACTTTGGGAGGCCAAGACGGGCAGGTCACAAGGAAAGGAGTTTGAGACCATCCTAGCCAACATAGTGAAACCCCGTCTCTACCAAAAATACAAAAATTAGCCAGGCATGGTGGTGCACACCTGTAGTCCCAGCTACTCAGGAGGCTGAGGCAGGAGAAACGCTTGAACCCGGAAGGCAGAGGTTGCGGTGAGCTGATATTGCACCACTGTACTCCAGCCTGGGCAACAGAGCTAGATTCCCTCTCAAAAAAAAAAAAAAGAAATTTCAGCCCTACCCTCTGACTTCCGGGAAGGGGAGAGGGGCTGGAGACTGAGCTCTATCACTGAAGGCCAATAATTTAATCAACCATGTCTATATAACAGATCCTCCATATAAACCCCTAAGCAATGGAGTTTGGAGAGTTGGTGAACACATCCATGTGCCAAGAGGGTGACACACCCCAACTCCATGGGGACAGAGGCTTTGTACTCGGAACACTTTGGGTCTCACCCTGTGTACTTCTTCATCTGACTGCTCATTTTTATCCTTTAAAATAAACTAATAGTAACTATAGCATTTTTCTGAGTTCTGTGAGTCACTCTAGCAAATTACCAACTTTGGGGGGAAGTGCTGGGAATCCCAAAAATTGTAGCCAAGTGAGACAAAAGTGTAGGTAATCTGAGGATTCAATATTGGGGCTGGCATCTGAAGTGAGGGTAGTCATGTGGGACTGAGCCCTTAAGTTTGTGGAATCTGACACTAATTCCCAGGTAGTTAGTGTCAGAATTGAATTGAATTGTTGGGACATCCAGTTG
Source organism: Homo sapiens (assembly GCF_000001405.40). Classification (NCBI taxonomy): domain Eukaryota; kingdom Metazoa; phylum Chordata; class Mammalia; order Primates; family Hominidae; genus Homo; species Homo sapiens. The sequence goes on along the minus strand of NC_000001.11, from coordinate 31,322,189 downwards.
ATGTTAGAGAATCAGAGAACTGGAGAATTGGTTGGTGTAGGGAAAAACATCTCAGATAAAATCGACTGGCTCTTGTTCAGATTTCCCCAGTTTTACCTGTACTCATTTGTGTTTCTGTATGTGTATGTATTTAGTTCCACGTAATTTTACCACATGTGTAGATTCATGTATACACTGCCACAGTTAAGATACAGAACAGGTCCCTCACCACAAGGATCCTTCATATTGCTACTTCCTTCCCCTTCTTAATCCTTGTGAACCATTAAATAATTTGTTCTCCATTTAAATAACTTTGTCATTTCAAGTATGTTACATAAAAATCTTTGCAAATCATATATTTGATATGAGACTAGTATCCAGAATATATGAGAAACACCTAACTCAACAATAAAAACAAAAATAACCCTATTTTTAAAAGGGAAAAGGCAGGTGTGGTGGCTCACACCTTTAATCCCAGCACTCTGGGAGGCTGAGGAGGGCAGATTACTGGAGGACAGGAGTTCAAGACCAGTCTGGCCAACATGGCAAAACCCTGCCTCTACTAAAAATTAGCCGGGTGTGGTGGCACATGCCTGTAATCCCAGCTACTCAGGAAGCTGAGGCATGAAAATCACTTGAACTCAGGAGGCAGAGGTTGCAGTGAGCCAAGATTGCACCATTGCACTCTAGCCTGGGCAATAGAGCAAGACTCTGTCTCAAAAAAAGAAAAGGATTTTGTATTAGTCTGTTCTTACACTGCTAATAAAGACATACGAGACTGGGTAATTTACCAAGGAAAGAGATTTAACTGACTCACAGTTCAGCATGGCTGGGGAAGCCTCAAGAAACTTAACAACCATGGGGAAAGGGGAAGCAAACACATCCTTCTTCACAGGGCAGCAGGAAGGAGAATAAGTGCCCAGCGAATGATGGTTTTATAAGGGAAGCCCCTTATAAAACCATCAGATCTTGTGTTACTATGATGAGAACAGGATGGGGCAAACCACCCCCATGATTCAATTATCTCCACCTGGTCCCTACCACAGCACATGGGGATTACGAGAACTACAATTCAAGATGAGATTTGGGTGAGGACACAGCCAAAATATATCAGATTTGAATAGACATTTCCCCAAAAAAGATATACAAATGGCCAATAAACCCAAGAAAAGAGACTTAACATCATTAGCTATTAGGGAAATTCAAACCACAATGAGATGTCCGTGCACATCCATTAGGATGGCCATACCCAGAAAGATAATAACAAGTGTTAACAAAGATGTAAAGAAAATAGAACCCTCATACATTGCTGGTAGGAATGTAAAATGGCGTGGTCACTTTGGAAAAACAGTTTGGCAGTTTCTCAAAAAGTTGAACATGGAGTTATCATATGACCCAGTATTTCCACTCACAGGTATATACCCAATGAAAGCAAATATCCACACAAAAAGTTGTACACAAATATTTATAGCAACATTATTCATAATACTAAAGAAGTGGAAACAACCCAAATATCCATCAACTGATGGAACTGCAATAAATTTGTAATGGCAATAAAAAAGAATTAAGTACATATTATAAAACAGATGAACCTTGAAAACGTGCTAAGTGAAAGAAGTCAGTCACAAAAGACTATATACTGCATTATTCCATTTACAAGAAATGTACAAAATAAGCAAATATACAGAGACAAAGTAGAATAATGATTGCCTAAAGCTGGGGGCATAGAGAGAATCTGGAGTGATGGCTAATAGGTACAGGGTTTCTTTTTGGGGTGACAACAATGTTCTCAAAGTAGATCGTGGTGATGGTCACAAAACTCTGAATATACCAAAGAAACCACTGAATTGTACACTTTAAGCAGGTGAAATGTGTGGTATGTGAATCATATCTCAAGTAAAACATAAGAATGTTATATAAATGGAATCATAAAGTGTATAACCTTTTGAGATTAGCTTTTTTCACTCAGTATAATTTCTGGAGAGGGATGATCCAGGTTGTTGCATGTATGAATATTTTATTCTCATTCCTTTGTATTGTTGAGTAATATCCCATTATATGAATCTACCAGTCTAAGTTACTTTTTAGTCATACGGAGAATGAGTATCTTTTACTATAGTACCAAGTAATATTTTTTTATCCTGTGAGTTGTTTTTCATATCCTTGGCACCTTTTCCTAATACCCCCTTTGTATTAGCTCTTTATCATATGTACTACAAATTCTTTTTCCAAACTTAACTCTGATTACAATGATTTTTGCAGTGAAGTTTTTAATTTTCATGTAGTGAAATATTCTTCTAGATTTTCTTCTAGTATTCTTATGGTTGCCTTTTTTTAAAATGTTAAAATCTTTAATTAAACCTTATTTTAGCATAAGAAGTTAGCAAGTTGAATCTTTGGATCCACCAGCAGTGTGATATAGTAGAAAGATCCAGGGGCTAGGAATCAGAAGGATTGGGTTCTAGTCTTGGCTATGCCACTACCTAGCCAAATCACTCTGGGCAGACAACCGGTCTGTGGAACCTGCCTTTTCGGCTTAACATAGTTTTGGTAAATAAATAAGATTATAGATTTATAACAGGATTCTCAAAAAAATGTTCAACAGACGCCTCTTTATGAAAAAAACTTAAAACATTATATATATTATATATGTTTGTATCACTTGCAATACTATTCCCATTTCATGCGCTATCTACTAGAAAACTCACACTGTCAGCCTCAGACAGAGGTAGCTTGCCCTCCCGCAAATCCTGTGTCTAAAGAAGTCAAGTGATTTGCCTAGGGTCACAGGTGAAGTCTAAGGAGGAGCTGGTTTCAGAAGTAAACCCAGTTAGCTATACCCCAGTCTTCCTCCTGAGTCAGAGACCACAATTCTCTGCCCGCTAAAAATGAACTGTCATCTTGTATTCATATCTATACATTAAAAAGAAAACAAAGGAATGAAAAACTACTGTCTGAAAAATGTACAGCCTATAATTAGGAGGTGGTGGAGTGTTAGCAGAGAGTAGAATCAGAGGGCTGAATTTCAAGTTATAAACTCCTACCTTGCTTCCGACAGCCTGGGATTTTGATAAAGGCCCCATAGTCTGTCACCATAGCAACCTATAAAGATGGGGGAAAAAAATCAATGTCACATACATGAGAATCTTTCTTCTGTAGCATTTAACCTAGTCTCCCCAAATCTGTACTTCATATTGACTGCCTCTGTATGCTATAAAACTGCCTAAAAATGATGCTCTGTCAAACATTCTTTCTGGGTTTTTTTTGAAATTTAGACTGACAGGTATGTGTGTACACATTAAAAACACTGGGAGATTAGAGTGTTATCACACGGTGTGATGATACTGAGGAATACCCAAATCCTATACCTAGTAAAATCACCAACAGAGTTTCATGAACAAAGGGAACATATTGATATTACCAGAGGAGTTTCATGAACAAAAGGAACAAAAAGCAAAAAACCAGGTAATAAAGTTATATTTTATATTAGCTAGGACTGAGGCCTCCAAACCCAATACAGAGAACTTTAATAAATTTGGGATGGATCACACAGGGCATTCCTCCCCTCATACCTGAACTTCAAATCAAACCAGAGCATACAGCCTGTTACATTTAACTCCAAGTCTGAGTCTTGGGTTTCATCAAGACAACTAGATAAAAAGCCAATACATACACATCTGACAGAACCTGAAAAGATCTAATCAGAGAGAAAGAGTTGTCCCCTCAGTCTTCTGCAGAGTTGTCTAAGATGAAGTTAGAGGCTTGATGGGTCTATGTAATAGGCAACCAATAAATGTTAGTGATGAAAGGCCCAGAACCCTTGCCAGATAAATCATTAACCTAGGCTCTAGCTCTCTCTTCCCCCTGTAGCCTACCCCATCCCCCAACCTGTGGATCGAGGGTAATGTTGTCACTATATGCTGAATTTAACACTAAATGATTATTTGTAAAATATTCAATATAATCTTACATACATAAACTTTATTCTTTTCAGTGTCTTCAATTAGCTGCTTCATCTTGAGCACTGTTTCAGCTTCACCATAACTAAAACAAGGGGAGTAAATAAAACAATCCTGACTGCACTGCTATTTACTAATATATACTGAATACTCACTATATGCAAAATAATATTCAAAATGCTTTGCATAATCCTTATGTCACTGTACAGAGTTGGTACTATTATTCCCATCCAATAGATGACAAAAAGATGCATGAAGAGATTAAGTAACATATCGGAGGTCCAAAGCTAAATAAGTAGCAGAGCTGAGATTTGAATCCGGAGTCTTAATTACACTAGAGCTGCTCATAGGTCCCCTCTAACTATAAAATTCTAATGGCCAAAAGCAATGTGGTATTTGATATCCTATCTATTCCTAGCAACAATCCTAGAAAGCATATACAGTAGATCCTTATGTTGCAAATGAAGTGGAATAGTATAGGTGTATCTGGGTGCTGTGCAACGTGCCTGTAGTCCTAGCTACTCCAGAGGCTGAGGCTGGAGCGTGGCCTGAGGCCAGGAGTTGAATCCAGCCTGGATAACATAGCAAGACCCATCTCTAAAAAAGCTTTAAAAAAAAAAAATAACAGTATAGGTATAGAAAGTGAACATGCTTTGGAGTGAAAGATGTGGCTTCTAATCCTAGCTCTGCCATTTCCCACCTGTAGGATCTTGCACACAACTTGCCTTTCAGGGCCTAAGTTCCCATTTGTTCTCACTTTGCTGCTGCAGATAACAAATGATGTACATAAAGTGACTGACATAGGTATGTAGCACATAATGGACATTCAACAAAGTGTAGCTTTTCAATAATTTACAGTCTAAGACACTGAAGCACAAAAAGATTAGTGACTGGTAGGAAGGCACACAACTACTTGAGAGTTAGGGAGGCCAGGCACGGAGGCTCATGCCTGTAATCCTAGCACTTTGAAAGGGCGAGGCAGGTGGATCACCTGAGGTCAGGAGTTCGAGACCAGCCTGGCCAACATGGTGAAACCCTGTCTCTAATAAAAATACAAAAATTAGCTGGGTCTGGTGGTGGGCGTCTGTAATCCCAGCTACTCGGGAGGCTGAGACAGAAAAATCACTTGAACCTGGGAAGCAGAGGTTGAGTGAGCCAAGATGGCGCCATTGTACTCCAGCCTGGGCAACAAGAACGATACTTCATCTCAAAAAAAAAAAAAAAAAAGAAAAAAAGTTAGGGATAGAACCTCGGTCCCTTGACTCCCTAGTCCAGTGCCTTATACTTAACCAAATATCATCATTACTCACTTCAATGTTAGGATGGAAATAGATAAAAACTTTCATTCTCATTTTTTAATGGAGACATCGGATGGAGCACTTGAATTAACTCTCCAAGACAAAACATGAAGAATGGGTTACGAACCAAAAGTTCTAAACTCATGTTTTATACTAATGAACATGTTATGCTGGGTTAGGAACCAGAGAGTCCCAAAGAAACAGTACAATCACACAGATGCTTAAAATTAAGGCAAGGTAGAGCCAAAGAAATGACTTCAGAGATTAGCTGGTCCAGTTCTACCATGTTTCAAATGAGGAACGTAGAGATCAGAGATAAAAAGTGCTTACCTGAGTTTACAAAGCAATTTGTTCTTTGTAAAAGAGGGCCACATAATAAAGATAAGTCTCCCAATTTTTAATTGAAATAAAAGCAAATCGCTTCTTTCTGGACCAACTGAAGGCACTTTGGCTTTTGTTCCACAGTTCTAGAAAGAGGGCTGAAAAGTCTCATACTGTGTAACAACATTATTAAAGAACATAATCATCCAACAAACTTAAAAGTAGCATCTGGGTCAGGCACAGTGGCTCACACCTATAATCCCAGCACTTTGGGAGGCTGAGGCAGGTGGATCACTTGAGGCCAGGAGTTCGAGACCAGCCTGGCCAACATGGTGAAACCCCATCTCTACTAAAAATACAAAATTTAGCTGGGCATGGCGGCACATGCCTGTAATCCCAGCTACTTGGGTAGCTGAGGCACGAAAATCGTTTGAACACAGGAGGTCATGGTTGCAGTGAGCCAAGATCATGCTACTGCACTCCAGCCTGGGTGACAGAGCAAGATTCTGTCAATAAATAAATAAATAAGTGAATAAATAAATAAATAAATCTGGAAGTTAGAGCCAAATTCACCTCACTGCTATAAATTAAGACAATCTCACTTTTCAATCCTGAAGCTCCAGTGTCACATTATGGTCTTTAGAGGTAATATAATAGACCTTAATTTGGCCTCTCCCAAAAGGAAAGGTTAATATGCTCCAGAATGGATGCACTCAACTGTTTAGGCATTGTTTCAGATTTCTAGCACCAGGTGTTTTCATCACTGTGTCTCCTAGGGTGCAATCACACCTGCCATAGATGATCACGCAGTCTGCCTGGTGTCCCAAGAATAATTAGTCAAATAGCTCAGGGGAAAAAATTCAGTAACTATCTCAACTGAATTCATTAGAGCTTGGGTAAAGTAAATTTCCCATCTTCAGATTATAGGTGGCAAATGGCCTTGAAACTTGTTGTCACCATAATGTAAATGAAGAATTTGAGGCTCAGGGGCATAAGTTACTTGTCAAAAGTCACAAAGATAGTAGCACAGCCAAGTACAACACAGACTTTTTTTTTACTTCTAGTCCAATGCTATTTCGACCTTACCAACATGAATCTCCCCTCAGCATTTCTTGGGCTATGGCAAGCCTAAGCCAAATCCCAAGTCTCATTGCTATGCTCGTACCTCCTACCATGTATTAATATAATGCACTCTGCTACCAACATGCTTCTCAGAGGATGACAGGATGAATACTGGCTTCTCAGCTATTTAATTACTAGGTCCCAAATCCCTGCTAAGTTCAGCAAGAGAAGAGCTGGGACATGGGCTGAAACACCACCTTCTTCAAGGACAACTAGTCCTGTGAGGCTTGGGCTCCATTTTAAGCACCTATCTACTATGTACAAGATACCATGTCAGGTACTATGAAATAAAGACAACTTTAAAAAAGGGATGCCCAGTCATTTTAAATAAATTTGAAGTAGTTACCAAGACATATGAGACAATCATGGCCTCTGCTCTACAGTAACTCACGATCTAGTAGTGGAGAGAGACACATACAAGTAATAATAATACAAGACAGACCAGGATAAATGCTGTAACAGAGTTGTACCAACAAATGACTGTAGAACCACCAAATTTATCTATATTCCTCCTATAACTCAATTCAGTCAAAAGAATTCTCTTGGCTGGGTGCGGTGGCTCACATCTATAATCCCAGCACTTTGGGAGGCCAAGGCAGATGGATCACTTGAGGTCAGGAGTTCGAGACCAGCCTGGTCAACATGGTGAAAACCCATCTCTACTAAAAATACAAAAATTAGCCAGGTGTGGTGGCATGCGCCTGTAATCCCAGCTATTCAGGAGGTTGAGGCATGAGAATCGCTTGAACCCACTGCACTCCAGCCTGAGCGACAGAGGAAGACTCCATCTTAAAAAAAAAAGAATTCTCATGGGTCTTTTGGTTCCTCCACACATTTATGTACAATTGCACAACCCCAGCTGCAGTTTAGCAGAAAGTAAACTTGGAAAGAGGACCTGATTTAGAATCCTAGCTTTGCCATTTATTAATCCCTAGGCGATTACTTAACTTCTGAGAAGAGTCTCCCTATCTATCAAATAGAGTTAACAATTTCTTTGGAGAGATTCAATAAGACAGAATGTGTGAAAGTGCTGGCATAGATTAGGCTTACACCTTTTTTTTTTTTTTTCAATTTTAATGTAACTCCTCTTCTTTGTAAATATTGGGTACTCATTAAATGTTTATTGGATGAATATTCTGAAAAGTTTCTTCTTTCCAATTTATCGTATTTCTCTTTCCCTAACTCCAAGTCACTTCTAAACCATCCCTTTTCAAAATATGCTACTGAAATAGTAAGTTAGAACTATAAAGTTCTCTCTGAACATTCCTAAAGACCATCCATCCTTGATAGTAATATATAAAACCTGCACTAATTCAAGCTCCATCTCATATAAGAAAGCTGTAGGTGGCCAGGCACAGTGGCTCACACCTGTAATCCCAGCACTTTGGGAGGCCGAGGTGGGTGGATCACCTGAGGTCAGGAGTTTGAAGTCAGCCTGGCCAACATGGCGAAACTCTGTCTCTACTAAAAATACAAAAAATTAGCCGGGCGTGGTGGCTGACGCCTGTAGTCCCTGCTACTCTGGAGGCTTAGGCAGGAGAATCACTTGAACCCGGAGGTGGAGGTTGCAGTGAGCCGAGATTGCACCACTGCACTCCAGCCTGAGTGACAGAGTGAGACTCTGTCCAAAAAAAAAAAAGAGAAAGAAGAGAAGAGAAGAGAAAAGAAAAGAGCGAGCTGTAGGTTAGGATCCACTTTAGAAATCCGAGTTATTCTGTGGAGGGCAGAGTGTTCTTCCCTTTCTTTTGGGCAGCACCTGATGAGTGAGGGCTTCATGATCAGAAAAATCAGTTTCACCTCCAGTGCTACACTTCCTTCTTCTGAGCTCCGGTACCTTACTAACCTTTGGGGATACCATGAGCCATAAAGAAAAAGGACAGAGGCTTTAAAGAGCAGAGCTGTTTGCTATGTGTTAAAATGGTATTATACTTTGTATCTTGACTGTTATATTACAAGTTGGGATCAACTTAACAGAAGTCAAGAGCCACAATTATCTATAACTGACTGATAATCACAAAGTCTGCCCTCCAAGACCTCACATTATTAGGATGTAAAACTTTTGTCAACCATATAAAGCAAGTATGAATGCCAAGTATGAATATCAAGTATAAATGATACCATTAAAATACTATAGGCTCAGGCCAGGTGCGATGGCTCACGCCTGATCCCAGCACTTTGGGAGGCTGAGGTGGGCAGATCACTTGAGCTCAGGAGTTCAAAAGACCAGCCTGGGCAACATAGTGAGACCTTGTCTCTACAGAAAAATTAGCCAGGTGTTGTGGTGTGTGCCTGTAGTCCCAGCTACCTCGGGGGCTGAGTGGGAGGATCACTTAAAACCCAGGAGGTGGAAGTTGCAGTTAGCCAAATCACACCATTGCAGTCCAGCCTGGGCAACAGAGTGAGATCTTGTCTCAAAAAAAAGAAAAAAAAAAAAAAAAAAAAGAGGCCCAGTGTGGTGGCTCACACCTGTAATCCCAGCACTTTGGGAGGCCGAGGCAGGTGGATCACCTGAGGTCAGGAGACTAGCCTGGCCAACATGGTGAAACCTTGTCTCTACTAAAAGTACAAAATTTAGCTGGGTGTGGTGGTGGGCGCCTGTAATCCCAGCTACTTAGGAGGCTGAGGCAGGAGAATTGCTTGAACCTGGGAGGTGGAGGTTGCAGTGAGCAGTTGCAGTGAGCTGAGATCACACCATTGCACTCCAACCTGGGCAACAAGAGCAAAACTCTGTCTCAAACAAATGAACAAGCAAACTACATGCTCTTGTAAGACACTGAAAACAATTTTTTGGCTTTACTTTCACTTCAAGAGGAGGGAGCCAACATTAATTAATTCCTACTATGTCTCAGGCATTGTATTCTTATAGATGATAGCTTATTTAACCATCACAGTAATTCTATGGAAGAGAATTACTGTGAATAAATGGAACCTCCATTTAACAAACAAGAAAACTGAGGTTCAAAGAGATTAAGTGACACCCTAAAGGCTCACATAGCAAGCAAAAAGAGCTGGGACTAGAATCCCGATTTTGTCTGGTTTCAAAGCCTCTGCTCTTGAAACAAATATGCCTTCTCTACCAAAGGTTGATAATTCATTCGGTCATCAAAAATGTATCAAGCACTTACTATTTTCTACCCATCCACCTAAGACTGAGATATACAACAAAACAGACACAACTCAGCCCTCATGGAGCTTAGTGTCCTGTGAGGAAGATAGACATTAAACAAGTATATAATTAAATACAGTGTGAACCGATTTATTTATGATGGGTAAAAAAAATTCTGAGGAGACATTAGGGCTGAGACCTAAAGGATGAATACAAGATGATGGGAAAGTGGGTAGTTAAAAGGAAGAGTGTCTTAGTCTGTTGGTGCTGCTATAACAAAATACCGTAGAAATTTATTTCTCACAATTCTGGAGGCTGGGAAGTTCAAGATCAAGGTGCCAGCAGATTTTGTGTTTGATAAGGGCTCACTGTCTGCTTCCAAGATGGCACCTTATTCCTGTGTCCTTTGGAGGTGACAAATGCTGTGTCTTCACACAGCAGAAGGAATGGAGGGGCCAGGCAGCTCTCTGTAGCCTCTTCTATAAGGGCATTAATCACATTTACAAGGGCAGAGCCTTCATGACTTAACCACTTCCCAAGTGATTAATACTTCTTAATACCACCTCTTAATACCCCCACGGGGGGGACTAAAGTTCAACATGAACTTTGGTATTTCTCCAATATTCACTTTGAAGCCTAATCCCCAATTCAATGGTATCAAGAGGTGGGGCCCTTAGGCCCCTCATGAATGGATGAGTGCCTCATAAAAGGGCTCGAAAGGGTGAGTTCGCTCCTTCTGTCCCTTCCGTCATGTGAGGACACAGCATTTCTTCCCTCCAGAGGATGCAGCAGGAAGGTGCCATCTTGGAAACAGAGTAGTCTTCACTAGACACCAAATCTGCTGACAACTTGATCTTAGATTTCCCAGCCTCCAGAACTGTGAGAAATAAATTTCTGTTCTTTATAAATTACCCAATCTCAGGTATTTTGTTATAGCAGCACAGACTAAAAAGAAAACAGCATGTGCACAAATCCTAAAGAGAGAGCAAGAACTCAGACTGTTCAAAGCTATTAAGGAGGCCAGTGTGTCTTGACTACGAGCAGGGTAGAACAAACAACATTGTGAGAGCACCCAGGGGCAAGCTGTGGAAGGTCCATGTCTGTATTCAATTGTAATGAGAAGCTTCTGAAGAGCCGTGAGAAAGCAACATGTCCAACCTACTTTAAAAATCTTATTCTAGGCCAAGCACAATGGCTCATGCCTGTAACCCCAGGACTCTGGGAGGCTGAAGTGGGAGTATCACTTAAGCCCAGGAGTTTGAGACCAGCCTGGGCAACATAGTGAGACCCCAGCTCAATTTTTAAAAAAGAATTAAAAAACAAAAACAAAAACAAAAATCTTATGCTAGCTACAATGTGAAGAACAGACTGGAGAGGAGCTACGATGAAGCAGGGATCCCAGTAAAGACCAGGCAAGAGATAGAGAGTTTTAACTAATAGGGTGCCAAGGGGATAAAGAAGTACATAGACCAGAGATATAATTAGGACTTGCAAATAGACTGGAGTGGGAGGGAAAATCAAAATCAAATCAAGAAGAGAAATCAAGGGTGATGGCCAGATGTGTAGTCTGGGAACCTGCAGGATAGTGGTTCTATTTGTTGAGGTGAAAACATCTAGAAGAGAAACAATTTTTTGAGTGTCTCAGTATGTTCTGTGTTACTTTAACAGAATACCAGAGACTGGATAATTTATAAAGAAATGAAATTTATTTGGCTCATAGTTCTGGAGGTTGGAAAGTCCAAGAGCAAGGTGCCAGCATCTGGCAAGAATCTTCTTGTTGTGTCATCCCATGGTGGAAGGTAAGAGGGTAAGAAGGAGAGAAAGAGATCAAACTCACAGCCTCAAGCCTTTCAGTAATTGGCATTAATCCCTTCAGGAGGGTGGAGCCCTCAAGAACTAAATACCTCCTACTAGGTCCTACCTCCCAACGTTGATGCACTGGAGATTAAGTTTCCAAAACATGCTTTTTAGGGGACACATTCAAACCACAGCAGTGAAAAAATAAATTCATTTTAAAACATAAATTACACATGCTGGTATTCCAATGACGATGTCAACTACGCACTTAAATATCTGGAGCTTAGAGAAGGCACATGTGATTGCCAGATGTTCCGCTGGCCCTTCCCATTTAAGCTGTAATGCTCAAGACAGACTTAAGTGGACAGGAACAACAAACCCAGTTGTCACCCTTAATCTATTTTAACATAAATGGTGGGTTTTCAAAGCACAAAAGAATATACCTCTCCTTGGAAAATAGTGTAGAGAGCAGGCAAGTTTTCCATGGTCTCAGGCCTTCCTGAATTCATCCTTAATATTCTATGGCTCCTCCATTTCTCTTCTATTAAAGCTAATACAAGTGTCCTGTCATAAAGAAATCAGACACCAATTAGAGAGATATCTGCATTAAAGAAATGAATATGCAGACAATCCACAGCTATTCTCTACAGAATAATACCACTAGATTTAACACCATACACTTTTATCCAAATCTCTTTTGTTTATTCTAATTGTGGGGAGTTTTGGAAACCTTGATCCTATTTCTCAACAATTTGTTACTTACCCAAGGCCATTAGGCTACTAATTTTGTTGTGTTTGGTTTTTTTAAATTGCTATTTTTGCTATTTTTTTTGCCGGGGAAGAATTTTGGGGGAGGGTGGGAAAAGATGTTAAGTATGTTTGACCGGATCTCAAAAAAATGGAATAACAGAAATAAAAACATTAATGCAGCACTTACTATGTCCAGGCACTGTGCTAAGCACTAGACATGCAATCTCGTTTAATTCTCAAAACTCAGGCTGGGTATGGTGGCTCACACCTGTAATCCCAGCACTGTGGTTGCTGAGGTCGGACGATCTCAGGATCAGGAGTTCCAGACCAGCCTGGCCAACATAGCGAAATCCCATCTCTACTAAAAATACAAAAATTAGCCAGGCATAGTGGCAGGAGCCTGTAGTCCCAGCTACTTGGGAGGCTGAGGGAGGAGAATCACTTGAACCTGGGAGGCAGAGGCTGCAGTGAGAGATCACACCACTGCACCCCAGACTAAGGAACAGAGCGAACTCCATCTCAAAAACAAAACAAAACAATTCTCAAAACTCTTAAAATGTAAGTTCTATTACTATTATATTATACAGATGAGAGAACAAAGGCTTCCAGAAGTTAAATTACTAAGCATGTCAAAAAGCCAGGAAATGGGGAGTCAAACTGGCTGACTCCAGAGTCCATTCTCTTAACTACTATGCTAAGGTATTAAATCTGAAGTGACTTCAAAGAGAAAAGGGCTTACTTTTTTTTTCTTGATAAAATTAAAACACATACACACTGTGAAAGTTCAGATAATAAAAAAATTCAGATAATACATTAATAATAAAGAAAATGAAATCACCTGTAATTCAATTTGATCTATATTCTTACAGTTTTTTTATATGTAGAAGTGGTTTTTTAATGGAATCATGAAATCATTTTCTTACTACAGCAATTCATACGCATACACAACTTTTTGTTAACACGTACCTAATAATCCATTGTTGGATGTACCAAATTCATTTAACTATTTCTGAATTATGTGAAAATGCAGATTGCAGTTCAGTAGGTCTGAGGTGTTACCTGAGATAATGCATTTTCAACCAGCTACTAGGTGACACTGATACTGCCTAAGTAGCAAAACTTACAGCTTTGGATACTTACCTTAGAGATAATCTTGCTCAGCCTCCTGATCTTAAACAGAGGGGAAACCAGCAATCTAGCGGCTCTTAAACATGCCTCTTTACTCTGTTGGATAAATCACTGCCAAGATAAATCTAATGGTACTATCCTCAGTTCTCTTTCCTCCCAATTACATTTGACACCAGTAAGACCTGAAATTATTTTTCTTGTGTTTTCACAGGTAAATACTTTCTTCTCTCCTCAACCCCCACTGCTTCCTTTCACTTTCAGAGGATGACTTGATGTCCTGATTTTGGTAAGTATTCCCGATTTACAATGACCATCCATTAAATTGACAGCTTCACTTGAAACAGAAATGAAAGAAAATCCTTTCAGGACATCCAAACCCTTGTTCTAGTATTATCCCACAGCTCAGGAACATCCCTGTCCTCAAGCTCCCTAAGATAATCTTATATCCTTATACTAAACTTGCCCTTTTCTGCTTAGGTCAGCCAAAGTGTCTTTTTATTACTGTACTAAAAGTACACAGAGCTAATACAGGCAGATTTGTCAGTTCTTGAGAAATAGCTCATAAACAGGTTAATTCCAAGTTTTACATTCTGGTTAAATCCTGCCTCTTCCATTTCATAGCAATACAATCTCATCTCTAGCCTGTCCTTTCCCTCTGTCCAGTATCCCTCACCTCACATGCTAGAACAGGAGTTACTAATCTATCAGGTTCTATCAGGAGACTTTTATTATCCCTCCAACACTTGAAACGTATTAGTGAGGTACAGAATCCATAGGGGCACCAGCAGCTGAAACATCTAAATTAACTTCAAACATCTTAATCTATCATCTGTTACTCTACACACAAAGGTCATAGGCCAGGTGCAGTGGCTCACGCCTGTAATCCCAGCACTTTGGGAGGCCAAGGCGGGTGGATCATCTGAGGTCAGGAGTTCGAGACCAGCCTGGCCAACACGGTGAAACCCCATCTCTACTAAAATACAAAAAATGAGCCGGGCATGGTGGTGCACACCTGTGGTCCCAACTACTTGGGAGGCTGAGGCAGGGGAATTGCTTGAACCCAGGAGGCAGAGGTTGCAGTGAGCCGAGATTGTGCCACTGCACTCCAGCCTGATGACACAGTGAGACTCCGTCTCCAAAAAAAAAAAAACAACAAAAATCAGCCAGGCGTGATGGCAGGCGCCTGTAATCCCAGCTACTCTGGAGGCAGGAGAATCACTTGAACCGGTGAGGTGGAGGCTGCAGTGGGCCAAGATTGGGCCACTGCACTCCAGCCTGGGCAACAGAGCAAGATTCCATCTCAAAAAAAAAAAAAAAGTCTAAAGCAGAAATGAACTTACATTGTTGCTTACAGACTTCTGCTGTGATAAGCATACAAAAAGCTAGGTTTAATGCTCCCAGATTTATACCTCTTGTAGAACAGTGGCCTAAGAAACCCCATGCAATTCTTCAAGAAGGAAACTGGGGCCAGGTGCAGTGGCTCACGACTGTAATCGTGGGAAGCTAAGGCGGGAGGATCACTTGAGGCCAGGAGTTCAAGACCAGCCTGGACAACACAGTGAGACTCTATCTCTACTTAAAAAAAAAAAAAATCAGCCAGGCACAGTGGCTCACGCCTGTAATCCCAGCGCTTTGGGAGGCCAAGGCGGGTGGATCACAAGGTCAAGAGTTCGAGACCATCCCGGCCAACATAGTGAAACCCCGTCTCTACTAAAAATACAAAAATTAGCTAGGCATGGTGGTGCGCACCTGTAGTCCCAGCTACTTGGGAGGCTGAGGCAGGAGAATTGCTTGAACCCGGGAGGCGGAGACTGCAGTGAGCCGAGATGGCCCCACTATAGTCTAGCCTGGTGACAGAGCAAGACTCCGTCTCAAAAAGAAAAAAAGAAAAAAAATCAGCCAGGTGTGGTGACACCAGCCTATAATCCCAGCTACTTGGGAGGCTGAAGCAAGAGGATCGCTTGAGCCAAGGAGATCAAGGCTGCAGTGAGGTACGATCATGCCAATGCAATCCAGCCTGGGCGACACAGTGAGACCTTATCTCAAAAAAAAACTGGCATGCATTTTTGAGGGAAAGCCTGAAATATAACAGTACAGTAGTCCTCCCATCCACAGTTGTACTTTCCACAGTTGCAGTTACTCACAGTCTACCACGGTCCAAAAACACCAAATGAAAAATTCCAGAAATAAACAATTCATAAGCTTAAAACTGTTATGTTGTTCTTATTAGTGTGATGAAATCTTGTGCCATCCCACTCTGTTCCATCTGGGATATGAATCATCCCCTTTGTCCAGCGTATCCATGCTGCATACACTAGTCACTCAGTGTATATTAAGTGCCCATTAGTCACATAGTAGCCATCTTGGTTATCAGACTGACTGTTGAAGTATCTCTGCTTGTGTTCAAATAATCCTTTCTTTACTTAATAATGGCCACGAAGCAGAGTAGTAATGCTGGCAATTTTGGTATACCAAAGAGAAGCTGTAAACTGCTTCCTTTAAGTGAAAGGGTGAAAGTTCTCAAGGGGAAAAAAAAAATTGTATGCTAAGGTTGCTAAGATCTATAGTAAGAATGAATCTTCGATGTCTGAAATTGTGAGGAAGAAAAAAACATTCATGTTAGTTTTGCTGTTGCACCTCAAACTGCTAAAGTTATAGCCACAGTGTATGATAAGTGCTTAGTTAAGATGGAGAAGGCATTAAATTTGTGGGTAGAAAATACAAACAGAAACGTCTTCCAATTGATAGCAACTGGGTTCAGCAGTGCCCACAATTTTAGGGATCCAATGGGGGTCTTGGAATGTATCCCCCATGAACAAGGGGGTATGACTATAACAGGTTTACAATTTCAGGAAAGTAAATGGTTGTCATTTTTTAAATATGGAATATAAAACTTTTTTTCAAATTCTGTAGAAACCGAGGGTTCTATTGCGGTTACTCAGAGGCTCCTTAGTTAATCCAAATTTATTTTTAAAAAGTCAACTTCCAGGCCAGGTACAGTAGTCCACACCTGTAATTCCAGCACTTTGGAAGGCTGAGGTGGAAGGAATGCTTGAGACCAGAAGTTCGAGGCCAGCCTGGGCAACACAGCGACACCCCATCTCCACAAAATATTTTTTAAAAAAAAGAAAAGAAAATTATGGCCGGGCATGGTGGCTCACGCCTGTATCCCAGCACTTTGGAAGGCCAAGGTGGGTGGATCGCTTGAGGTCAGGAGTTCAAGACCAGCCTGGACAACACGGTAAAACCCTATCTCTACTAAAAATACAAAAAATAAAATAAATTAGCTCGGCATAGTGGCACCTGCCTATTGTCCCAGCTACTCAGGAGGCTGAGGCAGGAGGATCACTTGAGCCCAAGAGATGGAGAGTGCACTGAGCCGTGATCATACCACTGCACTCCAGCCTAGAAGACAAAATGAAACCCTGTCTCAAAAAAAAGAAATTAAAAAAAAAAAGTCAACTCTGAAATATCTAGGTCACCACAAGGTCCCAGACCAGTGAGGCTGCCTCTAAGTCAACCAACCAGAGGTGAGCCTCCATACCAAAGGCTGAGGGAGTAGAACCCCCAAAGAAACTAGAGCTGGGAGAAGTCCCACTCAGAGCAGTTGGGTAGAAGCCTCTCCTCAGTAATTAGGCAAAGGTCAATTATTACTGATTCACAGTTAATCTCCCAACCTTATGGTGGGCCACAGTGAAAGGGGGAGTGAGTGAGAATTACTGCAAGGGTGCCTACTGTAACAACGTATTCTGCTTTGATCCAGTTTACATATTAAAATTCTGTGTAAGATTTCACTTGGAAAAAAAAAGAGTTCTGCTACTTTTAAAGAGTATACAGCCGTGCGTGGTGGCTCACGCCTGTAATCCCAGCACTTTGGGAGGCTGAGGCAGGTGGATCACGAGGTCAGGAGATCAAGACCATCCTGGCTAACACAGTGAAACTCCATCTCTACTAAAAATACAAATAATTAGCCAGGCGTGGCAGCGGGCACCTGTAATCCCAGCTACTCGGCAGGCTGAGGCAGGAGAATGGCATGAACCTGGGAGGTGGAGCTTGCAGTGAACCAAGATCGTACCATTGTACTCCAGCCTGGGCGACAGAGCGAGAGTCCGTCTAAAAAAAAAAAATAAGAGTATATAACATTGAGCCAGGCACGGTGGCTCACACCTGTTAATACCAGCACTTTGGGAGGCCATGGCGGGTGGATCACTAGAGCCCAGGAGTTCGAGAATAGCCTGGGCAACACGATGAAACCCCATCTCTACTAAAAATACAAAAATTAGCTGGGCATTGTGGTGGGCACCTGTAATCCCAGCTACTCGGGAGACTGAGACAGGAGAACCACTTGAACATGGGAGGTGGAGGTTGCAGCGAGCCGAGATCATGCCACTGCACTCCACCCTGGGCAACTCCACCCTGGGCAACAGAGACTCTGTCTCAGAAAGAAAAAAAAAAAAGAGTATATAACATTAAGATAGATACAGTCAGTCAGACAGGACCACATTCATACACTTAAAAGAGCCAGTAAGTCGACAAGGATTGAGGTACACCATTTGGAGTTGCCTTGCAATAGCTCTGAATGCAGAACAAAGCATTTTGCTTGCATGTTTTAAACAACTGTGTTACATAGGGAAGCAACAGGGGACCAATTACTAGCCACTCTCTTTCCAAAACAAGGGACAGAGAAAGGAAAGTATGGGATGGAAGTAAAGGATACAGGAGAAGAAATGGTGGCCCAGAGTGAGGTCAGAGTCTAAGCTGGGTGAGGAGGAAATCTACAAAGAGAACTGCAATATAGGGAAGAATAAGGTGATGAAGGCACACACTGGAGCAGCCCAGAATGGGTAGTCAGAGCTCGAGCATCAAGAGGTGGGGCCTGAGGATCAAAGAAGTAATGCAATGTTAATTTCATAATGTTGGTAATTACACTGTGGCTATAGAGGAGAATGTCCTTGTTTGTAGGAAAAAAAGTTTTCAGGGCTGTTGGGGTATTGGGTCAGCAATTTAACTCAAATAATTCAGAAAAATGTTATCTGTACATGCTTCCATAATTATGTGATAGTTTCAAAAAAAAATTTTAAAGTACACATGCAACTGGGAAAAAAACCCTACACATCCTGTCCTCCTATCCCCCAAGCAATGAAAAGTTTAAAGAACAATATTAAATTGGCCAGACATTTTATAGCCTTTTTGGAACTTCATTTAATGTGTCACCTTACTGACCTGGTCAAGATTTTTGTTGTTATCATTTTCCAGCTTGTTTGGATTTAGATTTTTTTGTTACTTGAGTACTAATTGACTAGAACCCTAAGAATTTAAAGGAATTTTAGTTTATCTTTAAGCTGTGCTGGAATTGTGAGCAAAGTAAGCTAACTAAAACTACTAGGATATGAACAGAGACAGAATAATGACTCCAGAGCCTGCACTGTTTGCTTTGTTTTTTGTTTTGAGGCAGGGTCTCACTCTGTTGTCCAGGCCGGAGTGCAATGGTCCAAACATGGCTCCCTGCAGCCTTGACCTCCTGGGCTCAAGCTATCCTCCCGCCTCAGCCTCCCAAGTAGCTGGGACAGAAACACACCAACGAGCTTGGCTAATTTTTTTTTTTTTTGAGGGGGGGTAGAGACTGGATTTCATTATGTTGCCCAGTCTGGTCTTGAACTCCTGGCTCAAGCAATCCTCCTACCTCAGCCTCCCAAAGTGCTGAGATTACAGGCATGAGCCATGGCACCCGGCCAAGAGCCTGCATTCTTAAGCACTATACCTCAAAAAGAATTCACAATCGAATATGGTTTGGCTTTGTGTCCTCACCCAAATTTCATCTTGAACTGTAATCCCCACATGTTGGGGGAGGGACCTAGTGGGAGGTGACTGG
Organism: Homo sapiens; assembly: GCF_000001405.40. Classification (NCBI taxonomy): domain Eukaryota; kingdom Metazoa; phylum Chordata; class Mammalia; order Primates; family Hominidae; genus Homo; species Homo sapiens. The sequence continues at coordinate 31,302,857 of NC_000001.11, read as the reverse complement.
ATCATGGCAGTTTCCCACAGTCTGTTCTCATGATAGTGACAGAGTTTTCACGAGATCTGATGGTTTAAATGTGGCAGTTTCTCTTGCTCTCTCTCTCTCTCCTCTGACACCACTTAAGACGTGCCTTGCTTCCCCTTCACCTTCTGCCATGAGTTATAAGTTTCCTGAGGACTCCCCAGCAATTCAGAACTGTGAGTCAATTAAACCTTTCTCCTTTATAATTACCCAGTCTCAGGGAGTTCTTTAGAGCAGTGTGAAAATGGGCTAATACACGGTCTAAATCTAAATTTTGTAGAATATAGCTCTAACACTAACTAGGTCCCAACATTAGAGGAATCAATGTGGATATCATTCATGGAAGAGCTAGGATGAGCAACGTCTGGATCCATTCATTCAAACATGAAACCAAGGACCATTTCTCATTTGATTTTGTGTTCCTGGGGTCTGGTATACTACAAGTACTCAGTTTTTTTTAAATGAGTGAACTGAGCCTCACTATATGCCAAGCACAGGTAGAGAAAGAGGGGGGAACACATTCTGGTCTAAAGGATATAGAAGAAGAAGGAGCTAGGTCCCATTTAATATGTTGGACAGATCAACAGATGGAACACTTCTTTTTTCTTTTTTTTTAAGATGGAGTCTCGCTCTGTTGCCCAGGCTGGAGGGCAGTGGTGCGATCTCGACTCACTGCAACCTCCACTTCCCGGGTTCAAGTGATTCTGTCACCTCTGCCTCCCAAGTAGCTGGGACTACAGGCATGCAACACCATGCCCAGCTAATTTGTGTACTTTTAGTAGAGACATGGTTTCACCATGTTGGCCAGGTTGGTCTCAAACTCCTGACCTCAAGTGATCTGCTCGCCTCGGCCTCCCAAAGTGTTAGGATTACAGGTGTGAACCACCGCACCCGGCCGGGACACTTTCAAATGTCAAACTGGTGGTCCAACTTTCCTCCCTCCCACCAAATTCTAGAGTGACCATGTAAGATAGATGCTTCTTGCTTTCAAATTCCAGTCGTGGACCTGTTGAGAAAATAGCCAAAAGCAGGAAAGAGGAATAGTAAAATGCCAGGAAAAACACAAAAGATGAACTCAGAAAATGTAAAAACTTAAAGGAATTATGGAAATAATTAAACCTATTACTCTTAGGCCACTGAAAATGAAGCCAAGTGATTTGACAAAGGCTGCTCACAGTTAGCAACATTGGTATAAGACCCCAGGATCAGCACTTATTCTACCACTCGACACTACACTTTCAGTCAATTATTCCTAAGATCCCTTCAAAGTCTTATAATAGCTAATATTTGAGTGCTTCATATCTGCCATGTATTAATCTAAGAGCTTTACTTCTCTTAACTAATTTTTCTTTTTAAAATTTTATCTTCATGACATTCAATAATTCTCTTCTTGACTATCCCATAAAACAGGCAATTATCATTGCCATTTTAAAAATGAGGACACAAGAGAAGCTAAGTAAACTCGCTCAAGATTGCAAAATATGAATGATGGGGATGGGATTCAAATCATTTTTAGGGACATTTTTTTCCTCCCTTTGTAGAGTGTGGAACTCTTGTAAGCATGCCTTTGTCTTGCACATCATCATATCCTTCCTCCCCAAATCTCCAGTGCCTAGCACAGTGTAACACACATGGAAATTGTCTACTAAAATAGTGAAGTATTTAATTTTACCCCATTTAAATTGTTAATTCATCAATTCAGTATGCTATTGATTGATGTTTATATATAAGGTACTTTATAAACCTGCTTTCAATCCCTAAAACTCCTCTACAAAGCAAGTAATCCTATTTTACAGGAATGAAATAACTTGTCCAAAACAACACAGCAAGAAAGAGACAAATCTTAGGCCATTCCAAGGGCCACACACACTTGCCACTAAACCACCCTTTTTTTTCTTTTTTTTTTTTTGAGACAGAGTTTTGTTCTTGTCACCCAGGCTAGAGTGCAATGGCGCGATCTTAGCTCACTGCAACCTCCTCCCAGGTTCAAGCGATTCTCCTGCCTCAGCCTCCCGAGTAGCTGGGATTACAGGCACACACCACCATGCCCAGCTGATTTTTATATTTTTAGTAGAGACAGGGTTTCACCATATTGGTCAGGATGGTCTCGAACTCCTGACCTCAGGTGATCCACCTGCCTCGGCCTCCCAAAGTGCTGGGATTATAGGAGTGAGCCACAGCACCCGGCCTAAACCACCCTTTTCAACACAGTCCCTGTTCTCAAAGACCTCCTAATCTGATAGGGATATCAGATATCATCATTCCAACAACACTCTAAACTCCCTTTAACTCTGTCTTTATATTTAACTATCTGGCAGTATGTCTAACCTAGCCCGGGACAGTTGCAGACAACAGAACCCACTTAAGCAGAAAGGGATGTATTGCAATAACAGACTTTGGCGGAACTTCCAGGAACAACACCTAACCCACAAAATAACACCAATTACACTGCAATGTGATAAGTGCTAAAGCAGAAGCTTGGGGGCCAGGCATGGTGGCTTATGCCTATAATCGTAGCACTTTGGGAGACCAAGGCAGCAAGATCACTTGAGGCCAGGAGTTTGAGACCAGCCTGGACAACATGGCAAGACCTTATCTCTATAAAAAATACAACAATTAGCCAGGCATGGTGGCACATACCTGTTATCCCACCTACTGGAGAGGCTGAGGTGGGAGGATCACTGGAGCCTGGGAGGTCGAGGCTACAGTGAGCCATAATCATGCCACTGCAATCGGCCTGGGCAACAGAGTAAGACTGTCTCAAAACAAACAAACAAAAGTAGTAGCTAGGAAGAGAAAGAGGGTCTGGGGGAAGTAGAGAAGTTAAACAGATAACTGAATAAGCCTTTTAGGATAAACAGAAATCCTCTAGCAGAGAATACTGTTCTTTGACCTCATTAGAACCCTGATTTATTGGCCTCTATTTTCTTCCAATCTATCAGCCCTCCCCTTTTTCTTCAGTTTTCTTCCAATCCAGCTTAGATTCCATAGCCCATCATTCCAACAACACCCTAAACTCCCTTTAACTCTGTCTTTATATTTAACTCTCTGGCAGTACCTCTAACCTGGTCAGGGACAGTTGCAGACAACAGAACCCACTTAAGCAGTAAGGGATGTATTGCAATAAAAGACTTTGGCAGAACTTCCAGGAACAACACCTAACCCACAAAATAATACCACCTTTGCCACAATCCAGGAAAGTTATGGCTATCACTGCAGCAAGCCACCAAACCAGGGAGCTATTGACTGGAGAAATTTACTGCCATGACTGGCAGCAAAACTGGATGACTCACACCCTCCTTCTTTCCACATTTAACTCAGTTCCAAATTCAATTTTCACCTTAGGTGCAAGGGAGTCAAGAAAATGGTTTTTAGTTTTCCAGATTTTTCAGGAAGAGAAGACATATTAGAGGTTAGAATGTGTCTTGAGCAAGCGATGTCCTTGCCATACCCAGAAAGGTTTTCTCCATGCATGCACTAAACCGCTGGATATGCTGGAAAAAAATTTTTTTTTTCCTTGCATCCTACATTTCTCTAGTAACCTCATTCTCCCACACTCCACAGTGACTTTCAAATCTTCTACAATATTCTCAAATTTCTCAAAACTGGATCCTCAACTGGATCCTGGATAATCCCTTATCCCCATCGGTTAGCACATCCTCTCCTCCTCTTTACAATCAGATCTATGAAAAATACTGTGTAGGTTCACTACCTACATTTTCTTGTCCAAATCCTTGCCTCATATCTGGCTTTTGGCCCAATCACACCAACAAAATAACTCTTGCTAAGGTTACTGTGACCTCCATGATGATAAAAGCCAAAATATGTTTTTCAATCTTCATGTTATTTAAATTCTAGAAATTTCTATCACAAATCATTCTTTTGCTTCTGAGACATTCTTCCAGTCCTCCTTCCTTTCTTCTGTATCTCCTGTAGGTTCACCTGTTCTTCACCATTAAATGTTGGAACTAGTCAAGGTTCTGACTTAGCTGACCTTACCCACACCTATGGCTCAATTCATGTATATACAAATTATGCCCAATTTTATATTCCCAACACAAATCTCTCTTCTGAGCACAAAGCTGTATTTCAAACTGCCTCTTGGATGTCATGAATGACCCCACACAATCAATCAATCAATCAATAAAAACTGATCTCAGCTGGGAGCAGTGGCTCAGGCCTGTAATCCCAGAATTTTGGGAGGCTGAGGCAGGTGGATCACTTGAGGCCAGGAGTTGGAGACCAGCCTGGCCAATATGGTGGAACCCCATCTCCACCAAAAATACAAAAATTGGCCGGGCACAGTGGAGGCGCCTGTAATCCCAGCTACTGGGGAGGCTAAGGCAGGAGAATTGCTTGAACCTGGGAGGTGGAGGTTGCAGTGAGCCAAGGTTGCACCACCACACTCCAGCCTGGGCGACAGAGCAAGAACCTGTCTCAAAAAAAAAAAAAAAACAAAAAAAAACTGGTCTCTAATCATCTTCTAGTGTTCCCTATCCAGCTTGAGGGATTCCGTGATAGTGAGTGAATGGTACCACCATCTATTCAACTACATAAGCCAGAAACCTAGGAGTTACCTTTGATTCCTCTCTTCACTCCCTAAAATCAACCCATCACCAAGTCCCACCCATTTTACCTCCTATATACCTCTAGAATCTGTCCAATTCTCTGCAGTTCCACCCATATCTCAGTCCTCACTGACATCTCTGACCAGGATTACTGCATATCCCAAGTGGTCCACATACATCGACTAGGGCTTCCCCAACCCCCGTCTGTTCACACCACTGAGCCTGAGGGATCAAGTCCCCTCCTCCACCACACCCCACTGGGGGAAGACGGCTCAGTGGTATCTCATCCGTTTTAAAATAAAAGCTACAAATTCCTGCAAGGTCTGACCGCTATCACGTACAGCTTCATCTTGTACCATACTCCCTTCATTCTCTTTGTACCAGCCACACTGGCTCTTTGTGCTTTTAGTCATTTTCCTCCCAAGTGCCTCAGGGCTCTGAACAAGTAGTTCTCTATGGAAGGTTCTGCCTTCACTTCTTCACCTAATTAATTACAACACTTCCTGCAGCTACCAGCGCAGGCATCTTTTCCTCTGAAAAACCTTCCTGCTTATTTCAGGCACTCATAGCATCAGGCAGCAGTAGGAGGCATTTCCATGTATTAGTGAGGTCATTGTTTAACGTTTTCCCCACCAGAGTTAAACGCCCTGAGAGTAGGGACCGTGCCCGGTTCACAACATACCCCCAACGCGCTGCTAAATGAATATCAGCAGGACGACTGAGGCAATGACCACGTTCATGGGCATGAGTCTCAAATTTCTCAACAAGACTGTGCTCTGGAGAAGGAGTCGGACATTTCCTTCATCACTGTCTCTCTCAGGGGGGCATACAGTAGGCCCTGATCAAAAACTGCAAAATCAGTGGCAGAAACAAGTCAGCCTCCTCGGCCAAATGGGGCACCGGAGGAGGCTGGGACGCAGGCCTTTCTCCCTGGGAATGCCCGGCACAGGACTGGCCACGATGGGCGCTCTTGAAGAAGGGAGCCGCAGGGGCTGGGTCTTGCCGCCAGAGACCCCAAGGCTCCGCTCCTGCCCCGAAAGGGAGCCCAGGCTACTACTTACCACAGCTGGGGACTCGGGGCCCGCCTCCCACCCCTTGCTGTCAGCACCCTCAGCTGAGAAGGGCAGGTTCAGACTGCACAACCGAGGCGTCGCCTCCAGACTCAGGCAGCCACCCACCCCGTTCTTCCTCATACGTACTAGGCGTCAGCTCCAGGTCCCCGAGTCGCTGCGCTGAACTAAACGCCGACCCCAGTCAGCCAGCGCGTTTCCACCCACAAGACCCAGCGCGCCTAGGGCGGTCGCCAGCTCCGTCCACCAATCCTGGTATCGCACTCTCATGACGTCAGAAAGATATGCCCAATAACAAGAGACTATCCGAGGGCGGTGCAAATGGAAATATTGAAAGCCGATTGGTTCTTCCAAGCTGGAAGTTGTGGAGGAAGGACTAATTTGGAACCAATTGCGTGGCGCCTGAGAGCGGCAGCGCGGTCAGTGGCGGCGCTGAAGAGACCGGTTGCCGCCATGATAGAACAGCAGAAGCGTAAGGGCCCAGAGTTGCCGCTGGTTCCAGTCAAGCGGCAGCGGCATGAGTTGCTGTTGGGAGCGGGGTCTGGCCCAGGAGCCGGGCAGCAGCAGGCGACGCCGGGAGCCTTGCTGCAAGCGGTAAGTGAAGAAGCAGGCGGCCTTTGGCCCTCAGCTCATCTTCCTCCCCTCAGAGCGCTGTATCTGGTGATCCCTGACCCTTTCCCGCATTGCGGGGGCAGAACGAGAGTTTCTACGCAGAGTTAAAGCACATAAACACTGTAAAAGCTCCCCATAGCCTGCGAATGCTGCGTACGTGTTCCCCCGTTTGGCGCCCGTTTTCAGCCTCTCGACTGCCCTGAGATAGCATTAGAATTAGAGTTGAGGACCTTGGGCTCAAAACCCTGACCCGGGTTTAAGCATCCTGACTCTAACATGGATCTGGCATAGAACAAAAATTCCGAAGAGTGTGTAGAATGAATGAATGAGGGAGGGAAGAAAAAAGGGAAATGATTTGTGTTGGCTCGTTTTGGGACTTTGGGCAAGTTGCTTTTCCCTTTATTTCTCTGCACTAGTATTATTAACAACTAAATAGCAGCTAACATTCATTGACTCTTGTACTAAAGTGTTTCGTATATGAAATTTCCATTGATCTTGGTAGCAGCCTGTTAGGAACGTTATTAACCCATTTTGCAGATGGAAAAACAGACTTACCAAGTACGTGATAGAAGCAGATTTCGAACTGAGAAACCATGCTCCTAACTACATTTTTTGTAAGATAGAAATAGTGATCACACTTCTAATGTCCTGTTTAGGCTCAGACGAGGAAATACGAGTGTCCTCACATCTCCTCAATAAATCCTGCTGGCACCGTCCTCAAAATAGGTCTAGAATTGCTACTTCTACCATCTCCATCATTGCCTCATGGCCTAAGCCATTATTATCTCATCTGGCATTTTTGTAGTGGGACCCTAACTGGTCTTCCACTTTCTACCTTTGTATCAGCACCTGTTACCAAGCCAATAACCAAAGGAATCCTTCTAAACATCAGATCACATTACACTCTGCAGAAAACTTTCTGGTGGCTTTGTACTTCATCCAGAGTAAAAACCAAAATTCTTGTAATTATTTGCCCTCTTTCCCTTTACCTCTCTGACCAATTTCTTATTGCTCACCTGGCTTCAGTTACTCTCTCTTCCAAGCCTCTGCTTCAGGACCTTTGCATTTGCTGTCCTCTCTGTGGGATTGCTCTTCACAAATGTTTACATGGTTTACTATTCAGCTCCTGCGAATATTTGCCCAAATGTAATTTTTTCAGTGAGGATTTTCCTGACCACCCTATTTTAAATTGCAGTACCACATACTGTGGAACCCACATTGCTTCTCTCTCTCTCTTTTTTTGTTTTTTTGTTTTTAGACAATCTCTCTGTGTTGACCACTGGCTCAGTACAGCCTCCACCACCTGGGCTCAAGTGATCCTCCTGCCTCAGCCTCCTGAGTAGCTGGGACCACAGACACACACCACCACATCTAACTAATTGTATTTTTTTGTAGAGACAGGATTTCACTCCTGAGCTCAAGCAATCCGCACACCTTGGCCTCCCAAAATGCTGAGATTACAGGCATGAGCCACCATCCCCATCCCTTCTTTTGCTCTATAGCACATGACACCACATATATAGTTTGCTTGTTTTCTCTCACCTTCCCTTCTCCCTTCCCCCTTTCCCACTGGAACAGCGAGCTCCATTGTTTATTTTGTTCATTGCTGTTTGCCCAGTGCCTAGCACGTAACTTCTTTTTTTTTTTTTTAAGATGGAATTTTGCTCTTGTCACCCAGGCTGGAGTGGAGTGGCGCAATCTCGGTGCACCGCAACCTCCGCCACCCGGGTTCAAGCGATTCTCCTGCCTCAGCCTCCTGAGTGGCTGGAATTACAGGCGCCCGCCACCATGCCTGGCTAATTTTTGTATATTTTTAGTAGAGACGGAGTTTCACCATGTTGGTCAGGCTGGTCTCAAACTTTTGACCTCAAGTGATCCGCCCACCTCAGCCTCCCAAAGTGCTGGGATTACAGGTGTGAGCCACCGCGCCCAGCCTGCACATAACATTTTTTAAAACTAAATGAATCTGGCCGGGCTTGGTGGTGGGTGCCTGTAATCCCAGCCACTCGGGAGGCTGATGCAGGAGAATCGCTTGAACCCAGGAGGCGGAGTTTGCGATGAGACGAGATCACGCCATTGTACTCCAGCCTGGGCAACAGAGCAAGACTCCTTCCCCAAAAAATAAATAAATAAATAAATAAATATGAAAATGCTGGGAAGTACTGAAGAGATTTGGGGATTATGGGTAGTATACTTCTCCCATTTGACAAGTGAGCATATCAGCCCATGTTTAGATGAATTGCCCAAGTGTCATCTTGGTGTCCAAGACCATAATCAAAACTACTTCACCCATGCTGAGGATCCGTTTGCTATGAAAAAATAAGAAATAAAAATAGGCCAGGTGCAGTGGCTCATGCCTATAATCCCAGCACTCTGGGAGGCCAAGGCAGGCAGATCACATGAGGCCAGGAGTTTGAGACCAGCCTGGCCAACATGGTGAAACCCCATCTCTACTAAAAATACAAAAATTAGCCGGGCGTGGTTGTGCATGCCTGTAATCTTGGCTGCTCGGGAGGCTGAGGCACCAGATCCCTTGAACCCAGAAAGCATAGGTTGCAGTGAGCCGAGATCACACCACTGCACTCCAGCCTGGGTGACAGAGCAAAACTCTGTCTCAAAACACACAAAAAAAATTAAAAATAAAACAAAACTATTTCACCCAGTACTCCATACCAAGCAGAGTTGTTGGGAAAGTCAGTTCCATCATTTGTTAAATGAGCCAGGCCAAATGTGGTGGCTCATTCCTATAATCTTAGTGCTTTGGGAGGCCAAGGAGGGAGGCCAGGATTTTGAGACCAGCCTAGGCAACGTAGCAAGACCTCATCTCCACAAAAACTAAAAAAATTAGCATGGCATGCTAGTTCATGCCTGTAGTCCTGGCTACTCAGGAGGCTGAGGCAGGAGGATCACTTGAGCCAAGGAGTTTGAAGCTGCAGTGAACCATGATCACACTACTGCAGTCCAGCCTAGGTGACAGAGTGAGACCCTATCTCCAAAAAAAAGTTGGTCGTACAACAAGAGCTGAGAGAGTGAACAAGAGAGTCATTATAACAGGTAGATAATGGAAAGTTTCAGAGAGTGTCAAGTTGGAGGCATTCATATGAGAAGAGCTACCATTCTGTAAGTCAGATGAAACCCACTTAATCATTGTTTTCTTGGTCTTTTCCCTCCACTCCCCACCCCCTAATTTTGTAGCCTCCTTTGTCTGTATGCAGTAGTTACCTTGTGCTTCTCTTTTGTTTAGGGACCTCCAAGATGTTCCTCCCTTCAAGCCCCAATCATGCTGCTCTCTGGACATGAAGGGGAAGTCTACTGCTGCAAGTTCCACCCCAACGGATCCACCTTAGCATCTGCAGGATTTGACCGACTGATATGTGAGGCATAGTTTTTGAATCTGGAATAATTTTTCCTGCCAGATAGTGATTTTTTTTTTTAAATCTTGGGTGCCACAGAAGGTATCACTCTATGTTGGCAACATAACAGGCTGCATGGCTAATATGCTAAAATTGGGGCATGAACATGCTGAATGATCTTGGGTGTAGAACTTGGAGTCCATGGGGTAAATACAGAAGCCATTATTTTACTAGTTGGAAAGTGAGTTGTTCTGGTTTGAGAATGTCTTCCTCATAGAGGCAAATCTCCAGCTAATTTACCAAGGCACTTAGCAATCTAGACATAACAGGTTAATGGCAGTAATGAGGAGAGAAATAACTTTTATTTTCCCAAAGGTATAAGGTCCTCTTAATTCACACCCAGAATCCTAGCTAGCATATGGGAAGGAAGGAATCCTAAAGTGGTAACTCCCTTAAATAATCTACCTGTACATCATTAGGATCTACTACCAGATTTCCATTTTTGAGAAATAAGAATTTCTCATACCCATTTTTGAGAAGTAAGTAGAAAAAGTCGTTTTATTTATACTCCAGCAAATGAAGCCAGAAGGAAAAAAAATCAGATGCTTCTGTTGCTACTTTCTTGCCAGATTATGAGATGAAATGAGTTATTTGGCTCTTTTCTGTTAACTCTTTTCCTCGGTGCCGGGTGGATGATACCCGTCTTCACTGCCCATTTTGATTTGGATGTTCCGGCTCTATGATCCTTAAGCTTACTAGTGGCCAAACGTCTGGATTGCTTAGGGATCTTTGCAGAACATATATGAATTATTGATAGGCTTAATTTCATCAGACAAACTACATAGTTTTTTTTGTTTGGTTGGTCGGTTGGCTTTTTAGAGACGGAGTCTCACTCTGTCACCCAGGTTGGAGTGCCGTGGCGCGATCTCGGCTCACTGCATCCTCCGTCTCCTGGGTTCAAGTGATTCTCCTGCCTCAGTCTCCCAAGAGCTGGGATTGTAGGCGTCTGCCACTACACCTGGCTGATTTTTTTATTTTTATTAAAGATGGGGTTTCGCCGTATCAGCCACGCTGGTCTCGAACTCCTGACCTCAAGTGATCCACCCGTCTCGGCCTCCCAAAGTGCTGGGATTACAGGTGTGAGCCACCGTGCCTGACCTGAGAACTGTTGTTCTGATAAATTTATAAGTACCCTTTGCCTAGTAATGCTCACAGAACCCATCTCCCTAACAGTACTGTGGAATGTCTATGGTGACTGTGATAACTATGCCACACTGAAGGGACACAGTGGAGCAGTGATGGAATTGCATTACAACACAGATGGCAGGTGAGTATTCTGCATAATGGAAGGACAGCTTCTCATACTAATTCTTGGCGTCCTTTCACCTTTCATCCTTTCTCAGGAGACCCTGCTATCAAAAACTACTAATTTTGGGTAGCTACTTTAGTATCCGATTTATCACTGTCACCCCAAGTGAGGTGTTTATAGTCTGTGTATGCAAATATAAAGATGTTACATCGGTCATTTCAACAACCCAGACAAATTTTTCTTTTTTTAAGACATAAAATAAATGTGATTTTTATATGTAGGCTGGAGTGCAGTGACACAAACATGGCTCACTGCAGCCTCAACCTCTTGCTCGAGGGATCCTCCCACTTCAGCCTCCCAAATAGCTGGGGCCACAAGCCCACGCCTCCATGCCCAGCTAATTTTTAAAAATCATTTGTGGAGACATGGTCTTGCTATATTGCTCCTGAGCTCAAGCAGTCCACCTGCCTCAGCCTCCCAAAAATGCTGTGATTACAATAATTAACCACCATGCCTGGCCTGAAATCAGCTATTTCTATTATAAAAATCATTTCTTTTGAGAAACCAAAAAAAGCAGAAAGATGAAAAAATAGTCTATATTTCTACCACTCCAAAGATAATCAGTGTTAATTTTTTTTTTTTGAGACGGAATTTCACTCTTGTTGCCCAGGCTGGAGTGCAATGGCACGATCTCGGCTCACTGCAACCTCCGCCTCCCAGGTTCACGTGTTTCTCTTGCCTCAGCCTCCAGAATAGCTGGGATTACAGGGATGCATCACCGTGCCTGGCTAATTTTGTATTTTTTGTAGAGACTGGGTTTCTCCATGTTGGTCAGGCTGGTCTTGAACTCCCAACCGCAGGTGATCCGCCCACCTCAGCCTCCCAAAGTGCTGGGATTACAGGCATGAGCCACCGTGCCTGGCCAATCACTGTTAATTTTATACATTTTTCTAATGCCTTTTTTTCTACTCAGAACTGTTTAGTTGTTGCATATTTGTTAGAACTATGTGTACAATCTTTTTTATTTATTTATTTATTTTATTTTATTTTTTTGAGACGGAGTCTTGCTCTGTCGCCCAGTCTGGAGTGCAGTGGTGCGATCTCGGCTCACTGCAAGCTCCGTCTCCGGGGTTCACACCATTCTCCTGCCTCAGCCTCCTGAGTAGCTGGGATTACAGGTGCCCGCCACCATGCCCGGCTAATTTTTTTGTATTTTTAATAGAGATGGGGTTTCACCGTGTTAGCCAGGATGGTCTCGATCTCCTGACCTTGTGATCCGCCCGCCTTGGCCTCCCAAAATGCTGGGATTACAAGTGTGAGCCACCGCACCTGGCCAGAACTGTGTGTACAATCTTATTTGCTCCTTTTTTCTCTTAACATTGCTCAGCCAACATCTGATGTCATAAACGTCATTTTAATGACTATATTATTTTAGAATATATTATAGATAATATAGAAATCTGGCTATACAAAAGTAATTACATTGTTAGGTAGTCTGGTAAACATTCATTGTTTTACATTTCTGACCTCTAAAATCTTAGGGTGCTCCATCAATTGATACATAGCATTGTATACATTTTAAATAAAGCATTAGAAAGCTGGGCCTGGTGGCATGTGCTTATAATCCCAGCTATTTGGGAGGCTGAGGCAGGAGGATTCCTGGAGCCCAAGAGTTCAAAACCAGCCTGGGCAACACAGTGAGACTCCATCTCAAAAAAAATGAAAAAAGAAAGCATTATAAGATCAGTTATAACTTAGAAATCATCCTCAGAGGCTGGGCGTGGTTGCTTACGCCTATAACCCTAGCACTGTAGGAGGCTGAGGCAGGAAGATTGCTTGAGCCCAGTTCAAGACCAGCCTGGGCAACATAGTGAGACCTTGCCTCTACAAATGATTTTTAAAAATTAACTGAGCATGGTGGCACAGACCTGTGGTCCCAGCTACTCAGGAGGCTGAGGTGGGAGGATCACTTGAGCCCAGGAGGTCGAGGCTGCAGTGAGCCATGATTCCAACCCGGGTGACAGAGCAAGATCTCATCTCAAAAAAAAAATGAAAGAAAGAAATTGTCCTCAGAGACAAAAGAAAAACTTTGGTAAAGAGAAAAGATTGGAGTCACTCAGCTGTCAGGTCGGTACCACAGTCTGTCTGATCTCTGCAGCACCAGGGAGTTATTAAACATTTCCAAGTGAGAGGGTGTCTTATGTTTAAAATGTTAGCTATCACAAAAGAGGAAAAGATAGAGCAAACTGCTACATTAGATGTATGTCATGGGGACTCAAAGAAGGGGAATTTTTTAAACTTCACAGGGGTAGATCTTTTATCTGGGCCATCTGGGCCTAGAGGACAAATAGGATTTTGGTAGGGTGAGGCATTCCAGCATCATGGGCAAACTGGCGTAGCACAGCAGGTCAGTGATCTTGAAAAATTTGGCACCTTTTGTCAAGTAGGAAAGATAGATTGTTACTGTTTATCTTCACTTATTTCTTTTTTATTCTTTCTCTTACTTTCTAGTATGCTTTTCTCAGCATCCACAGATAAAACCGTGGCTGTGTGGGATAGTGAAACAGGTGAGAGGGTTAAAAGGCTAAAGGGACATACTTCCTTTGTGAATTCCTGTTATCCAGCCAGGAGAGGCCCTCAGCTTGTCTGCACTGGCAGTGACGATGGCACAGTTAAGGTGGGTATTGTCTCTCCGTGTTCCAGTTTCTGAGGTGATGTGATGTGAACCTTATCTTGCCTTGCCACTTGTACTCTAGCTTCCTGTGCAAAACTTAATTTTAGCAGTCATCTCCCATAACACACTTGAAATTTTTCCCCATTTAAAATAAAACATTTAATACAAGTTTTAATTACCCTACAGAATAATAATAGAACCATAGAATAAATTGTTACTTGAAATAGGCCGGGTGCTGTGGCTTACGCCTGTAATCCCAGCACTTTGGGAGGCCGAGGCGGGTGGATCACGAGGTCAAGAGATCAAGACCATCCTGGCTAACACGGTGAAACCCCGTCTCTACTAAAAATACAAAAAATAAGCCGGGCGTGATGGCGGGCACCTGTAGTTCCAGTTGCTTGGGAGGCTGAGGCAGGAGAATGGTGTGCACCCGGGAGGTGGAGCTTGCAGAGATTGCACCACTGCACTCCAGCCTGGGCGACAGAGCGAGACTCTGTCTCAAAAAAAAGAACTGTGACAGTAATATACGTGTCTTTCAAGGCTGTTATGAGTATCTCCACCAACAGGGAGGTAGCAAAAAAAAAAAAAAGGCTGTTCTGAGATTATAGACAATATATAAAAAGTTCAGTGAATAGTTTTAGTATGGCACAAGATGGGAACTTAAACATCGTTTAGTCAGATGGTTGCCAGCCTATCTTTATATCATCATCACCTGAAGAACCTGTTAAAAATACCCAAAGAATCTGGTTCAGTGGATCTGCAATGGGAATCAGATATTTTAATGTGTCCTTCAAGTGATTCAGTGTAGCCAGTCTCACATTCTGGGAGCCACTGATCTCACTGAGCATCCTCATTTTATAAATAAGGAAACTGAGGCCTAGAAATAATAATTTATCTCAGAGGCACACAAGGACACAGTACATCATAGTACCAACCATTTGATTCTCTCTTTGACACGAATTTTGGGCTCTGGTTTATATTTTAATTGTTAAACAGTGAGGGACTTCAAAAGAGTACATCTGGGAAACTACACCCCCATACTTCTTATTGCTTTTTAAATGAATTAATGAATTTGCTTTTTTTTTTTTTTCTTTGAGACAGGGTCTTGCTCTATCGCCCAGGCTGGAGTGCAGTGGCACAATCTTGGCTCACTGTAGCCTCCACCTCCCGGGTTCAAGTGATTCCCCAGCCTCAGCCTCTTGAGTAGCTGGGATTACAGGTGCACACCACCATACCTGCCTAATTTTTCTATTTTTGGTAGAGATGGGGTTTCACCATGTTGCCCAGGCTGGAGTGCAGTGGCGCAATCTCAGCTCACTGCAACCTCTACCTCCTGGGTTCAAGCAGTTCCCCTGCCTCAGCCTCCCTAGTAGCTGGGACTACAGGGACCCATACCACGCCCAGCTAGTTTTTGTATTTTCAGTAGAGGCAGGGGTTCATCATATTGGCCAGGCTGGTCTCAAACTCCTGACCTTGTGATCCGCCCCCCTCGGCCTCCCAAAGTGCTGGGATTACAGGCGTGAGCCACCACACTTGGCTGAGACGTTTTTCTACTGAGTGGTTTTCTTATACCTAATCACTTGGGGCCCCTTGATGGTTGGATGGGAGGAGAGTCTGTTGTTTAAGATTGGTTTCTAAACCAGAGCTCTGACCTAGATGTCACTGTAGTTGGAGAGTCTTAACAGTAGCTGATTTACTAATTGTCATTTCAGAAGATAGTAAGAGGTGGAAATGCCCCAGTGAATTTTGTTAACATTATTATTGAGGGCCTGCTGTAATAAATATCTAGGAACTATTTAGGTAGTAGAAAAAGAGTATATGTCCTTTCTGTCTGCCTTCTTTTGGTTTTTTGCTTCTCTTCTGCCTTAATTAAACATGATTTGGAATAGTTATTTTTACCTTATTACTCAAGTTAATACTTTTTTTAATAAGCAGTATGTCACATCACCTAAAGATGACTGCTTTTTAACCAGCTCCTATTTTTAATGTCAGTATATTTATATTTAAGGCATCATTAAACAGCTTTTTGCAATGTACTTTTCAGTTACTTGTGAAGTTGGAATGCTTTGTGTTCTTGTATTTTTGTTACTAGGTTGCAAGTACAGGAATTGAATAACTTCAGTTTAAGAGGAAAAAAAGTCATGTTGCTTTTTACATGTCAGAGTTCTTAACAGAAAGCAAAGGTTTCCAACAGCACTTGCATTTTTAGTCTAAAAGCATTCTGGGCATTATTCATACAGATCGTTTTCAAACTTTTTATCAAGTGCATTCTTCTAATAAAATTAAGTGAAATACTGCGTGTATGTGTGTATGTACTCATATATATATAAATTTCCCTTTCATGAGCAGTTCAGTCCTAAAGCCAGTTATATAGGCCAAAGCAGGGAAGGTGCTCTAGTTAGAGATGGGCCAAGGTGGCCCAGAGTAGAGTGTCAGAGCACAAGTGTGGTAAGGAGAGCATCCACACTGGGCAGGGCAGTACATTGTAGGGAGTAGTCAGAGAGTGAGGAAGGCATCCATACAACACAGGGTAGGTAACCAGTGTGGGGAATTTGAGGGTGAGGGAGGGGCAGCAGCCCAACAGTGCCCTAATGGGGTGAAAGGGTCGCCTGTACGTGAAGCAGTACGGGGAGAATGTGGATGTCAAAGCCTGAACTGAGGGCATCCACACAGGGTAGAAATGATTTGGTGTAGGGAGTCTGAGACTGAGCAAGATGATGACTGCATGCTTGGAGAAGTGCAGACTGGAAAAGAGCCGTAGCAGAGTGATGAGGGTGTTCACACAGAGGAATGACCCAAGTTGGTTAAGGAAGAGTCACACATGGCTTCAACCAAGAATGGGAATCACAATTCAAGTAGGGAAGGGTGGAAGAGAATATGGGAAACTGGTTGCATGCAGGAAGCATAATCAAATAAGTGAATATATTGAATTTAATGGGAGGCTGATTTCTCTGTCCAAGAACAGAGTTACCAGTACAAAAGAGAAGACTAAAATGAATCTTGTGTGAGGTATAAGTGTGAACTCACAATATTCAATATAGAAACATATAGAAAAAAATAGACATAAATGTGTGAGTGTGTGTGTGTGTGTACCTAAATGTACATATATTGCCTGACTGTCCACTGAAAAGGTTTAGGAGCAACAAGACCCCAATAGCAATAGCACCCCTTACTGCACAGGTACTGTTTTCCATTAAAAGGAACCAGGGCTCCTATTTCAGCCCAGGGGCAGTGAAAGTACAAGATAAGCCTTGTACTTGTCAAGGCTTATTTTGTCAAAAGAACATCCTAACTAAATTATCAAATCGACCTAATTAGTAATGGGACAAGACAAAATCATGAACCATTTGCTAGGATACAACAAAGATGCAGCATCATTTCTGTGATATTCCTACCAAAGATGTATAACTTAAATCTAATCAAGAGGAAACATAAGACAAACCTAAATTGGGGATGATGACCTGTAACTTTCAGAAGTGTTGAGTTCATAAAACTCAAGGAAAGTTTGAGAGAGTCTTGCAGACTGGAGTCTAAATTTAACATATGATTCCAGACTGAATCCTTGTGCAATAAGACATTTGGGATAACTGGTAAAACTTGAGTGGGATTTGAGGATAAAATGGTGATAGTGTATCTGTATTTCTTGATTTTGATGGTTATGTTGAGATGATGTAGGAGAACATCTTTGTAGGACAGACACTATTTAGGAGTGATAAGGGGCCAGGTGCAGTGGCTTATGCCTGTAATCCTAGCACTTTGGGAGGCCTAGGCAGGTGGATCACTTGAGGTCGGGAGTTTGAAACCAGCCTGGCCAACTTGAAGAAACCCTGTCTCTACTAAAAATACAAAAAAGCCGGGCATGGTGGCAGATGCCTGTAATACCAGCTACTCAGGAGGCTGAGGAAGAATTGCTTGAACCCGGGAGGTGGAGGTTGCAGTGAGCGGAGATCACGCCACTGCACTCCAGAATGAGCAACAGACAGAGTGAGACTCCCATCTCAAAAAAAAAAAAAAGGTGATAAGGCATTGGGTAAGCAACTTACTCTCAAATGATTTAGACCAAAAAAAGTGTTCTTTTTACTTCCAAGTTTTCTATAAATTTATGATTGCTTCAAAGTAAAATAATTATTAAAAGTGGTAGTTATCTGGAACTAAAATTCTAAATTATTTTAAACAAACTTTGACTACCATGACTTTTAGGAGAAAGACAAAGATAGATTTGACCTGAGTGAAGTATCTATTGAGACAAAGATTATAGTACAGTTTATAAAATATATAGGATCTAAATTATTAAGGCCTTGAATTCCAGGTTAAGAAGTTTGGACTTGATTCTGTAACCACAGGAGTTGGGGGAGTAGGAGATGTTGGGCATGTAGGAGAGGAGTGAAGCGTTCTTTTTAGACCATTTATCTGAGTAATGAACTAATTTTTAGTTCGTATTTACATGAACAAAGAAGAAACTACTTTTCATCCTAAACCATGAGAATTGGGAGGAAGAGGCATCTTGGCACAGATCCTACTCAGACTCTCCTTGTTGACTACAGGATTGAAGTTAAGCCTATGACCTTCCCTAAAGTTCCATGGCTGATTCCTTTCTTTTTGATGCCAGCCCTTTAAAACTTGGAACAGTCATCCCAAAGTCTCTTTCTTCTGAATGAAACGACCCATACTTTTAAATCATTTACTTGTGGTTCATCTTCTCAAGTGTGTCATTCATTTATTGAAACATCTCTGAGCCCTCTCTGTGTTATCCACGCTTTAAAAAAGTAGAGCTATAAGGGTTTGTTTGTTTAAGAGATGGGGTCTTGGCCGGGTGCAGTGGCTCACGCCTGTAATCCCACCACTTTGGGAGGCCAAGGTGGGTGGATCACCTGAGGTCAGGAGTTCGAGACCAGCCTGGCCAACATGGTGAAACCCCCGTCTCTTCTAAAAATAGAAAAATTAGCTGGGCGTGGTGGCGCATGCCTGTAATCCCAGCTATCCAGGAGGCTAAAGCAGGAGAATTGCTGGAACACGGAAGCAGAGGTTGCAGTGAGCCGAGATGCCGCCACTCTCACCCAGGCTGGAGTACAGATCCGCAATCACGGCTCACTGCAGCCTCAACCTCTCTGGCCCAAGCGATCCTCCCATCTCAGCCTCCCAAGTAGCTGGGACTATAGGCATATACCACCACACCCAACTTTTTGTTTTTATTTTGTAGAGATGAGGAATCACCATGTTGCTCAGGCTGGTCGCTAACTCTGGGCTAAAGCCATCCTCCTGGCCTCGGCCTCCGAAAGTGCTGGGGTTACAGGCATGAGCCACCATACCTGGCCCTCTAAGAATTTTATAGTTTTAGCTCTTACATTTAGGTCCTTGATCCATGTTGAATTAATTTTTGTGTATCATGTTAGGCAGGGGCTTACCTTCATTCTTTGGCATGTGGTTAGCCAGTTGTCTTAGCACAATTTGTTGAGAAGACTACTTTTTCCTTCTATATGGACCATAGTTACTTGCTTCTTTGCATGCCTTATATTTTGTTGAAAACTAGGCATTTAAATATTATAGCGTGGTGACTCTGGAAATTAGGTCCCCAGAGCTGCTTATTGTAGTTGTTTGTTTAGTGACTTTCTGTGGGTTGGGGTAAGGTGAGAGTGGTTGGTTGGTTGGTTTTTGAGACGAAGTCTCGCTCTGTAGCCCAGGCTGGAGTGCAGTAGTGCGATCTTGGCTCACTGCAACCTCCACTCCCCGGGTTCAAGTGATTCTTGCACCTCAGCTTCCTGAGTAGCTGGGGTTACAGGGGCACACCACCATGACCAGCTAATTTTTGTATTTTTAGTAGAAACAAGGTTTTACCATGTTAGCCACGCTGGTCTTGAACTCCTGACCTCAAGTGATCCATCCACCTCGGCCTCCCAAAATGCTGGGATTACAGGTGTAAGCCACCATGCCCGGCCTGTTTAGTGAATTTTTGAACTAATTTTGTAAAGTTTGTATTCTTTGTCCTGTGTGACCACTGAATTCTTTTTTTCGTTAGCTTAGTGGTCAGCTAGTGAATGACACAAGTTTCCTAAATTACCTACAACAACAAGAACAAAAATTCTCCCAGTCTTTGCAGATTGTCTTTTTGTATGTTGGAGCCTGCCTTCAACTCCTTGCCATGCAGTTTACATCTCTCCTTAGCTTTCACTTCCTGCTTGTGCAGAGCCTGAAGGTGAACCAGAGAGCTTACGGCCTTCTCAGATCTTTTCTAAGTATGTGCCCAGCCCTGGACATGCAAGTGGTCTAGATTGCCAGGAATGGGCCAGGCGTGGTGGCTCATGCCTGTAATCTTAGCACTTTGGGAGGGTGAGGCAGACAGATCACTTGAGGCCAGGAGTTTGAGACCAGCCTGGTCAACGTGGCGAAACCCTGTCTCTACTAAAAATACAAAAATTAGCTGGGCATAGTGGCACACGCCTGTAATCCCACCTACTCGGGAGGCTGAGACATGAGAATTGCTTGAGCCCGTGAGGTGGAGGTTGCAGTGAGCCAAGATCGCACCACCGCACTCCGGCCTGGGTGACAGAGGGAGAGTCTGTCCCTAGATAGATAGATAGATAGAGATTAGATAGATAGATAGACACATAGATACATAGATAGATAGATATAGATGATAGAAAGATAGATAGATAGATAGATAGATAGATAGATAGATAGATAGATAGATAGATAGATAGCCTAGGCGACAGAGGGAGAGTGTGTCCCCAGATTAGATAGATAGATAGATAGATAGATAGATAGATAGATAGATACATAGATAGATAGATAGCCAGGAATATGTCGGTGCTTTTCGAAGCTCTTATTCCCCAAATTGTCTCCTTCCCCAGCCCTTCCTCCCAAGGTTTTTGGTTTGTATTTTTGCCCCAACTGTTTTTCCTTGCCCCCAGGAACCAGAGGCTAATAATGTCCTTTCCTTTAAATGTTTTCAAGGGAAGTTCCAAGTTAGGCAAAATAAATGTAAGTCCTTTGGGCTCATCCTTCAGAGAGCCACCAGACAGGTAAAAATAAACAATTTTTATTGTTTATTCTTTGACAATAAGAAATAGGCCCCCTTTGCTTCCTCAGTACTAGGAAACCATACTGGGAATATGGGTTATCTTCAAAGCTGTTGCTGAGCAGGAGACAGAGCCAGCACAAGTTAAAACACTACAAAGCCCTTTTACTGGGACTCAGGGAGTTTTTTGTTTCCTTTTTCCTCATTAAGGGTTTGCCGGGTTACTATAAACTTTTGATTAGTTTTGAGAGTTCCAACAGTTGATTCTGACAGATTTTGCTGGTTAATTTGCTGCTTTCGTGGAGGGACAAGCTTTTGTCATTGTTTATTATACTATTTTCACTGACATACCCTCTATTTTTTTAAATGTGGGTTGCAGCCTACTAATGAATTAGTCTCTACGGTTTGAAAAAATTGTCTGATATCCTTGTTGTTCTAAAAAATATATGAACTAAGTAGTTAGGGGAATTCCATTCTAAGAGTATGTTGATTTAACTCTGTTCACTTCAACAAAGAAGTCTGAAAATATAACCGAAGTTTTGTTTCACCAGCCTTCAAATGTCTTGGCAAAATTGAGCACACTGCTTACCATGTGTGTTATTAGGATATCCAGGAGTTAGTGATATAGGATCCCAATTATAGATGTGTTCATGTCCACAAAGTCCTCGTACTTAAGGGATATTTGTACTGTGCAATTGCTTCTTAGAATGATGTTGCTGATAGACTGTCTTGTCCTTTGCTTCAGCTTTGGGACATCCGGAAGAAAGCAGCCATCCAGACATTTCAGAACACGTACCAGGTGTTAGCTGTGACCTTCAATGACACAAGTGATCAGATTATTTCTGGTGGAATAGACAATGATATCAAGGTATGTTTGATGTTTATGATATATTTCCATTTCATCTATCTGCACTTAGAAACGAATTTTTTCAAACTTCTGAGATTGTGGTAGCTTTGCACTTAATACCAACTGAAAGGAAAATAGTAACTTGGAACTTATTTTCTTTTTCTCCTGTCTTCATTGACTTCCTAAATTAAAGTTTGCATTGCAGATCTTATAAATGCTGTCAGGGACCAGGCACTTAATGTGAAGTGTGAAGTCTCTGTAGGGGGACTATGTAAAAAATAAAGAGTGCATTTCCTTTTAAAGACATTCAAAATCTTTTTTTAACCATCTTGGTTTAAAGAGAGCAGTGAATCAGTTTGTGATTCTGTATCCTCATCTCTCACTGTGTTTTTCTTTTTGACACTATGGAAAGAGAGTTTTCTAAGTTTCTCTAAGAATGAGAGAAGGTAATGATATTAAAGAGGCAATAGACCATATGGCAGTAGAGTGTAGCTCAAACTTTCAAGTAATTGACTTGGGTTCTAATCCCAGTTTCACCATTTTCTAGTTTTGTGACTTCAAGCACCTTCTTTAAGCCTCTTTTTCTTGTGTGAATGGTGAGGGGGTAATGATAAAAAAAAAAAAAAACAGTAGCATCTACCACATACCATTGTGGGGATTAAATGAGCCTGATTCATTAGAGCACTTAGCAGAATTCCTGGACATAACAAGTGCCAGGAAATGTATTATTTTGGGCCTGCACAGCTTCTGTCTTCCTTTCCTCTTGGCTTCCTTGGGGATCTTAACGACTTTGACCTTACCTTCTGCTTTATAGTAAGAAGAGTAACTGTCAGATACTCAACTTTCTGTGTTGTCCTTACCTAGAAGTTGTACTGTATTTCCATCCCTCATTGTTTCCTTTGCTGTTACTTTGGATGAAATATCCTTGCTTTTGGCCAGGTGTGGTGGCTCACACCTGAAATCCCTGCACTTTGGGAGGCCGAGGCGGGTGGATCACAAGGTCAGGAGACCGAGACCGTCCTGGCCAATGTGGTGAAACCTCGTCTCTACTGAAAATACAAAAATTAGCTGGATGTGATGGTGGTGTGCCTGTAATCCCAGCTACTCAGGAGGCTAAGGCAGGAGATTACTTGAACCTGGGAGTCAGAAGTTGCGGTGAGCTGAGATCACGCCACTGCACTCCAGCCTGGCCACGGAGCAAGACTCCATCTCCAAAAAAAAAAAGAAAGGAATATCCTTGCTTTTGTCTAAAGGTAGTCCTTTTTTTTTTTTTTTTTTTTTGAGTCAGAGTCTTCCTCTGTAGCCCAGGCTGGAGTGCAGTGGTGCTATCTCAGCTCACTGCAACCTCTGCCTCCTGGGTCCCAGTTCAAGCAATTCTCCTGCCTCAGCCTCCTGAGTAGCTGGGATTACAGGCACGTGCCACCATGCCCAGCTAATTTTTGTATTTTTTAGTAGAGACAGGGTTTCACCATGTTGGGCAGGCTTATCTCGAACTCCTGACCTTGTGATCCACCTGCCTCGGCCTCCCAAAGTGCTGGGATTACGGGTGTGAGCCACCGTGCCCGGCCTAAAGGTAGTCCTTTAAATGTGAGGGTTTCAATCCTTCGTCACTTCTTTCAACCTCTTCTTTTCTACTTTTCTTTTTTTTGAGACAGAGTCTCACTCTGTCGCCCAGACTTGAATGCAGTGGCGTGATCTTGGCTCACTGCAACTTCTGCCTCCTGGGTTCAAGCAATTCTCTTGCCTCAGCCTCCTGAGTAGCTGGGACTACAGGCGTGTGCCACCATGCCTGGCTAATTTTGTATTTTTGGTAGAGACAGGGTTTCTCTGTGTTGGTCAGGCTGGTCTCGAACTCCTGACCTCAGGTGATCCACCCGCCTTGGCCTCCCAAAGTGGGATTACAGGCATGAGCCACCATGCCTGGCCCAAAACTTCTTAAAAAGGATGATGATGGTGGTGGTGATAATATTGTTATCATCATTATCTAACACATAGTGCTTACTTTCTGCCAGTTGTTGTTCTCAGAGCTTTACATCATTAATTCATTTAAGCTTTGCTATTGACCTCCTCACGGATCTTAAAGACTTTGACCTTACAACCTCATGAAATAAATCCTACTGATGCGATTGTACAGATGAGGAAACTGAGCTAAAAGAGGCACAACAGCTTAAACCCAGGTTACACAGCTAATACGTGATGGAACCTCAGTTCAAATCCCAGAGTTTCATTCTAGAATTATACTCTTAATACTTAGAGGAATACCCTGGAGATTTTTCTGCACTCACTGTCTTCAGTTCCTCACATACCATTCATTCTTCATTCCTAATAGTCTGGTTTTTTTTTTTGTTTTTTGTATGTGTTTTTGTTTTTTAACATAATCGCTCTGTACCATAGACCTGGTCTTCTCTCTTCCCTGAGTTCTGTGACAACAAACTGTCCTATCCATCTGGTAGTTTCTTCTCCTTCTCTACATACCATTATGAGCTACTCTGTCTGTGGAGTCTTTAAACATCATTATTCGCCAAGGGCCTTTGCTTTTCTCGCTGTGTACATTCCCCAAGACAGATCTCGTCTACTTCCACAACTCCATCATCCCTCTGCCGAAGACAATTTTCCCACCCCAGATCTTAAGCATCAGGTCCTTGTGTACAACTAGCTGTACAGTATCCCCCATTTGAATGTCTCATAGGTACCTAAGAATTCAGGTTTTCCAAAATTGAACTTCCCATCCCTTTTCCATCATATAAATACTTGGAGAATGAAGAATCAGAACATGGAAACTTAGATCAACTTTAATAGCTGTGCACAATATTTCCCAGAATGGAGTTGGGAGCTCACTGGCGTCAGAATCACTAGAAGACTTCTTGTACACATGAAAATAGATTAATGTCATCAAGCTATGATAACTTTTATACTTTTCAAGACATGTAAATTTACATACAGTGAAATAAACATTTTTGGTGTACAGTTATAAGAATTTTAATGTTTGCATAGATTCACTACCACCAACAGAGTACCAAATTTGATTGATGCCCTCGTCTCCACTGTGAGGATAGACTAACCTAACAATAATACTCTTGTGCTAGTAAAGTCTACTTACTGTCAATAGTATGGCTTACTTTGGGCTCTTTATCTGGACTGTTCCTGGGCCTTCTAAAGACAATAGTGCTATACAGCACAAATTCTCACAGCTTAAATAAAAGAAGCTAGCCTCAAAAGGTTTTATATATATGTATAGGATTCCTTATATTCTCAAAAAAAATCATAGGGCAAAGAAGAGATCAATAATCAGCAAATGTTAGGGATGAAGAGGTTTGACACAAAGGAGAAAAATTAGGAAATTTTTGGGGTGATGAAAATTGTTCAGTACTCTGTTGGTGATAGTAAACTAAAAAGTGTTTGCTGGGCGTGTTGGCTCACGCCTGTAATCCAAACACTTTGAGAGGCCAAGGCAGGCGGATCACTTAAGGTCAGGAGTTCT
Organism: Homo sapiens; assembly: GCF_000001405.40. Classification (NCBI taxonomy): domain Eukaryota; kingdom Metazoa; phylum Chordata; class Mammalia; order Primates; family Hominidae; genus Homo; species Homo sapiens. The sequence continues at coordinate 31,277,913 of NC_000001.11, read as the reverse complement.
AGACCAGCCTGGCCAACATGGCAAAACCCCGTCTCTACTAAAAATACAAAAATTAACCAGGCATGGTGGCATGCGCCTGTAATCCCAGCTACTCAAGAGGCTGAGGCACAAGACTGGCTTGAACCAGGGTGGTGGGGGTTGTGGTGAGCCAAGATCGTGCCACTGCACTCCAGCCTAGACGACAGAGAGAGACCCTGTCTCAAAGCATTAAAAAAAAGCTAAAAAGCGTTTAATCCGTCCACAAACATTCAAATTTTTCTGCCAATGCTTCATTTTCGGGGAATTTTTTTAATTAGAAGTGCACCCAGCACTGAGACAGTCTCCTTGTTTGTGTACTGTATATATTGTATTCTCTTTTCTAAACAAAAAATCAGTATAGACTTTTCCTAATTTGTCTGCTTATTTACCTTAAATGTTTTATGCAGATATAAAATTTGCATTCAAATATATGTTTAACAAATCAACTTTATTGGGAATAACATTATTAACAATTAATTACAATTAAAATAGATTTAGTAATAAAAGTGATACTTTGTATATTAAAGTGCAGAAAATGTAAAAGAATTATAAAAATAGATAAGTCACTGTAGTTTCATCATCCAAATTCAGTCACTCTTACTATTTCACAGTGTACTTCCTTCAAGTCTTTTCTGTACTACAATGTTTTGTATGTAAACATTATAATATTCATTCTTTAGATGATGCTTTTTTTCTTTTTTCAAGAGAGAGTCTCGCTCTGCCGAGGCTGGAGTGCAGTGGTGCAATCATGGCTCACTGCTGCCATGACCTTCTGGGCTCAAGCAATTCTCTCACCTCAGCCTCCCAAGTAGCTGGGACTATAGGTACATGCCACTATGCCCAGCTAAATTTTTTTTTTTTGAGACGGAGTTTCACTCTTGTTGCCCAGGCTGGAGCGCAATGGCACAATCTCAGCTCACTGCAACCTCCACCTCCCGGACTCAAGTGATTCTCCTGCCTCAGCCTCCCGAGTAGCTGGGATTACAGGCAGCCGCCACCACGTCCCACTAATATTTTGTATTTTTAGTAGAGACATGGTTTCACCATGTTGACCAGACTGTTCTAGAACTCCTGACCTCAGGTGATCCGCCCACCTCAGCCTCCCAAAGTGCTGGGATTACAGGAGTGAGCCACCACGCCTGGCCAGTTTGGTTCGTTTTCGTTTTTGTTTTTTTAGAAATGGGTTCTCAACACATTGCCCAGGCTGGTCTCGAACTCCTGGCCTCAAGCAGTCCTCCCTCCTTGGCCTCCCAAAGTGTTGGGATTACAGGCATGAGCCACTGTGCCCAGCCATGATCTCTTTTCACTTATTATCACATAGCTGCTCCTTTGTCAGGAATCCCCCACCCCCACCTTTGATGCATTGCTGTGACTTGCCTCTTATCTTCAGATCACAGCATAGATATCTCTTCTGGAAAGTATATCCTTAACTAAGCCCACCTCTAGTTGCTCTCTATCAAATCATTCTTATTTTCTTAGAATTGTAGTTAGAATCATTTTCCTTTCCATTTTTTTGCTTTATTTTGAGGTCTCACTCGTGTTGCCCAGGCTGCAATGTGGTGGTGGAATCATAGCTCACTGTAACCTTGAATTCCTGTGCTTAAGCGAAGTTGGGATCATTTTGCAATTTGCCAATTAATTGCTAGCTTTGTGATCTTAAAAAAGTTGTTTTAACCTCATCTCCATTTCTTGTGTCTAAATGGGAATTGTCAGCTCACCTCATATAATTGTTACATTAATTAAATGAAGTAAGGATATAATATTCCTAGCACCGTGGCAGGGACATAGTGTGTTCAATATATGTCAGCTGCCATTATCATCATCATTTTTTTATTATTACAGTATTAAATAATTTAGTGACAACCATGTCATTGGACATTTAGGCTGTTTCATGTGAATCATTATCACAGATTATGCTGCTATGGACATATTTGTGCATGAAACTTTTTCTGTATTTGTTTTCTTAGAATAGATTTCCAGATGAAAATTAATGTGTTTTAATAAGTATAAGGATGTTTCATATTTGGGATACAGGCTGCCATATTGTTTTCTGGCAGGAGCAGTTAATACAATGTTTGAAACCAGGTTGCTAGAATTATTTCTTTATTTTTGCTCTTGTATAACAGAGATGGACTGGAGAGAGTTGTATATGTGTTAGAATTTACTTAGAAGGTAGTCTTTTCCCTATTAAAAATACCCTGCTGATGGCCAGGCACTGTGGCTCATGCCTGTTATCCTAGTACTTTGGGAGGCCAAGGCGGGCAGATCACTTGAGGCCGGGAGTTCCAGACCAGCCTGGCCAACGTGGCAAAACCCCGTCTCTACTAAAAATACAAAAATTAGCTGCGCGTGGTGGCACACACCTGTAGTCCCAGCTACTTGGGAGCCTGAGGCACGAGAATCGCTTGAACCCGGGAGGTGGAGGTTGCAGCTAGCCAAGATTGCACCACTGCACTCCAGATGACAGAGTGAGACTCTGTCCTGATTAGAAAAAAAAATACCCTGTTGTTACATGCAGAGGGGAGAGTAATTGCTCTCTCGAACTCAGGAAGACTCTTAGTTGTCCTAAAAGACCTCATAAATTTCTTTAAACATGCAAAGGAGAGGCTCCTTTTCAATCAGAAAGACTCAGGAAATGTCAAACCTGAAAAGAACCGTAGACATCACCTCCATCCCTCACTTTATAGGTGACTGAAGTGAGGCCCTAAGAGGTTAAGTGATCTGGCCAAGATCAAATAGTCATCACTCAGTCAGTGGTAGAGACGGGACCAGAGCTCTATCTCTAGAGGGCTAATAGTCTTGCCACTCTGTCTTGTTACCTCTAGTCAATTAACAAGCACCTTTTAAGCACCTAGAGGCTTACCAGTCTTGAGCCCTTGTGTGACAAATCACCATACTGCCTCACTATATTAGGAGATGCTCCTCAGAGAGCCTGGTTTTTATTTGTTTCTCAGTCTATCTTAGGTAGCACTGCCTGTTCTAAGAAAGAGAAACAAATAAGGAGTGGGAACCCTTTTTAAAATCTGAGTTAAACAAATTCTGTGTATATTTGTGAGCAGATAATGCTGTTCCCACCAATCTCTTGGAACTTCCTACCTGGTAATAGGATTGGGGAGTCAGAGGAAAATGAAGAAAGAAGAAAATGTGTCACTTGAGAGCCTGATGGTCTGGCTGGCAATCTGGCGTTTCTTGTAATCCTGAACTCTAGTTAGGATGGGAGTTCAGTTTGGTTTTTTTTTTTTTTTTTTTTAATGTAATGGTTAAAAGGATAGATTAGGCCAGGTGTAGTGGCTCATGTTTGTAATCCCTGCACTTTAGGAGGTCTCATCCCTTCAGTTATTAAATATATAGGCCAGGCCAGGCGCGGTGACTCAAGCCTGTAATCCCAGCACTTCGGGAGGCTGAGGTGGGCGGATCACAAGGTCAAGAGATCGAGACCATCCTGGCCATGGCCAACATGGTGAAACCCCATCTCTGCTGAAAATACAAAAATTAGCTGGGTGTGGTGGTGCGCGCCTGTAGTCCCAGCTACTCTGGAGGCTGAGGGAGGAGAATCACTTGAACCCGGGAGGCAGAGGTTGCAGTGAGCCGAGATTGCACCACTGCACTCCAGCCTGGCAACAGAGGGAGACTCGGTCTCAATCAATCAGTTAATCAATGGGTCAGAAGGATCTTTCCAGAATATACAACTGAATGTCTCATTTTTCTATTTTGAACCCTTCTTTGACCCCCCAGTGAAGGAAATAAAGTGCAAGCCAGGCATTCAAAACCTTTCATGAGCTGGCCTCTGCCTGTCTACCTCATCATCTGCTGCCTCTGGGTGCCTAATCTCCTACAATCCAGCAGTGTTTTTCATGCCCCTCTACTTCCATAAATTATCTTGTCCTAGTAAATACCCTTCCACTTTGTCTAAGTTAAAAAAAAAACAAAAACAAAAAAAAACTTCCTTCTTCCAGACCCTGCTCAGGTGCTTCATTTTCTGTGAAAGCTTCCCTTTCTCACTCTCATCTCTGTTCCACCAGAGCTAAACCCTCTGACCCGTATGCAACTGTACCTTGCATAGGCCTGTCATTACTTGTTTAAACGTCTTAAGTTTTCCTTGTTATACTGAACACTCCTTGTGAGCAGGGCCATGTCTTTTTTTAATCTCCAGCAGTACCTGCCACTAATCAGATGCCCAGATTTTTCATTGAACAGCTGAGTAGGATACTTGCAAAATGTTTTGCTTAAATTCCTGCTGTAGATTTTTTTTTTTGAGACAGAGTTTTATTCTTGTTGCCCAGGCTGGAATGCAGTTGTGTGATCTCGGCTCACTGCAGCCTCCGCCTCCCGGGTTCAAGTGATTCTTCTGCCTCAGCCTCCCGAGTAGCTGGGATTACAGGTGTGCACCACCATGCCCGGCTAATTTTTTGTATTTTTAGTAGAGACGGGGTTTCACCATGGCCAGGCTGGTCTTGAACTCCTGACCTCAGGTGATCCAACCACCTTGGCCTCCCAAAGTGCTGGAATTACAGGAGTGAGCCACCCCTGCTGTAGATTTTTTTTGTGGCAAATCCTGGATACTTTTTTGGCCCTGCACAAACAAGGTGTACAGGCCTCAAGGGGGAAGTTTGGAAATAACACACAAGTTCTGTGAGGGGTTGGCAAAATGCATTCTCTCCTAGTTGTTACAAAGCTAGATTTCAACAGTGCCTTCTCAGAAGAGAAGGAACAACAGCTTGAACAAAATGTCAGATACTTCAGGCTTTCCTGATTACTGAAGCAGCAAACATCTTGATATAAAAAAATGATCGTATAGAAAATGTGTTGGGCTCCACACATGAGTGAGTTACTGATGGAGAAAGTGGAGTTGTCTGCCCTATGTATTGCTCTGCTGTGTAACACCTAACTCATTTCTAGATAAGGAAAAGTGTCTTGATTTAAGGAACAGCAAAAGTTTTATTCACTTAGAAAAAAACTACATTGCAATATGAAATAAAATTGGGGGAAAATTTGTATTTTATGTAATACCAGTGACCTTAACAAAATTACTGTTCTTTTTGCCATGTGACTTTCCAGACTATTTCTGTTAGCTTGAAAATATTTATTTTACATAGCTGTAGTCTGTGTAAAGATAAATACTGTTTTGTATTTTCCTTTTTTGCTTAATAGCTTATTATGTAAATATTTTTACATTTGGTCTTCTGAGTTATTTTTAGGAACTGCTTAACAATAGCTACACATTATTGAGGACCTGTCTTGTGCCCGGCATATGCTAAGCATTCTTATAATCCTTACAACAGCCGTAAGAAGTAGCTATTGTTATCCCTAATCTTACAGACCAGGAAACAGGCCCAGAAAGAATTAGTGACCCAATGACACATAACTCTAAGTGGCAAGGAACAGTTTATTCTTACCCTAAGTCACCACTCTTTCTACTCTGTCATGCTATCTCCTGTATGAGAATTCAGTTTTGCAATGTGCTTATGAACCATAATTTAATAAACCACCTATTTTTCCTGCTTGACGTTTAGGTTATTTTCTGTATCTTACGTTTCCTATACAAGCAATAGTGAACCTGTAATTTATTTTTATTTTAATAAATGTGCTTTTCCATAGTGTATGTGCATGTACATATCCATACATGTACATATATATACATTTATTGTCACATATTGTTACATTAAAAGAAAAATTTTAAGCATCTGTATTTTTCATATTGTTACACAAACATGTAATCATAATGCCTTTTTTAAATGACATGTTCGTTTTATGTATTTATAATAATTTTTAATGGCTAAGAATCATAGCCATTTTTAGTTTTTTTCTATAATAGTTTTTCTTTGCTATGATTTGAAAATAACCTTTCTGAATTCTATTTTTTTGTGTGTAAAACTTTATCTTAACATTTGATATGCATTCGTTTATATTTATCTAGTCAAACGTGGTAGCCTGAGCTACCTTTTTAGAAAGACAGAGATTGGCCAGGCATAGTGGCTCATGCGTGTTAATCCAAATACTGAGAGGATGAGGTGGGAGGATTGCTTGAGCTCGGGAGTTCAAGACTAGCCTGGGCAACATGGTGAAACCTGTCTCTTCAGAAAAATTAGCTGGGTATAGTAGCATGCTCCTGTAGTCCCAGCTACTGGGGAGGCTTAGATGGGAGAATCACCTGAGCCCGGGAAGTCAAGGCTACAGCGAGCCATGATAGTGCCACTGCACTGGGCAACAGAGTGAGACGCTGTCTCAAAAAAAAAATGAAAATTAAAAAAAGGTGTTTTTCTCTTTGACAGAAATCCTGTGTTTTATAGTAGAGTAATATCAGTGTCTCTGGGCAATTGACTCTTGTCTCTTGTGTCATTCTCTTTCTCTGCTTTTATTAATTTGATTTCTGGGGGCACCTTTCTGTTTTTGCAGGTCTGGGACCTGCGCCAGAACAAGCTAACCTACACCATGAGAGGCCATGCAGATTCAGTGACTGGCCTGAGTTTAAGTTCTGAAGGCTCTTATCTTTTGTCCAATGCAATGGACAATACAGGTAACTTTGGAAAGGAAATCTCTCCCAGGATCCAAGGAAAAAGTCAAAGATTGCTCACAGATTCCATCAGACGATTAGAATGTGTTGTAATGGGGAAAGCTTTAGGTGAGATAGTCAAGAATCTAGGACTGTAGTCTCAGATCTCTGTCTTGTCCCTGAACAACTTTGCACACAGCATTTCTTCTCTCTAGGCATCAGTTTCTACATTGATAAGAAGATTGGACTTTACCTTTAAGACCCATCTCAGCTCTGGTATGCTGTGTATCCAACAGGATATTAGAAACTCTAGGTGATGAGTTTAATGAAAAAGATGTGAATCTAGAAGTCTATTCAAGGCAGTTCTTGTGCGTTTTCAGAGAGCACCAAGCTTGGATGATCTCTTCTGCTCTTTCCTGCCAGTCTGTCTTCCCTCCCCACTCTGAAAGCATTGGTGTGGGAAGAGGTCTTCATTAAAACATTCTGGATTTACACGAACACACTCTTGCTCTTTCTCTTTACTTGTTTTTGAGTTGTAGGGTGGGAGGATGGGTTACTACAGAAAAAAAGTAAGGTGACTTGCTGGATTATATGCTTAATGTTGAGGGAGTTTGGAAATGGCCCTGGTATACAAAATTATAGGCTTGTCAGGAACTAAAATGTATTCCCTGACATTTTGTAACAAAAACAATACCTGACATTCATTGGGTACTTAATAAATATTTGTTGAATTAATGGACATCTTTACCTTTTAACTATATTCTCAATGGCAAACTTTCACGCATAGCTTTGCCTTTTTATGCCTGTCTGACTCCAAGGATTGATAATACTTTTTTCATACTCAAATAAAATGACATCACTGAAATTCCACTATAGGTATAGCTTCAGTTACAACGGCTATAGCTACTGCTTACAATAGATGTTTATACACATTTAATCTAGCATTAAAAAAATATTTTTTCCTTAATTTTTTTGATAAGACAGGATCTTGCTGTGTTGCCCAGGCTGGTCTCAAACTCCTGGGCCCAGGCAAGCCTCCCAAGTACCATGCCTAGCTAATTCTAGCGTTCTTTATGAGGAACAATGAGGTTTCCTAGATTGATACTAAAATAAGGAAAAAATAATAGAATAATTTCTTGTGGCTGCATAATACAATTACAAATTCTTTATTTTTGTTTGTTGCCTACAAATTTTAGAACCTTTGCACATATATCATCTCATTGGATCTTTAAAATAGTGTTATTGGCTGGGCAGGGTAGATCACCTGAGGTCAGGAGTTTGAGACCAGCCTGGCCAATGTGGTGAAACCCCATCTCTACTAAAAATACAAAAATTAGCCAGGTGTGGTGGTGGGCACCTGTAATCCCAGCTACTTGGGAGGCTGAGGCAGGAGAATCACTTGAATCTGGGAGGCGGAGGTTGCAGTGAGCCGAGATCACGCCACTGCACTCCAGGCTAGGCAACAAGAGCGAAACTCCATCTCAATCATATCAGTCAATAATATTATTTTAAAAAGAAGACAGATAATTTTCTCTTCATTTTACAGAACAGAAAAACCAAGACACAAACAATCTCACTGTTTACCTGACATCACCCAAATATGTAACAGAGATAGAATCAATGTTTACTTTTTCTGATTTTTGGTATGGTACAGTGCTTTTTTGATTTATTTGACCTTTTATATATTTTATATATATCTGACCTTGTCCAGTCTTAGACTATCAGGTGCCCATATGAGGGAAATTAGGAAAGGGCGATGTAAGTTTGGCTTTTATAAGTTCATTGTCACAGTAGTTCCTGGTATTTAGTTTGTCACATTGAAGCTTTGCTGGATGTGACTAAGCTGGCAGAGAAATCTTGCAAAATATCTTTTTGAAATTAGTATCACACCCAACTGCATTCTGTTGCAAATTACCAACATTGTGTGTGACATTTTTCCTTCCTGCCCCCTCAGCTAGCCCCAGTTATTGGGATTTAGATGTGTTTTCCTGCTTGAAAAAGAAAAGAGCCTTAACAGGTAGCAGTATGTCAAGTTGGACTTTGCCCACCGAGGAAACAGCATCTGCCATTGATTGACATGATACTAATTTCAGCTGGGTGCCCAGGAGGCCTCTGGCCGATAGTTGTTTTGGTTGGTTTGTTTATTTGGATTTGTTTTGCAGTTCGTGTCTGGGATGTCCGGCCATTTGCCCCCAAAGAGAGATGTGTAAAGATATTTCAAGGAAATGTGCACAACTTTGAAAAGGTGAGTTCTGCATGGCAGAGGAGTTTTACTGTTCATTTACTTCAGAGAAACATTTAAGGTGGTACTAAGGATAGAGAGCAGTAGCTCTGCTAAGAATGGACTTCATTCCAATAACACTGCTCTTAATTAAAACTTGTTGCCAAAAATAAAACGGATAGAAATAATAGTGACTGGGGAGAAGCCAGTCATATAGCCCAAAAGGAATGGAGCCAGCCCTCAAACTGAGGGCATCTGACTTGACACCAGCCTCAACAAGAGACTCCTGGCCTTTTTAATTACTTGGGAATTTTACCCTCCTAAATCAGTTTTCCATATGGAACCCAAGCTCCCATAGCTGTAACCTGGATGGTCTCCCTACCTGCCTCCGCATCCCGTGACCATGTGTGTTAGAACCCTAAGAATACATCTCTTCCCTCAGTAACTACCACGGCCCAAGTTCTGAGAGAGAAAATTTTTTTCAAAGCCTCAAATTTCAAGGTCAGCTCTATTGAAAGAAGCTTTTCCCCTCAGAGAATTTGTTAATAGAGATTTTTTTTTTTGAGAGCTCATTGAGATTCAGTTTCACTGTATAAATCAAATTTTGTTTTTTAGACCTGGCATGGTGGCTCACAGCTGTAATCCCAGCACTTTGGGAAGCCAAGGTGGGAGGCCAGGAGTTAGAGACCAGCCAGGGCAACATAGTAAGACCCTGTCTCTACAAAAGATAAAAAATCTGGGTGTGGTGGCATGTGCCTGCAGTCTCAGCTGCTTGGGAGGCTGAAGTGGGAGGATCACTTGGGCCCAGGAGGTCAAAACTACAGTGAGCTATGATTGTGCCACTGTACTCCAGCTTGGACAAGAGAGCGAGACCCTGTCTCAAAAAAAAAAAAAACCCAAAATTTATTATTTGTTGGGTTTGCGTGTATTTTTCTTCAAGATAAATAGGAAAAAAAATGAGTATCAAGATAAATGGAGCAAAGGGAGCCTCCATTTATAAGTAGAACAAAATTTTGTTGCCAGGTTCAATCTAATTAACTGTAAGTTAAGTATTTTCTACAGTTTTTATATGGTGTAAAATAACAAAGTATGCTGTTTTGGGCCATAGAATATAAGATAATTACAGACCATCTTCCTGAGAAGAGTAATTAAAACTCTAGTTAGGAAATTTAAAGCCTCTTAGTGATTCGGTAGCCTTGCAAAGAGGAGTTTGGTATATTACTATTCAGTGGATTCTTGTTTATCATAGAACCTTCTGAGATGTTCTTGGTCACCTGATGGAAGCAAAATAGCAGCTGGCTCAGCCGACAGGTAAGGATTAGTGGGTGCAAAGTAAAGAATGATGTAGCTGGCCGGATGCGGTGGCTCGTGCCTGCAATCCCAGCACTTTGGGAGGCCGAGGCGGGCAGATCACCTGAGGTCAGTTCGAGACCAGCCTGACCAACATGGAGAAACCCCATCCCTACTAAAAATACAAAATTAGCCGGGCGTGGCGGCACATGCCTGTAATCCCAGCTACTCAGGAGGCTTAGGCAAGAGAATGACTTGAACCTGGGAGGCAGAGGTTGCGGTGAGCCGAGATCACGCCGTTGCACTGCTCCAGCCCGGGCAGCAAGAGCGAGACTCCATCTCCAAAAAAAAAACAATGATATAGCTATGCAGGATGTCTTCTTGTGTTTTATACATAAAGCGTGGATATGGAGCTAGAGCAGACATAGAGTTATGACTGTGCTTGAAGATGAAGCTCTGTGCAGTATGAAGGGTTTCAAAACCGTGTTCGACAAACAGATCATTTCTACCCACTTTGGAGACATTTTAGACCTAGAGGATCAACAATTTGTTTGATTCTGTTGGGTTCCCTTTGCCATCAGAATAAAATTCAGTCTCATAATCTGTCTCTAGTTTCCCTCACCACATTTCTTATTCCATGCTTCAGTTCATTTGAACACATATTAAATACCCACCTCCCCCACCATCACCACAATGCTGCGCACATGGAATTTTCATATTCTAACCTCCTTTTGCGTTCTCACCTCTAGGTTCTCTCTCACATTCCCTCTTCATTATCTAAACTCCTATATCTCTCTAGTAACCACCTCTATGTTACATCCATAAACTGTCCCTGGTCCCCTCTCTCTATTACCTCTTGGAGATAACTAATTGTTCTTTGTGCTGTAATCCCATTTCATACATCTAAACTTTGGTAGCATTTATTACATCTTACAATCAGACAGACAAAGTGAGGTACCTCCACTAAGTTATTTTCTCCTAGAGATTAGGGAATGAATCTTAGTCATTTCTGTGAACCCATGGCACTGTTGTCAGTGCTTGAGCTTTTCTAACCAATTAGTTTATATTACATGAATGAATTCCTAGCTGAAGAATGGCAGTCCAATTTTACCCTGCATAGCAGCTCAGCTATTGGTAATGCCTGCCTGTGTTGGAGATGATTCAGAGCTGTGTCTGGGTTAGTGGGAAGTGCAATGATTGCTAGGTGCAGGGTGTAACAAAATGTGAACTAGGTATTTTCCACCCCATGCTGAATTAATCGGCTAAGGCTTTATGAAATACGAATCTAAACTGGCTCAGGCATTATGTGCTGAATGAGAAACAGAAGGGAGAGAATTCTTCTGTCAGATGCTGTTGTATTTGGCATGTCTGTGGTAACCTGTGCTTGGGGGAGAATCAGAGGTTGAATAGGGATGTCCAGGTGTCGAGTCTGATGGGCTGCAAATGAGGCCTGGTAAAGAACAATAAGACCCTCTGACAGCAAATCCTGTGTTTAGCTCTCATTGGGCAGTGTCTTGACCCTTTTTAGCTTAATCCTATCCTCCCCTTTAGAGTTTCTCTTTCAATCCTACTGAAACAAGCACCATCCTATAAATAGGAAGACTTTCTTGGGCTAGCCAGGGCTTTCAGCATATTCCAGGGTTTTCCTCTATTTGGGGCCCTAACGCTGCCACACAGAAGCTGCACTGTGATCTGTCCCATACCTTTCTATTAATGAATAATTCTGAACATATTTAAATTCCAGAGTCTACTTTTTTTTTTCCTGACAAGTTTAATGCCAAGAAAAATGGACAAGTATTCAGGTATTTTCTGGAGGAAAAAGAAAGGGTCCAGGTGAAAGTGTCACATTGATCATTTGAGTGCAAGTGGTTTAGAGAGCTGCCTAGAAGAGGGAAATCTAAAGAATTTTAAGTTATCAAGTTGCTAGAGAAGACTTCAAGAAACAGACTAAGGTGTCTCATATTCTGATATAGTAAGAACTATCCTAAGTATTTTTACATAATTTTCAGCAGAAAGAGTGTATCTTTTGTAATTAAATTTTTGTTTGTTTTTGAGATGTAGTCTCACTCTGTCGCCCAGGCTGGAGTGCAGTGGTGCAATCTCTGCTCACTACAAGCTCCACCTCCTGGGTTTACACCATTCTCCTGCCTCAGACTCCCGAGTAGCTGGGACTACAGGTGCCCGCTACCACGCCTGGCTAGTTTTTTGTATTTTTAGTAGAGATGGAGTTTCACCGTGTTAGCCAGAATGATCTCAATCTCCTGACCTCATGATCCGCCTGCCTCGGCCTCCCAAAGTGCTGGGATTACAGTCATGAACCACTGCACCCAGCTGTAATTAAATTTTTAAATTATATTTACATACTTTTTTTTTCTGATGAGCAGTTTGTTTCTGGCATTGGCCCTTTCTGAATTGCAATGTCCTTTTTTTCTCTTTTCCTCTCCACTGTTCCTTTAAACTTTACATGTGGTCAATGGTGCACACCTTTAATCCCAACACTCTGAGAGGCTGAGGTGGAAGGATGGCTTGAACCCAAGAGTTCAAGACCAGCCTGGGCAAGATGGCAGGACCCTGTCTCTATAAAAAAAATATTTAAAAAATTAGCCAGGCATAGTAGTGTGCACCTGTAGTCCCAGCTACTTGGTAGGCTGAGGCAGAAGGACCCCATGAGCCCAGGAGTTTGAGGATATAGTGAGCTGCAATCATGCCACTGCTCTCCAGCCTGGGCAACAGAGCAAGACCCCATCTCTTTAAAAAAAAACAAAATCACATGTGAAAGCGTGGTATGAGGAAAGCCTATCCCTCTCTACCTGCTGGGGGTTGGCAAGATTTGACAGGCCACCTCACCAATTGGCCCCAAGTCAAGAAGCAGCTGTGTTACATAAGGCTTCTGGTTCCTGCCAAATGTTGCCATGCCAAAGTAAGGAGAGGGCAAGGAACCCCTCTAAATTTAGCATCTAATTGGCAGCCATCAAGAGTGAGACCTTGAAGTGTAAACCCTTGGAGATCTGGGATTCTGTCTTTTATGTGCCTGGGAAATGTATCCTCAGAAAACTCCTTTTCAGCTTGGCCTGGATTTGGCAAACTTCTCCTTTCTACTAACTAATAACTTACAGATCACCTCCTCATATTCAAACTTGAAACTCTGAATAGTCCTATAGGCTACGGGAAGGCTGACCAGTCTCTCGGCCAAGAGTGATTTATTCAGCCCATTGACTTCATGAGATTCTGTTTTGATGATGAGTGTACTTATAATAACAATAGCTATAATTAATTCTGTGTGCCAGGCACTTTGCATATATTACCTCATTATTTTTCTCAACAAAGTTATGAGATCAATATTTTCTCCATCATTGTAACTAAGAAGCTTAGAGAAGTTAAATGATCTGCAATTATTTAACTTCTCTGAGCTAAGCTTACTTAGCTAGTAAATAGCTGCACTGAGACTTGAACCCCAGTCTTTCTGACTCCAGAGCTCATACTCTTTCACTATGCCATACTGCCCTTTATTGAATTAATGAGGACCAGCTTTTTGTGCATGACAAGAAAGAAGACAGTAGGAAGGGCATGAGTATCAGAGCCATGGAGTCTAGACAGATGGAGTTCCTGCTTCTCTTCCATCTTGTTCAGAACTTACTTTCTATGGAGCCTAGCTGATGACAGCTAAATAGTATAATTAAGAAGCTCTTGTTTATTTGCATTTTTGACCAAAAGTGTAAGTTGGATTAGAACTAGGCATTTTATAATCCAGTACTGGTGAATGTACCATTTTTATGATCAAGTACTGGTGAGTTGTTGATTGCACAAAACAAAATATGTAAATAATTTTAAATACCTGCTTCAAAACTACCAGCCCTTTATATTTACCAACAGATGAATTTTACATCATCAGATTAAGATAATAGCTCTATACTTTACCCTTTAATGACTTAAGCAAGATTGAGGGTCAAAGGAACTTTTTTTTTTTTTTTTTTTTTTAGCCAGTACATTTATGGAGGGTAAGTGAAAGTAAAATACGAGAGTATATTAAGAGCTCCAGAGTCTTGGGTTCAGCTCTGTAGTTTCTGTGGCTACTGAAGAGGTGGTCAGGAACATAGGAACCCCCTGCTGGGCTCCTGGTCACTTCTGTCTGCTCCATGGCAGGAAACCTTCAGCACAGGACATCAAGGCAAGCTTGAATAAGAAAAACAATTTCTTCTTCCTAAGCCATATCATATCAGTTATACAGAAGTACTACTTTGGGACACAGTCTTCAGGAGAGCCTAGATGAGCTCATAAAATCTCAGCAGTTCACTCAACTTGCCCTTCAAGTTTTACTTCAGTTTGATAAGGCTATAAAGTCATCATTGGCTCAGAGGATTAGGAACAGAGTTGATTTCAGGGGCTCTCTAAATACATACAGATTGTGCCATATGCCACGCATGGTGGCTCATGCCCGTCATCCCAGCACTTTGGGAGGTGAAGGCAGGAGGATTGCTTGACGCGAGGAGTTCAAGACCAGCCTTAACAACATAGGAAGACACTGTCTCTACAAAAAAAAAAAAAAAAAATTAATTGAGAAAAACAAAAAGATTCTGTGATAATATGTAGACTTTTGTGAAAATTATGGCCTGTGATGATAAAAATACTGGCTCTAATACTATAGAATGAATAAGGAAAAAATCACATTTTTATGACATCTTCTGTTATTATTCATCACTTTTGAAGAGAAATGTAGAAGTTTTTTTTTATTTATTCTAGCATTGCAGAAAGTACATTGTGTTATTTCAGTATTTCAGTAGTATTTCAGTAGTATTCAGAGTATTTCAGTAGAAAGAAGCTTAAAACTCTATAGCCTCTTACATTACCTTTATTATACAGCATGAAAAAAAACATAATTTTTTTTTTCTTGAGACAGGATCTCACTCTGTCACCCAGGCTGGGGTGCAGTGGTGCCATCTCAGCTCACTGCAGCCTCTACGTGCTGGACTCAATCAGTCCTCCCACCTTGGCCTCCCAAGTAGCTGGGACCACAGGCATGCACCACTACACCTGGCTAATTTTTTTGTAGAGATGGGGTTTTACCATGTTGTCCAAGCTGGTCTCAAGCTCCTGAGCTCAAGCCTTGGCCCCCCAAAGTGCTAGGATTACAGATGTGAGCCACCATGCCCAGCCTCATAATTTTTTTTAATGACAAATAAAAATTTTGTCTTCCTAAGAACATTCTCTAATAAGCTCTTTTTTTTTGAAGAGTTCTAATTTTAGTTACGCCGTTGATGAACTGTATTGCCTTGGAAACGTCACTGTGCCCCAGTTTTCTTATCTCTAAAATAAGGAGTTTAGAGAAGCTGATTTCTTTTTTCTCCTCTTTTTTTTTTTTTTTTTTTTTTTGGAGATGGAGTCTCACTCTGTCACCCAGGCTAGAGGGCAGTGCCACGGTCTCAGCTCACTGCAACCTCCACCTCCCAGGTTCAGGCAATTCTCCTGCCTCAGCCTCCCGAGTAGTTGGGATTACAGGCACACGCTACCACTCCTGGCTAATTTTTTGTATTTTTAGTAGAGACTGGGTTTCACCTTGTTGGCCAGGCTGGTCTCAAACTCCAGACCTAAGACGATCCACGCACCTCGGCCTCCCAAAGTGTTGGGAGTACAGGCATGAGCCACCACTCCCAGCCTAGACAAGCTGATTTCTCTTGGCCCCTTCCCATTCTAGAATTCAGTATTCCTTCTGCCTGTTAATTCAATGGAAAAGTTGGCTCAAGTGAGTATTAGGTTAGCAAACACTATAAATATTTTATATACCAGACACTTCCTGTCCCTTCTCAGGTCTCTGTTTGAATACAGTACTAAAAAGTTCATCTGGATCAGCAGCCTAGGCTCCCACCCTGCCATGAGTTGGGTTACCTTTTAGATTTCCTGGATGAGTATGAAGTTAACTGTAGCCTAATTATACTAGACACTCTGAAAAAGGTTTTTGTGTGATGTCTGCAGGAAAAACTTTCTTTTCTTCCCTGTGGTGTTTCCCATTTCAGAAGCTTGTATTCAAACATGCCAGTCATGCTTATATTTTTAGTTATTCTTATTTCTCCACCCCATTGCTCAAGAGGTGAGTCCATGTCTTATTCAAACTCTGTGTTCCTAGTTTCTAAAAGCCAGAACATGGTTCAGTAAATGTAAGGTAAGTAAATAATTGTTGCTTCCATTTCCTTTAAAAAGCCATGCCTCTGTCCTACCCCCAGCTCTAAGAGGACTTACCCTTGCTTTTCATGATACCTTACAGGTTTGTTTATGTGTGGGATACCACAAGCAGGAGAATATTGTATAAGCTGCCCGGCCATGCTGGCTCCATCAATGAAGTGGCTTTCCACCCTGATGAGCCCATCAGTAAGTCTGTCCCAACGAGGGGGAAAGGGAAACTGGAAATCTCCCCGTAGGGATCCTGGGAATAGAGAGTCAAAAGCGGGTATCTGTTTTATACGAATTTCCATGCAAACAGCCTTTGGGTGTTTTTGTTGTTGTTGTTGTTGGTTTTTTTGTTGTTGGGTTTTGTTTTGTTTTGTTTTTGAGACAGTGTCTCGCTGTTTTGCCCAGGTTGGAGCAATGGTGCAATCTTGGCTCACTGCAACCTCTGCCTCCTGGGTTCAAGCAGTTCTCCTGCCTCAGCCTCCCAAGCAGCTGGGATTACAGGCACCCACCACCATGCCCAGCTAATTTTTTTTTTTTTTTGTATTTTTAGTAGAGACGGGGTTTCACCGCATTGGTCAGGGTGGTCACGAACTCCTGACGTCCAGTAATCCACCCGCCTCAGCCTCCCAAAGTGCTGGGATTACAGGTGTGAGCCACTGTGCCCAGCTGCAAACAGTCTTTATGTGGGTATCAATGTCAGTCTCACCATTGCTCATAAGTGGTGAGAGTAAGAGCAATGCTCCATTTTCTTCTTGATCTCAAAGGGAAGTTGGTAAGTCTAATTTTTTTTTAAATTTACTTCCATCAAGTCTGTTTCAATGATGTATTTGATTAAAAGAAAGATACTTTTTTTTTTTTTTTTTGAGACAGAGTCTCACTCTTGTCGCCCAGGCTGGAGTGCAGTGGCACGATCTCGGCTCACTGCAACCTCTGCCTTCCCAGGTTCAAGCGATTCTCCTGCCTCAGCCTCCCAAGTAGCTGGGACTACAGGCACCCACCACCACACCTGCCTAATTTTTGTGTTTTTAGTAGAGACGAGGTTTCACCATGTTGGCCAGGCTGGTCTCAAACTCCTGACCTCTGGTAATCCACCCGCCTCAGCTTCCCAAAGTGCTGGGATTACAGATGTGAGCCACTGCGCCCGGCCAAGAATGATACTTTTTAATATTTAGATATAAATTTCAGCTTAAAATTTTTTGGCTGGCTAAACCAAATAATTTCAGCCTTGAATTAAAGGAGAAACTGTAACTTTCTCCAGGGCTAAGTATAACAAGCAGAAGCACATTTACAAAATGACTGGCACAGCCATAGATTCCTCTCTTCTAGAATGACTGGGAAAGTCTTTTTCTTGGGGTTTGACTGACAAGGGATGTCAGTATTTAGTGTCTGATAATGTATTTCCCATAGTACAGTCATCCTCATGATATTAGAGGACTTGGATTGAAAAGCCAGGCTACAATTTCCTGTGGATGGTGTTTAGGAGGGGAATTTAAGCTAAGTCCAATTGCTCTTTTATACCAGAATTGGCTCTTGACACAAGAGCCCTTGAGCACCAAGTCTCCTTGAGCCTTCATTATTTCTAGTTATCTGTTCTTTTTACCTCAGTTATCTCAGCATCGAGTGACAAGAGACTGTATATGGGAGAGATTCAGTGAAGATATGGACTGGAAGACTCCAAGGCCGCTTGTCTTTGAGACCTCAGACTGCATAAGTGATGCCAAATGTTGGATGTCCAGGCTAGCACCCTCCCTTCAGATGACCATTGCTAGCAAGAAACAGGAGGCGGTGGCCATATTCCAAAAACCACTTCTGTCCCATTTCACCAGGATGACTAAGGCAAGCTCCCTGTGGCCTCTAAAAACCACCTGCCAGATTTCAGGGACTGTTTTTTTTTTTCTTTTTCTTTTTTCCTGTTTTCTAATGCAGGCCCAATGTGACAAATTTGTTGGTTGGGATTTTTTTTTTTTTTTTGTAACTGGCTTGTATGATATTTTCTTTCTGTATTTCTCTATATCATTTTGTATTAAAAGCCAAATAGATGCCTTTTTACAAGAGCCATGTGGATTGGATTTATTGCTGTCTTTTTTTTGAGGCTTGATTGCTATAAATCAGAATAGAGCATGATGTGGCCACAGAATACAATTCATTTAAACTTCCAAGAAGCTGCTCACTTGTTTTTTTTTCCCCCCTTTTCTGTGTTTTTAGGTTTACTTACTTCCATGAAAATGACAAAGAATAATTATCAGTAACAATACTTTTTTCCTACTAGAAGGATAGCAGCCAGGAGGTGATAAATAAGTTCTAAAAGAACCTGGTTTTGCCAGACGCGGTGGCTCATGCCTGTAATCCCAGCACTTTGGGAGGCCAAGGCAGGCGGATCACCTGAGGTCGGGAGTTCAAGACCAGCCTGGCCAACATGATGAAACCCCGTCTCTACTAAAAACACAAAAATTAGCTGGGTGTGGTGATGCACATCTGTAATCCCAGCTACTCGGGAGGCTGAGGCAAGAGACTCACTTGAACCTGGGAGGCGGAGGTTGCAGTGAGCTGAGATTGCGCCACTGTACTCCAGCCTGGGCGACAGAGCAAGACTCTGTCTCAAAAAAAAAAAAAAAAAAGAACCTGGTTTTGTGTACTTGCATCTGATCTTTAATGAACAGAGCCCGTATTTACTCTGCCTCCTGCCAAAAGAACTTTTCTGAGCAGCATTCTCTATTCTCAGGCTCCTGAAAGTGGGCAGATTTGGGGCAGTCTTAGCTGGTAGAAATGACATTGCCCAGAATGCTGCATCAAACTCAACTCAAATGGAATGTGAGAATGTTTGGGTGCAACTTAACCGTGACATTATCTGAGACATCTTTATGATTCTGTTTACTTGTCTGGCTTTGCATAAACAGACAGGGACATTAAGAAATGCTATTACTTTCCTCCTACCACTAAGACAGGTTACTGTCTCCCTGGATCACTGGGTGACAACACCCAGCACACAGATAGACACTAGTGAATCTCATCTGGCACTGGGGAGTAGAATGTGTTTTTTCTGAATCTCTTATCTCAGAACAAAGAGATCTTCACAGTTCTAACCTGTTCTGAGCATGTTTGGTTGTATACTTTTGGCTCACAAACCTGAATCATCTATTTATCTTAAGTTAGAGAGAGGATATCTACCCTGGGTTTGGGGCATCATCATTCAACAAACACATCAACCCCTATTACGTGGCAGGCATGACCATTGTTGCTGAAGACAGAGATAAATAAGGTACTGTCCTTGCCATCTTGAGAAGTGCACACACCAGTAGAAAAAACCGTCTCAAATTCATTACTTTTTTAAGTGAGCATATGCCAAAGATTTATACAACTCATCAATGAAGGAACCAGCAGGATGGTAAAGCTTTCAAACCAATTACTTTTAATACAGTGAATAACGTTTGAATAAAGTGCACTGGAAACACAGGAGTAAACAATTTATTTTGCCTTGGAGCATTTAGGAAGTTTCACAGATGATGTGATTATGCTTAGATTGGGACTTGGAGGATGAGTAGGGCTTGCCAGGTGGACAAAGAACATGTGCCTTTCAGGAAACAGCAGGCACAAGCTTGAAAGTGTGGCACATTTTATAAACCAGAAGAACTTGAGGATGATTAGAGTTGGGGAGCAGCAAACAGTAAAGTTACAGAACTGAAAGCCAAATCTGAGAAAGCTTGTACTTCATGTACGTGATCCATAGGTTGAGGTTTCCCAAAGTGCATTGCACAGAACACTGTTTTTCAGATAGTTTGTTAGATATTTTGGGGCATAAAGATCCCATGCTCAAGACCAGGTTAAATAAAGTGAAGCCAGTTTATTTACTGCAGGACTGTTTAGAGCCTTTAATATACATAGTATGGTAGAATCTCCAAAGGGAATAGTGACTTTCAGATTTCTGGTCTGAGCAATATATATATATGGTTATGCCTTTAACCAGGAGAAATTTGGACAAAGGTAGTATGCAAGCTGCTTTTCACACCTCCAGCAGTATCACTGAACACTCCCTAATAATCCTTTTTAAGCACCAGGTCCACATACAGGTAGAACATCTGTCTTGGTCCATTTTGCATTGCTACAAAGAAACATCTGAGGCTGAGTAACTTAGAAGTTTATTGAGCTCACAGTTCTGCAGGCTGTACAAAAAGGGTGGCACTAGCATCTGTTTCTGGTGAGGACCTCAGGAAGTTTCCAGTCATAGTGGAAGGCAGAGGGGGAGCAGATGTATCACATGGCAAGAGAAGGAGCAAGAGAGGAGGAGATGTGCCATGCACTTATAAATAACCCATGAAAACTCTACCACAAGGAGGGCATCAAGCCATTCATGAGGAATACACCCCCTTGACCCAAATACCTCCACCTAGGCCCTGCCTCCAACATCGGGCATCAAATTTCAGCATGAGATTTGGAGGGAACAACTATCCAAACTATATCAGCATCCCTAATCCAAAATCCTAAATGCTCCAGAATTTAAACTTTGAGGGCCCATATGATGCCACAAGTGGAAGATCCCACACTTAATCTCATGTGACAGGTCGCAGTCAAAACTTTGTTTCAGCTGGACACTGGCTCACACCTATAATCCCAACACTTTGGAAGGTTGAGGTGGGAGGTTCACTTGAGCCCAGGAGTTTGAGACCAGCCTGGGCAATATAGCAAGACCTCATCTCTACAAATAATTTAAAAGTTAGCCAGATGTGGTGGCACACACCTGTGGTCCCAGCTACTTGGAAGATTGAGGTGAGAATCGCTTGACCCCAGGGGATCAAGGCTGCAGTGAGCTATGACCATGCCACTGCACTCCAGCATGGGTGACAGAATGAGACCCCATCTCCAAAAAAAAAATAACTTGGTTTCATGCACAAACTATTTAAAATATTTTACAAAATTATCAGGCTATGTGTATATGAAACAAATGAATTTTGTGTTTAGACTTGGGTCCCAAGATATCTCATTATATATATGCAAGTATTCAGAAATTGGGTGCAATGAGTCATGCCTGTAATCCCAGCACTTTGGGACGCCAAGGCGAGAAGATTGCTTGAGCCCAGGATTGCTTGAGATCAGCCTGGACAACATGGCAAAACCCTGTCTTTACAAAAAATACAAAAATTATCCAGGTGTGGTGGCATGCACCTATAGTCTCAGCTACCTGGGAGGCTGAGGTGGAAAGATTGCTTGAGCACAGTGGGTGGAGGCTGCAGTGACCCAAGATCCTGCCATTGCACTCCAGCCTGGGTGAGAGTGAGATCCTGTCTCAAAAAAAAATAGTAAAATCCAAAATCTATAACACTTATGGTCTCAAGTATTTTGGATAAGGGATATTCAACCTGTACTTGAAAACCGGTCCAGTCCCTTCCACCCACCCTCATCTTTTCTTGGGTTGGAATACAACAGGGCTTCAACCTTGACACTGCCCTTTTAAAAGCCTACCAATCCCTTGAGAAGTTGGCAGTGATTGGGAAGAGCCAAGACCCTGGAGACTGTGAGGGCTTTCCTCTAACCTCAGCTTCTTCAGTCCCCCCTCAGGTGCCTTCTTCAAGAGGCTGGGTAGAAGCCATTAGCAGGAAATAGCAGCACCATTTAGAATTTGAAGAAAATAGAAGCCCCAGCCTGGGGAATAAAGATTTGCGTATAAAAGATCCCCAGAGGGTGCAGATTGTATTCTCACTTTGGGAGAGAGAGATTGCTCCCGAATGAGTAATGGCATCCCTGATTTTCAGTTAATTTCCCTTTATGACTTCCACAATCTCTAGCACTTAATACTGTTGGCACTTAAAGAGCCAAATTTCTTTTTTGCTGCGTGGCTGAGTTTTGTGGGTTGAATTTTTAGGGAGGCAGATTTTCAGGTTATTTTTCCTTTTTTTTTTTTTTGGCCTCCCTGATATAATAACTACCTTTTCTCCTAGTCAGTAGCCCTAATCCCGTTCAGTCCCAACCCCCTAAACAGTTTATTTACAGGCCAGCCCATCAGAACAAAAATTGGTACTGTCTTCCCTCACCTACTTCCCCTGGTTGTTCAGGGATGGTCGATCCCTTTTCAGGTTAGAGAAGCTAATCCCTGAAGACCTTCATGGGCCTAGTGAAGTTATGCAAGGATGAGTCCTGTAGGGAAGCAGATCCAAGCCTCCAGACGTTGTCTTCTATTTCAAGTAAATAGGTAATAGGCAGAGTTGCTGGTTTCAAAGACAAGAACAATCTTTTTCAGGGATTGGATCTAATAAGCTAGAAAGAACAGGTAAAGGCTTATCAGAGTTGCTTCTTCACAACAAAACTATTTGCTTCTTACTAATAGACTAGAGTCTGCCGCTTACTAACATCTCAAAGTAGAAGAATGGGAAACTGAGGTAAAAGAGAGCTCTGAGCAATTTGGAGCCGTAGGCAGTTGAGCCTTAAAGAAAGGTTGTCAGGCCATTTGGGTTAGGACAGGATTGCTTTTTCCAAGAGTCTTTGGGGCTTGACAGCTGATGTCCCAGGAAGAGGGAGGAGCCTGACTTAAAATGGACAGCCCTGTTCCTGTGGAACCAAATGATGCCAGGTCTGAGCTCTTAGCCTCTTAGCCTGCCCTTTGATCAATTGTCTGTGAACCCCAGACACATAATGATGCTCCTCTGAAAGAAGCCTGCATGGATGGCCATCCTCTGCATCAAGCCCGGGGATGTTCCAAACTCTTTCTTCTAGGCTTCAACTTCTTTTCTTCAATTGACACTGCAACCCACCTAGACTCTTGCATTCTTTTTTAACTTAGATCTTCTAGAGCAGTGCTTCTCAATCTTAGGCAATTTTGCCTCCCAGGGAACAATTTGACAATGTCTGGAGCTATCTAGAGGGGTGCTACAGACATATAAGTGGGTAGAGGCCAGAGATGCTCAAAGAATTAACTGCTTTAGGATGTCATGAGTGATGCTTTTGAGAAATCCTGCTCTAGAGCAGTGATTCTCAAAGTGGGGTCCTGGATCAACAGCATCCACAACTTGAGAACTTCCTGGAAGTACAGTTTCTAGTGCCCCACCAAGGCCTGCCAATTAAATCAGAATCTCTGGCCGGGCGCGGTGGCTCACGCCTGTAATCCCAGCACTTTGGGAGGCTGAGGCGGGCGGATCACGAGGTCAGGAGATAGAGACCATCCTGGCTAACACGGTGAAACCCCGTCTCTATTAAAAAATACAAAAAATTAGCCGGGTGTGGTGGCGGGTGCCTGTAGTCCCAGCTACTCGGGAGGCTGAGGCAGGAGAATGGCATGAATCTGGGAGGCGGAGCTTGCAGTGAGCCGAGATTGCGCCACTGCACTCCAGCCTGGGTGACACAGCAAGACTCTGTCTCAAAAAAAAAAAACAAAAAACTATCCTGGCTAACACGGTGAAACCCTGTCTCTACTAAAAATACAAAAAAATTAGCCAGGCGCGGTGGCAGGCGCCTGTAGTCCCAGCTACTCGGGAGGCTGAGGCAGGAGAATGGCATGAACCTGGGAGTGGGGCTTGCAGTGAGCCAAGATCGTGCCACTGCACTCCAGCCTGGGCGACAGAGCCAGACTCCGTCTCAAAAAAAAAGTTAATTAAAATAAATAAATAAAATAAATCAGAATCTCTGAGGTGGACATCAGATTTTAAAGCCTCCTGAGGTGATTCCAGTGTGCAGTCAAGGCTGAGAACACTGGTGCTGGCCATGGCTAGAACTATAGTCAGGAGGGCAGCATAAAGCCAAGTTAACTTCTCCTTCAAGAAATTTTGGGGGAGTAAAGTGTTCAGTAGTCTGTGTTTTAGCAAGCCATCTGGGAGATTCTGGTGCAAGTTTGAGAACCACTGTTCTACAGGCTCGGAAAGTTTTAATCTTTCCTAGGAGAGTGCTAGAGCCTTGTCCTGTTTACTTATTAATAGTTGTCCTTGGCCAGGCATGGTGGTTCACCCCTGTAATCCCCGCACTTTGGGAGGCTGAGGCGGGCGGATCACCTGAGGTCGGGAGTTTGAGACCACCCTGACCAACATGGAGAAACCCCATCTCTACTAAAAATACAGAATTAGCCAGGCATGGTGGCAGATGCCTGTAATCCCGCTACTCGAGAGGCTGAGGCAGGAGAGTTGCTTGAACCGGGAGGCAAAGGTTGCAGTGAGCCGAGATCGCGCCATTGCACTCCAGCCTGGGCAACAAGAGCGAAACTCTGTCTTAAAAAAAAAAAAGACAAAAAAAAAGTTGTCCTTGGCCAGGCCCCAGTGGCTCACACCTGTAATCTTAGCACTTTGCAAGGCCAAAGTGGGAGGATCACTTGAGCCGAGGAGTTCAAGACCAGCCTGGGCAACAAAGCAAGACCCCCATCTCTACAAAAAAATTTAAAAAAATTAGCTGAACGTGGTGGCATGCACCTGTAGCCCCAGCTGCTTGGGAGCTGAGGTGGGAGAATCACCTGAGCCCAGGAGGTTGAGGTTGCAGTGACCCGTGTTTGCGCTACTACACTCCAGCCTGGATGATAGAACGAGATAGTCTCAAAAAAAATTATTTGTAATTTTTAATCTTTTTAAAAAGAAATTTTACCTTGAATCTCTGATCCTCCAACTTTTTACTTAAAAATTTTCAAATACAGGCCAGGCGCAGTGGCTCACGCCTGTAATCCCAGCACTTTGGGAGGCTGAGGCAGGCAGATCACAAGGTCAGGAGATCGAGACTACGGTGAAACCCTGTCTCTACTAAAAATACAAAAATTAGCCGGGCGCGGTGGCGGGCACCTGTAGTCCCAGCTACTCGGGAGGCTGAGGCAGGAGAATGGCGTGAACCCAGCAGGCGGAGCTTGCAGTGAGCTGAGATTGTGCCACTGTACTCTAGCCTGTGTGACAGAGCGAGACTCCTTCTCAAAAAAAAAAAATTTCAAATATAAAAATTGAGAGACTAATGTACTGAACATCTGTATGCCACCTAGATTCAATAATTCAAAATCTTTTCACTGTCACACACATGTATGTACACACATACATATTTGACTTTCACTGGCCATTGAAAGTAAGATGCAGACGTACTCCATAATAATTTTCTTTTCTTTTCTTTTCTTTTTTTTTTTTTTTTTTTTGAGACGGAGTTTCACTCTTGTTGCCCAGGCTGGAGTGCAGTGGTACAATCTTGGCTCATTGCAACCTCCGCCTCCCATGTTCAAGCGATTCCCCCGCCTCAGCCTCCCGAGTAGATGGGACTACAGGCACGTGCCACCACGCCCAGGTGATTTTTTGTATTTTAGTAGAGATGGGGTTTCACCATGTTGGCCAGGATGGTCTTGATCTCCTGATATTGTGATCCACCCACCTCAGCCTCCCAAAGTGCTGGGATTACAGGTGAAAGCCACTGCGCCCGACCCTAATTTTCTTTTTTTTTTAAGATAGGGTCTTGCTTTGTTGCCCAGACTGGACTTGAACTCTTGGGATCAAGCAAGTCTCCCATCTCAACCTCCTTAGTACCTGAGGCTACAGGTGAACACCACCACACTGAGCTCAAACATCATAATTCTTTACTCCCAAATATTCTTAAATTAATATATATAATATATTATATATATGTTATATATATTGTGTATATATGTTATATATATATTGTGTATATATGTTATATATATTGTGTATATATGTTATATATATATTGTGTATATATATGTTATATATATATTGTGTATATATATGTTATATATATAGTGTGTATATATATATATATGTTATATATATAGTGTGTATATATATATATATATATTCCAGTAAGCATCTCCTAGGAATGTTCTCTATTACCATACCTCAGAAGATTAAAAACAATTTCCTAATACCATCTAATGATCATACCAGCACCAAAAATGTCTTATAGCTATTTTTCAATCAAAGATCTATCAAGTTTTATATTTTGGCTATTCTTTCTAGTGTCTCAATCTGGAACAGTCCCCTGACCTTTTTTCCCAGTGAAATTGACTATTTAAAAGTATGTGGACCAGGCGCGGTGGCTCACGCCTGTAATCTTAGCACTTTGGGAGGCCAAGGCAGGTGGATCATTTGAGGTCAGGAGTTCGTGACCAGCCTGGCCAACATGGTGAAACCCCGTCTCTACTAAAAATACAAAAATTAGACAGGCGTGGTGGCATGCACCTGTAATCCCAGCTACTCTGGAGACTGAGGCAGGAGAATCGCTTGAGCCTGGAAGGCGGAGGTTGCGGTGAGCCAAGATCATGCCACTGCACTCTGGTGGGCGAGAGAGTGAGACTCTGTCTCAAAAAATAAATAAATAGGCCGGGTGCGGTGGCTCACGCCTGTAATCCCAGCACTTTGGGAGGCCGAGGCGGGCGGATCACGAGGTCAGGAAATCGAGACCATCCTGGCTAATACGATGAAACCCCGTCTCTACTAAAAAATACAAAAATTGAGCCAGGCATGGTGGCAGGCACCTGTAGTCCCAGCTACTCGGGAGGCTGAAGCAGGAGAATGGTGTGCACCCAGGAGGCGGAGCTTGCGGTGAGCAGAGATCGCGCCACTGCACTCCAGCCTGGGTGACAGAGCGAGACTCCATCTCAAAAAATAATAATAATAATAATAGTAAATAAATGAAATTTAAAAGGTACGTGGTTTTGTATGTTGCTTCATAATATTGTTGTGCTTGTTTTATGTTGATAAGACTCTGAGACAGAGTCTTGTTCTGTTGCCCAGGCTGGAGTACAGTGGTGGGATCGTGGCTCACTGCAGCCTCAACATCTTGGGCTCAAGTGAGCCTCCCACCTCAGCGTCCCAAGTAGCTAGGACTACAGGCACGTGCCACGACACCTGGCCAATTTTTCATTTATTTTTTGTAGTAACAGAGTCTCCTGATGTTGCCCAGGCAGGCCTCAAACCCCAGGGCTCAAGCAATCCACCCACCCCAGCCTCCCAAAGTGCTGGGATTACAGGCATGAGCCACTGTGCCCAGCCAATAAATGTTTTAAATGACTTAGCATCAACTAAAATGGATACTCCAGGAAGATTTACTAACTACATTTACCCTATGCTTTGTGTCTTCTCACTTACTTGTTTTAGACCAGTTATCAATTCAAATACAATCTAATAAAAAAAAAAATACAATCTAATACACGTTGTCAAAGGCATACCTGCAAAGAAGGCAATGCATAGGGAGGAGTTAGGAAAAGTTTTACTGAGGGAATAACATGGGGTGAATCTTTGTTGTTGTTGTTCCTTTTTTTTTTAAGCTGGAGTCTTGCTTTGTCGACCAGGCTGGAGTGCAGTGGCCTGATCTCGGCTCACTACAACCTCTGTCTCCCGGACTCAAGCAATCCTCCTGCCTCAGCCTCCTGAGCAGCTGGGACTACAGGTGTGCACCACCACACCCAGCTAATTTTTGTATTTTTAGTAAAAACAGAGTTTCGCCATGTTGCCTGGGCTGGTCTCAAACTCCTGACCTCAAATGATCTGCCCACCTCGGCCTCCCGAAGTGCTGGGATTACAGGCGTGAGCCACTGCATCCAGCCTAGGTGAATCTTAAAGGAGGATCAGAAACTGTGGAGAAGGGAGGGAGCTGGGAGTGTGGGTAGGGGCCATCTAGATAGATAGTGGAATAAACATGGACAACAACACAGATTGCCAAATCTGGTGTGTTCAAAAATAACACACAGCGTATGTGGTGACAGCATGTTGGGGGAGTAACAGATGAGTAGGAGCCTTGGAAAGTGATGGAGCCAAATTATGAAAGGCCTGGAAAGCCAAGTTGGCAGCTTTGGCTTCGTCCTATGGAAAGGGAGCCACCAGAGGGTTCTTAGTACTCTGCACAAGAGGTCAACCACACCTGAGGATGCCTTTGGTTCTGGGTGCCCTCTTGGGAAGTCATTGTGGGGAACAGTTGTAGGAACTAGGGAAGAAGACAGGTAAGATCACTGCCTTAAACAGCAAAAAGCTGCCTTGGAAAAGAGAGGAAACACTCTTATTCTGGGATGCCTCAAAGTGCAGAGCCAAGACAAAGTGAACCATAAGAAGGCAGATTTATACTGAACAAAGAAAGAGCAACAGGCCAGGCATGGTGGCTCATGCCTGTAATCCCAACACTTTGAGAGGCCTAGGCAGGCAGATCACCTGAGGTCAGGAGTTCAAGACCAGCCTGGCCAACATGGTGAAACCCCATCTCTACTAAAAATCCAAAAATTAGCCGGGCATGGTGGCACATGCCTGTAATCCCAGCTACTCGAGAGGCTGAGGCAGGAAAATCGCTTGACCAGGAGGTGGAGGTTGCAGTGAGCTGAGATCAGGCCACTGCACTTCAGCCTGGGTGATAGAATGAGACTCTGTCTCAAAAATAACAACCAAAAAAAAGAAAGAGCAACCATCAGAGCTGTTTCCAGAATGGTAGGGAGTTCCTCATCTCTGGAGGTATGCAAGCAGAAGTTGGGTGACCATTAGACAGGAATTCCTGTCGGATCCATTCAGAGGATTAGAGCTACTCATCAGAATCCCTGGGGAGTATATTAAAAACACCCATAACCAGGTCCCACCTCCACAGATTTTGTTTGATTTGGGCTGGTGTGGAGCCCTGATTCAGATGCAAGTGGTCTGTACACTAACATTTGGGAACTGCTCCATTTAGAAGTCCTTCCAGTTTAGCCAGGCACGGTGGCTCACACCTGTAATCCCAGCACTTTGGGAGACTGAGGCAGGCAGATCACTTGAAGCCAGAAGTTCATGACCAGCCTGGCCAACATGACAAAACCCCATCTCCACTAAAAGTTCAAAAAGAATTCAGCCGGGTGTGATGGTACATGCCTGTAATCCTAGCTACTCAGGGGGCTGAAGCACAAGAATCACTCAAACCCAGGAGGCAGAGGTTGCGGTGAGAGGAGATCATGCCACTGCACACTGCACTCCAGCCTGGGCAACAGAGTGAGACCCTGTCTCAAAAAAAAAAAAAAAAGTCCTTCCAGCTCTACTGTTCTGTGATTTTAAGATGACAGTTTTCCTCAGACTCAAAGATGGTAATTTTAGGATCCTAAGAACTGTTGGCTGAGAAGAGACACCTGGATGAGGCCCTATGGAAAATGACAAGGAGCGGGGAGCAGCAGGGAGTTGAGAATCTCATCAGGGCATTTGGGATGTGCTAGAGGGGCCAGGCTTGAGCTGACTCCATCTGTCTTCCTATCCTAGTTGGTCCCTAGACAACCCCAGTGCAGCATAATGACTCAACACAGTAAGGGGCCAATCGGCGAGAAGGCCTCTAGCCATCTCTCCTTGTCCCCAGCTCAACTGGCCTGAGGGCAGACTTGAACTGAAAACCCACATGGTTTCCAAAGGCTGGTGGAAAGGGAGATTTGTCTTGGCTGTCAACAGATTCTGTGCTAAAGACTGGACCCCACAGTCCAGACAAGAAGAGTAAATTTTCACCAGGCACAGTAGCTCATGCCTGTAATCCCAGCACTTTGGGAGGCTGAGGCGGCCACATCACCTGAGGTCAGGCGTTCGAGACTAGCCTGACCAACATGGAGAAACCCTGCCTCTACTAAAAATACAAAAATTAGGCCGGGTACGGTGGCTCACATCTGTAATCCCAGCGCTTTGGAGGCCTAGGCGGGCGGATCACAAGGTCAGGAGTTCGAGACCAGCCTGGACAACATGGTGAAACCCTGTCTCTACTAAAAATACAAAAAATTAGCTGGGCATGGTGGTGCTCACCTGTAGTCCCAGCTATTCGGGAGGCTGAGACAGGAGAATCGCTTGAACCCAGGAGGCAGAGGTTGCGGTGAGCCGAGATCGCTCCACTGTACTCCAGCCTGGGCGACAGTGCGAGACTCCATCTCAAAAAATATATATACAAAAATTAGCTGGGAGTGGTGGCTCATGCCTGTAATCCCAGTTACTCGGGAGGCTGAGGCAGGAGAATCGCTTGAACCTGTGAGGTGGAGGTTGCAGTGAGCCAGGATTGCGCCATGGCACTCCAGCCTGGGCAACAAGAGCGAAACTCCATCTCAAAAAAAGCAAAAAAAAGAGTAAATTTTCTACCAGCTTTACTGCCATCAGAACTGTTTAGGATTTCCTGCCCTAGATCCCTAGACGCTGCCATTCATATACACCCTGTCCTAACCCCTAACCTCTTCCCTTTTTCTTGACCATTCTTTCTGATCAGAGATTTTGTTTCTCTCCTTTTTTTTTTTTTTTTTTTTGAGACAGAGTCTCACTCTGTCACCCAGGCTGGAGTGCAGTGGTGCTATCTCATCTCACCACAACTCCGCCTCCTGGGTTCAAGTGATTCTCCTGCTGTAGCCTCCCAAGTAGCTGGGATTACAGGCATGCGCCACCACGCCCAGCTAATTTTTGTATTTTTTAGTAGAGACGGGGTTTTACCATATTGGACAGACTGGTCTCGAACTCCTGACCTTGTGATCCACCTGCCTCGGCCTCCCAAAGTGCTGGGATTACAGGCGTAAGCCTCTGTGCCTGGCCTGTTTCTCCTTTTAATATTTGCTCTGGAGGTGAGATTTGGAAGATAGTTAGTTAAAGGAAGTAACTTACAGTAATGGCAGTAAGGAGGCAAGAAGAAGTAAAAAGTGTGGGTGGAAGTTAAAGAAAAGAGGGGTCATAGTTCCTGAAAAAGTATGGGCAGAAGTTAGACACTTCTGCCGTGCAAGTTGGCTCATATCTGTAATCCCAGCACTTTGAGAGGCCAATGCAGGTGGATGGCTTGAGCCCAAGAGTTCTGAGACCAGCCTGGGCAACATGGTAAGACCCCATATCTACTAAAAAAAAAAAAAAAAAGGGAGAAGAAGAAGGAGAAGGAGGAGGAGGAGGAGGAGAAGGAGAAGGAGAAGGAGAAGGAGAAGTTAGACACTTGTGTGTCTGCACATCTTTTCTTGTTTGGAAACCTATATTTCAGGCATCATCTTTTCTCTGAAATTTTTCATTACTGCCTAATCCCGAGCAAAGTTAATTATTTCTTCCACTATTCTGTTTATGTACCTCATAGACGCTATTGCCAATCTATGTATTGCTTATAACTCTCTTTATATGTTTTGCCTCTCCAACAGGCCTAAGAGTCACAAACTTAGATGCCAGTAGAGGCCAGAGAGGAAAAACAACTGGTGAAGCTGCTGAGTTTAAGACAGTGATCAGTGGACAATGCCACACTGTTGGCCACTGTATTAACCTCAGGTCTTTATCCCAGGGCTTTCTTGGGCACACCTGTGCCATTCATGTTTGCTTCCAAAGCTCCTAACACAATACCTGGCAGAGTAACCAAACCGAAGTGACCCAGAAGTGTTGAGATCCAACTCTGCCCCTAAGGTGCTATGTAACTGTAAAGAACTCAGTCAGCGTCTCTGCCCTTCAGGTTCTCCCTTTCTTTCTCTCTCCCCTCTTCAAAAAAAGGCACCTTGAAGATCATCTAGGCCAATGGGTTTTCTACTTTGTTCGTTAGAGGCCTTGGACTGAGGAGCTGATTTTGGAGGCCTTCACAGAAGGCAAGGGCACATTGAGAGAGCAGGTTGCTAGTCCTCTTTCCCTATACAATCAGACAAGTTCTACTTTTTTCTGTTTTAGAAATGTATGCTTTCTTTTGAAGAAAAGGGTCTACTGTTAGAAAAGTTTGAAAACATAACAAATGGTACAGGCAAAGTTGTTCTGCCTGGGATCAAATCCTATTCTATGACTTCCTTGTTATATGACCCTGGGCAAGTGATCTAACCTCAGTTTCCTTATCTAGAAAATGGAGATGATGATAATAGCACCTACCTCAAAGGATTGTAGTGAGGTTTAATGAGTAAATACATAGAAATTGTGCCTGGCACATCGTTTTTGTTTTTTTGGGTTTTTTTTTAGGCAGGGTCTTGCTCTGTCAGCCAGGCTGGAGTATAATGGCACAATCATGACTCACTGCAGCCTCAAATCCCTGGGCTCAAGTGATCCTCACGCCTTAGCCTCCCAAGTAGCTGTAAGTACAGGCTTGCACCACCACACCTGACTAGTTTTTTAACAATATTTTTGTAGAGACAGGGTCTCGCTACATTGCCCAGGCTGATCTCGAACTCCTCAGCTCAAGCAATCCTCCCACCTCAGCCTCCCAAAGTGCTGAGATTACAGGCATGAGCCACCACACCCAGCCTGGCACATAGTTCTTGATAAGTGTTGGCTACAGTGGTATAATACAAAAACATATTTGGTCTTTGTCCCTGGATCTTGGGAATTTCCTGAGCAATAGGAGTGTTTTTTCTTATTCATAAGCCCCTTCTATCACACTTGAGTTTACCCTAATGAGGTGACTTAAGTAGAGCCCCTAGATCTAGGGATGGGACTAGTCACCAGAAAGACCAAGTGATGAGAAGGTTGGAAATTTCAGTCCCACCCACTGACCTCTGAGAATGGGGGGTGGTGCTGAAGATTGAGCTATATGAAAACTCTTGAACAATGAGATTCAGAGAGCTGGGTTGGTGAATGCATCCACAGGCCAGGAGGGTGATGCTCCCTGACTCTTCAGGGACAGAAACTCCTGCACTTGGGACTCTTCTGGACCTCACCCTGTATACTTCTTCATCTGGCTCCTCATTAGTATCCTTTAAAATAAACAGACAAACGTAAGTAAAATGCCTTCCTGGATCCTGTGAGCCATTCTAGCAAACTATTAGAACTGAGGAGGGGATAGCAGGAACCCCCAATTTATAGCCAGTTTATCAGCAGTATAGCTGGGTGGCCAGAGACTTGTGACTGGTCTGAAGTAGGGGCAGTCTTGAAGAACTGAGTCCTTAACCTGTGGGGTCTACACTAACCCCTAATAGCTAGGGTCAGAATTGAACTGGATTGCTGGCCACCCAGTTGGTGTGAAGAATTTGGCTGATGTCAGAAAATATCCCAGAGGCTGTAATTAGTGAGCATGTTCAGTCCTCTAACTTGAAAGCAGGGAAATTATTATGTTTAACAACTCAGCTATCTTATAAGTGAACTTTCTCAGAAGCCTTTAGTGTTTTAACCCACAGAGAGACTAATGGTGGAAGACTGAAACACTGACAAGCCTTGGTTCAGGGCAGGGGAGAAAGTTCTTAACCCTCTAGAAATCTCATCACCTCAGCAGAACCCACCATGCTTCTCTCCGGGCTGACCATGCCTCTGTCTTCTCGCTCAGGAAGTGTGGATATATTCTGAATCATCTCTCTCCTTTATTTCCAAACCCTGCTTCATTCTCCCCACAGCATTTCTTTGGCCCAAGGGTTAGTCATCCTTCAAGGTGAATATTGATGTCATCCCCAGCTCCTAGCCCCTCCAACTTCTTGCCAAAGATGTTTCTATCTGTTCCTACAGTTAGGCTGTCTTCCTCCGTAGAACCCTGACTTCCAGGTGGTAAAGAGGGCACAAGATATGCTGGGCACTGAAGCAGGAACGACAGGAGTGCTGGGTGTGCAATCATTCATTTGCTACACATTTGCTGATTCCTGCCCTGATCCTAGCCCTGTAGGATGTAGAGATAATTTATGACGTAGTTGCTTAAGAGTGGAAGTATGAGAGGGCATCCTGTGTGCGTGAATTCGTCAGGGCAGCACTTGCGGGAATGAGCCAGGGGCAGAGGTTAATTCTACTGAGGTCAGACAGGCCATCCCCACTCCCACAGGACAGACTTATGAGTGAGTCAGCCAGGCCTTGGAATAGAGGTTACAGGCATGACCAGATATAGTCAAGAGCCGGCAGGGGTGGTCAGAGCCCCAGTGGGAATCCACTGTTACTATAGGAATTAAATGAGATAATGCATGTAGAAGCTTGGCTCAGAGTAAACACTCAATAAATGGTAGCTATTATTGTCTTTTTGTTATTGAGTTGCATTGTTAGCCTCACAGAGGTAACTGGCAGAGATTATATCTGGAAGAGGCCCAGCAGAGGATCTGGTAGAGAACGTTACATCTGGGCTGAGCCTTTGTGGAGGTGGTTCTATTCTTTTGTGGGAAATGGACTCTTTGGAGAACCTGACGAAAGCTGTGCCTCTCCCCAGAAAAAGGCACAGCTGCTCACATGATGCTTTGCATATTATTTCAGGGACTTCACAGACTCCTGGAAGCCTGTCTAGTCACGGAACCTGGTTGGACACAGCTGTTATTTGCCAAGCATGGCTGAGAAAATTTCCTGCTGTTCTGCCAGGCACTGTGGCTCACACCTATAATCCCAGCACTTTTGGAGGCCGAGGCAGGTGGATCGCTTGAGCCCAGGAGTTTGAGACCAGCCTGGGCAACATGGCAAAACTCTGTCTCTACACAAAACACAAAAATTAGCCAGGCATGGTGGTACACGCCTGTAGTCCCAGCTACTCGTGAGGCTGAGGTGGGAAGATCAAATGAGCCTCGGAGGTCAAGGCTGCACTGAATTGTGATCTCTCCATTGCACTCCAGCCTGGGCGACAGAGCGAGACCCTGTCTCAAAAAAAGAAAAAGAAAAGAAAAGTTCCCACTATTAGCTTATTGACCCAAGTGAAAACTTCAGCACACATAGGATATTCAACGGTGGGGATATTCTGTGTCTTTTAAAATACAAAGTGGTATCCTGCAGAATGGGTGGAAGAGGGAGACCTGTGAAGAGACCCATCTTTTTTTTTTTTTTTTGAGGCGGAGTTTTGCTCTTGTCACCCAGGCTGGAATGCAGTGGCACGATCTTGGCTCAGTGCAACCTCCGCCTCCCGTGTTCAAGTGATTTCTCCTGCCTCAGCCTCCTGAGTAGCTGGGACTACAGGCGCCTGCCACCACATCAAGCTAATTTTTTGTATTTTTAGTAGAGACAGGGTTTCATCATGTTGGCCAGCCTGGTCTCAAACTCCGATCTCAGGTGATACACCCGACTCAGCCTCCCAAAGTGCAGGGATTACAGGTGTGAGCCACCACGCCCGGCCAAAGAGACCCACCTTAAAGTCCAGGGAGAAGACACAATTGGCTTCATGGGCATGTGACCTCTGCAGTCACACAGGACCCTGCATGTTTTGTTTTCTGTTCTTTGTTTTTTTGAGACACCGTTTCACTCTGTCACCCAGGCTGGAGTGCAGTGGCACAATCTCAGCTCACTGCAACCTCCATCTCCTGGGTTCAAGCAATTCTCATGCCTCAACCTCCCAAGTAGCTGGGATTGCAGGCACATGCCACCACGCCCAGCTAATTTTTGTATTTTTTTAATTTTTATTTTTTGAGATGGAGTCTCACTCTGTCACTAGGCTGGAGTACAGTGGCGTGACCTTGGATCACTGCAATCTCCGTCTCCTGGGTTCAAGCGATTCCCCTGCCCCAACCTCCCTAGTAGCTGGGATTACAGGCATGCACCACCACGCCTGGATAATTTTTTGTATTTTAGTAGAGATGGGGTTTCACCATGTTGGACAGGATGGTCTCGATCTCCTGATTATCTGCCCGCCTTGGCCTCCCAAAGTGCTGGGATTACAGGTATAAGCCACCACGCCTGGCCTAATTATTGTATTTTTAGTAGAGATGGGGTTTTGCCATGTTGGCTAGGTTGATCTTGAACTCCTGACCTTAAGTGATCCGCCTGCCTTGGCCTCCCAGAGTCCTGGGATTATAGCGTAAGCCACAGCGCCCGGCCCCCTGCATGTTCTTGACTTCACGCTCTGCTGTGTTGCCATCTTGAAATTCTTAATTTTTTTTTTTTTTTTAGATGGAGTTTTGCTCTTGTTGCCCCAGGCTGGAGTGCAGTGGGGTGATCTCAGCTCACCACAACCTCTGCCTCCTGGGTTCAAGCAATTCTCCCACTTCAGCCTCCTGAGTAGCTGCGAATTACAGGCATGTGCCACCACACCTATCTAATTATTTTTTGTATTTTTAGTAGAGACAGGGTTTTTCCATGTTGGTCAGGCTGGTCTCGAACGCCTGACCTTGTCATCTGGCCAGGCCTCCCAAGTGCTGGGATTATAGGCATGAGCCACTGCGTCTGGCCGAAATTCTTAATTTTTTAACAAGAAGTGCTGCATCTTCATTTTGTGCTGGGCCCCCCAAACTATGTAGCCAGTCCTGGAAGAAAACAGTGACACATTTATTTGCATGCTTACTATGTGAGCAGCAAACAAGTGACAGTGCTGGAACCGGGACCCAGGCCGTTTGGGTCCAAAACCACGGGTCCTAACCTACATCTTACCATACTTCCTGTCTCTCGAATCAAGAGGGCTAGTGAGAGTGGAGAGGAAGGGAAAGAATAAGAACCTTCTGTTTCTTCCACCAGAACACTCTTCACTCCCCTGCCTCTCCTTCCTTCCTATTGTCGTCTCAGTATCAGTTTCGTTTCCTCAAAGAGGTGTTTCCTGGTCCCCAAACCTAAATTATGCCCCTCTCATTCTCTCTTTTCTCCCTTAGTATTTTATTTATTATTTATTTATTTTGACAGAGTTTCGCTTTTGTCGCCTAGGCTAAAGTGCAATAGCATGGTCTTGGCTCACTGCAACCTCCACCTCCCGGGTTCAAGCGATTCTCCTGCCTCAACCTCCTGAGTAGCTGGGATTACAGGTGCCTGATACCATCCCTGCCTAATTTTTGTATTTTTAGTAGAGATGGGGTTTCACCACGTTGGCCAGGCTGGTCTCGAACTCCTGAACTCAGGTGATCCACTCACTTTTGGGAGGCCGATCTCCACTCAGGTGGAGGTTGCAGTGAGCTGATTCAGCCTCCCAAAGTGCTGAAATTACAGGTGTGAGCCACCGTGCCACGTTTCTTCTTTAATATTCTTTAGAGTATTCATCAGAACTTTGCGTATTTATTTGTATATTTCCTTGTTTTAATGACAATCCCTCACTAGACTGTGTGCTCAATGAGGGCAGAGATTTTGTCGGGTTTTGTTCCCTTATCCCCAGCAGAGAACCTGGCACATAGTGGGTATTTCATAAATGTTAGTTGGAAAGTACAGTTTATAGAATGTAGTGACAGATCAGATGTAATTGTAGGGAAGCCTGGAGGATGACCTAGGAAATTCCACTTGGGTGATGCTAATTGCCAAGGTGAATATAGGAAGTTAGGAGTGGGACAGGAATGATTATGTGGATTTGAGATGTGTCCAGTTCGAGGGCTTTTGGGGGTGGCTTGGAGAAGGCAATCTTCTGCTGGGAAACTTCTGACTCTGTCCCTACTGCAGCCCAGGGTAGGGGCTCCCTACCTCCACCTGGGCAGATCTCTGCCATCACCCATCTCACTGGCGTGCTCTTGGGAGCCTATCTGTTCCCTGGGCGGTGCAGCTCTACGGGATTTGGAACAGTGTTGCAGGTCTCATCTCTGGCTCGCAGGGCCCCCAGGGGTGTGTATGCAGTCAGGGCTCAATAAATGCCAGTAGACGGAAAGAAGGAAGGCGAAAAATGTGGCCAGACACTCAGGGGAGAGGCTGGGGTGAGGAGCAGATCTGGGAACGTAAATAGAACTAGAAGTCCAAGTTGGAACCCTGGAGCCCTAGAGACAGGGTGGACAAAAAAGTGTTCCAAGCCAGGAGGCCAGGCACAGGGCTAAGCGCTTTATTCACATGACTGCATTTCATCTTCATATCTACACTAAAGAGGCATAATTATTCCTACTTTGTTCATGAGAAAACAGGTCCAGAGAGGTGACGTGATTTGCCCAAGGTCACACAGCGAGTGAGCAGCAAAGTCTGGATTTGACTCAGGGCTGTTGTCCCCTAAGCCCGCACGCACTCTTCCACTTCACTCCCTGCCTCTCCAACCCTCCACCTCCCTATCCCTCTCCCCTCCCCTCCGGCGGCTCCCCCGCCCCACCCCTCTGCCGTTCCCCCCAACTCCCTCCCTGTCGGTGGCGGCGGCGGAGCCACGTGGTGGGGCCGGGAAGCCGCGGCCGACGAGAGCCCGGGCGACTGCCCCAGCTGGGCAGTGCTGCTCTGCGCTGCGCCGCGCTCGGGGCTCGCTCTCCTTGCTCCGCGCTCCCCGCCAGCCGCCCCGGGGCAGGAGGCGCGCCTGACGGACGGCCCGCTAGACAAAGGAGGCGCGGCTCGGCGGGGCCAGCGCGCGGACGGACGGACCATGGACTCGGAGCGCGGGCGGCCGGCCCCAGCCTTGGGGACCGGACACTCCCGGGCCCGGCCCTAGGCGCCCGGCCCCGCCGCCCGGCGCGCCCAGCGGGGAGGACGTGGAGCCCGCGCGGCGCGAGCAGGCGGCGGCCGCGGAGCAAGAAGGGCGCCGCGGCGTGCGGCCCGCGCAGCCCCCGGAGCCATGGGCAAGTGCAGCGGGCGCTGCACGCTGGTCGCCTTCTGCTGCCTGCAGCTGGTAAGCGTCGCGTGCCCAGGCAGTCGGGGCAGGGTGGGGCGCGGCGGGGCGCGGTCCCAGGGCGTGCGGGTGGGGTTGCGTGTGTCTCTGTGTGTGTGTCTGGTGCGTGTGCCCGGGCGGGGGGTGGTCTGGAGTCTCGGAGCGGTCGGGCGGAGCCTGCTCCCGCTGGCCGGGCTGTCTCTTTGTGTGCGCTTCTCGCTGCTGTGCCCGGCGCTCCTCCGGTCCCCAAGTGCGTCCTGTGCGCGAGTCCCCGGCCCGCCCGCACTGTACAAGTGGCCTCCTGTTGGGGGATGCGCTGTGGGACGGTGGCTTGCTGGGACTGGGGGTGTGTCTGAGGCTGATCTGTGGATCCGTTGAGGTCCTGCTGTGTGTTTCCCTCTAGATCCCTCGTTTGCATGGGTCTCTCCCTTCCTCTGGGTCTCTGCCTCTGATCACCACCCCTGTGTGAGCGTTTCTCACAAAGTCTCTGCTCCGGCGTGTGTCTCTCAGGGTTTCTCTTTGGTGTGTCTCTAAATCGCTGACCATTTCTGGCCCATGTTCATCTGTGTTCTGGGATCTTAGACTCCAAGAACCCTCCAATCCTTTGTGTTGTTTCTGCCTCCCTTCACCTTCCTGACCGGGCAGTCCTGGGAAAGGAGAGCCACCTCCCTGGAGAGGGTCACCAGGAGCTGCCAGATCCTGGGCCAGCCTGACCCAGCCTGGACCACACTTCCTGCTTTGGTCTGGCCGCTGTGGCCATGGGGGTTCCATCAGTCATCAGTTCCACCCACCAGAGCAGCTCCTCTGCCGGGGCCAGCAACAGTGGGGATGGGGACACTTGGGTGCCCTAGGGAGGACCAGAGCATCTGAGGACACTGTGCCTAGCCCCAGCATAGGGAACTCAGGTTCTTGTCTCAGGGAGGAGTGACTGTAGTGGACTAGAAGAAACAGCACTGCCCTTCAAATCAGGCCCTGGCAGGGGAATTTGGGAGGGTGGTTAAGGAGAGGCAGGGGTCTCCTACCTACCCTAGAGCTGAGATTGAACAACTAGGGAGGTTGAAGCTGTGCTTCTCCTCTAGGCAGAGGTGCATGGGGACCTCCATCGCCGAACCCAGGTCTGAGAGTGGGCAGCGAGGAGCCTGAGCCCCCCTCATGCTGGACTCCTTGTTCTGGGTTTCCACTCTTGCCTGCATCCATCACGCCCTCCCCACCACAGGAGCCAATGATAATGTAGAGTGAAGTTTTGAGCCTGGACATGCAGACCTCCTCATTCGTCTTGCTTCTCTCCTCCTGGGGACACCAGCTTCAAACATGCCATCCACAGACCTGGCCTGGGCAGTGGTGGAAACAGCCCTAGCTCTGGAGATTGTAGCCCTGCTCCCAGCTGTGGGAGACTGGACAAGTGACTTCCCCCCACTGGCCGGCCTCAGTCTTCTTATCTGTAAAATGATTATCCCTGAGGATTGCAGAGGGAATTAATTAAGATCAGGTGGAATGGGAACTCCAGAAGGGCAGAGATTGTCTGTTTTTCTTTATCTACTTTGAGGAACATGAAATGCCAAGAAATGTTTAAACCTTTCAGAGGATTCTTCTGTGTTTGTTAATTTTTTAATTTTAAACTAGGGGTTTTTTTTAATTAGAAAAGTAATATACATATATTGTAAAAAATAAATACATACATAATCAAACAGGACAGATAAATAAAAAGTAAGTTTTCTAGGCCAGGCATCGTGGCTTATGCCTGTAACCCCAGCA
The DNA here is from genome assembly GCF_000001405.40 of Homo sapiens. Taxonomy (NCBI): domain Eukaryota; kingdom Metazoa; phylum Chordata; class Mammalia; order Primates; family Hominidae; genus Homo; species Homo sapiens. The sequence continues at coordinate 31,237,759 of NC_000001.11, read as the reverse complement.
CTTTGGGAGGGCGAGATGGGCAGATCACCTGAGGTCAGGGGTTCGAGACCAGCCTGGCCAACATGAAGAAACCCCATCACTGCTGAAAATACAAAAATTAGGGGTGGTGGCACGCATCTGTAATCCCAGCTACTCGAGAGGCTGAGACATGAGAATCACTTGAACCCAGGAGGCGGAGGTTACAGTGAGATGAGATCACGCCGCTGCACTCCAGCCTGGACGACAGAGTGAAACTGTGTCTCAAAAAAAAAAAAAAAGTTTTCTTCTCTCTATAACTAGACCCCTCCCCAAAGGTGAACCTGTTAGCAGTTTGTCCCATGCTCATTCTCTGTTGGCGATAATAACGGTTAGCTTTGGAGAGCCCTTGACTAAGTGTCAGGTACTCTTGGAAGCACTTTTCCAGGTATTAACTCATTTAATCCTAACAGCCCTATGAAGTAACTTGTCCAGAATTCTACAGGAACTAGGACCCAGGCTTTGTTTTGGGGGTTTTGTTTTTGTTTTTGTTTGAGACATGGGCTCACTCTGTCATCCAGGACAGAGTGCAGTGGTGCAATCATAGCTCACTACAGCCTTGACCTCCCAGGCTCAAACAATCCTCCCACCTCAGCCTCCTGAGTACCTGGGACTACGGGGGCACACCACCATGCCTAGCTAATTTTTTTGTGTTTTAGAGGTGGGTCTCACTCTTGTTGCCCAGGCTGGTCTCAAACTCCTGTGGTCAAGCCATCCTCCCACTTCAGCCTCCCAAGTGCTGGGATTATAGGCATGAGCCACCACATCCAGCCAGGATCCAGGCTTTGAATCCAGGCAGTTGGCCAGGTCCTCTGTTGCCTTCTTAATTATAAAATAAGTAGTTCTGGCCCTGGTAAGTCTGGGGCCCCATGGAAGGAGCTCATGGCTCTAGAGAGAAATGAAGGTGGTAGAGTGTCTCTCTGCCTCCCACTTCCCTTCCTCCATAGTTCTCCCTTGCTAAGCTAACCCCACTCTTCCACTTAGAGGAGCTCACCAGCACTAGAGGCTTGAGTTAGATGAGACCTGGGTGGCATTCTGGTTTCTCCCACATCCCGGCTGGGTGGCTTTGGGCAGCTTGTGAAGGTTGCACAAGATCATTTGCGGGAGGAACTTGAAAATTGCTCTCTTGGCTCTGTTGCACTATCTGGGCTCATTGCAGAGTGGGCCCTCCAGTTGTCACTAACCTCCATGAGCCCCTACTGCCTGATAGCTTCCATAATGTGCCCCGGGATGTTGGAATTCACCAGCCTGAGGGGAGAAGGGAGTCTTGGTTTTCTCATCCAAGGGACTGAAGGGAAAAAAGAGGCTGTTAAATATCTTTCAGCTGAAAACTTAGGAGGAACTGTGTCATTTTTCTTTCTCAAATGGAGTTTAATCGTTACAATGAATCAGGCCAATTCGAAACATTCTTCCTCAGTTGGGATAGATGTGATTTGGGTGAGGGAGTGAGGTGTGAGGGTGCCATGGGGTTTAAGGGAAGCAGGTAGGGACTGTGCCTTTCAGATGGATAAGTGTAGGATAGTAGTTAAGGCTCTGAAGTTTGACAGGACAGACCTGGCTTTTAGACCTGGTTCTGTCACTTCCTGGCTATGCAATTTTGGGCAAGTTGCTTACCGTCTCTGAGCCACATAGTTTTGTCATCTGTTAAATAGAGAGAATATAAAACAGTTCCTAATCCTTAGGGTTGTTGTGAGGACTCAGTCCATATAATGAATTTAGCACTCTGGCAGGTACAGAGTGAGTACTCATTAAACTGTAGCTTATTGTTATTATCTTAATGATTCATATCATGGGATGTGTCTGTGGCACTGTAGCCCAAACATATCCAGGTGACCCCCTGCACTGTCCTTTGTGGACTGTCCTTTGTGGGAAGTAGCAGGTAGTTGGGCACTGAGCTGAGAGGCAAAAGACCTGGATTTAAGCCTGGCTCTGCTTCTGACATCCTGCAATTTGGGGCAAGTCTCTTCCACACTCTAGGCTTTGGTTTTTCCATCTGTAAAATGGGAGGCATTATTGGTCTGGCTCGCTGGGATCCTGCCAGCTGTACTTGTCAGGAACTCAGGGTGGTGCCTGGACTGGCATGTTTTGTTTATTTATTGTTTATTTTTTAGAGATAGGCGTCTCACTGTGTTGCCCAGGCTGGAGTGCAGTGGCAATCATAACCCACTGCAGCCTCAAATTCCTGAGCTCAAGTGACCTTCCCACCTCAGCCTCTCAAATAGCTGCAGCCTCAAATCCCTGAGCTCAAGTGATCCTCCTACCTCGGCCTCTCAAATAGCTGGGACAACAGGTGCATGTCACCACACCTGGCTTTGGCATGGCAGTTTTGTTGCATCTTGATCCGGTTCCTTTCTGTAGAACATCTTGGGTCCCTTGCTTTCCAGAATTCTTTTTGGTGTATCATTTTGACAACATTATTAACATATTCACCCTCTAATTTTTAATCCCGTGCCTTTTCTCTCTCCTTTCCAAACCCAGCTCTTCCTTGTTCACCTCCTTCCTGAAACCTTACAGGCCACTCTGTTCTTCCTGGAAGGGGATGAACCAGTGAGATTTGCCCTAGGGAATCCCCATCAATTTCTTCATCATCATCATTATCATTCCCATTTCAGGAGTCCTGTGCTAAGCACTTTATATGCATTACCTCATTTAACCAAATGAGCATACATATGTAAAGTGCTTGGCAAAGTGCCTGGTGCATGTTAAATGATCAATAAACGTTAGCTCTTTTACTGCTTTCATCCTTCTTATTGCAATTCCACACAGTGGGGTAGATGTGTTTATTATCCCCTTTTTCAGGTGAGGAAATTGAGGTGCGAAGGGGTGTGACGTTTGCCCAAGCTCGCTAAGCTAGTCAGTGACAGAACCAAGATGCGAGGACTCTTCTGTCTGAACAGAGAGCCACCCTCTCAGCCCCGTGCTACTCTACTGCTCGCGTTTAACCAGTGCTTGACCCCAGACAGGTCCAAGCCTGCGTTTCCTCATCTGAAAATGAAGATGATCATATTTCGATAGCCTCATGTGTAGTGCCTGCACTGTGAGCCAGTGAGTGCCCAATAATAGATCACTGCCATGGTTGTTTCTGTCCCAGCTCTGTGTGACCTTGGACACACGCATTCACTCCTCTGGCCACAGTTTCTTCCTTTGTAAAAGAGGAAGAGTCATCTCTAGCCCACAGAGTTGTAGAAAGGGCTTCCTTGGCCAGGTGCCAGACACATAGTAGGTATTCAGAAAAATGTTGGTTTCATTCTTTTCCCTTCTAGAAAGCTCTTTGCTTTCTGGAAGGTGGGGGCGGGGGGCGGGATGTAGCTTCCAGCTGAGCTGCGAGTAATGGTGTGAAACATGGTCAACCTGATTGATGTCGTTATTAGCAATAGTGACGGCGAAGACCAAAGGGAGATGGGCTCCAGCAGGGGCCTGCACTCTGGAGCAGCTGCAGCTGCAAGCTCACGGCTTCCTCGGGAGGGTCTGGTTCTGCTTCGGGTGCTTGAGGTCCTTGGGCCGGGTATCAGAGTCAGGAGCGTGAAATTATGCAGGCCACTGGCCCCTTTTGTTCCTCATACCCCTTTGGACAGAGTTGGCAGGGATGATCAACTCCCTTTTGTGAATGAACAGACTGAAGCCAAACTGCCCTCGAGGCCCTTATGAGATGGGCGGAGCAGGGTAGAATGGAGAAGAAGGCCTCCAGGGGACCTGGGGATGGCCCTGGTTCTCCTCCTTTATAAGGGTAGGTGAGTGGATGGTTTTTAAATAAGCAGCCCATAAATGGCAGCTTCGCTGAGATCTGGCACAGGGGCTAGGAGCACTACATCTGGGATCAGGCCTTGCTTTGTGACTCCCAGGAAGTCCTGCACCCTCTCTGAGCCTCTGCCTTCTTACTTACAAAGTAGTCAGAAAAACAGCTTCTACCCCACGAACGAGCCCATGGCAGTTTGGGGAATTCGCAAGTTGATGCCGGGATAGCCAAGTACGGTCCCTGGCCTAGGAAAGTGCTCTCCAGGGCTAGCTATGATTTGCCTTGAGACTTGGACAAGTCACGTCAGCCCCATCTCTGCCTGTATTAGAGGATTTCGTGATCAGGGTCATTCCCACAAACACTCCAGCTCTTCTTTATGTGGAAAATATGGGGCTGAGTGGGAAATTAACATAATGAGAATTTCTTTTTGTTTGGTGTCTGCTATGAGCCAGGCATTGTACTAGGCATTTTATATATGTCTCTTGCTACTGTGTGGCTTATCCATGGCCACATAAATGATAGGTGCAGAATGAGTATTCAAACTCAGATCTGGGACTCCACAGCTTCTCCCTGCATGCCCCATTGCCCCCTGCTAGTATTGTGGGACGCTGGAGTGGAAGCAGGTGGAGAAATCCAAACCTTTCCTCAGCCACAGGGCTTGTTACCAGATGCCAGATCTAACTGCTTACACAGATGCCCCCTCTCCCCATTCTACCCACCCCCAAGCTCTGTGCTGGACTTAAAAGAGCTGTGATGCACGGCTGGGTGCGGTAGCTCACACCTGTAATCCCAGCACTTTGGGAGGCCGAGGCATGCAGATCACTTGAGATCAGGAGTTCGAAACCAGCCTGGCCAATGTGGTGAAACCGCATCTCTACTAAAAATACAAAAAATTAGCCGAGCGTGGTGGTGGGCACCTGTAATTTCAGCTACTCGGGAGGCTGAGGCAAGAGAATCATTTGAACCTGGGAGGCGGAGGTTGCAGTGTGCCAAGGAGCTGTGATACAGATTGAGAAAACCAGGGAATAAAGTAACCTGTATCTACAAGTGATCCATCCTCATAACAACTCTATGAGATAGGTGTGGTTTTTATACCCATTAACTGATGGACATACTGAGGCTCAGAAGGGTAAAATGACATCTCTCCAAGGAAACAGGAGATAATAGTCTGAGCCTCAGAGTAGTCATCAAGGGGAAAGGGTTTGAGAACAATTGTTATAAAATCTGGACCAAGCAGAGATAGTCAGCTCTGATCACTGGAACATGTTGTCTCCTCTAGTCAGTCCTTTTATTTTTTATTTTGTATTTTTTTATTCTATGTGGTAGGAGACTCCCAAACTACTCTTCTCTAGTATTAAGGAGAGATGGGTGACAGGAAGGCAGACTAAGGCTACAGGTGTATTTTTAAAAACTAGTTCCAGGCCAGGTGCGGTGGCTCACACCTGTAATCCCAGCATTTTGGGAAGGCAAGGTGGAAGGATCGCTTGAGCCCAGGAGTTTGAGACCAGCCTGGGGAACATAGTGAGACCTCCCCCACTCTCTCTCTCTCTCTCTCTCTCTCTCTCTCTCTCTCTCTCTCTCTCTATATATATATATATATATATATATATATGAAGTAGGCCAGACACGGTGGCTCATGCCTGTAATCCCAACACTCTGGGAGGCTGAGACAGGTGGATCACCTGAGGTCAGGAGTTCGAGACCAGCCTGACCAACATGGTGAAACCCTGTCTCTACTAAAAATACAAAATTAGCCAGGCATGGTAGCTCATGCCTGTAATCCCAGCTACTCGGGAGGCTGAGGCAGGAGAATTGCTTGAACCTGGGAGGCAGATGTTGTGGTAAGCCAAGATCACGCCATTGCACTCCAGCCTGGGTAACAAGAGCGAAACTCCGTCTCAAAAAAAGAAAAACAAAAAGGTAAAAACTTAGCTGGGCATGGTAGCATGCACCTGTAGTCCCAGCTACTGAGGCAGAGGGGAGGATTGCTTTTGCCCAGGAGCTTGAGGCTGCAGTGAGCCATGATTGCACCACTGCCCTACAGCCTGGGCAACACAGTGAGATCCTGTCTCAAAAAAAATTAAAAAAAAAAAAAAAGCTAGTTCCAGCCAGGCACAGAGAGACAAACTTCAGATGTTCTTACTTATTTGTGTGAGCTAAAAATTAAAACAATTGAACTCGCCAGGTGCAGTGGCTCACGCTTGTAATCCCGGCACTTTGGGAGGCCAAGGCGGGCGGATCACAAGGTCAGGAGATCGAGACCATCCTGGCTAACACTGTGAAACCCTGTCTCTACTAAAAATACAAAAAATTAGCCGGGCGTGGTGGCGGGCGCCTGTAGTTCCAGCTACTCGGGAGGCTGAGGCAGGACAGTGGCATGAACCCAGGAGGCGGAGCTTGCAGTGAGCTGAGATGGCGCCACTGCACTCCAGCCTGGGTGACAGAGCGAGACTCCGTCTCAAAAACAACAACAACAACAACAACAAACAACAACAAAAACAATTGAACTCATGGAGATAGTGCGTAGAATGAGGAGGTTGGGCACTGTGGGTCACGCCTGTAATCCCAGCACTTTGGGAGGCCAAGGTGGGTGGACTGCTTGAGCTCAGGAGTTGGAGACCAGCCTGGGTAACATGGCAAGACCCTGCATCTATTAAAAAAAAAAAAAAAAAAAGTAGAATAAGGATTACCAGAGGCTGGGAAAGGTAGTCGGGGAGTGGGGAGGTTGTATAAAAACATGGTTAGATAGGATGAATAAATCTTGTCTTTGATAGCACAACAGTGTGACTACAGTCAACGAAATTTACTGTACATTTAAAAATAACTGGATGGTGCAGTGGCTTACACCTGTAATCCCAGCACTCTGGGAGGCCGAGGCGGGTGGATCACTTGAGGTCAGGAGTTTGAGACCAGCCTGGCCAACGTGGTGAAACCCCATTTGTACTAAAAATACAAAAAATTAGCTGGGCATGGTGGCGGGCACCTGTAATCCCAGCTACTCAGGAGGCTAAGACAGGAGAATCACTTGAACCTGGGAGGCGGAGGTTGCAGTGAGCCAAGATCGTGCCACTACACTCCGGCCTGGGCAACAAGAGCAAAACTCCGTCTCAAAAAAAAAAAAAAAAAAAAATAACCCAAAGAGTATGATTGGATTATTTGTAACACAAAGAAAGGATAAATGCTTGATTTACCCTGATGTGACGATTGCACAGTGGATGCCTATATCAAAATATCTCATGTGCCCCCTAAATATATATACCTACTATGTAACCCACAAAAATTAAAAATTAAAAACATTTTTTAAATTGAACACTAGATCCAGGCCATGGGGGGAGAGCTGGGTTTAGGCCCAGGAAGCCAAGTCCCAGTGCTTTGCCTGGCTTTCCCTGCCCTGGCCTGGAGAGGGATGTCGATTGATTCACAGATGAGGGAGAGCTTCAGAGAGCAAAGCAAACTTCCCCTAGAGGCACTGAATGAGCAGTAAGGTTTTAGAAGAGCCGTTAAGTGTGGTTGCAGGTTTTCCTGATTTACATTGGCCTCCTGGCCCCTCTCAAAGCAGCTGACAAATCCAGAGACAAGGAGGTGGACTGGGAACTGGGAAGAACCCGGGCTTTGGGGTCAGGCTGGGATTTGAGTTCCAGCTTTGCCTCTTTGTAGCTGGATGACCTTGAGCAAGAAGACACCTAACCTCTCTGAGCTTCCACTTGCACTTCTCTAAATCAGGATAATGATCATCTACTTCAGAGAGTTGTTGGGAGGCTCCTTTGAAATAAAACGTGTGGAGTGGGAGCTCACAAAGGGGGTACACTCTTGAATGCCCAGGATATGAGGCTGCAGGTTCTGCAATCCGAGTACTGTGGGGTAGGAAATGAGATGACTCCCCTTTCTCAATGAATGGAAGGCTCAAGCTGGAGCAGCAGTTCTTCTTCATCTGTGTGGTCTTGGCATTGCTGGACCGTGGTCTTCTCTTCTGTAAAATGGGAATAATAATAGCACCCACCTCATAGGACTATAATGAGGGCAACCTGAGATAATGCAGGGAGAGCCGTGGGCACAGGCTGCCACTCACTAAGAGGGGTTCCAAGATGAAGGCGTGGCCTCTTTGGGCCTCTCTCTTGCTCTGTATGGGGAAAAGGTTGGACTCATCATCTCAAAGGACCCTTCCAGCTCTGAGTCAGTAATGAGCTCCTTCTCTTCCCAGGTGGAGGTAAGAGGTGCTGCCTGGCCCACCTTGTTGCAGGCAGTGGTGACTGATGGAGTGTCAGGGCCTGGGGTCAGGAGGAGACTTCTGCCTCTGATGGCTTGCTCAAGACTTTACACCTGGGTGTCAGGTTGTCAGGGACTCTGGTGACCTCATCTTTCTCCTGTCTGTCTGTCTGTCTGTCTGGTGAGCTGAGATCACGCCATTGCACTCCAGCCTGGGTAACAAGAGCGAAACTCCGTCTCAAAAAAAGAAAAAAAAATGTAAAAGATTAGCTGGGCATGGTAGCATGCACCTGTCGTCCCAGCTACTGAAGCGGAGGGGAGGATTGCTTTTGCCCCAGAAGTTGAGGCTGCAGTGAGCCATGATTGTACCACTGCACTACAGCCTGGGCAACATAGGCTGCACTGCTCCCACCCCAGATGCCCATGTAGCATATTTTGATTGTAAGATGAAGTCTCAAACTACAGAGATTCAGAGCTGGGAGGCTTGTGGCCCATCACTCACCTCCAGCTCACCATAGGTGAGCTTCCTGAACTACAGAAAGACTAATACTCTTGGGTCAGAGAGTGAGAATTGCCTCTAGCTAACTCTACCTGGAGTTGAATCCAGCAAATATTTATCAAGCACACACAAACTGCCATGCATGATTCTAGGTGCTGAGTCACCTTAGTGTATGAAACATGCCCTCAGCTGCAAGACAGAATGCCTGGGTTCTAGTACTCACTGCTGTGCAACTTTGAGTTGGGCCTGGCCTTCTCTGGGCCTCATTTATCACAGCCTATGAAGTGGGAAATGAGAGGAGAGTACTGAACTCTGTTAGCAGCTTTCAGACCCTCCAGAGGCTCTGCAGGGGTGGGGGCTGATAACCAGGTGGTGAGTTTCCTGTCCTAGGCAGTGGGATTTATGTGTGGCCAGGCCTGGTGGCTCATACCTATAATCCCAGCACTTTGGGAGGCTGAGGCCGAAGGATGACTTGAGGCCCGGAGTTCAAGACCAGCCTGGGCAACACAGTAAGATCCCATCTCTAAAAAAAATTTTTTTTAATTAGCTGGCCATGGTGGTGCCAGCCTGTGGTCCTAGCTACTGAGGTGGCTGTGGTAGGATGATCACTTGAGCCCAGGAGGTCAAGTGTGCAGTGAGCCGAGATCATGCCGCTGTACTCCAGCCTCAAACAATGAAAAAAAGCAAGAAAGAATTTATGTGTAGGTCGGATGACTGCTTGGACATGTAGTGGATCTAGTGATGACCCAGATCCCTTGGAACCACTCAATGCTGGTTCTAGGTCCTGAGAGGACAGTGCTAACAGCACACAATGATATCTATAATTATGAACATTTCTGTGAGCTCACCATGTCCCCTCTCCTTAGCATACTTCTTCCCACCCCATACCTCAAATCACAGGGCCTGGTGAGCTCATGGTACAGGCAGTAGGGGAAATGGAAATCTCTAGGCATTTTATCCCTTTGCCTGCTCTGGCCACCCCTTGCCCTAGAAGGACAAAAATTCTGAGATTTTCAGGATAAGGATTGGTTCCTAAGCCTGTTTTTTGGGAGGAGGTGGGCATGTTCCACAGCCCCAGCCTGAACCAGAGATGTGGGTTTTCAATTACACAATTAAATGCACAATTAGGCATAATTACCAGTGCTCAGAGCCCGAGACTGCTCATAATAGGCGTGTAATCTACTGCAGCCTCTGTTTATACTACTCAGCGCGCTCCCTAATGATGCCAGGATGCCTTCACACTGCACTGTTGCCATGGAGACAAGCCCGCCACCACCATGCAAAGCTGACAAATGGTGTTCTGGTCTTGGGCCTTTGGATTGTTTCTGAGGCTTCTAACAGCCAGCACTGGAGTGGAGGGGCTGGCCAGGGGGACAGGAAGGTGGGGCAACCCTCCCTGGACTCTGACACACCCCACTGGTTCAGGCCAGCGTTGGAGCCACCAGGGAGGACAGGGGAGAGGAGCATCAGCCACCTCTCACCCCTAGAGTCCTCAAGCCATGAGCAGGATGGCCCGGGGCCATGAAAGGTCTTGTGGTTATCCATTCATACATCTCACGCTATCATGGAATCAAAGGTCTGGACAGGGGGTCCTGCCTACACCAGGTTCAAAGATAGGCCTGGCTCTGCTGTGAACTGGCTCTGTGACCTTGGTTGGGCAAGTCCTTGGCCCTCTTGGGGGCTGTGCTTCCCCGTATATAAAATGGACTGCAGGGTCTCTGCACATGGCATAGTCTAATAGAGAAGATTTACTGAGCACTTATGACCCACCTCATTCTGCTGTAACTGCTTTACCTGGAGTGGCTCATTCATCCTCATGGCACCCTGTGGGGTGGGCACAGCTACTACCTCTATTTCACCGAAGCAGAATCTGAGGCTGAGAGCAGTCACATCCAGCAGTGGCAGAGCTGCGCAAACCCAGGTCTTGCCCTTAACCCCAATGCCACATAGCTTCACATGTGCCACCTGAGGTCATCCTCACAACAGCCCTAGAGGTGGAACTTTGTCACACCCATTTCCGTTTCCTAGATGAGGACTCTGAGGCTCAGAGAACTGAAGTCACTTGGCCAAAGTCACGCAACGAGGCAGCGGCAGAGCACAGTCTGGCTGGTGCCAACAGCCAGGGTTCCTACCTTTGGCTTCTTAGTGGAACTCATAAAGGGGTAAAAAGATTTCCTTTGGCTGGGCACAGTGGTTCACACCTGTAATCCTAGCACTTTGGGAGGCCAGGGCAGGCAGATCACTTGAGGCCAGGAGTTTGAGAACAGCCTGGCCAACATGGTGAAATCCCGTCTCTACTAAAAATACAAAAATTAGCTGGGTGTGGTGGCGTGCACCTGTAATCCCAGCTATTCAGGAGTCTGAGGCACCAGAATCACCTTGAACCCGAGAGGCAGAGGTTGCAGTGAGACGAGATTGCAACACTGCACTCCAGCCCGGGCAACAGAGCAAGACTGTATCTCCAGAAAAAATGATTTTCTGGCCGGGTGCGGTGGCTCACGCCTGTAATCCCAGCACTTTGGGAGACGGAGGCGGGCAGATTACCTGAGGTTGGGAGTTCGAGAACAGCCTGGCTAACATGGTGAAACCCCGTCTCTACTAAATATACAAAATTAGCTGGGTGTGGTGGTGCACGCCTGTAATCCCAGCTACTCCAGAGGCCGAGGCAGGAGAATTGCTTGAACCCGGGAGGCGGAGGTTGCAGTAAACCGGGATTGTGCCACTGCACTCCAACAACCTGGGTGACAGTGAGACTCCGTCTCAAAAAAAAAAAAAAAAAAGATTTTCTTCAACAAGCACATACCATGGAGCCCCGATATCCCCATCTGGCCTGGCCCCAGCCACCGAGGAGTCAAGGAGTCCCAGGGTCCCTTAGACCCAGCACTTCACTTTGATCTTGAAGGAAATTTTGGTCTAGCTCTTCCTCTATCAGCTCACCCCCACCTTGGTCACTAGAAGTGGGGCTTGTTTTTACAGGATTTTTTTTTTTTTGCTGCATTTCTCTGTAATTCAGCACATTATTTATGGATACCTACTATGTGCCAGCCCCTGGGGACACAGATGGATCACATAGTGGGTTCAAATCCTGGCGCTTAACGCGGGATGCTGGGCAAGTTGCTTGACGTCTCTATACCTTGGTTTCTTCATCTGTAATGAAGGCGACAGCCTGTTCCTTGCAGGGTTGTTGGCAATGTTAGCAATAACAACTACCACTTATCAAGCACTATGTGCCAGGCAGTCAGCTAAACCTTTTATATTCCCTGGGTGAAGCTTCATAACATAATCTGTCATTCCCATTTAACAGATGAAGCAACTTAAGGCTCAAGAAGCATAAGTTGAGTGAGGTAAGTGGCAGAGCAGGCACCTGAGTCCAGAGCCCTTGCTCCTCCCCACCCAGTGTCCCACCAGCATGGAGGTGGCAGTCACCGAAATGTGAGTTTCTCCCACCTCTTCCCTACAGCCTCCAGCCAGCTTCTCCTGGAGGAATGAGGCATTTGAATGGAGGGGTAATCTGAGGGAGACAGTGCCCACCTGAGAGGGGCATAGCCCAAGACTCTATCTGGCTGCATGAGTCCCCCCGGACATCTTAAATTCTAGTTTTCTGAGAGGGGGGCTCTCACACATCACCTCCACCCTCACACAATGTAGCTGGGAAAACTGAAGTCCAGAAATGGACTGTGAGGCGTGGTGGCTCATACCTGTAATCTCAACATTTTGGGAGGCCATGGTGGGTGGATCACTTGAGGCCAGGAGTTCAAGACCAGCCTGGCCAAGAGTGCAAACCCTGTCTCTACTAAAAATACAAAAATTAGCCAGGCATGTCGGTGGGTGCCTGTAGTCCATTCAGCTGGGTGAGGCATGAGAATTGCTTAACCCAGGAGGCAGAGGTTGCAGTGAGCCGAGATTGTGGCACTGCACTCCAGCCTGGGCAACAGAGTAAGACTCTGTCTTTAAAAAAAAAAAAAAAAAAAAAAAAAAGGCCGGGCATGGTGGCTTATGCCTGTGATCCCAGCACTTTGGGAGGCTGAGGCGGGCAGATCATGAGATCAGGAGATCAAGACCATCCTGCCCAACATGGTGAAACCCCATCTCTACTAAAAATACAGAAATTAGCCAGGTGTGGTGGCGGGTGCCTGTAGTCCCAGCTACTTGGGAGGCTGAGGCAGGAGAATTGCTTGAACCCAAGAGGTGGAGCTTGCAGTGAGCCGAGATTGTGCCACTGCACTCCAGCCTGGCAATGAAGTGAGAGTCCGTCTCAAAAAAAAAAAAAGAAAAGAAAAGAAAAAGAAATGGGCTGTGGCTTGCCCAAGACCACAGTCTAAGTCAAGGGTATTTGATCCACAAATCTCCATGTGCAGTGTCCGCTGGCTTTGGGTCCCACTCTCAACTCTACCCTTGTTAGGTGGGCACTGCCCCCCTCAGGTTGCCCCTCCATCCAAATGCCTCATCCTCCAAGAAAAGCTGGCCACCCTCCAAGAGAGGAGGCACTAGGGAAGAGGCGGGAGGAACCCACATTTGGTTGACTGTCACCTCCGTGCTGGTGGGACACCGGGTGGGGAAGAGCAAGGGCTCTGGATCCAGGTGCCTTCTCTGCCACTCACTGGCTCTGAGGCCCCGGGCAGGGCACTTACGCTTCATGATCCTCAAGTTGCTTCATCTATTAGGAAACTTCTTGTTAACTTCCTTTTATTCCCCACCAGTCTGTTGGAGAGGGACATTTGGGGGCTGTGGTATGTTTCTGTGTTTGTATGTACAGCTAGCTGGTCCCCAGCTTACAGCTCACAGTGGTTCAACATGGTTTTTTGACTTACGATGGGTTTATTGGGGTGTGGAATGCATTTTCGATTTAGGATGGCTTGATTGGGATGTGGCCCCGTCGTAAATCAAGGAGCATCTGTATTCGAAACTGCACACTGCTGCATGCCCCAGCATTTGTGGGGCGGACACTGGCACGTAGAGATTTGTGGATCAATAAACATCCCTTCCCGCTTCCTCCCTGTTCATTTATTCATGAACTCTGAACTCCTTGGCTCCAGAGAAACTGCCTGGAAGAAAGCAATTAGAGCATAATTAGAACCACTCCTATCATCGGCTCTCAGAGGGAGGGAAGGGGGCTGCTGGGGCATGGGGGGATGTCCCCAACCTCTGCAGCTGCCCATTCAGCTCCTACTCACCCCATGGAGCTCAGCCTCCCCAGAGTCCTGGACACTGGAAACCGCTTTACAGGGAGATGCCTCATCCCTGGAGGCATTCAAGCAATTGATAAGGCTAGGGAGGAGAGCTGTCTGTCTTGCATACTGAGTTAGAGTAGATGATCTCCAAGTCCCTTCCTTGCTGAGCTTCTTGGGTGCTCCCTGCCAGGGACTGGAACAGGCATTGCAGGAAAACTAAAAAGTATAACATAGCTCCTGCTTTCTAGAAAACATTCGTTCAGCAGATTGTAGTGAATGAAGACTACAAGGACAATAGGAAATGCAGATTACCTGGAGGAAGCAATTTACCAGGCAGGGTTCCATTCATTGCCAGGTGATTAATGGTAATAATAACAGTACCAGCAGTCGGCTGGGCGTGGTGGCTCACGCCTGTAATCCCAGCACTTTGGGAGGCCGAGGCAGGCGAATCACGAGGTCAGGAGATCGGGACCATCCTGGCTAACACGGTGAAACCCCGTCTCTACTAAAAATACAAAACATTAGCTGGGTGTGGTGGCAGGGGCCTGTAGTCCCAGCTACTTGGAAGGCTGAGGCAGGAGAATGGCGTGAACCCAGGAGGTGGAGCTTGCAGTAAGCGGAGATCGCGCCACTGCACTCCATCCAGCCTGGGCGACAGAGCGAGACTCCGTCTCAAAAACAAAACAAAACAAAACAAACAGTACCAGCAGTCAATGTTTATGGAGTATTTCTTTCTTTCTTTTTTTTTTTTTTTTTTGAGATGGAGTCTTGCTCTGTCTCCCAGGCTGGAGTGCAGTGGAGCAATCTCAGTTCATGGCAACCTCCGCCTCCCAGGTTCAAGCAATTCTCCTGCCTCAGCCTCCCGAGCATTTGGGATTACAAGCACCTGCCACCATGCCCAGCTAATTTTTGTATTTTAGTAGAGACAGGGTTTTGCCATGTTGGCCAGGCTGGTCTCAAACTCCTGACCTCGGGTGATCCACCCACCTCAGCCTCCCAAAGTGCTGGGATTACAGGCGTGAGCCGCCGCGCCTGGCCGTTTATGGAGCATTTCTGATCCCAGAGCCGCTGCTTTTCCCCAGCAAGTGTCCCAGCATCAAGGAGTAGCCGCCTGAGAGCAGGTGTTCCTCCCTCCCTGAAGAAAAGAGGACAAGACGCAGGGAGGTGCCAGGCACTGTGCATCTCACTTCAGATGCATTTCCTCAGTTGGTCCTGCAGTAACCCTAAGAGGTAGACACTATTATATGGATACTATCTCCCATGTACAGATGAGGAAACTGAAGCTCAGGGAGTGACAGAGCCTGCCCAACATCACACAGTATTTGTTCAGGACTCTAACCCAGGCCTTTTGGACTCCAAACTCCTTGAACTTTGCACTTCACCAGGTTTGAGGGTGCAGTTTGCTCTCTCTTCCTTTCCCCTCTCCTGAGCTTCAGTTTGGGCCTCAGTTGTTCTGAGCTTCCTTGTTGGGGAGCCTTGAAAAGCTGTTTAATGTGCTCCTCTGCATCCGTCTCCTGGTTGAAGAGGATGCATTGAGTCCTCCTGTTCCTCTTCCTCTCACCCTGCACCAGCTGAAGAAAGAATGGGAGAGCCCCACCACTGGTGACGGGTCACCACCCCCAGATGGGTCCATACCCTGCCTTGGCAAAGGAAAGTGAAGGCCTGGCAGATGACAGTCTCTGGCCTCTTGACCCTCTGTAGGACTGTGCCCCCTTTATCTGAGTGACAGGTGGTCACCCTGGCAACAGGCCCTTTGCCCAGCAGGGGTCCCTGACTTCCCAGTAGCCACTTCCCTTTCACGTGTGAAGATACACACATGTTCTGCAGCCACAGCAGCTCTGTCCAGCTGGAGGGAGTCTCCATGTCAGGCCAGCTTTCAGATGTGGGTTTTTACCAGCCCCTCACCAGACTGCCCTGGACCCAGCCTGCGCAAGCAATCTTAATAAAATGCAGTTCTGCTGGGCACAGTGGCTCACGCCTGTAATCCCAACACTGAGAGGCCGAGGCGGGTGGATTCCCTGAGGTCAGGAGTTCAACACTAGCCTGGCCAATATGGCGAAACCCTGTCTCTACTAAAAATACAAAAATTAGCCAGGTGTGGTGGTGGGCGCCTGTAATTCCAGCTCCTCAGGAGGCTGAGGCAGGAGGATTGCTTGAACCCGGGAAGTGGAGGTTGCAGTGAGCCAAGATCGCACCACTGCACTCCAGCCTGGGTGACAGAGTGAGACTCTGTCTCAAAAAAATAAAATAAAATAAAATGCAGTTCTGATACTGCCTCGCCTCTGTTTAAACCCTACCCCTGGCCCCTCATTGCCTTCAGGATAAAGTCTAAAGCTGTGTTTCTCAAACTTTAGCATGCATCAAAAGCACTTGGAGGTTTGTTGAAATATGGATTTCCAGGTCAGGTGCAGTGGCTCATGCCTGTAATCCCAGCACTTTGGGAGGCCGAGGTGGGCAGATCATGAGGTCAAGAGATCGAGACCATCTTGGCCAACATGGTGAAACCCCGGCTCTACTAAAAATACAAAAATTAGCTGGGCTTGGTGGCGCGTGCCTGTAGTCCCAGCTACTCGGGAGGCTGAGGCAGGAGAATCGCTTGAACCCGGGAGGCGGATGTTGCAGTGAGCCGAGACCGCACCACTGCACTCCAGCCTGGCGACAGAGCAAGACTCCGTCTCAAAAAATATATATATATGGATTTCCAGGCTTCACCCCCAGAGTTTCTGATTTAGGAGGTCTGGGATGGGGGCCAAGAATGTGCATCTCTAACAAGTTCCAAAGTGATGCTGATGCTGCTAGTCCAGGGACCACACAATGAGAATTATTCGTCTAGACCAGAGAGACACTGAAAGCCTGCCCAGGCTTGCCTGCTAACCGAAACTTACCACTTCCGTGTCCCTAAACTCAGGTTGCATGGACCTAAACACCCTGGGTTGTTTCACACCTCAGAGCCTTTGCCATTTGCTGTGCCTGCCTCTCTGGAAGCTCTTTCCTTCTTTATCTCCTAGGCCTGCTAATCCATCATTTCATCCTCGGAGCATCTCTGTACTCCCGCATGCTCACCACACTGACTTCTTCCTCTGGGCCCTGACAACTTGTCCCCTGCCTCCATCACAGCAGGTACTATGCTGTTGTAATTCTGCTCTATTTCCACATCAAATCCCTCTCCCTGGACTGGGAGCTCCTTGAGGCCTGGAAGTGTCCACTGAGTGTGGACATGGAGTGTGGCCCTCAGAAGGAACTCAGTGAATGTGTGATGCTTGAATGAACCCCAAGAGCAGATGGAAGGCCCAGGTGAATAATCACAAATCACAAAGTTTCATAGTTTATCCAGCCAGTCAAATATTCACTGGATGCTTTTTTTTTTTTTTTTTTTTTGGAGATGGAGTCTTACTCTGTCGCCAGGCTGGAGTGCAGTGGCACTATCTTGGCTCACCGCAACCTCCACCTCCCAGGTTCAAGTGATTCTCCTGCCTCAGCCTCCCAAGCAGCTGGGATTATAGGTGCATGCCACCACACCTGGCTAATTTTTATATTTTTAGTAGAGACAGGGTTTCGCCATGTTGGCCAGGCTGGTCTCAAACTCCTGATCTCAGGTAGTCCACTGGCCTCGGCTTCCCAAAGTGCCAGGATTATAGGCGTGAGCCACCGTGCCCGGCCACTGGGTGCTTATTCTGTGCTAGGTAGGTGCTGGGGATACGGTAGTATGGGAGGCAATGTCCCTGCCCATGTGGACTCAGATGCTATCAGTGATCATGTTGGGACACAGATGGTGAGCATTATACAGGAAAAGAAGATCGTAAAAGATCTGAATGTTGCCAGGTGTGGTGGCTCACGCCTGTAATCCCAGCACTTTGGGAGGCCAAGGTGGGCAGATCACCTGAGGTCAGGAGTTCGAGACCAGCCTGACCAACATGGAGAAACCCCGTCTGTACTAAAAAAAAAAAAAAAAAAAAAATTAGCTGGGCGTGGTGGCACATGCCTGTAATCCCAGCTGCTCAGGTGGCTGAGGCATGAGAATTGCTTGAACCCGGGAGGCAGAGGTTGCAGTGAGCCGAGATCACGCCATTGCACTCCAGCCTGGGCAACAAGAGCAAAACTCCATCTCAAAAAAAAAAAAAAAAAAAAATCTGAGTGTTCTGAAGCAGGTTTAGCAGCAGTGGCCAGGGTGGAGTTGAATAGCCTGTGCAAGCAAGGCACAAACATTTCACAGACCTTACTGCACTCATTTGCTCCTTCATACAACTCTGCTAGGCAGAAACTGTCATCCCTGTTTTACAGATGGGCAAGTGGGAACCAACAGGGGAATTTGCTGGGCCACAATCACAGCCAGCACATGGCAGAGCTAGGACTTGAACCTGGATTTCCTGATCCCAAGCTCTCCAAACCCTTGGGCTACTCCTGGAGTCTAGGCACCTGTGTGGCCTGAGACCTTCCTTTGGGAATGTGTCTCCAGTGATGATTTACGAGTTTGCTCACAACAGACACCACAGCCCCGCTACAGGGGACCTGGGCGGTACCGGAAGCATTAGGGGGCCTTCTGTGGCCCTCCTCTGGCCATGCCCCTTTCCCCAGGGCGGGCAGTCCACAGGATCAGGGGGACATGCTCACTGGAAACCTATGCCTACGCTCCCACCCTAGACTCCACCCCAGATACTCAGGACCCCAGATTCCCCCATCCAGTCAGCCCCAAGCCCACTGTCAGGGCGTGCCGGGGCTTCTCCAGAGGACAGCCTGCGCTGCCAGTGTGTGTATGTCCACCCATAGACAGCGCCAGCTGCTTGGAAGGAGGGGCAGGTGTGGACATAGCTTACACATGTGTCCTAGGATCCAGACCTGCGTATGAGACCCCAGCCAGAAATGGGACTGATAGCTGGGGCTGGCTTTCCCATATGCTGAAAGATGCTACTACCTTCTGGCTCA
Source organism: Homo sapiens (assembly GCF_000001405.40). Lineage (NCBI taxonomy): Eukaryota > Metazoa > Chordata > Mammalia > Primates > Hominidae > Homo > Homo sapiens. Next base: position 31,219,209 of record NC_000001.11, on the reverse strand, counting down.
AAACTCCAAGAAGTCAGAGGAATTGAAATTCACAGCCTGGCCTACCAGACCATTAAGTCTATTAGAAGACAGAACATATATTTAGGAGGTTGTTAGTTTGGTTTGTAACTTAGATATTTAGGCATGTGAGGGGTAGACCCGCATTGGTGCTCCTGCCCTGGTCCACAAGGCCCCCAAATGTTAGAGAAGGGTCTGGACTTGAGGGCAGAATGCAGGCCAGGGCTCCCCTGGGTGTCTGATCAGCCTCGGGTGATGCCAGCTGCTCAGCCTGTCACTGCCTGTCTGCTGGTCAGCAGCCCCACGAGTCATCTGAGCGCACTGCCGTCCCCAGGCTGCCGCTAGCTGTCATCCTCAAGACAGGCCACCAGAGACAGGGATCATCCACTGAACTGAGAGGCTGTCTGGGGCCCAGCCTGGGAATCACACTGTGGTTGTCGACTATGACAGGCTGGGCTGGTTGGTATCAGGGACAAATAGGACAGGAAGTGGGGACGTGAGGAGGAGGGTACAGGGGCACAGTTTATCAAGGCCTGCTATGGCCAAATGCTTGATGCACCTGATCAACTCTCACTCTCCCAGCAGCATGAGGTGATGGTAAGATTTCCTCCCATTTTGCAGAAGAGGAAGCTGAGGGAGTGGAAATCCTGCATCTGTTACTTCCTAAAAGTGTGAACAGAGGCAAGTTGCCCAGCCTCCCTGAGCTCAGTTTCAAGTTTCTTCATCTGTAAAGTGGAGATGAGTGTACCTGCCTCTTAGAGCCATCCAGCAAATTCAGTGAGAGAATCCATGAAATGCACTCAGCACAGCAGCACCTGGCACTTAGTTAAGGCTTAGAAAATGGTAGCTGCGGCCAGGTGCGGTGGCTCATGCCTGTAATCCCAGCACTTTGGAAGGCTGAGGCGGGAGGATCATGAGGTCAGGAGATCGAGACCATCCTGGCCAACATGTTGAAATCCCCATCTCTACTAAAAATACAAAAATTAGCCAGGCATGGCAGTGTGCACCTGTAGTCCCAGCTACCCGGGAGGCTGAGGCAGGAGAATTGCTTGAACCTGGGAGGCAGAGGCTGCAGTGAGCTGAGAATGTGCCACTGCACTCCAGCTTGGGTGACAGAGCGAGACTCCATCTCAAAAAAAAAAAAGAAAGAAAGAAAGAAAGAAAGAAAGAAAGAAAGAAAGAAAGAAAGAAAGAAAATGGTAGCTGCTGTGATTATGGCCAATACAAATCATTATTAGGTGCTTAGAGGACAGGAGTGCCTATGAAGCATAAATCATGATTGTTTGCTGAATGGAGTCCTCCCAGGCACAGAATCCTGGAATCCAGGAGCCAAGAGGGTCCCTAGAGAACATCCCTGCAGCCCTTTGTTTATACAGATGAGTACACAGAACCCCAGGGACACAGTGGGGCCTGTTAGGTCCAACTCCTGTCTCCTTTCCTCACTGCCCCAGGAGAGGACAGGGAGCCTGGCACTGAGGCCCTTCATGTGCTGTTCCAGGAAGCAGGCTGATGCCACTTCCAGGAGGGATGGAGACTGGGCGTGTAATTCCAGACAAAAATACCTGGAACAAGAATAAGATCCCCCAGTGGGTGGAAGCAGTCAGCTACTCTCTGCCCAATTATGGGCAAGAGTCTGCTGCTAGAGCCTTTCCCCATGGTCTTGATGTTTCCGGGTGGGGGTTGGTAGGGAGCAGTGGTGAGGGTGCCCATCAGTCTAGGAGGTGCCACTAAATAAATCATAATGCAAGGCCAGGCATGGTGGCTCACACCAGTAATCCCAGCATTTTGAGAGGCCAAAGCAGCAGGGTCTCTTGAGGCCAGGAGTTTGAGACCAGCTTGGACAACATAGTGAGACCCCCGTCTCTACAAAAAATACAAAAATTAGCTGGGCATGTTGGCACACACTTGTAGCCCTAGCTACATGGGAGGCTGAGGCAAGAGAATCACTTGAGTCCAGGAGTTGGAGGCTGCAGTAAGCTATGACTGTGCTGCCACACTCCAACCTGGGCAACAGACTAAGACCCTGTCTCTAAAACAAAAAGTCAATGCCGCGGCACGGTGGCTCATGCCTGTAATCCCAGAACTTTGGGAGGCCGAGGTGGGCGGATCACTTGAGGCCAGGAGTTCAAGACCAGCCTGGCCAACATGGTAAAACCCTGTCTCTACTAAAAATACAAAAATTACCTGGGCGTGGTGGCACACGCCTGTAATCCCAGCTACTTGGGAGGTTGAGGCGGGAGAATCGCTTGAATGCGGGAGGCGGAGTTTGCAGTGAGCCAAGATCGCACCATTGCACTCCAGCCTCGGCAACACAGACAGCCTCCATCTCACACACACACAAAAATACAAAAATTAGCTAGGCGTGGTGGCAGCCACCTATAATCCCAGCTACTCGGGAGGCTGAGGCAGGAGAATCACTTGAACCCCGGAGGTGGAGGTTGCAGTGAGCCGAGATGGTGCCACTGGACTCCAGCTGTCTCAATAAATAAATAAATAAATAAATAAATAAATAAATAAATAAAAGTCAATGCCACAGGCGTTCCTAGGAGATCAAACCCCACTGATGATGGCCTCGCCCCTCCTCTGGAAGAAAAGTCCTCCAGCTCTCCTAGCAGGGCAGCGAGTCTGTTAAACTCATGGACATGAGCCAGGGGACCTGGTCCAAATCTTAATCTGCCATATGACCTCAGGCAAGTTACTTTTTGGTGTGCTTCAGTGCTTTCATATGCAAAGCGGGCTTGACCTTAGGCTGTACCTGGCATGTTTCTTTGAAGATTAAATGAATCAAAGTGTTCTAAACTTGGAGAGATACTTGACATAGGGTAAGCATTAGCTATGATTCCCTCACAGTGTCATTCTGGGGATGAAAGGAAATGCCACCTGTGAAGAGCAGCGCTCGGCATAGGCACATTCAGACTAGGCCGTGAGAACCAGGCCTTCCTTGCCCTCCTCGCTCCACTCCTGCTCCCACGTGCAGACGGCAATTGCTTCCTCCAACAGATCCAACCAGCCGCCTCTGGCCCAGGGCCAGGAAATGATTGTTCCATTCCGTTCCCCCGTGCTCCTCTGCCCTCCCCTTTAATCTTCCCAGCCTGCCTGCGAGATAGAGGGAGAGAAAGTCTCCTCCCAAAGCTGCAGTGGGGCCTGCAGGTATCTGCTTAAGAGCTCAGGCTCTGGGACCAGACCACTTGGGTTTACTGCAGCTGTGCCCCCACTCCAGCTCTGAGATCTTGTCCCCTTCGTAGAACGAGGGGGCAGTGGCCCATCCCTCATTTGTAGTTGTGAGAGCTGAATGACATGGGGCACAAAAAGTGCTGGCCCAGAGTCCATGTGCATATCTTAGCCATTGTTATTAGTGCTTTTATTATAGGTCAGAGCCAGGTATTCTGAAGAGAAACCCTTCTAGCATAGTCACTGGGGGTAACTCGTGAGAGATGCACCACTCATGGCCTCTGCCATGATTCCTTCTTACTGCTCCAGCGGTAACAGGCCCCAGGTGATCCCTCCCAGGGCCTTCGGTTGGGCCAGACACCCCCATCCCTCATATACGATGGATTACCAGGAAAGGGACTGAGGGGAGGGGTGGAGGAGGTGTCATTTATTCCTTCGTGCTGCAGGAATCAGAGCAGGAGGCCTGTGCTGATAATCAGAGCTTCAGCATAGGAATGAGTAGTTCAGTGCCAGGGAAGGACACCAGACTGACAGACCCCCTACACCTGTCTGAGCCTCAGTGTCCCGGGCGGTCTGATGGGGATAACAGTCCCACATCACGGGCAGCGTAAATCACAATCTGAGTGGTGAAGCGCTGTCCAGATGTTGGTGCCTGCTGTGATTCTCCACTGGAAAGAGAAGCGGGATGCTGGGTCCGAGCCAAGACTGGGACAGAAAGTAGGTAAGGGGGATCCCGAAGCCCTGGGTTGGGGGGAGTACTGCTGTGCAACTTTGCCCAAGGGGCTCCTGACACCCACTGCTGTTGCTAGGCAGACTTCCCCACCTGGCTTTTAGTCGGAAGGAGAAGTCAGAAGTGGTTGCTGTTGCCATAGCAGTGAGACTGGTTTTCATCAGAATTTCCTTCCTGGGAGAATCAGTACAAGGAGCTGCCGCTAAATAAGTCAGGGAATTGGATTTTTTTCTCCTCCCACGAGGTCACATGAAGAGTGGCCTCAGCCAGAACAAATGACCTCCGGGCTCCTTCCAGATGCTGACTGGGAACACTTGACTCCCCACCGTAGGTGCTTAACGCCTCCAGCATGATGTTTGGCCCTAGGGGGCGCCCGGAGGGCTTAGTGTCCCATCCCAGGCTGCTTTCTCTGTTCAGGCCACAGGGCATGACGGCCCCTCCAGCCCTTCCCTTTGGTGTCCCTCCCTCGCATTCCCCCAGCTCTAGCCACCTGGGTCCTCTCCAGCGCCTGCTATTATGTCCATCTCCCTCCCTCCACAGGACCTTTGCACAGGCGCTCATCTCTGCCTGATTCTCCCTCCCTTTCCTCCTTATCCTGTTACCTCTTCCTTCAGATCACTTCCTCGCAGAAGTCTTCCTTGACCACTCTCATCATAGCTCTTGTCCTTGGCACCCTTCCTTCAGAGCACTGAGCACAACAGGGATTTTGTGCTGCACAGGTGTGCACACACACGCATGCACAAACACATGCAGACACACACATGCATGCACACATACACATGTACACATACACTGAATGTAAGCTCTATGAGGCCAAGATCCGTTTCTGGTTTTTTTCTTTTTTTTTTTTTTTAACTTTATTGAGATATAATTCACATACCATAAAATTGTTCCATTTTAAAGTGTACAATTCAGTGGTTTTCAGTGTATTCATAAAGTTGTGCAGCCATCACCACTATCTGATTCCTGAATATTTTCATCATCCTAAAAAGAGACCCCCAAACCCATTAGCAGTCACTCCCCACTCCCCCTTGCCACCAGCTTCTGGCAACCACTAATCCACTTTCTATTTTTCTGGATTTGCCTATGCTGGACATTTTGTATAAGTGGAATCATACAGTAGGTGATCCTTTGTGACTGTTATCCTTCACCTAGCATAATGTTTTCAAGGGTCATTCATGTTGTAGCAGGTATCAATACTTCATTCTTTCTTATGGCTTAATAATATTCTGTTGTATGGATATATCACTTCTTAAATTTTTATTTTGTTTAATTAATTAATTAATTAATTAATTAATTTTTATTTTATTCTTTTTTTGAGACAGGGGCTCACTCTGTGGTCCAGGCTGGAGTGTGGTGATGTGATCACAGCTTACTGCAGCCTCAATCTCCCGGGCTCAAGCAATCCCCATGCCTCAGCCTCCCAAGTAGCTGGGACTACAGGTGTGCACCACTACACCCAGCTAATTTTTAAATTTTTGTGGAGACAGGATCTCCCTGTATTGCCCAGGCTGGTTTTGAATTCCTGGGCTCAAGGGATCCTCCCGCTTCACCCTCCCAAAGTGCTGGGATTACAGGTGTGAGCCACTGCACCCAACTTGTGTTGCAATTTTTTATCCATCCATCAGATGATGGACATTGGGTTGTTTCCACTTTTTGGCTGCCATGAATAATGCTGCTATGAGCATTTATGTACAAGCTTTGTGCTAACTTTGTTTTCACTTCTCAGGTGTATATACCTAGGAGAAGAAATGCAGGGCCGCATGATATCTCTGTGTCCAGCTGTTGGAAGAACTAGCCCCATTTTCCACAGCAGTCGCACCATTTTACATTTCCACCAGCAACACATGAGAGTTCCAGTTTCTCTGCATCATCAACACTTGTTATTATCTGCCTTTTTTATTAGAGCCACCCTAGTGGGTGTGAAGTATGTCACACTTTTGATTTGCATTTCCCAAATGACTATTTTGAGCATATTTTTTTGTGCTTATCAGCCACTTGTATACCTTCTTTGGAGAAATTCTTTGCAAATCCTTTTTCCATTTTTAATTGGGTTATTTATCTATTTACTGGTGAATTGCAAAAGTTCTTTATATATCCTGGATTTTGGACACTTATTAGATGTATGATTGGCAAACATTGTCTCATATTGTATGGGTTGACTTCTCACTTTCTTTTTTTTTGTATCCTCAACAACTTTATCTGTACAAATTTTCACTTTCTTGATAGTACCCTTTGATATACTAATGTTTTTCAAAAAAAAAAAAAACAAAAGAAAAAGCTTTTTATTTTGTGTATTTATTTATTTATTTTTTGAGACAGAGTCTTGCTCTGTCACCTAGGCTGGAGTACAGTGGCACAATCTTGGCTCACCACGAGCTCCACCTCCCAGCTTCACACCATTCTCCTGCCTCAGCCTCCCGAGTAGCTGGGATTACAGGCGCCTGCCACCACGCCCAGCTAACTTTTTGTATTTTTAGTAGAGACAGGGTTTCACCGTAGCCAGGATGGTCTTGATCTCCTGACCTTGTGATCCGCCCACCTCGGCCTCTGAAAGTGCTGAGATTACAGGCTTGAGCCACCGGGCCTGGCCAAGCTTATTTTTATGGCTGGGTGCGGTGGCTCACGTCTGTAATTCAAAAGTTTCGGGAGGCCAAGGCAGGCAGATTGCTTGAGCTCAGGAGTTCGAGACCAGTGTGGGCAACATGGTGACACCCTGTCTCTATCAAAAATCCAAAAAGTAGCCGGGTTTGGTGGTGTGTGCCTGCGGCCCCAGCCACTCTAGAGTCTGAGGTGGGAGGATCACTTGAGCCTAGGAGGTGGAGGTTGCAGTGAGCAGAGATTGTGCCACTGCACTCCAGCCTGGGTGACAGAATGAGACCTTGTCTCCTAAAAAAAAAAAAAAAAAAGAAACTATTACCTAATCCAGAGTAATACAGATTTATACCTATGGTTCCTTCCAAGGATCTTATAGTTTTGGCTCTTACATTTAGGTTTTTGACCCATTTTCAGTTAATTTTTGTATATGGTGTGAGGAAGGAGTGCACCTTTATTCTTTTGCATGTGAGTATCCAGTTGTCCCAGCAACATTTGTTGAAAAAACTATGCTTTCTCCATTGAATAGTCTTGGCACCCTTGTTGAAAATCAATTGACAATAGATGTATGGATTTGGTTTGGGACTAGTCTGTTCCATTTATCTGTATGTCTATCCTTATGCTAGTACCACACTGTCTTGATAACTGTAACTTTGTCATTGTAAGTTTTGAAATCAGGAAGTATGAGTCCTCAAACTTTGTTCTTTTTCAAGATTATTTTGTTATTTGAACTCCATATATATATTTTTGTTTTGTTTTGTTTTGTTTTGTTTTTGAGACAGAGTCTCACTCTGTCTCCCAGGCTGGAGTGCAGTGGCGCAATCTTGGCTCATTGCAACCTCCGCCTCCTGGGTTCAAGCGATTCTCCTACCTCAGCCTCCTGAGTAGCTAGGACTACAGGCATGCGTCACCACGCCTGGCTAATGTTTTGTATTTTTAGTAGAGACGAAATTTCACTATGTTAGCCAGGCTGGACTCGAACTCAAGCAATCCACCCCCCTTGGCCTCCCAAAGTGCTGGGATTACAGGCATGAGCCACCGTGCCCAGCCAAGATTCCACATATTTCCATATGAATTTTAAGGCCAACTTATACATTCCTGAAAAAAAAAAAAGGTAGTTGGAATTTTGATAGAGTGCATTGAATCTGTAGATCAATTTGGGAAGTATTACCATTTTAACAATATCAAGTCTCCCAATCCATAAATTTGGGTCTTCTTTAATTTCTTCAATAATGTTTTGTTTTCAGCATACAGGTCTTGCACTTACTTGGTTAAATTTATGCTAAGCATTTTCTTCTTTTTGATGCTATTGTAAATGAAATTGTTTTGTTAATTTTATGTTTAGATTGTTCATTGTCAATGTGTAGAAATTCAAGTGATTTTTGTATATTGATCTTGGACTCTGCAGCCTTGCTGACCTAAATTAGTAGCTCTAGTTGTTTTTTGGGGATTCTTTAGTTTATTCTACATACAAGATCATGTAATCTGCAATTAGCAAATAGTTTTACTTCTTCTTTTCCAGTGTGGATGCCTTTGATTTCTTTTTCTTGCCTAATTGTCCTGGCTAGAACCTCCAGCACAGTGTTGAATAGCAGTGATGAGAGCGGACATCCCTGTCTTGTTCCTGATCTTAGGGGGAAAGCTTTCAGTCTTTTACCGTTAAGTATGATGTCGGCTGTGGCTTTTCTGTAGATGCCCTTCACCAGGTTGAGGAAGTTCCCTTCTCTTTCTATTTTGTTGAGTGTTTCTGTCAAGACAGGGGCTATGTCTGCTTTTGCCTTTGTCCACTGCTTTGTCTCCACTGTCTAGTGTTATGATTGACATCCAATAAATATTTACTAGTTGAACAAATCAGGTAAGAATGGAGAGGACTCACAACAGCTGATGGAGCCCAGCCTCCCCAGGCCCTTCCTTCAGGGATTCTAAATGTCCATGTCCCTAACTTCAGGGTTGGACCCTTTCTCCTTACTCACCCCTGTCAACCTTTCCCTGGCCTGATGCACAGATGTGGGTTCTGTTAGAAATGATCTCCATTTCAGATGAGGAAACGGGCTCAGCTGTGTTGAGTGACCTACTGTTAGGTTTGGTGCAAAAGAGATTGCGTTTTTTGCCATTGAAAGTAATGGCAAGCCGGGTGTGGGGGCTCACGCCTGTAATCCCAGCACTTTGGGAGGCCAAGGCGGGTGGATCACCTGAGGTCAGTTGTTCGAGACTAGCCTGGCCAACGTGGTGAAACCCCGTCTCTACTAAAAATATAAAAATTAGCTGGGCGTGGTGGTGGGTGCCTGTAATCCCAGCTGCTCAGGAGGCTGAGGCAGGAGAATTGCCTGAACCCAGGAGACGGAGGTTGCAGTGAGCCAACATGGTGCCACTGCACTCCAGCCTGGGCGACAGAGTGAGACTCCATTAAAAAAAAAAAAAAAAAGAATGGCAAAAACCACAATTACTTTTGCACCAAACCTAATAGCTTTGTGGCCCGTGGGTATGGCTGGCTTCTGAGGTTGCAGTTCTTGTACCTGCTGGCTTGGGAAAAGGAGGGCGCTGAGCCCTAAGAGATGCATTACTAAGACATAATGCATTTCTGCAAAGCATCATTCTACCCTGAATTTGGTGGGCGTGAACTAAGGAGGAGGCTCTATTTCAGAGTAGAATGCTGGATGATGTGTTGGATGATGCTGGATCAGCCATTGTGAGTCCTCTTCATTCTTATCTTTTTTTTTTTTTTTTAATAAGACAGGGTCATGCTCTGTTGCTCAGGCTGGAGTGCAGTGGCCCAACAATAGCTCACTGCAGCCTCGACCTCCTGGGCTCAAGGGATCCTCCCACCTCAGCATCCTGAGTAGCTAGGACTACAGACATGCACCACCACACCTGGCTAACTTTTTTTTTCTTTCTTTTTAGAGACAGGGTCTCACTTTGTCACCCAGACTGGAGGGGAGTGATGCGATCACAGCTCACTGCAACCTTGACCTCCCAGGTTCAAGTGGTCTTCCCACCTCAGCCTCCGGAGTAGCTGGGACTACAGGCATACACCACTATGTCTGGCTACTTTTTTTATTTTTTGTAGAGACAGGGGTCTTACTATGTTGCCCAGGCTGGTCTCAAACTCCTGGGCTGAAGCAATGCTGCATCAGCTTCCTAAAACATTGGGATTACAGGCATGAGCCATCATGCCTGGCTATACGTATTCTTTTAGGATAAAAAAGAGTTCCAGGAGACTCCCTTTTTGCAGGAGACTCCCTGGAGGTGGAATCTGCTGTTGGGATTCTCAGCTGGGAGAGGGGTGGAGGCTGCACTCTGCTGGGCTGCTGGTTGTTTTTTTGTTTTGTTTTGTTTTGTTTGAGATGGAGTTTTGCTCTTGTTACCCAGGCTGGAGTGCAGTGGCGCAATCTCGGCTCACTGCAACCTCCGTCTCCCGGGTTCAAGTGATTCTCTTGCCTCAGCCTCCCAAGTAGCTGGGACTACAGGTGCCCACCACCAAGCCCAGCTAACTTTTGTGTTTTTAGTAGAGACCAGGTTTCACCGTGTTGGTCAGGCTGGTCACGATCTCCTGACCTCGGGTGATCCACCTGCCTCGGCCTCCCAAAGTGCTGGAATTACAGGTGAGAGCCACCACTCCAGCCCTGGGCTGCATTTCTTGGCCCAGTCTTGGCCCAGTGGGATGGTCTTCCTGTTAAAGCCACGGAGGGCATCTTCCCTGTGAAGGGAGAGCTTGATGGCTCCCAGGATGTCAGTTACCCCATTGGATCCACTCCCACCCCCTGGGAGGTGAGAAGGGTAGGAGTTATATTGCCCAGTTTACAGATGAGAAAACTGAAGCCCTGGAACATCAAGTGTGATTTGCCCAAGGCCTCAGTATCACAACTCGCAGAGTCCGACAGCATGTTATAGACCCACACCAGAGTGTGGCACGGAACAGGAAGAGCCAGAGTTCCTGAAAGTCAGGAGGTTTGTGTAACGCCTCTGCTGTAGACAAGGGCTGACCGCTCTCAAAGTCCGGGGCAGCTTCAAGGGAGCATTTTGAGGGAGGCCTGTGGCCTAACAAACTGTGCACTTACATCAGAGGTTTCCAGGGCCCCCTCCCCCCACTATGTGGGGGCCACATAGACCTTGGGTTAATTGCAGGATCCTGTGAGCTTTGGTGTCTCTGTGTCTGGGATCCCCACCCCCAGGGGTGCTGTGAAGGCAGGTAGGCTTCCCTGCTTGATAGGGTAGCAAAGGCCTGTGGGTAGGACTTCTGCATTTTCTCTTATTAGCAAGGAAGAAAGGCTTCTGGAAAGAATGAAAGAAATCTTCACGAAAGGAAGCCGGGAATGAGAAAGCTGCAGCAGAGGCGGATCTCCAACAGAACACAAGTTTCCATAAGCGGGGGGTGGAAGAAAGAATTGGACTCAGAGGAGACCAAAGAATGGCATTTGTTGGGTGCTTCTTCTGTACCAGGCATTATGCTTTGCATCCTTTAGTGTCACAGTGACTCTGAGGTTTTATTCTTTTCCTTTTTATAGATGAGGAAACGGGCTTAGGGAGATTTAAACACTTGCCAGAGGTCACACGGCTAGTAAATGATGGAGTGGGGATTTGAACAGAACACATCTCAGCCATCATCGGTGGCATGAGCGGATCCATTGGGAGAGTTTCCAGTTCCAGTAGTGCAGGGAGTCAGGCCACAGCGGTGATGCTTTGGGGGCCCAGCGGCCATCTGTGGACCAGGAGAGCTAGTGGGGAAACCTGGGGTGGTGGCAGACAGGCTCTAGAGCCTGCAGATCTGTGTTCCTGCCTCTACCGCTTCCTGACTGTGTAACCTGGGATCTGTTACTTCACCTCCCTGGGCCTCAGTATCCATGTATGTAAAATGACACTTCTCCAAGGGTTGAGAGGAGTACATGATATGGACATCAAGCAGCGTGTACAGGGCGGGCTCAGTGCAAGTCCCCAGAGGGTGGGCAGCGTCAGTTTCAGTCCTTGCCCTCTTCCTTGGGCTTGTGTAATTTGATAATTGAAGTTTGTCTGTGTCACCATAGACTTGGCACAGCTCGTGGCCAGGGCAGGGGCTGTTCCTCTTTGCACCCAGGGTCAGTGCCCATGAATGCTTCATGGGCAAAGAAGAACAAGAGTGGGGCAGGGGGGTCAGGCAGCTGCTGGGCTGCTTGGGGATGAGTGGGGTGAAATACCACCTGGCCTCAAAGTGACCTGCACATTAGGACAACTGTGATCCTTTCTCCTTCAGTACATGAGTCCTCTGTATGAGCAACACAGGCCCAGAGTCTGCACTACAGGGAACAATCATCGTAGCTAACACTTCTATGGCTATGAACCAGGCAGTGTTCTGAACATTTGACACATATTCCCTACTTAAGCTTCACAACATTCGCTTGAAATGGGTACTGTTATCATCATCCCCATTTTACAGTTGGCTAATAAATGACAGAGCCGGGATTTGAAATTAAAGAACAGAGAGGTTAAGTGACTTACTGAAGGTCACACAGCTAATAAGTATTAAAGGTAGGATTCAAACCCAGATAGTTTGGCTCCTAGGCCATACTTTTAACCTCTGTGGTGTACAGCTTCTTGGGGAACAAGCAGCAAGAATCTGATCTTGGTATGAAACCAAGGATTTAACAATTATCCTAATAATGGCACATGTGGGCACAGCACTACACAGTTTAAAAAGCACATACAGCCAGGTGGGATTACAGGATCACACTTTTAATCCCAGCACTTTGGGAGGCTGAGGCGTGCGGATCACTTGAGGTTGGGAATTCAAGACCAGCCTGGCCAACACGGCGAAACCCCATCTCTACAAAAAAATACATAACCTAGCTGAGCGTAGTGGTGCATGCCTATAGTCCCAGCTACTCAGGAGGCTGAGGTAGGAGGATCTCTTGAGGCTCAGAGGTTGGGGCTGCAGTGAGCCATGATCATGCCACTGCACTCCAGCCTGAGCAACAGAGTGAAACCCTGTGTCAGAAAAATTAAAATAGGCCAGGTGCAGTGGCTCACACCTATAATCCCTGCACTTTGGAAGGCTGAGATGGGCAAATTGCTGGAGCTCAAGAGTTTGAGACCAACCTGAGCAACATGGTGAAACCCCATCTCCACCAAAAATACAAAAAATTAGCCAGGTGTAGCGGTGTGCACCTGTGGTCCTAGCTCCTCAGGAGGCTGAGACAGGAGGATCACTTGAGCCCAGGAGGCAGAGGTTGCAGTGAGCCAAGATCACGCCACTGCATTCCAGCTTGGGCAAAACAGTGAGACCCTGTCTCAAAAAACTAAATACATAAAATAAATAAAAATTTAAAAAATAAAATAAAAATAAAAACCACATACTACTATATAACTTGCTTTCATGGTTGTGATTTACTCAGTTCTCTAACTTCTCTATGAAGAAGATAGGGCTTTATTGGCTTCTTTTTTAAAATGTTTATTTCTCATTTAAACCAGAGAGTTTATTTATTTTTATTTTATTTATTTATTTATTTTTGAGATGGAGTTTTGCTCTTGTTGCCCAGGCTGGAGTGCAGTGGTGGGATCTTGGCTCACTGCAACCTCCTCATCCCGGGTTCAAGCGATTCTCCTGCCTCAGCCTCCCAAGTAGCTGGGATTACAGGTGCCCACCACCACGCCCAGCTAATTTTTGTATTTTTAGTAGAGACGGGGGTTTCATCATATTGGTCAGGCTGGTCTCGAACTCCTGACCTCAGGTGATCCACCCACCTCAGCCTCCCAAAGTGCTGGGATTACAGATGTAAGCCACTGCACCTGGCCTAAACCGGAGAGTTTAAAATGCTTGTCTGGGCCGGGCGCGGTGGCTCATGCTTTTAATCCCAGCATTTTGGGAGGCCAAGGCAGGCCGATCACCTGAGGTCAGGAGTTCGAGACCAGCCTGACCAACATAGTGAAACCCTGTCTCTACTAAAAATGCAAAAATTAGCTGGGCGTGGTGGCACACACCTGTAATCCCAGCTACTTGGGAAGTTGAGGCAGGAGAATTGCTTACACCTGGGAGGCAGAGGTTGCGGTGAGCCGAGCCGAGATCGTGCCACTGCACTCTAGCCTGGGTGACAGAGTGAGACTCCATCTCAAAAAAAAAAAAAAAAAAAAAACTTGTCCGGCTGGGCGTGGTTGCTCACGCCTGTAATCCCAGCACTTTGGGAGACTTAGGCGGGCAGATCACGAGGTCAGCAGTTTGAGACCAGTCTGGCCAACATAGTGAAACCCCATCTCTACTAAAAATACAAAAATTATCTGGGCATGGTGGGGCGTGCCCGTAGTTGTGGCTACTCAGGAGGCTAAAGCAGGAGAACGGCTTGAACCCAGAAGGCAGAAGTTGTGGTAAGCCGAGATTGTGACACTGCACTCCAGCCTAGGCAACAGAGCCAGACTCCGTCTCAAAAAACAAACAAACAAACAAACAAAAAATTAGCTGGGTGTGGTGGCAGGCACCTGTAATCCCAGCTACTCGGGAGGCTGGGGCAGGAGAATTGTGTGAACCCGGGAGACAGAGGTTGCAGTGAGCCGAGATCGAGCCATTGTATTCCAGCCCGGGCGAGACTCCATCTCAAACAAAAAAAAAATTGCTTGTCCAATCCGTGATAATTTATTGAACAGTTACATGCAAAGTCATTCATTCACATTACCTCATTGAATCCTCCCACAAATCCAGGAAGTAGATATTATTGTTCCCATTTTACAGTTGAGGAAACCGAGGCATTAGGAGGTGGCTTTCCCAGATCCTACAACTTGTGAGAGCTGAGACTCACTTCCAGGCCTGCCCGAGTGCAGAGCCTGAGCTGATAATTACCGGGCTCTCCAGCAGCCTCAGTCCCATCCTGGGTAGATGTTACCTCCTGCTTGTTTTCATTCTGGCCTTCCCCCCATCACTTCCATCCCTCTAGCCACTCCTGAAATTCCGAACACTGCCTTAATTAATTCTCTCTACCTAAGTGCCCGCTTCATTAAGGTGCTTTCTGCCATGAGTTTTTGGCTTAATTATGTGGTGTTCTTCATTGTACTTAGTTGGGGAATCTGATTAATCACCATTTTATTTATCCAAATGTTCATTTATCTGCAGCCGGCGTCTCCTGGGAGAGCCTTGTTTTTGCTGAGCTTGCCCTTCCTGGATTGTCTTCCCCTTCACCCCTGTCTTAAGTGCTCCTCTTTGGAGGGCACCTTCTTTCCAGGCCTTGGCTGCCCACTCCAGAGCTTGCCGGGGTCCCGGCATCTGGGAGATGGGACTGGGGATGCCTCAGTAGTTTAGACGTGGGAACATGGGCAGAAGTAGAGTAGGAATTGACAAGAAGATGGGAGTCCTGGGAGAGTGGGACCTCAGGCATGGAGGATTCTGGGCCCTGTCTCAGCTTGCCAAGAAAGGCCTCAGCATCTCCTCCTGGTCTCCCACTTCCAGTCCATCCTCCTCCTGTAGCCAGACAGCACTGCACCCAAAGCACCCAGCTTCCATGTCTCTATGCTCAGACCTTCCCTGCCTCCTAGGGACCAGCAGAATAAAGCCCTGGGTCCAAGGTCCAGCCACATCTCTTCCCCACCCTGCCACCCCTCATTTCATTCATCCAGAGCCACCCCAGGCCTCCAAGCTGTCCATACCCTCTCCATATCATGTGACCAGCTTGTCCCAGTTTGCCCAGGACTTTTGGAACTTGTCCCTGAAAGTGCTGTGCTCTAAGAAACCCCATGGTCTCAGGCACACTGGGACAGTTGGTCATCCTCAGCTCAGGGTCACCCACAGTCTCAGGCAGACTCATGGGGGTGTGCTCATTTGTCGCCATCAGTTTTGTCTTTGAATGTGTTTGTTCACTTATAAAAATATTACTCATAGGCCGAGCGCAGTGGCTCACGCCTGTAATCCCAGCATTTTGGAAGGCCGAGGCGGGCTAATCACTTGAGGTCAGGAGTTCAAGACTAGCCTGGCCAACATAGTGAAACCCCATCTCTACTAAAAATACAGAAATTGGCCAGGCGTGGTGGTGGGTGCCTGTAATCCCAGCTACTCAGGAGGCTGAGGCAGGAGAATTGCTTGAACCTGGGAAGCAGAGGTTGCAGTGAGCCAAGATGGTGCCACTGCACTCCAGCCTGGGTGACAGAGCAAGACTCCGTCTCAAAAAAAAAAAAAAATTACTCCTCGATGTAAAAACCTTGCAGAAATATATCTGGCTGAATCTCAAAGGCCCCCATAATCCCATTCCCTAGAGTTAACAAATTAACAGTTTGATGATTCTTTGTTTTGTTGTTATGCGTGAAAACAGCGTTGTCCTACTCAAGTGGCTCTGCAGCGCCGTTTCAAACGTGGTAGCTTGGCCCTCTTCCCACACTCCATCATAATGGCTGCATTGTGTTGAATCGTGTGGAGGCACTGTCATTGACTGTGACCCCTTCTGAGGGACATCCACAGTGTTTTCATTATTTTTTATTTATTTTATTTTATTTTTTATTTTTTTGAGATGGAATCTCGCTCTGTCACCTAGGCCAGAGTGCAGTGGCGCAATCTCGGCTTACTGCAACCTCTGCCTCCCGGGTGCAAGTGATTCTCCTGCCTCAGCCTCCCGAGTAGCTGGGATTACAGCCACCATGCCTGTCTAATTTTTGTATTTTTTGTAGAGATGGGTTTCACCATGTTGGCCAGGCTGGTCTCGAACTCCTGACCTCAGGAGTCCGCCCACCTTGGCTTCCCAAAGTGCTGGGATTACCCGCGTGAGCCACTGCCCCTGGCCTTTTTTTTTTTTTTTTAAGACGGAATCTCGCTCTGTCACCAGGCTAGAGTGCAGTGGTGTGATCTCAGCTCACTGCAACCTCCACCTCCTGGGTTCAAATGATTCTCTTGCCTCAGCCTCCCGAGTAGCTGGGACTACAGGCGCACACCACCACGCCCAGCTAATTTTTATATTTTTAGTAGAGACAGGATTTCACCATGTTGGCCAGGATGGTCTCAATCTCTTGACCTCGTGATCCGCCCACCTTGGCCTCCCAAAGTGCTGGGATTACAGGGGTGAGCCACTGTGCACAGCCTGATTTTTTTTTTTTTTTTTTTATACAGAGTCTCCTCTGTCGCCCAGGCTGGAGTGCGGTGGCACAATCTCAGCTCACTGCAAGCTCCACCTCCTGGGTTCACACCATTCTCCTGCCTCAGCCTCCTGAGTAGCTGGGACTACAGGTGCCCACCACCACACCCGGCTAGTTTTTTGTGTTTTTAGTAGAGATGGGGTTTCACCGTGTTAGCCAGGATGGTCTCGATCTCCTGACCTCGTGATCCGCCCACCTCGGCCTCCCAAAGTGCTGGGAATACAGAGATGAATGAACCACCCTGCCTGGTCCCCGGCCTGATTTTTTTTTAGACTTCCCCTTGGTAGCACCCTGGGCCGTTTGGCCCAGGATTTATGCAAATTAATGTAGATATATGCTAATTAGATCACTGCCAGGCACTTTGTTCTAATGGAGTTGCCAGCTCAGAGGTGCAGTGGGTTGGATCTGCCCAGAAGGGGCTTGCAGAGCCCCCCAGCTGGGGAAGGGGTGGGGATGGGTCAGTGGTCACTGAGATGAGGGGATGGGGTTACCATGGAGACAGAGGCCAGGAGCCTGCTGCTGCCTCCTGACAAGACCAGGGCTGGCCCAATCAGTCGCATCCTGGGCCTCCCTAGCAGCTCCAAGCTGGTCTCTGAGGGCTAATGATGCAGAAGGTGAGCAGATGCTCCCTGGCTCCCCAGGCCCAGCGGAGGTAGAGGGCTGGGCCGCAGCAGGAGGGCGTGCAGACAGGCAGATGGCAGTCAGGGGATTGGGGGTCCAGGACCTGTCCCGAGGAGGAGGAAGATTACCCCTCCAGGGTGGAAGGCACCTCCAGCAGTGCCATAAGGGGTGAGACTCCCAAATGCTGGGGCATGCAAACAGGCTGGGCGGCCAAATCTCAAAGAGCACCTTGGTAAGAAGTGGTGGAAAAGAGCAAGGGTTTGGCCCCAGACTGGTTGGAGTCAGCCGTTCTGCGTCCCCTTAGGCAAGCCTGCCACTGCTCTGGGCCTCAGTTTCCTCATTTATAAAAAGGGGTAGGATTGGCCGGGCGCGGTGGCTCACGCCTGTAATCCCTGCACTTTGGGAGGCCCAGGAGGGAGGATCACGAGGTCAGGAGATCGAGACCATCCTGGCTAACACGGTGAAACCCTGTCTCTATTAAAAATACAAAAAAAAATTAGCCGGGCATGGTGGCGGGCACCTGTAGTCCCAGCTACTTGGGAGGCTGAGGCAGGAGGATGGCGTGAACCCGGAAAGCAGAGCTTGCAGTGAGCTGAGATAGTGCCACTGCACTCCAGCCTCGGCGACAGAGAGAGACTCCGTCTCAAAAAAAAAAAAAAAATAGGGTAGGATTAAAAGGTGTGACATGAGCATGAGGTTTATAGACAATGAGTGCTCCATAAAGTATCCTAAGGTAGACCCCTTGAGAGAGGTTACTGATCTTCTGGGAGATTTGGTTTGTTTTGTTTCCTAATGGGACAGATGTTACTGGTGTCTGCTCTGAGGAGGGAAAGGGCAAGACTGTCATCCCCAAGAGGACAGGAGCTGGGTGCACTGTATTCACCACTGTGTTCTCGGGATTTAGCACACAAGAGGCACTCGAACTCCTGACCTCGTGATCCACCCGCCTTCGCCTCCCAAATTGCTGGGAGCGTGAGCCTGACCAAGATGGCAAAACCCTGTCTCTACTAAAAATACAAAAATTAGCCAGGCATGGTGGCAGTCACCTGTAATCCCAGCTACTCAGGAGGCTGAGGCAGAGAATTGCTTGAACCAGGGAGGCGGAGGTTGCAGTGAGCTGAGATCGCACCACTGCGCTCCAGCCTGGGCGACAGAGCGAGACTGTCAAAAAAAAAAAGGCACTCGAGAAATGTTTATAAGACGAATACATGTTATGTACTCAGAATACTGTCTAGATCAAATAGGAGATAAATAAATGTGGCCGGGCACAGTGGCTCACACCTGTAATCCCAACACCTTGAGAGGCCAAGGCAGGGGAGGATCACTTGAGCTCAGGAGTTCGAGACCAGCCTGGGAAATATAGTGAGACCCTTGTCTCTACAAAAAAGTTTAAAAAATAGCCAAGTGTGGGTGGCAGCTGCCTGTAGTCCCAACTACTCAGGAGGCTGAGGTGGGAAGATCACTTGATCCCAGGAGGCTGAGGCTGCAGTGAGCCCGGATCATGCCACTGCACTCCAGCATGAACAACAGCAAGACCCTGTCTCAAAAAAAAAAAAAAAAAAAGAGAGAGGAGACTTCTGGTCCAACTTTGTTGTAAGACATTCCGGAACTATAGAAGTGCATATAGTTAAGATTCAAAGTCTCCCCATCTCCCCACTCCCTAGAAATAACATCTCATAACTGTTTATTGTTATGAGATAACTCCCTGGCTTTTGGTCCTGTGTTTACAGTCGCACGCGTTTGGTGCCTTTTAGGGGAGGTGTTTACACGAACGGAATCATGTTGCTCTGCAGCTTGCTTTTTTCACCTAACAGTGATGGCCGTGGCCATTTCCCAGTGGGATCCGGGCTGGGATAGAGAGGCAGCAAGGCTGCAAAAGCCCTGGAAGAAAGACAGGAGAGAGGGGTGTGCGTGCGTGCGTGTGTGTGAATGCGTGTGCGCGCATGTGTTCGTGCGTGCGCGTGCGTGTGTGCACGTGTGCATGTGTGTGTGTGTGCGTGTGTGTGTGCATGTGTGTGCGTGTGTGTGTGTTCGGGGACCAGGGAGGCATCTTCACAGGTCCCTAGGCACAGTGGAGGGGAACCTGGCAGAGAAGCCCCCATCATCAGCTCATCAGCTCCCAGAGGACAGTGGTCTCTGTCTCCAGACGAGCTCTCTGAGGCAGGATACACGCCATGTTGTTCACTGCCATATGTCCAGGGCCCGGCACATTGTAGGTGCTCAAGAAATATTTGCTCAATGAATTGAGTCCTTACTGGGCCCATCTTCTTTGGCAGGGTCAAAGACCACTTGGTCTCTGTGACTGTTCCTTTTAATCTTATGTTGAGTTAAATCTCATTTCAACTCATGCTCAGATGGCAATGACCCCAGATGGACCCCCGGAGATGGGGAGAGGGAGGAGCACCTCCCCTCAGGCACATCACTGCCCCCTCTGCTGTCAGTTTGCTCACCTCCCTAATGAGGGGGTTGGGCCAGCAGATCTCAGGGGTCCTTCCAGCTCTGTTGTCTGCGGCTTTCATCCCACTCCCTCATTTCACAGATGAGGGGTTGAGTCGAGTTTAATTTTGTCAGCTGCCTCAGAAATCCATTGGGAAAAGGGGGGTCTGAGGTTGGGGATGCAACAAAAGCTGTTGCCATATAGTCAGCACCAACTGCGTGCCAGACATCCGGCTGGCTGCGAGCTTTATGGGCACTGTCTGAATCCTCAGGACATTTCACTAATGAGAAAACTGAGGCTCAGAGAGGGGGATAACTTGCCGAAGGTCACACAGTGAGTCGATGAGAACTGGGGCTGGAACTCAGGCCTCCCTGTCCTTAAATGGAGAGCTCGTCCCTCAGTGGACTGAAGTCAGTGAGAGAGACAGAACCAGGCTGGACCAAAGCTTTCTCCAGAAACTTCAAGGGTCCATCCCTCATCTTTCCCCAGACAGGCTGACTTCTGTGTCTAAGGCCTATGGTGACATGGCTGGAATTTTGGCCAGGAAAGTAGTTGACTTGCCAAATTGGCTGGCAAGGGTGGGGCACGAGAGACTTCTGATGGGTTCAATGGCCCTGAGCCTGGGCCCTACGCTACCTTCTCTCCCAGCCAGCTTCCTGGAGCTAGGGTGGGCCCATCTGCATTATTCAGCCCTTGTCCCTCACTCCCCACCTTGTGTGGGCTCCTGGGGTTGGCGTCTAGACAGACAAGAGCATCCTACTGAGAACAGAGGCAGCCCTGACTCGGGGCTGAAGGTTCCTATGGCAACGGCATCCCCCTTCAGCTGGCAGCTACCTGATAAATAAATAATTAGGGGTGGGGGCGGGGAGCGAAGGGCAGGGGGAAGGGCAGCAGGGAGCCTCAGGGAGGCCCCACTCTGGAGAGCAGAAGGGCCAGTTAGGTTTGAAGTAGGGTGGAGGGCAGGGGGGTTGGCATTGCTAGGTGAAAGAAAGTGGACGGAAAAAAGTGGCCAGATATGAGAGATTTGGAAGATCCCAGAGAGCCAGGGCTTGAGGATGGGCTGCGGCGAGTGGGGGACGTGGAACAAGTGGGGAGCATGAGGGAGACTGAAACCTAAAGTTTAGGTTCCTAGCTCAAGCGGCTGGACACATCGTGGGGCCCAAAACACTGGACATGGACCAGGTTTGGGCATATGGAGTTCACAATGAGCTGTTCACTGAGTCATTGGTTAGAATGCAGCTGGGGGCTGCACGTGAGCAGGTAGTCACTGAAGCTTGGGTGGGCATGCGTTTCCTGGGATAAGTGTGGCATGAAGAGGGCCTGGGATGTAGCTTTGGGGCACTCTAATAGTTAGGGGCCTGCTGCTCTAGAATGGGGTAGTAGCCAAGGAAGGTGGAGAATTTGGTTTTAGCACCTGGAGTGTGCCAAGCACTGGTCTCACCACTGAAAATACGGCAGTGAACCACACAAGCAGAAATTCCTGCCCTCACAAAGCTTGCCATCCACTGCAGGAGACAGACCATAACTAAATAGTGTGTAAAAGAGTGTGTTTGCCAATGATAAGCACAGGCCAGCGTGGTGGCACATGCCTGTAGTCCTAGCTACTCAGGAGGCTGAGGTGGGAGGATTGAGCCAAGGAGTTCAAGGCTGCAGTGAGCCGCGATCACACCACTGCACTCCAGCTGGGTGACAAAGCGAAAATCCCATCTCAAAAAAATAAAAATAAAAAGTAAAAAACCACCAGGTGCAGTGGCTCATGCCTGTAATCCCAACACTTTGGGAGGCCACGGTGGGCAGATCACTTGAGGTCAGGAGTTTGAGACCAGCCTGGCCAACATGGTGAAACCCCATCTCTACTAAAAATATAAAAATTAGCTGGGCTTGGTGGCAGGTGCCTGTAATCCCAGCTACTCCAGAGGCTGAGGCAGGAGAATCGCTTGAACCCGGGAGATAGAGGTTGCAGCAAGCCGAGATCGCGCCACTGCACTCCAACCTGGGCGACGAAGCTGGACTCCATCTCAGGGAAAAAAAAAAAAAAAGGCCGGGCACGGTGGCTCATGCCTGTAATCCCAGCACTTTGGGAGGCCAAGGCGGGCAAATCACAAGGTCAGGAGTTTGAGACCAACCTGACCAACATGGTGAAACCCCATCTCTACTAAAAATACAAAAAATTAGGCCAGACGTGGTAGCTCACGCCTGTAATCCCAGCACTTTTGGAGGCTGAGGCGGGCGGATCACGAGGTCAGAAGATCGAGACCATCCTGGCTAACACGATGAAACCCCGTCTCTACTAAAAATACAAAAAATTAGCCGGGCGTGCTGGTGGGTGCCTGTAGTCCCAGCTACTCGGGAGGCTGAGGCAGGAGAATGGCGTGAACCTGGGAGGCAGAGCTTGCAGTGAGCCGAGATTGTGCCACTGCACTCCAGCCTGGGCGGCAGAGTGAGATTCTGTCTCAAAAAGAAAAAAAAAAAAAAAAAAAGTAAAAATCCAATCATAAGCACTGTGGAAAAAATAAAGGAAGGAGGGAGGTAGGGAGTTTTGCAGAAAAATATAATTTTAAATAATACTGACTCTTCTTGCAACCCTATGAGGAAGATACTGTGAATCATACCCATTTTGTTAACCAAGAAACAGGCACAGGAAGGTTAGTGCCGTGCCAAGAGTTGTATAATAACCAGCACACCAGGATTCTGACTCAGGCTTTGCTCCTGACCACTAGGTCATCCTGCCTCTGGGACGGTGCCATGGGGCAAAAGCCAGAAAAGAGTGCTGCTGGCAGGAGAGAGGGCAATTGAGGTCAGGTAAGATGAGGACTGAAATTCATCTGCTGAATTTATTATTTATTTATTTATTTATTTATTTATTTATTTATTTATTTATTTATTTTTGAGATGGAATCTCACTCTGTCGCCCAGGCTGGAGTGCAGTGGTGTGATCTTGGCTCACTGCAACTCCCACCTCCTGGTGGAGGTTGATTCAAGTGATTCTCCTGCCTCAGCCTCCCTAGTAGCTGGAATTACAGTTGCCCACCACCATGCCCGGCTAATTTTTCTATTTTTTTTTTTTTTTTTGAGTAGGAGTCTCACTCTGTTGCCCAGGCTGGAGTGCAGTGGCACGATCTCAGCTCACTGCAGGCTCCGCCTCCTGGGTTCAAGCCATTCTCCTGTCTCAGCCTCCCGAGTAGCTGGGACTACAGGCGCCCGCCACCACGCCTGGCTAATTTTTTGTATTTTTAGTAGAGACAGGGTTTCACCATGTTAGCCAGGATGGTCTCGATCTCCTGACCTCGTGATCCACCCGCCTCGGCCTCCCAAAGTGCTGGGATTACAGGCGTGAGCCACCGCACCCGGCCAATTTTTGTATTTTTAGTAGAGGCGGGGTTTCACCATGTTGGCCAGGCTGGTCTCAAACTCTTGACCTCAAGTGATCCACCCACCTCGGTCTCCCAAAGTGCTGGGATTACAGGCCTGAGCCACATCACCCGGCCTTATCTGCTGAATTTAATGACAAGGAGATCGCCAGTGACCTCAGTAAGAACTGTTTCAGTGGCCAAGCAGAAAGTCACTCTGGCAGATCGAGTGGCAGGGAAGGCCATGGAGACCTTTTATGTAGTTTTGGGGGTGAGAGTGTTGAGATAGATAAGGCTGATATCAGCTGCAAGGTGGTAAGAAGCTTTTTTTTTTTTTTTTTTGAGACAGGTAGGCTATCACAGCTCACTGTAGCCTCAGCCTGCTGGGCTCAAGCAATCCTCCCACCTCAGCCTCTCAAGTAGCTGGGACCACAGACGTGCACCACCACGCCCGGCTGAGTTTTTGTATTTTTTGTAGAGGTGGGGCTTTATGCCATGTTGCCCAGGCTGGTCTCAAACTCCTGAGCTCAAGCAGTCTACCCACCTGGGCCTCTCAAAGTGCTGGGATTACAGGCATGAGCCATTATACCCAGACACTTTTTTTTTCTTTTTTTAATGGGAGAGGCTTTGAGCTTGTTAGGAGCCAGTGAGAAGGATCTGGGGAGAGGGAGAGGCTATGTTTACAAGAGAGAAGGGACTGTGGATGGTGTGGGCTCCTGAGAAGACAGGAGGAGCTGGATCCAGAGTGCAGGTGGCGGGGGCCAGCCGCGGCGGCAGGGCAGGGCAGGGCAAGGCAAGGCAGAAAGAAAGAAAGGCCAGGCGCGGTGGCTTATGCCTGTAATTCCAGCACTTTGGGAGCCTGAGGCAGGTGGATCACCTGAGGTCGAGAGTTCAAGACCAGCCTGGCCAACATGGTGAAACCCCGTCTCCACTAAAAAATACAAAAAATTAAGCCGGGCATGGTGGCGGGTGCCTGTAATTGCAGCTACTGGGAAGGCTGAGGCAGGAGAATAGCTTGAACCCAGGAGGCGGAGGTTGCAAGTGGGCCTAGATCGCACCACTGCACTCCAGCCTGGGCAACAGAGCGAGACTCAAAAAAAAAAAAAAA
The DNA here is from genome assembly GCF_000001405.40 of Homo sapiens. Lineage (NCBI taxonomy): Eukaryota > Metazoa > Chordata > Mammalia > Primates > Hominidae > Homo > Homo sapiens. The sequence continues at coordinate 31,195,126 of NC_000001.11, read as the reverse complement.
AAGGAGGAAGGAATATATAGAGAAGAGAGAGAAAGAGAAGAAAGAAAAAAAGAAAGAGTCAGGCGCGGTGGCTCACGCCTGTAATCCCAACACTTTGGGAGGCTGCGGCGGGTGGCTTATGAGGTCAGGAGTTCGAGACAAGCCATGACTAACATGGTGAAACCCCATCTCTACTGAAAATACAAGAATTAGCTGGGCATGGTGGCACTCGCCTGTAATCCCAACTACTTAGGAGGCTGAGACAGGAGAATCGCTTGAACCTGGGAGGCAGAGATTGCGGTGAGCTGAGATCCCGCCACTGCACTCCAGCCTGGGTGACAGAATGGGACTCTGTCTCAAAAAAAAAAAAAAAAAAAAAAGAGAGAGAGAGAGAAAAGGAAGGAAGGAAAAGGAAAGGAAATGAAAAGAAAAAAGAAAGCAGGCCAGGTGCAGGGGCTCACGCCTGTAATCCCAGCACTTTGGGAGGCCGAGGCAGGCAAATCACCTGAGGTCGGGAGTTTGAGACCAGCCTGACCAACATGGAGAAACCCCGTCTCTACTAAAAATACAATAATTGGCAGGGCATGGAGGCACACACCTGTAATCCCAGCTACTCGGGAGGCTGAGGCAGGAGAATCACTTGAACCCGGGAGGCGGAGGTTGCAGTGAGCCGAGATCACGCCATTGCACTCCAGCCTGGGTGACGAGTGAAACTCCAAAAAAAAAAAAAAAAAGGAAGGAAGGAAGGAAAGAAAAAAAAGGAAAGAAAAAGGGAAGGGAAGGGAAAGAAAAAGGAAAAAGAAAGAGCTGGGTCAGGGGAGAACAGAGATCAAAGGCAGAGAGGACTGATGGGCAGGAATGTGGGGCTTCCTCTGTGAGCATTGGCAGGTGAAGACAGAGATGTGAGGCCTGGGTGACATGTTCTCATCTGTCACTCTGGGATTACAGTCAGGGGGCTCATTCTGTGTGGCTGGGATGAGATTTGTATTTTAGAAAAAGTAACTGAGTGGGGTGGTGGCCAGCCTTCCCCTGGCGGGAGATCAGGGAGAAGTCTGTATCCACTGTCCCCAGGAACTTTCACCCCAGCTCACTTAGGAGAGGGATTCAAGAAGCTATCTTGGCTTGGCTTGCAGCTCTCTAGGTAAAAATATCTCCAAACGAAGGAAGGAATTTTTCCCCCAGTGCACATGCATTTGCAATTTATGCAAAGGAGTAGATTGCTGTTGCCTCTGCACAGTTCCTGCCTTCTAAGTAACAAAGACACAGCAAGGCCGGTTATGATTTACAATCACCACAGCCCTCAGATTAGTGTTTCGGAGCTGACGCAACCAGGTGGGAAAGGTATTCCTCTTATTTTGTTCTTATTATTATTTGTTAATTAGCTGCATGTAACTGCTACACAAGCAGAAGTCCTGTAATATTTGACTTGGTGTTTGTTTGTTTGTTTGTTTTGAGACCGAATTTCGCACTTTCACCCAGGCTGGAGTGCAAGGGCACGATCTCAGCTCACTGCAACCTCCACCTCCCGGGTTCAAGTAATTCTCCTGCCTCAGCCTCCTGAGTAGCTGGGATTACAGGTGCGTGCCACCACGCCCAGCTAATTTTTTGTATTTTTAGTAGAGACGAGTTTTCCCCATGTTGGCTAGGCTGATCTCGAACTCCTGACCTCGTGATCCACCCACCTTGGCCTCCCAAAGTGCTGGTATTACAAGTGTGAGCCACTGCACCGGCCTTGACTTGGTTTTCTAATAAAAAATAATAACTTTAAAATTGAGATTGTTGCCGGGCGCGGTGGCTCACGCCTGTAATCCCAGCACTTTGGGAGGCTGAGGCGGGTGGATCACAAAGTCAGGAGATGGAGACCATCCTGGCTAACATGGTGAAAACCCGTCTCTACTAAATGTACAAAAAATTAGCCGGGCGTGGTGGCGGGCGCCTGTAGTCCCAGCTACTTGGGAGGCTGAGGCAGGAGAATGGTGTGAACCTGGAAGACAGAGCTTGCAGTGAGCCGAGATCACGCCACTGCACTCCAGCCTGGGAGACAGAGTGAGACTCCGTCTCAAAAAAATAAAAAAATAAAAAAATAAATAATAAAATAAAATTGAGATTGTTTATAAGACACTGAATCTGATTTTTTTTTTTTTAATAGAGATGGGATCTCACTATGTTGCCAAGGCTAGTCCCAAACTCCTGGCCTCAAGCCATCCTCTGGCCTTGGCCTCCCAAAGTGTTGGGATTACAGGCATGAGTGACTATACCCAGGCTACATCTAAATTTTTTAAAAGATATATTTAGGCCAGGCATGGTGGCTCACGCCTGTAATCCCAGCACTTTGGGAGGCCAAGGTGGGTGGACCACATGAGCCCAGGAGGGTATGAGACTAGGCTGGGCAACAGGGCGAGACCCTGTTCTCTACAAAAAATACAAAAATCCACTGGGCATGGTGGGATGCGCCTGTAGTCCCAGCTACTCGGGAGGCTGAGGCAGGAGAATGGCGTGAACCCCGGAAGTGGAGCTTGCAATGAGCTGATATCACGCCACTGCACTCCAGCCTGGGCGACAGAGCGAGACTCCATCTCAAAAAAAAAAAAATTCATTTAAATCTGCACTCACCATCGGAGGAAGAGACGGCCTTTTCCAGGCCTGGGTCATAGCCCTGAATACCCCGGTTTGTACTGATTTCCTTCCCCTCCTCTACTAAGTGGGTCCTGAGTTCCCAAAGGGCAGGGACCCCAACTTCTTCACTTCTGCATCCCGGAGCTAGCACAAAGCCTGACATAGACTAAACGTTCTGTGAATAAATAAGTGATGAACCCTGGCTGGGTGAGGGCATGTCAGATGTGGGATGGATGGATAAATGGGTCTAGCTGGTTATAGATAAATGAGTGAATGATTGTTGGGTGTGAGGATGAAGGAAGGCCAGAGCCATGCTGAGAATGGGAAGAACAGCCCCCACTCCATGTCAAGTGGAGAGAGCAGCACCTGTGGGCCAGTCAGGGAGGCCTTCCTACCAAAAGAGGGAACTGAGCTACACTGTGAAAACTAAGGAGGACTTGGATAAAGCCAAAGGGAGGCCCAGCGCAGTGGCTTATGTCTGTAATCCCAGCATTTTGGGAGGCCAAGGCAGGAAGATTAATTGAGGCCAGGAGTTCAAGACTACTCAGGGCAACATAGTGAGACCCAATCTCTACAAAATATTTTAAAATTACCCAGATGTGATGGCACATGCCTGTAGTCCCAGCTACTAAGGAGGTGAGGCAGGAGGATGCCTTGAGCCCAGGAATTTGAGGTTACAGTGAGCTGTGATCACCACATTGCACCCCAACCTGGGCAAAAGTGCAAGACTCTTTCTCAAAATAAAATATAAAATAAAAAATAAGGCAAAGGCAAATGAAGGTAGGACTTTAACTGCTGTTACAGCCTCTTGGGGGCAGGAGCTGATGGGAAATACAGGATTGAGCCAGATCCTAGTGGGCCCTCGGTGCCAAACTAAGAAGCTTAGACTGTTAAGCCTTCTATTAATTAGCCACTATGTATCAAGTCTAATTGTCTGTTAGTTTATGTGATATCTCTATATCCCCACAACAACTTCTCAAGAGAGGGATTATCTTCTCTATTTATAGTTGAAGAAATAGATTCAGAGAGGGAAAGTGACTTGCCCTAAGTCACACAGCAGAGCTGGAATTTGAATCTGAGTTTAAATGACTACAAATCTGCTACTGCTTTAAAAAAAAAAAAAAAAAAAAACCTCTCTCTGTTTTCTATCAATAAGGTCACAGAGAACAGAGGGGGTTTGAGTGGGTACCACTTTGGCTGGAGATGATATCACCTCTTAGGTGGATTTTTTTTTTTTTTTTGAGACAGAGTCTTGCTCTGTCACCTAGGCTGGAGTACAGTGGCGCGATCTTGGCTCACTGCAGCCTCTGCCTCCCAGGCTCAAGCAATTCTCCTCCCTCAGCCTCCCAATCTGCTGGGAATACAGGCATGTGCCACCACACCCAGCTAACTTTCGTATTTTCAGTAGAGATGGAGTTTCACCATGTTGGCCAGGCTGGTCTTGAGCTCCTGACCTCAAGTGGTCCGCCGACCTTGGCCTCCCAAAGTGCTGGGATTACAGGCGTGAGCCACTGCGCCCAGCCTTAGGTGGAAATATTTGGCAGGGTGCCTCCTCAGCTGCACCATGAGCCTGGATTGCTCTGTCACAGCCTCCTCCGTCCTCTGATGGAGACCTTCTCCCTTAGGGCCAGGTAACAGCTGAGTCAAGAACATCAAGCTGGACCCCAGAACACCAAGGCTCCCAAGGCCAGGCAGAGTCAGGGTGGAAGGAGGAAGAGTGGAGTGGAGGAAGTGTGGGATAGGAGCAGCAGACAGAGACCGTGGCAGAGGCCCCTGGACAAGCCTGGGGAGTTTCTCCCCCAAGGCCAGCAGCTGATGGAAGTCAAGGCTGGAAGGGCCCTTGGAGATTACCTAGTCCAGTGACTTCCATGCATGGAAGAGGAGCCCCAAACCCAGCGGGGAAAGTGGGCTGCCCAAAGTCACCCAGGAGTCAGAGGCAGACTTCCCACCACAATTTACACCTCTTGACTCCCTTACCAGTGCCAAGATGGGAAAAGGTGGTGCCAAGATGGGACAGGTGGCTGAGAAAGGCCTATTCTGCCACCAACCTGCTGTGTGACCTTGGACAAGTCACTTCCCCTCTCTGAGCCTCATGTTCTCTTTCCTCAAAATGAAATAATGATTCCAGCTCTGCCTTTCTGCCAAGGAGCATCCAGTGAGAGATGAGCTTTACAATCTGCACATCCCTGGGAGGGGAGTCACCGACAAGAGGCAGGCTGGTGCCAAGTGGGTAAATGCCAAGGTTGGGCCTGGCACCACCAGGCTTCCCTCACCACCTTACCCAAGCCTGCAGCTTCCTTGGTCTCTGCCCAAGCCTTGCCATCTGTGTGGTAGCATCAGCTCCACCTCCTCCTGCCTCCCTGCCTGGAAAAAGGCTTCTTATATCTTCTCACTTTATCTGAATATTCCCTCCCCCTCCCCAGCCAGACCCTCTTCTCTCCTCTTCTGTTGTAGTTAGGACTCTTTGTTGCAAATGACAAAAATCAGCAGGACAAGGAGGGAGAACCAGCTTTAGGCATGGCTGTATTCAGAGGCCTGAAAGATGGCTCAGGACATTCCCTTGTGTGTTCAGTCTTCCTCCCACACACACTCTCTCTGTACCTTAGCTATGGCTTTCTCCTCAGGCGGGCCATCCACCTGAGGTGGCCAAGGCAGCCACCAACAGCTCCAAGCTCACACCACACCCATTCAGGTATCCTGGCAGGATAGCAGCTCTGTTCTGATTGTTCCAGCAAATATCTAGGGTGATTCTCAGGGGCAGAGCATGGGGTGAGCGCCTATCCCTAAATTCATCATTGTCTTTGATTATTTGGCTAGACTTGGCTTACCTGCCCACCCCAGAAACTAGAAATGAGTCAGCCCCACTCAAGCCATGTGGACAGAGTGGTAGGAGGTGGTTCTTTAAAGCAAAATTTGGCTGGGCGCAGTGGCTCACGCCTATAATCCCAGCACTTTGGGAGGCTGAGGTGGGTGGATCATTTGAGGTCAGGAGTTCAAGACCAGCCTGGCCAACATGGTGAAACTCTGCCTGTACTAAAAATACAAAAATTAGCTGCGTATGGTGGCAGGTGCCTGTAGTCCCAGCTACTCGGGAGGCTGAGGCAGGAGAATTGCTTGAACCTGGCAGGTGGATGTTGCAGTGAGCTGAGATAGTTCCACTGCACTACAGCCTGGGCGACAGAGCGGGACTCTGTTTAAAAATAATGATAATAAATATTTAGAAATAAAAAATAAACGACCATTTTATTTAGTTCATGATTCTGTGGGTCAGCTGGGAGATTCTTCTGGTCTGGGCTATGTGTCTGTGGTCAGCTAGTGACCCGGGGTGATCTAGCATGGCCTCGCTCACATGGTTGATGGCTGATGGGCTATTAGCCGGGGTGCCTTCGCTCTCCTCCCCGTGGCTTCTCATCCTCCAGCAGGTCAGCTGGGGCTTGTTCACAAGGTGGTCTTGTTATAAGTGAAGCAAGTTGGCAAGCTCCAATGAACGCCGTTTTTTTTTTTTCTTTTCTTTTTTTTGAGACGGGGTCTCACTCTGTCGCCCAGGCTGGAGTGCAGTGGCATGATCTTGGCTCACTGCAACCTCCGCCTGCTGGGCTCAAGAGATTCTCTCACCTAAGCCTCCCGAATAGCTGGGACTACAGGTGCGCACCACCACACCTGGCAATGGTTTGTATTTTTTGTTGAGACGGGGTTTCACCAGGTTGCCCAGACTGGATGCATGCATTTTTCAAGCCTTTTTCAAACATGGTTTGCATTGTGTTTGCCAAAGTCCCTTTAGGCAAAGCAAGTCGCATGGGCAAGCACAGCATTAGTGTGGAAGGGCACTACTGAAGAGCATGGAAATAGGAAGAGGAGGATTCGAGGCCAATTTTGCAATCTATTCCAGCTCCTTCAGGGAAGGGGAGTGAAAAGCATTCCTTCTCTGTAGCCCAGGAATGCCATGGGCCAGGGCAAGCTCCAGATGGGGATCCTTGGAAGAGGTGACTCGGGCTCCAGGACTTCCTTGCCCTCCAAGGCTAGGGGTGGCAGTCTGGATTCTGATCCCACCATCTTCTCCACATGGAGAAGGTGCAGGAGCTTGAGCCGCTAGAGGGAAGGGCCTCCTTGGCAGGGAGGAAGGTGTTCTGAACCCTCACTCCTATCACCTTTCAGCCCACCCCAAAGTGATGATCAGGCTTAAGGACCCCCCAGCATCCCTTTGGTAGTGAAGGACTGGATTGTTCTGAGGCTTATGCCTCATCACCATGGTAACTGGTGCCACCTGCTCCCCAAGGTCAAGCAGGAATCCCTGTCCTTCCCTTTCAGGGGGGTGACAGTGGCCTCAGCCTGTCTCTTCCACAGGTGGCTGCGCTGGAGCGGCAGATCTTTGACTTCCTGGGCTACCAGTGGGCTCCCATCCTAGCCAACTTCCTGCACATCATGGCAGTCATCCTGGGCATCTTTGGCACCGTGCAGTACCGCTCCCGGTACCTCATCCTGGTACGGCTCACCTAGCCCCTTCCCAAGCCAACTCCTCTCCTCACCCCTGCCCACTCCACCCCTCCCTGCTCCTCAAAACCAGAACTGCCCCCCAACACTGGGGCACTGGTCTTGGCTCCACCCAAAACAAGATGGGGTGAATGTGCACAGCCCCATGCTTCTTTGCTCAGAGGAGACAAGGGTTTTTTTTTTCCTGAAGAATTTTTTAGGGAAATAATCCAAATATAAACAAAATGGATCATGTAGTGAGTGCCTGGCACGTGCCAGGCACGCTGCGAAATTTCACATGCTTCATCTCATGTCTACAATAGCCCTGTGAGGTAGATCTTAACAGCTCCATTTTCCAGATGAGGAAACTGAAGCTCAGAAAGGTTGCGAGTCTTCCTAAGGTCACACAGCTAATGAAAGCAAGGCAGGATTAGAACATCAGATCAACAGTGAAGGCTCCTGCTGCGGCACCACACGGCCTCAGGAAGGGGTGGGCGCAAGGACACAGGAGGGATGGGCTTCATCTTATTTAGTTTCTCAAGAAGCTTCAGGAAGGCTTGGCATTTGTCTCTCTTGCCCGATGTACATCAAGGATGTGTTCTGGAGCAGCTAGTGTGGCTTTGAGGTCAGTGCCTCCCTGCACTCCAGCCCCAGGAGTCTGGGTCTCTCTCCTCCTCCCCGACAGCCTCTTCCCAAGTCCTGGTCCCTGATAGTCTCTGTCAAACTCCTGCTTTCAGCTAGATTCACCCATATTCCCTGCTGTTCCTCAGTGACCTCTTCACATGGCTCTCTTGAGGGAAAAGGCTTTTCACTAGATTTACTACATACATGCTTGACACCTACAATCACAATGACATGCAATGTCATGCTGCCTCCAGAGCCCACACACACTCATTCTAGGACTTCTCTCCCCACCTCCACAGGCTCAGTTCCCAGAAGCCAGGTGAACAGGACCCTAACAAGGCTCTCTCTCATCTGACATAAGAGAACACTTCTCTCCAGTTCTCAGGAAAGCCCCAGACACCACTGTCAACAACACTATCTGCCAGGTGACAGCCACTAGAATTGCAGGCACAGGACTTGGGTAGAAGCATCCAGGTCTCAAATCGACCCTAACCTCCTCTCCAGCTCACTACCGTGGGTGGAATGCTGTTCTCCCCAGAGGTGGCCACATTCGGGATGTGGGAAAACTGAGGGGCCCAGGGGCCTCAGTGCTGACCTAGCATTGCTGCTCCAGCATTGCTGCTCCCAGTCCCTCCCATCCCAGCCCTCTCCTTCCAGACAGATGGAAAGATTGCTGGAGCGGGGCACATTGACCTGTGTCATTCAAGTACAATTTATAGAGCAAGGAAGGGAGGGAGGAAAGTGATGGAGTGAGGGCATCCAGGGCCCAGGCTGGACTCCCGTTCTATGCTTGGGGTCTCAGTTTGGTCTGCTCACCCCAGCCTTTCTCCAGGCCCCATCCATGATCCTGCCTCCACCTGCCCTGGTTCCCTTATACCCAGACTCCAGCCACAGCCATGTGAGAAGATGTCACACACATACTCAGGCACAAGGCTGCAGGATAACCTCCTGTCTCTTTTGGTCTAAAGTTCCCAGCATCCACTGCCCTCCAGCCTGGGTGACAGACCAAAATCTTGTCTTAAAAAAAAAAAAAAAAAAAAAAACACAAAAGAATTAAGACTTTTTTTTTTTTTTTGAGACGGAGTTTCGCTCTTGTTGCCCAGGCTGGAGTCCAGTGGCATGATCTCAGCTTACCACAACCTCCACCTCCCAGGTTCAAGTGATTCTCCTTCCTCAGCCTTCCGAGTAGCTGGGATTACAGGCATGTGCCATCATGCCTGGCTAATTTTGTATTTTTAATAGAGACAGGGTTTCTCCATGTTGGTCAGGCTGGTCTCAAACTCCCGACCTCAGGTGATCTGCCCACCTTGGCCTCCCAAAGTGCTGGGATTACAAGCGTGAGCCACTGCGCCTGGCCTCTTTTTTTTTTTTTTTTAAATATGGGTTTTCTCCATATTGCCCAGGCTGGTCTTGAACTCCTGAGCTCAAATGATCTGCCCACCTCAGCCTCCCAAAGTGCTAGGACTACAGGTATGAGCCACTGCACCTGGCCCATTTCCTATAGTCTTAATGGGTTCATCCAGCTATTCTGTGCTAGGCATTGGCATTGCAGTGGTGAGCCAGGCAGTCAGAGTCCTCGCCCTCTAGTGGCTTACCACCTGGAACATGTTTCTGAAAGTGTCATCTGAGTCACAATCTCCTAGGGATTGCTTAAGCAATCCCTTTTAAACATCCCTAGAAATTCAGAATCAGTAGGTCTAGAGGTAGGACCCAAGAATCTGCATTTTTGACAAACATCCTTGAATGATTCCAGTATTCTAGAGACAGCTGGTCTAGAGGATGTTGTTAGCACAGTGGATGGGATTAGCTATCAGAGAACTTGATTTGAGTGGCAGCCCTACCTCCTCCTAGCTGTGTGATCTTAGAAACCTTAAACTTCCTTTCAGTTTTAAGTTAGTTCTCTCTAAAAGAGGGCAGTGCTGACCTTGCAGGGCTGTTGTAAGGCCTGATGGGTGTGTAAATGATTTGTAAGCTACACTGTGCTCTCTGAGTGAGGTATTCTCATAATTTCCCCTGCCCAGATCTCCTCATCCCTGAGCTCTGTCTCCATTGACACTCCCCATCCCCCACTCCCCAGGCCCCACCCTGATCCCACCTCTGCTTTCCCCAGTATGCAGCCTGGCTGGTGCTCTGGGTTGGCTGGAATGCATTTATCATCTGCTTCTACTTGGAGGTTGGACAGCTGTCCCAGGTAAGCCTCAGACCTGGCAGTGCCATAGGGCAGAGCCTGACCATTCCCATCCCCTGCCCTAAGGGTACTGTGGTATAGGACCAGAGCATCATGTCTCGAAGAAGTCTCTCTCTCCTTACATGCCCAAATAATCTGTGTGCCCCATTTCCTACTTACACAATTTATTTCTGGCTTCCTCAAACACAATGATGGAGCAGATAAGGCTGAAGAGCAGTCCATGTGAAGATGAGCCAGGGGTCCCAGTTGATCACAAGCTCAGTAAAAACCAACAGTATGTGGGAGCCCAGAAAGCTACTCTTAGGCCCCGCTAATAGAGGTAGAGTATTCAGAGCAAGGGAGGTGAAAATGCCATGCGCTTTGTAGTGCTTAGACCACAAAGATTTGGGTTAATTCTGATCAATATTTTTCAGAAGGGAAAGAGACTAGTTAGAGTTTGTTCAGGGAAGATTGAGCAGACCAAGAAAGTAGGACTGTTTCGCTTGAATAAGAGCAAGCCCAGAGAGACACAACTTCTATTTTTAGATATAAAAGAGGCAAAATATGTGAATTTAAGAGCATTGGCTTTGTAGTTTGACCCTGCTAGATTCAAATCCCAGCTCTAAAACCTTCTAGCTGTATTACCCTGGGCAAGTGGCTGATCCTCTCTGAGCCCCAGTTTCCTCATCTAGTAAGTGGACATAAGAGCAACTGCAACTTCATGTGGTTGCTGAGGGGATAAAATAAGGTCACACATCTGAGTGCTTGGCCCCTGGTCGGCAGGCAGTGAGTATTTATCTGTTGAATGAGTGACTGCATGGATGGGCACATGGGTACACACCCTGGGTAAGAACTTCTGATCTAGGCCAGCCCCTTCTCCATTTAACAAATGTGGAGACCAAGGCCCCAAAGGAGAGGTTCGCCCAGGGTCGCACACAGGGGGAGCAGTGGAGATACTGAATGGGCTGTTAAGGGGCTGGTACTGAGGATTTCACCTGTGGCTGGGAAATTGTTAATGTTCCTTCCAGCTCTGAAAATTCTGAGGCCCCTGTGAGTCCACACAAACCCCTTCCCATCTCAGTGACAAAAGAGTGAGGCCTGTGTGGTCATTAAGTGCCACCTGTTGGTCAAATATGGACTTGCAGGTGCAGGCTCCCTGAATCCCTTCACCGATCAATATAGTCTTCCTGGGCTGGGGGAGTAGCTCCCCCCTCCCTCTCCCTCACACTCAGTATCCCAGGCCCCTTTGCCCCCAGGACCGGGACTTCATCATGACCTTCAACACATCCCTGCACCGCTCCTGGTGGATGGAGAATGGGCCAGGCTGCCTGGTGACACCTGTTCTGAACTCCCGCCTGGCTCTGGAGGACCACCATGTCATCTCTGTCACTGGCTGCCTGCTTGACTACCCCTACATTGAAGCCCTCAGCAGCGCCCTGCAGATCTTCCTGGCAGTAAGTCCTTCTGTCCCCCACCCTACACACACTTCCCGATCCCTTTCTTTAGCTCTGGTTGAGGGGATGGGTTGGGCGCAGTGGCTCACGCCTGCAATCCCAGCACTTTGGGAGGCCATGGCTGGTGGATCACCTGAGGTCAGGAGTTCAAGACCAGACTGACCAACATGGAGAAACCCCGTCTCTACTAAAAATACAAAATTAGCCAGGCATAGTGGCACATGCCTGTAATCCCAGCTACTCAGGAGGCTGAGGGAGGAGAATTGCTTGAACCCAGGAGGTGGAGGTTGCGGTGAGCCAAGATTGCACCATTGTACTCTAGCCTGGGCAACAAGAGCGAAACTCCATAAAAAAAAAAAAAAAAAAAAAAAAAAAAAAAAGAGGGAATGAACCTAGGTCTTCCGCCTGTCTGTCCTTTTGTCTGGATCTGTTTCCATATCCTGTACCGTCTTCCCTCACCGCTGCCCCAGCCCCTGTGCAGAGTGAACAGGTTTAGTGAGTAGGATGAGGCATCAGACTATGAATCAATCCTGGGTTTAAGTGCTCAATACACCCACTATGTGACTTTGGACAAGTCACCTGCCTTCTCGGAGCTTGTTTCCTTATTCACAAAAAAGAATGACAATACCAGCCTCAGAGTTGTGAGAATAAGAAAGTGACCCCAGTGGGCGTGATGCCTCATGCCTGTGGACCCAGCTACTTGAGAGGTTGAGGCAGGAGGATCACTTGAGCCCAGGAGGTTGAAGCTGAAGTGAGCCATGATTGCAGCACTGCACTACAGCCTGGGTGACAGAGTGAGACCCTGTCTGAAAGAAAGAAGGAAAGGAAGGGAAGGGAAGGGAAGAAAAAAAAAAGAAAGAAAGAAACTCCAAGATAGGAGTAGTTCCTGTTTCTAGAAGGGCCAGCCCTGTCCTAGGCACTTTGTACCCACAAAGTCACATAATCCTCTTTCTTCTTAACAAGCCATAAGGTATTGCCCAAGTCCAAGTGGGAAAACTGAGGCTCAAAGAGGTAAAATGATTACTTGTCTCAAGTTACACTTTCAGAAGAGTTAGACCATGTATGTTTGACTTTAAGGTGAAAACATTTAATTGGAAGTTGTTACGGTTTGCCTTCATCCTGGCATGCCTCCTCCCTTGCCAGTCAGAGCGTACAGGGCCCGGCAGGGGGCGGAGGAAGAGGTTCCCACTCCTCCTTCCTCCCTGACGTGTCATCTCCACTCCCAGCTGTTCGGCTTCGTGTTCGCCTGCTACGTGAGCAAAGTGTTCCTGGAGGAGGAGGACAGCTGTGAGTAAGGCGCCCCTGGGGAAGTGGGGAATCTGGCCCTGCGCCTTCAGCACCCTGGACAGAGGCCTGTGACTGGCCCCGGCGGGAGGGAGCCCAGGGTCGGCCACGGGCCCCTTTCGAGGGGAAGAGGCGGCTGGTATGGAAGGCTCTGCATACCAGCCCGTTCCAGGCTGGGGTCCAGACGTCCAGGTGCCCAGTCCCTGGCCCCAGCACCCCCTTTCCCCAATCTCGCCCCACCCCATCAGAGGTCTTGTCCCGTTTAGAGGCTCTAGCCCCGCCCCTGAGAGCCTTCTCTCCCATAGGACTGCCCGGCCTCCCAGGCCCAAGCCTTAAGGACTGGGGCCTGACCCTCAGCTGGCCCGGCCTCGCCGCCTCCAGACCCCCAGAGGCCCATCCCTCAGGGTCCAGCCGAAGCCCCGCCCCAGGCCCTGCACGGGGTCTGACCCTCGCCCCTCCCCTCCTCATGGCTTCTCTGGCTCCGCTTCCTAGGGTGGGAGTCCTGCCCTCAGATTCTTCCCCTTCAGGACCCAGTCTCCCTCTCCTCGCCCCCGCCGCCGATCCCTAACATGCGCCGCCCCTCTTCCGCAGTTGACTTCATCGGCGGCTTTGACTCCTACGGATACCAGGCGCCCCAGAAGACGTCGCATTTACAGCTGCAGCCTCTGTACACGTGGGTCACGGCCCCCTGCTGGCTTGGGGAGGCCTGGGCGTCGGGGTTGCGAAAAGGAGGGGATGGAGGAGTGGGCAGGGCAACCGGGTCTCTCCGCCCCCATACTTTTGGGATCCACTCTCCCTAACCTGCCTTTGTTTCCCGCAGGTCGGGGTAGCCTCTGCCCCGCGCCCACCCCGGCGCCTCGCCCTGGGCTGACCGCAGCTGCCGCGAGCTCGGGCCAAGGCGCAGGCGTGTCCCCCTGGTGGCCCGCGCGCTCACTGCAGCCTGTGCCCAACCCCGCGTCTGCATCTGGAGATGCGGACTTGGACGTGGACTTGGACTTGGACTTGGATTTGAGCTTGGCTCTTCGCAGCCCGGACTTCGGAGGAGTGGGGCGGGGCGGGGGAGGGGCACCACGGGTTTTTTGTTTTTTGTTTGTTTGTTTTTAATCTCAGCCTTGGCGTGAGCTGGGGCCTTCCTCTCTTCTCCAGCCTCTCCCTTTCACTCTTCACCCAGCATCCTGCCCCCCTGTCCAAAAACAGCAGGACATCAGACCCATCCCATCCCACCACACTCACTCACCAGCTCTGGGGAAAGCTACTGTGAACTAGGAGCAGGATTCCTGGGTTCTAATCGCAGGTCCATCACTGACTGTGACGTCTAGCAAAGCCCTTGCCCTCTCTGAGCCTCGGTTTCCGCACCTCAAGTAATTAATCCCTTAGCAAATGGACTCTTTTAGACTTCTCATTTAACTCAATTCCCTGAGCTAGACTGGGATTAAAATTCTCATTTTGCAGTACATTAAAACTGAGGCCCAGAGATGTGATTTGCTTGAGGCCACACAGCTAGATTTTTGGTGGAAGTGGGCCTTGAACACAGTGTACTTTCTGCAGTTTCTGACTGTAAAACCCAGTGTCTGCTCTCTGAGTTCCATTTCCAAGCCCCCCTCCATCTTGGACCTATGTGGTCTCCACCATATTCACACACCACCACCACCACTTGCCAATGCCTCTCTTAAAGCAATATACCCATTCGTTCTCTTATTGGGAACTGGATGGATGAAGCCCCAAATTCAGCCCCACCCACAGAGAAGCCTTCCTACACTCAGCCTCTGTCCACCCTTGGCAAATCTTTCAAGCTCTCTCCTCCAGGAAAGTGGGGCCCCAACTCAGTCACTCCACCCCCTTCCAGGTCCCTGAGGCTGGTTCTACTGTATCCCCATCACCTCCACAACTCCACTCACCCCTGACGGCTCCATCCACCTCACCAGTTGGAAGGCTTGTGGTTTCAGAGAGGAGCAATGCTGGTCAGCGCTGCCCAGACTCCAGTGTTTACAGATCACCAGCATTTACAACCAATCCAATGGCCAGAAGCCTCCTCTAACAAGCCCAGAAGGAGTTCTGAAGGGGCAGATGGGGGTGTGAGTAGTCGGGGAGTCGGGATTGCCAGCACCCTCACCCTTCCTTGGGGGCAAGTAGAGGTGAGAACACTTTCCCCACCTCCCTCCACAGACACTCCTGAGGACGCTGCATCCCACGCACTGCCTGGTGCGTCCATAGAGAGAGGATCAGGTCTCAGCATTTCATCTGTGAAAGAGGCATGGCCCTGGGTTAGAAAGGAGGGCAGGAGACATGGAGGAACTGGGGGGCACCCAGATGGTGCAGATGGTTTGCACACCTGAGCCTGTCTGTGGTGACCATTCCGCTCCTCTCCCACTACCCTCCAATCTATCATTCCCTACTCTCTAAGGCCAAAATATCCTGAGCAAGGCTGGCAACCCCACCCCACCATCCCAAATGCAAGCAGCCAGGCCCAGGAGTTCCTCTGGCCCCCACAGGCATGGAGCTCCCAGCTGGTGGGTACAGCTTGAGAGGGGGGCAGCTCCCTCAGGCTAAGCTACTGCCCTTCACTGGGCCAGCCCTGCCTCCAGCCCTCACCTCTCTCACCCCAACTCTCCCCCAAGCCCCTTTCTACTCAACGGGTGTAGCCACTGGTGCTTTGAAGCCTTTTGTTTTTATAAGATGGTTTTTGCAAGGGGACCAGGTTCTCTTTTCACTGGGACCTTGCAAGGAGGGGAGTGCTCTCCTGGTTTCTGTGCAGGCGGGTTGATTAAAGATGGTGTTTTCTTCTCTATCTTCCTGTCCTGCCCATTGGGTCTATAGAACTTTCTAAGTGAGAAGTCCCTGCATGAGGGCAGGCAGGAATGATTTGATGTTGATGTTATCAAATATTCCTGGGGTGGCCAGGCACGGTGGCTCATGCCTGTAATCCCAACACTTTTGAAGGCTGAGGTGGGCAGATCACGCGAGGTCAGGAGTTTGAGACCAGCCTGGCCAACATGATGAAACCCTGTCTCTACTAAAAATACAAAAATTAGGCAGGGCCGGGAGGCTGAGGAAGGAGAATCACTTGAACTTGGGATGCAGAGGTGGAGTGAGCTCAGATGGCGCCACTCTACCCCAGCCTGGGTGATAGAGCAAGACTCCATCTCAAAACAATAAAAAAGAAACAAATCCTGGGGCACTGGCCTGTAACTCTGACTGGGTGTGTAGCTTTAGGCAACTCACTCTCCCTCTCTATACTCATCCAAAAAAAAAAAAAAAAAAAAGCAGAGGTCAAACAAAATCAGTGGGTTCCCAAATGTGGCTTCATAATCCCTTAGAGATCTTCCTACTTATTTTCCTGATAAAATGCATTTTAAGTTTATGCTTTCAAATATCCTTTGCATCTTGGCTCTTCCTGAGAATTCAGTTCCGGGTGTGGAATGAAGTGACACACAGTGCTTTAGACACGGATTCCTGCATCCAACCTTTGATATCCTGGATACTTTTCTGGGGATACAGCGCAAGAATCAGTATTTAGAATGTTTTAATTTGTGTGTCGGCAGGTATGTGGGTGAACGGGTAATATGTATATAAGGTACAGAAGTCAGAAGGTCCCAGTGGGATTATATACTCATACCTTTTTTTCATATCTTTCTAAGGATAGGCCTTTTTTAAATTATACAATTTTTGGTCAGGCATGATGGCTCATGCTTGTAATCCCAGCACTTTTGGAGGCAGAAGCAGGAGGACTGCTTGAGCCCCGGAGTTCCAGACTCACCTTGGGCAACATAGGGAGACCTCATTTCTTTAAAAAAAAGAAAAATGTAAAAATTAGCTGAGCATCGAGTGGCACATGCCTTTAGTCCCAGCTGCTCAGGAGGCTGAGTCAGGAGGATTGCTTGAGCCCAAGAAGTTGAGGTTGCAGTGAGAGCTGAGATTGTGCCACTGCACTACAGCCTGGGAAACAGAGTAAGACTGTCTCAAAAACAAACAAACAAAATTACACATTTTTTTGTTTTTCACACAAATGGCAACATATTCTACTTACTCTTTGACCCCCTGCTTTTTTTCCCCCCCCTTGAGATAGAGTCTCACTCTGTCTCCCAGGCTGAAGTGCAGTGGCGCAATCTCAGCTCACTGTAACCTCCGCCTCCTGGGTTCAAGCAATTCTCCTGCCTCTGCCTACCGAGTAGCTGGGATTACAGGTGCCTGCCATCACACCTGGCTAATGTTTGTATTTTTATTTTATTTATTTACTTATTTATTTATTTTTGAGATGGTGTCTCGTTCTGTTGCCCAGGCTGGAGTGCTGTATTTTTAGTGGAGATCGGGTTTCGCCATGTTGGCCAGGCTGGTCTCGAACTTCTGACTTCAAGTGATCCACCTGCCTTGGCCTCCTAAAATGCTGGGATTACAGGAGTAAGCCACCACACCTGGCCTCTTTCACTTAATCTTGGAACTCCTCCCCCAATAATTCCTGTGGAGCATCCTCTTTTTCTTCCATGGTGACAGGTCTTAATGCAGCTGGCAGGTAAGAATCAGAGGTCCTTAAATAATGATGCCCCAGGTCAGTTATGCAAACCCCTGTGGACCACTCCTGACCATGGGGTCCAGAGGAAAATAAGCCACAGACACAGAACCTCCAAGGAGCTTCTGATCTTCTGCTGATAGCGGGCAGTCAATGCTGAGGGCACAGAGTAGAGTGAAAGGCAATCATTAATAGGAGTTCAGGAGAGAGATCTGAGTGCCCCAGCAGAGGCAACAGCATGAGCAAAATGGTGGAGGTAGGAAAATACATAGTGGCCGGGTAAGAATAGTTGGAGACGAATTGGTTGGAGAAGGCTTCAGTAGATAATATATTTGTTTATATTCGTTTCCTATTTCTATTTTTCTTTTTCTTTTTTTTTTTTTTAAATTGATCATTCTTGGGTGTTTCTCGCAGAGGGGGATTTGGCAGGGTCATAGGACAATAGTAGAGGGAAGGTCAGCAGATAAACAAGTGAACAAAGGTCTCTGGTTTTCCTAGGCAGAGTGTTTGTGTCCCTGGGTACTTGAGATTAGGGAGTGGTGATGACTCTTAACGAGCATGCTGCCTTCAAGCATCTGTTAAACAAAGCACATCTTGCACCGCTCTTAATCCATTTAACCCTGAGTGGACACAGCACATGTTTCAGAGAGCACAGGGTTGGGGGTAAGGTCATAGATCAACAGGATCCCAAGGCAGAAGAATTTTTCTTAGTACAGAACAAAATGAAAAGTCTCCCATGTCTACTTCTTTCCACACAGACACAGCAACCATCCGATTTCTCAATCTTTTCCCCACCTTTCCCCCTTTTCTATTCCACAAAACCGCCATTGCCATCATGGCCCGTTCTCAATGAGCTGCTGGGCACACCTCCCAGACGGGGTGGCCGCCGGGCAGAGGGGCTCCTCACTTCCCAGTAGGGGCGGCCAGGCAGAGGTGCCCCTCACCTCCCGGACGGGGTGGCTGGCCAGGCGGGGGGCTGACCCCCCCACCTCCTTCCCGGACGGGGCGGCTGGCCGGGCAGAGGGGCTCCTCACTTCCCAGTAGGGGCGGCCGGGCAGAGGCGCCCCTCACCTCCCGGACGGGGCGGCTGGCCGGGCGGGGGGCTGACCCCCCCACCTCCCTCCCGGACGGGGTGGCTGGCCGGGCGGGGGGCTGACACCCCCACCTCTCTCCCGGACGGGGCGGCTGGCCGGGCAGAGGGGCTCCTCACTTCCCAGTAGGGGCGGCCGGGCAGAGGCGCCCCTCACCTCCCGGACAGGGCGGCTGGCCGGGCGGTGGGCTGACCCCCCCACCTCCCTCCCAGATGGGGCGGCTGGCCGGGCAGGGGGCTGACCCCCCCACCTCCCTCCCGGACGGGGCGGCTGGCCGGGAGGGGGGCTGACACCCCCACCTCCCTCCCGGACGGGGTGGCTGCCGGGCGGAGACGCTCCTCACTTCCCAGACGGGGTGTTAGCCGGGCGGAGGGGCTCCTCACTTCTCAGACGGGGCGGTTGCCAGGCGGAGGGTCTCCTCTCTTCTCAGACGGGGCGGCCGGGCAGAGACGCTCCTCGCCTCCCAGATGGGGTCGCGGCCGGGCAGAGGCGCTTCTCACATCCCAGACGGGGCAGCGGGGCTGAGGCGCTCCCCACATCTCAGACGATGGGCGGCCGGGCAGAGACGCTCCTCACTTCCTAGATGGGATGGCGGCCGGGCAGAGACCTCTTCACTTTCCAGACTGGGCAGCCAGGCAGAGGGGCTCCTCACATCCCAGACGATGGGCGGCCAGGCAGAGACGCTCCTCACTTCCCAGACAGGGTGGCGGCCGGGCAGAGGCTGCAATCTCGGCACTTTGGGAGGCCAAGGCAGGCGGCTGGGAGATGGAGGCTGCAGCGAGCCGAGATCACGCCACTGCACTCCAGCCTGGGCACCATTGAGCACTGAGTGAACGAGACTCTGTCTGCAATCCCGGCACCTCGGGAGGCCGAGGCTGGCGGATCACTCGCGGTTAGGAGCTGGAGACCAGCCCGGCCAACACAGCGAAACCCCGTCTCCACCAAAAAAATACGAAAACCAGTCAGGCGTGGCGGCGCGCATCTGCAATCGCAGGCACTCGGCAGGCTGAGGCAGGCGAATCAGGCAGGGAGGCTGCAGTGAGCCGAGATGGCGGCAGTACAGTCCAGCTTCAGCTGGGCATGAGAGGGAGACCGTGGAAAGAGAGGGAGAGGGGAGACCGTGGAAAGGGGAGAGGCAGACGGAGAGGGAGACGGAGAGGGAGAGGGAGAGTCCAATGCACCTCTTTTTCTTTTTTCTTTTTTTTTTGAGATGAGAGACAGGGTCTTGCTCTATCACCCAGGCTGGAGTGCAGTAGCATAATCATGGCTCACTGCAGCCTTGCCCTTCTAGGCTCAAGCGATCTTCCCTCTTCAGCCTCCTGAGTAGCTGGGACCACAGGTGTGTGCTCAGGAGGATAGCTTGAGCCCAGGAGTTTAAGCCTGCAGTGAGCTCTTATCATACCACTGCACTCCAGCCTGGGTGACAGAGCAAGACCCCAACTCTCCCATCTCTCTCTCTTTCTTATTTATTTATTTATTTATTTATTTATTTATTTTTTGAGACAGAGTCTCACTCTGTCACCCCAGGCTGGAGTGCAGTAGCTTGATCTTGACTCATTGCAACCTCTGCCTCCCGGATTCAAGCAATTCTCGTGCCTCAGCCTCCCATGTAGCTGGGACTACTGGCATGTGCCACCACACCCAGCTAATTTTTGTATTTTTAGTAGAGACAGGGTTTCGCCATGTTGGCCAGGCTAGTTCTGAACTCCTGGCCTCAAGTGATCCGCCCATCTCAGCCTCCCAATGTGCTGAGATTACAGGCATGAGCCACTGCAGTTGGTAAAGACCCAATCTCAAAAAAAAGAGAGTTGTATCTAGGTTACAGCAGTCCTGATTGTTGAATCAATGCATCAGCCTGAGTGATAGCGATGGGGAACCATTGAAGGATTTCCATCACAAGCTAATCAATTAGAGCCATACTTTAGAGAGAGTGGGCAGGGCTGGAAGGTTAGGCTAGAGGAGGAAAGCAGGAAGCAATGTTCTGTCTGCAAGAGGCCTAGCGTGTCTCACTTCTGCATGTAGGCATGTGTCTCATGTGTGTGATGATGAGCACTCTGTGTATTAACTTGGGAGAGCTAGTACAGTAATAATCAGCATGAACTGCAGGAGTCAGGCAGACCTGGATCCAAATATTAAATTCCCCACTCTGGAACCAGTTGAGCTAGTCCTCCCAGGCAGTCCAGTGGATGTTCCCCCAGCTCCTGCCATCCTGAGGCCATCTTCCAACAACTTCTGCATATTAAAATAATCCAGGTAGGGCTGACCATCTTCCAATAACTGCCGAGTCATAAAGGTGCCCATGGCATTCTTTGAAGCAATGAAATGTGAATTGACCCATGGTGCATTTGACAAGCACAACAGTCTACTGGGACTTAGGGACATAATGTTTTCTTCAGTGCATTGGAATGTGAGTCTTGCAACTTCTAAACAGATTAGGGATGAAGTAGGTCCTGACACCAAGGCCTCATTCCTTTCTAAGAAGATTCATTATTCCAAAGGGCCAGGGCAGTCGTTTTCAATCTTACAGAATATTTTTTTTCTTTTTTGGAGATGGAGTCTCGCCCTGTCACACCCAGGCTGGAGTACAATGGCGTGATCTCAGCTCACTACAACCTCCACCTCCTGGGTTCAAGCAATTCTCTTCCCTCAGCCTCCCGAGTAGTTGGGATTACAGGTATGCGCCACCACGCCCAGCTAATTTTTGTATTTTTAGTAGAGATGAGGTTTCGCCATGTTGGCCAGGCTGGTCTTGAACTCCTGACTTCAGGCGATCCACCCACCTAGGCTTCCCAAAGTGCTGGGATTACAGGCATGAGCCACCATGCCTGGCCCAGTCTTGCAGAATTTAAGAATCCCTTAAAATCCAGATTCCTGAGCCCCAATTACTCTGAGACACACTGAATCCAACATCCCCTAGGCAGTGATGGGAATCTGTGCTTTTCACCAGTGCCCCAGGTGATCCAGGTTTGGGAAATCTTAGGCCCTGGTGAAGAGGCATTCAAACAGCTTTGAAACCCACCTATGTCACTGTCTTCAAGACGCTGTCAAATTATGCCTGCCAGCTCCCTCATATCAAGAGCTGGCTTTAAGAGTATTTTCTCAAGCCAGGTGCGGCAGCTCACGCCTGTAATCCCAGCACTTTGGGAGGCTTATGCAGGTGAATCACAAGGTCAGGATTTTGAGACCAGCCTGGGCAATATGGTGAAACCCCATCTCTACTAAAAATACAAAAATTAGCCGGGTGTGGTGGCAGGCACCTGTAGTCCCAGTTACCCAGGAGGCTGAGGCAGAAGAATCACTTGAACCCGGGAGGCGGAGTTTGCAGTAAGCCAAGATCATGCCACTGCACTCCAGCCTGGGTGACAGAATGAGACTCCATCTCAAAAAAAGAAAAGAATATTTACTCAAAGCTGGCCGGTGCAATGGCTCATTCCTCTCCCAGCACTTTGGGAGGCCAAGGCAGGCAGATCACCTGAGGTCAGGAATTTGAGGCCAGCCTGGCCAACATGGTGAAACCCAATCTCTACTGAAAATACAAAAATTAGCCAGGTGTGGTGGCACGCATCTGTTGTCCCAGCTCCTTGGGAGGCTAAGGCAGGAGACTCACTAGAATCCGGGAGGTGGAGGTTGCAGTGAGCCGAGATCACGCCAGTGCACTCCAGCCGGGGCAACAGAGCAAGACTCTGTCTCACAATATAAAAATAAAATAAGAATATTTTCTCAAAGCTGAATTACATTTAAGCTTAATTTTATTTATTACTGACAATCTGAAAATTTTTAAAAATGGATTAGCCATTTCAAAGGCTATAACCCAATTCCTGAAATTGAGCATTGGTTTAACTTCACCACTAGATTAGTTTGGTCAAAGACTGGGGTCCTGGTGTAACCGCCCAGTGAATTCTTCTTACCCACTGCCTAGACAGTGCCGATTTATCAAGACAGGAAAATTGCAATAGAGAAAGAGTAATTCATGCAGAGCTGGCTGTACAGGAGAACGGAGTTTTGTTACTCAAATAAGTCTCTCTGAAAATTCAGAGATGGGAGTTTTTAAGGATAATTTAGTGGGTAGGGGCTCAGGAAGTGGGGACTGCTAATTGGTCAGGTTGGAGATAAAACCAACAGGAACCATGAGGTTGAGGTGAGTTTTTCTTTCTTTTTTTTGAGACAGAGTCTCACTCTGTTGCCCAGGCAGGAGTGCAGTGGCACGATCTCGGCTCACTGCAACCTCCGCCTTCCGGGGTCAAGCAAAATTCTCCTGCCTCAGCCTCCCTAGTATCTGGGATTACAGTCATGTGCCCACCTAATTTTTTTGTAATTTTTGTAGAGATGGGGTTTCACGTTATGATCCGCCTGCCTCGGCCTCCCAAAGTGCTGGGATTATAGTCGTAAGCCACCGCACCCGGCCCCTATGAAGTGAGTTTTTCATGCTGTCTACTGTTTCAGGGTGAGATCAAAGAACTGGTTGAGCCAGATTATGGGTCTGGATGGCGTCAGCTGGGAACAGCAAGGTCTGCAAAATATCTCAAGCACTGATCTTAGGTTTGACAACAGTGATGTTATTCCCAGGAGCAATTTGAGGAGGTTCAGGCTCTTGCAGCCAGAGCCTGCATGGTTCTTAAACCGTAATTTTTTTTTTTTTTTGAGACTGAGTTTTGCTCTGTCACCCAGGCTGGAGTGCAGTAACAGGATCTCGGCTCACTGCAACTTCCGCCTCCCAGGTTCAAGCGATTCTCCTGCCTCAGCCTCCTGAGTAGCTAGGATTACAGGCGCCCACCATCATACACCCAGCTAATTTTTGTATTTTTAGTAGAGATGGGGTTTCACCATGTTGGCCAGGCTGGTCTTGAACTCCTGACCTTAGGTGATCTGCCCGCCTTGGCCTCCCAATAAACCATAATTTCTAATCATGTAATTTCTTTTTTTCTTTTTTTCTGAGACGGAGTCTTGCTCTGTCACCCAGGCTGGAGTGCAGTGGCGTGATCTCAGCTTACTGCAAGCTCCAACTTCCGGGTTCACGCCATTCTCCTGCCTCAGCCTCCCGAGTAGCTGGGACTACAGGCGCCTGCCACCGTGCCCAGCTAATTTTTTGTATTTTTAGTAGAGATGGGGTTTCACCGTGTTAGCCAGGATGGTCTTGATCTCCTGACCTCGTGATCTGCCTGCCTCGGCCTCCCAAAGTGCTGGGATTACAGGCGTGAGCCACCGTGCCCGGCCAATAATTTCTTAGTCCTATGAAGGCAGACCGGTCCCCAGGCAAGAAGGGGGTTTATTTCAGCCGGGTGCAGTGGCTCACGCCTGTAATCCCAGCACTTTGGGAGGCCAAGGTGGGTGGATCACGAGGTCAGGAGATCGAGACCATCCTGGCTAACACGGTGAAACCCCATCTCTACTAAAAAAATACAAAATTTAGCCGGACGTGGTGGCAGGCACCTGTAGTCCCAGCTACTGGGGAGGCTGAGGCAGGAGAATGGCGTGAACCCGGGAGGCAGAGCTTGCAGTGAGCTGAGATCGCACCAGTGCACTCCAGCCTGGGCAGCAGAGCAAGACTCAGTCTCAGAAAAAAAAAAGAAGGGGGTTTATTTCGGGAAAGGGCTATTATAATTTTTGTTTCAAAGTTAAAGTATAAACTGAATTCCTTCCCAAGGTTACTTTGGCCTACACCCAAGAATGAACAAGGGCAGCTTAGAGGTTAAAAGCAAGATGGTGTCGGTTAGGTCAGATCCCTTTCACTGTCATAATTTCCTCAGTTACAATCTTTGCAAAGGTGGTTTCACGTGAAGGGAGGGGGTCCCACGAATGGGGAGGCAGTCTGAGCTCTCTGCCTGTCCCTCTTCCGGCCTCAGCCTCAGTCACCCAGAGGAGGTGGGGGCAGTCCCACTCTGCCCCACCCCTAACCAGGCGATGGAGGCCACACCCTGCCTTGGGCCTCAGTTCCAGTGACTCAGCAGTTCCCCTCAGTCAGCCCTGGAATGAGACTGAGCAGGCCCAGGCCAGCTGGAGCTCCAGGGAGCCTTGTGTTGGGTATCCGACACTACTGTTGGCACTAGTTCTTTCTCTGTCAACAACCTGTGACCTTGGGGAACTACTCTCACTCTGCTCTTGGTGATGTCATCTGTGAAATGAGAGGGCTGGACTTTGCTTGCATGATACTCATTGGCTGCTTTACTGCTGACATTCTGGGATAGAGCTTCTCAACCTTCACTATACTTGGGATGCCTTTCTAAAATACAGATACAGCTAGGCACAGTGTCTCATGCCTGTAATACCAACACTTTGGGAGGCTGAGGTCGGCGGATCACTAAAGGCCAGGAGTTCAAGACCAGCCTGGCCAATGTGGCAAAACCCCGTCTCTACTAAAAATACAAACATTAGCCAAGCGTGGTGGCCCACACATGTAATCCCAGCTATGGGGGAGGCTGAAGCATGATAATTGCTTGGACCCAGGAGGCGGAGGTTGCAGTGAGCTGAGATCGCACCACTGCCCTCCAGCCTGGGCAACAGAGCAAGACTCTGTCTCAAAAATAATTTATAATAATAAAATAAAATATAGATTCCACTAGGCTCAGTGGGGTGCACCTGTAGTCCTAGCTACTTGGGAGGCTGAGACAAGAGGATCCCTTGAGACCAGGAGTTTGAGTCTAGCCTGGGCAACATAGTGAGATCCTGTCTCCTAAAATAAAGTTTATAAACATATATACGTATAAATTTTTTAAATAAAATACAGATTCCTGGGCTCTACCTGCGTAACAGGTTATAATTCATTGGAACCTGGAGCCCACGCATCTGAATTCATCCTTCAAATGTTTATTAAGCACCTGCTATGTGCCAGAAATTGTGAATAAGCAGTGAACTAAACAGACAGTAATCCCTGCTCTTGGTGAGGATGTCTCCTGGGAGGATGCACACCATAAATAAACAAGGGGCCTGGGGAAGTGGCTCACACCTGTAATCCCAGCACTCTGGAGGCCAAAATGGGAGGATTGCTTGAGCCCAGAAGTTCAAGGCCAGTCTAGACAACATAGCAAGATACTGTGTCTACAAAAAATTTAAAAATTAACCAGCTGTGGTTGCACATGCCTGTGGTCCAGCTATTCAGGAGGCTGAGGCAGGAGAATCACTTGAACCTGGCAGGCAGAGGTTGCAGTGAGCCAAGATCGTGCCACTGCACTCCAGCCTGGGCAAGAGAGTGAGACTCTGTCTCAAAAAAAAAAAAAAAAAAAAAAAAAAGAAAAGAAAGAAAAAGAAAAAGAAAAAGAAAAAGAAATGCTTAATGAATACCTACTATGTTCCAGGAACTGTCCTAGATACTGGGCTACAGCAGTGAACAGGACAGACAAGGCCCTAGATTTCTTTCTTACAGCTTACCTACTGGACAGAATCAACATAAATGCTCTTGTTAGTCTTCCTAACAATCCTAAGAAAGTAAGTTCTATTACCACCAGCTTATAGATGGAGAAACGAAAGCTGGCATAGATAAAGTCACTTACCCAAGTCTACACAGCTAGTAAGTGGCAGCATCCGCATTCAAGTCCAGCCTCTCTGACTCCTGAGCTCAGTCTCTAACCACTGAACACATATTGTTTCACGGCAAATTCCTTTGCATTTTTTTCTTAACATTCATGGGGAATTCTGATGCCTAGCCAGAGCCATGAACCACTACCCTAAAACTTGGGGGACTCTTAATTTTTTATTGCTCGCATAGCAAATCACCCCAAAACAGTGGCTAAAACCAACAAACATTACTTCCCACAGTTTTTGTGGGTCAGAAATTCAGGAGCAGCTTAGCTGAGTGGTGCTGGCCAGAATCTTTCATGAGATTGCAGTTAAGACTTAGGAAGCTGGGTGTGGTAAAAGCACACCTGTAATCCCAGCAATTCAGGAGGCTGAGGTGGGAGGATCACTTGAGTCTAGGAGTTCAAGGCTGCAGTGAGCTATGTGATTGTACCACTGCCTCCCAGCCTAGGTGACAGAGTAGGACCCCATCTCTAAAAAATGAATTTTAAAAATTAAAAAAGGGATGGGAGTGGTGGCTCATGCCTGTAATCCCAGCACTTGGGGAGGCTGAGGTGGGCGGATCACTTGAGGTCAGGAGTTCAAGACCAGCCTGACCAACATGGTGGAACCCCATCTCTACTAAAAATACAAACATTAGGCCGGACGCAGTGGCACATGCCTGTAATCCCAGCACTTTGGCAGGCTGAAACAGGCAGATCACAAGGTCAGGAGATCGAGAACATCCTGGCCAACATGGTGAAACCCCGTCTCTAGTAAAATACAAAAAAAAAAAAAAAAAAAAAATTAGCCAGGCATGGTGGTGGGCACCTGTAATCCCAGCTACTTGGGAGGCTAAGGCAGGAGAATCGCTTGAACCTGGGAGATGGAGGTTGCAGTGAGCTGAGATCATGCCATTGCACTCCAGCCTGGGTGACAGAGACACTGTTTCAAAAATAATAATAATAAAATAAAAATTTTTAAAAGTTGGGCACGGTGGCTCATGCCTGTAATCTCAGCACTTTGAGAAGCCAAGATAGGCAGATCACTTGAGGCCAGGAGTTTGAGACCAGCCTGGCCAAAGTGGTGAAACCCCATCTCTACTAAAAATATAAAAATAATTAGCCGGGCATGGTGGCGGGCGCCTATAATCCCAGCTACTGGGAGGCTGAGGCATAAGAATCGCTTGAACTCAAGAGGTGGAGGTTGCAGGGAGTGGAGATCACACCACTGCACTCCAGCCTGGGCAACAGAGTGAGACTCTGTCTCTGTTTGTTTGTTTGTTTATTTGTTGTTCTTGTTGTTTTGAGATGGAGTTTCCATCTATAGCCCAGGCTGGAGTGCAGTGGTGCCATCTCGGCTCATTGCAACCTCCGCCTCCCAGGTTCAAGCGATTCTCCCACCTCAGCCCCGCCGGGGTAGCTGGGATTACAGGCACGTGCCAACCACACCCGGCTAATTTTTGTATTTTTAGTACAGACAGGGTTTCTCCATGTTGGCCAGTCCTTATTCCTGGGGAGAGCCCTCAGACTGGATGGGGAGAAACTTAATACAAAAAAAAAAAATACAGAATCAATGCTCTAATGGCAGTAGGATTCCAGGGCGGGTGGAGGCTCATGGTGGAAGCACAGAAGAGGGCAATCAAGGGAGTCTTCACAGAAGAGGTGGCACCTGAACTAAGACTTGAAGGATGAAGAGGAGTGTATTTGGAAGACACGCGTGGGGAGAACAGCATTCTAAGCCAAAGTACAGCTTGTTCAAAGAGGTCAAACAGCACAGGGGTGTGATAGAGCCTAGCATGTTTTGGGAATTTCAGAATTAGAAGGAACCTGATACCGTTGAGTGGAAACCCCATGGCATCTCCTAATAATAGTAATGGCCAGCATTTTCAGAATGCTGAAATTGCCAGCACTGTGCTAAGCACTGTGATTAGACTGTCCAATTTAATCCTCACAATGACCCAAAGAGGTAGATACTATTATTATCTGCAGTTCATAACTGAGGAAACTGAGACTCCGAGAGGTCAAGTACCATGTCCAAGGTCACACAGTAAGTTGTAGGGCTAGGACCTAAATCAAGATCTTTCTGACGTAAAATCCTGTGCTTTTAACCTCTGCACTGTACTACATCTACATTGGTAAGTGGCCCTGTGGCCTCAATTTGCACAACTGAAGTGACAGAAAGCCTGCCACCTCTCTGGCAAGGACACAGAGGCTGTGGGGTCTTTCACAAACATCCCAGTCCTGGAAAAGCCACCAGCCTAACTGAAGCAAGAGGTCAATAGACGAAAGACACTAACTGTGTTTTTTGGTTTGTTTGTTTGTTTTTTTGTTTTTTGAGATGGAATTTCACTCTAGTTGCTTAGGCTGGAGTGCAATGGTGCGATCTCAGCTCACTGCAACCTCCACCTCTCAGGTTCAGGCTATTCTCCTGCCTCAGCCTCCCGAGTAGCTGGGATTACAGGCACCTACCACTATGCCCAGCTGATTTTTGTATTTTTAGTAGAGACACGGTTTCACCATGCTGGCGAGGCTGGTCTCAAACTCCTAACCTTAGGTGAGCCGCCTGCCTCGGCCTCCCAAAGTGCTGGGGTTACAGGCGTGAGCCACCGCGCCCAGCCCTAACTGTGTTTTAAGCCAGTAAGCATTTACTGAATATACCTTCAATACCATCTGCCCAAAGAGCTCTGGTTAGAGGCAGGACAACCAGCCCTGTTAACAGCACGGCTGGTGGCTGCAGGGGCTACAGGGAGGAGCGACCTCTCCTGGGTGGGGAGTCAGGAGAGGCTTCCTGGTGTGACCCAGAGGGAAGGGCGTGCATTACTTTAGATCAGAGTTTCACAAGCTCAGCAGTGCTGCCATTTGGAGCTGGGTAGTTCCTGGTTGTGAGAGGCCATCCTGTGTTACTGGAGGACGTTTAACAGCATCCCTAGGCTCTAGCCACAACACGCACCCCCCACCCCTGGTTGTGACAACCAAAAATGTCTCCAGACATTGCCAAATGACCCTGGAGGACAACACTCACACTTGAGAACCACTGTTCTAGGCAGAGGAAAGACAGTTAGTAAAGTTACCATGAAGGAAAAGTGAGCCTTTAGATCTTGAGCCTTATTTTTCAAATCTGTAAAATGACATAATATATCAGAGCTACTGTGATAATTAAGGAGAATGTTTATAAGCCACCTGACACATAGTATGTCCCCAATAAACATTAGTTCTTTTCTACTACAGGACAATGACAACCCCTGACCCCTGGTCTTAACAAAAACTAGACTGTGACCTTTGAGCTTCAAACTAGGGCCTCAGTGTCTCTGCCTGTAAAATGGTGTTTGAGTTAAAGTGGAGAATGTAAACTAGATCAGCATTCCCACCTTTTTTTTTTTTTCCTGAGATGGAGTCTCGCTCTGTTACTCAGGCTGGAGTACAGTGGTGCGATCTCGGCTCACTGCAACCTCCCCCTCCTGGGTTCAAGATATTCTCCTGCCTCAGCCTCCCCAGTAGCTGGGATTACAGGTGTCTGCCACCATGCCCAGCTAATTTTTGTATTTTTAGTAGAGACAGGGTTTCGCCGTGTTGGCCAGGCTAGTCTTGAACACCTGACTTTAGATGATCCACCTGCCTCGGCCTCCCAAAGTGCTGGGATTACAGGCATGAACCACTGCACCCGGCCACTCCCACCTTTTTTTTTTTTTTGAGATAGGATTTTGCTCTCTTGCCCAGGTTGGAGTGCAGTGGCACAATCATGGCTCACTGCAGCCTCGACCTCCTGGGCTCAAGTGATCTACCTCAGCCTCCCGAGTAGCTGGAACTACAAGTGTGCACCACCACACCCAGTTAATTTTTTTCTTTCTGTAAAGATGGGGTTTCACCAGGTTTCCCAGGCTGGTCTCGACCTCCTGGGTTCAAGCAATCTTCCCATCTCGGCCTTGTTGTGCTGGGATTACACGCATGAGCCACCTTGCTCAGCTGCTCCCCACTTTCTACCATCCACAACCAGGTCCCATTTTTAAAAACAGAGTATTGGTTAAGAGTTAATTAGTTTTCCATTTGCCAACAACAGCTGTCCCAGCAGCTCTGCTGGGCAGGACACACTATGTGACATCCTAGAGAGCTGATGATAGCCCCCAACAGAGATTCTTCTGTGGGCCTGAGCAACCTCTTCCCATTTAACTATGGGATGGTTCTCTGGATTTCAGAAACATCACACTGGCATGAGGACCCCAGTCTGCCATCACAGGTTACCAAATATTAGATTAAGAACCACAGCTTTGGCTGGGTGTGGTGGCTCACGCTTGTAATCCCAGTACTTTGGGAGGCTGAGGTGGGTAGATCACGAGGTCAGGAGATCGAGACCATCCTGGCTAACACGGTGAAACCCTGTCTCCACTAAAAATACAAAAAATTAGCTGGGCATGGTGGGGGGCACCTGTAGTCCCAGCTACTCCAGAGGCTGAGGCAGGAGAATTGCTTGAACCTGGGAGGTGGAGGTTGCAGTGAGCTGAGATCATGCCACTGCACTCCAGCCTGGGAGACAGTGAGACTCTGTCTCAAAAAAAAAAAAAAGAATCAGAGCTTTAGTGGCCGGGCACAGTGGCTCATGCCTGTAATCCCAGCACTTTGAGAGGCTGAGGTGGGTGGATCACCTGAGGCCAGGAGTTCAAGACCAGCCTCTCCAACATGGCGAAACCCTGTCTCTACTAAAAATACAAAAATTAGCTGGGCATGGTGGCAGATACCTATAATCCCAGCTACTTGGGAGGCTGAGGCACAAGAATCGCTTGAACTCAAGAGGTGGAGGTTTCAGTGAGCCAAGATCATGGCATTGCACTCCAGCCTGGGCAACATGAGCGAAACTCTCTCTCAAAAAAAAAAAAAACACAGCTTGGGCTGGGGGTGGAGGGGTGGGGGTGACTCACACCTGTAATCCCAGCACTTTGGGAGGCTAAGGCGGTCAGATTGCTTAAGTCCAGGAATTCAAGACCAGCCTGGGCAACATGGTGAAACCCTGTCTCTCTGAAAAAATACCAAAAAATTAGCTGGGTGTGGTGGCACATCCCTGTAGTCGGAGCTACTCAGGAGGCTGAGGTGGGAGAATCACCTAAGCCCGGGAGGTTGAGGCTGAAGTGAGCTGAGGTGGTGCCACTGCACTCCAGCCTGGGCAACTGGGGTGAGACCCTGTCTCAAAAAATAATAAAATAAAATAAAATAACCACAGCTTGGTTGGTGATCTGTGACGAGACAGCAGGGGTCCCAAGCCCCCAACACCAGTGCCAACAAGCCCTGCAGCTACTGCTATTTGAATGCCCACTCTGTGCCAGACACTAGGCTGGAGTTTCACATTCGCCGCTGGCTCTTTCACTGATATCCATTTCACAGACAGGAAAACTGAGTTTTGAGCAATGACGTCACCTGCCGATGGACACCAGCTTTTTTTTTTTTTTTTTTGAGACGTAGTCTTGCTTTGTTGCCCAGGCTGGAGTGCAGTGGCGCCATCTCAGCTCACTGCAACCTCCATCTCCCAAGTTCAAGCAATTCTCCTGCCTCATCCTCCCAAGCAGCTGGGACGACAGGCGCATGCCACCACACCCGGCTAACTGTTGCATTTTTAGTAGAGACGGGGTTTCACCATGTTGGCCAAGCTGGTCTCAAACTCCTGACCTCAGGCAATCCACTCGCCTAGGCTTCCCAAAGTTCTGGGATTACAGGTGTAGCCGCCACGCCCGGTCGACACTGACTTTCAAACCCTCTCACCCTCCAGAGCGAACACACCCTGAATGCATCTCTGTCCCCCTCAGTATCCTGCCCTTGTGTCCAGAGAGAGTCCTTGGTGTGACAAGAGGTCTACACAGGTGGGGGGAATAAAACTCTGGGAGCCCAGCAAGGCAGATTGTTGCTGACAGGAGGAAAATAATCAACATTAAACCCTTACCAAGTCCTTACAACATGCCAGATGGACATTAACTCTCTGAATCTTCACAGCATCCTATTTTATAGATGAGGAAACGGAGGCACAGAGAAATTAAGAAAAATAAGGCCAGGCACGGTTTTAATCTCAGCATTTTGGGAGGCTGAGGCAGGAGATCACTTGAGCCCAGGAACTTGAGACTTGCCTAGGCAACATTGCAAAAACCTATCTCTACAAAAATACAAAAATTAGCGCCTGCCCGTAATTTCAGCTTTTGGGGAGCCTAAGGTGGGAGGATCACCTGAGCCCGGGAAAGTCGAGGCTGCGGTGAGCTGTGATCGTGCCACTGCATTCCGGCCTGGGCAACTAAGTGAGATCCTGTCTCAGTGAGAAAAGAAAAATGACACACACACACACACACACACACACACACACACACACACACACACAAAAGAAAAATGACACAGGTGGTAAATTTCCTAGAAAATAACCCGTTTGTTGAGCATCTGGCTGGGCATTTTTCCTAAGTGATATTGTTCAACCTCCCTACTATCTCCAGCAGAGGTATGGCCCGTGTTTACCATCGCTATCTCTTCCCTGTCTACACAATCTTAATCCGACTCAAATATCTCACTCTGCTCTTTCCATCAGAACACCAAAGAGAATGGGTGTCACAGCGACACCTGCTGGCTGGCGCTATATCTCCGCTGCCCCTAGACTTTTGTTTTGTTTTGTTTTCCAAAACGGAGTTTCGCTCTTGTTGCCCAGGCTGGAATGCAGTGGCGCAATCTCGGCTCACTGCAACCTCCGCCTCCCAGGTTCAAGAGGTTCTTCTGCCTCAGCCTCCTGAGTAGCTGGGATTATAGGCGCCTGCCACCACACCCAGCTAATTTTTGTGTTGTTAGTAGAGACAGGGTTTCACCATGTTGGCCAGGCTGGCCTCGAACTCCTGCCCTCAGGTGATCTGCCCACCTCGGCCTCCCAAAGTGCTGGGATTACAGGTGTGAGCCACCGTGCCCAGACTTTTTTTTTTTTAGAAGGAATTTCACGCTATCAGCTGGGCTGGAATGCAGTGGTGCAATCTCAGCTCACTGCAACCTCCGCCTCCCGGGTTCAAGCGATTCTCCTGCCTCAGCCTCTCAAGTAGCTGGGATTACAGGCGCCCGCCATTATGCCCAGCTAATTTTTTTGTATTTTTAGTAGAGACAGGGTTTCACCACATTGGCCAGGCTGGTCTCAAACTCCTGACCTCGTGATTCACCTGCCTCAGCCTCCCAAAGTGCTGGGATTACAGGAGTGAGCCACCACGCCCGGACTTTTTGTTTTTTTCTTTGAGACAGGGTCTCACTATATCACCCAGACTAAAGTGCAGCGGCATGACCACAGCTCACTGTAGCCTCGACCTCCCCCAGGCTCAAGCAATCCTCCCATCTTAGCTTCCTGAGTAGCTGGGACCACAGACACACACCACCACACCCGGTTTTTTTTTTGCTTTGTTTTTTTGTTTTTGTATTTTTAGCAGCAGCAAGGTCTTGCCATGTTGCCCAGTCTAGTCTCGAACTCCTGAGCTCAAACAATCCACTTGACTTGGCCTCCCAAAGTGCTGAGATTACAAGATCACAGGCATGAGCCACCACATCCGGCTGCCCAGCTAATTTTTGTAGTTTTTGTAGAGACAAAACATGCAGTTTGTCTGTTTTGGACCAGGCATCTAGACTGGGAGGAAACTATCCCTCCCTGCCAGTTGACTGGCCCCAACCTCATCCCCAGCACCTCCCCTGCGCACCCCTCCGGCCCCAGGAAGTTCAAGTCCTCCTGCATGTGTGATCATCCTTCTGCCTAACCAGAGCCCGCCGTCTCCCTCTCCATTTTTGGTCTTGGCCCCTGAAAGGTCATGGGCTTTGGACTAGACCAGGGGGAGTTCATATCCCAGCTCTGCCAATTGCTAACTGGGTAATCTTGGGCAACTCGTAATTTCTCAGAAGCTCAATTACTTCATTTGCAAACTGCCTCACCAGGCAAGGTTCTAGGAGGATCACAGCAGGTAATAGATGTAAAATTCCCTTTCTCTAGCATCCAGGCATTTGTGGGGTTTCTTCATTGTTGTTTGTTTTTTTTTTTGAGACGGAGTCTCACTCTGTCGCCCAGGCTGGAGTGCAGTGATGCAATCTCGGCTCACTGCAACCTCCGCCTCCCGGGTTCACGCGATTCTCCTGCCTCAGCCTCCTGAGTAGCTGGGACTACAGGCATGTGCCACCACGCCCAGCTAATTTTTGTATTTTCAGTAGAGATGGGGTTTACACCATGTTGGCCAGGCTGGTCTTGATCTCTGGACCTCATGATGCGCCCACCTCAGGCTCCCAAAGTGCTGGGATTACAGGCATGAGCCACCGCGTCCGGCCCGGCATTTGTGCTTTAACAATGCCTGAATTGAAGACCATCTTAATGGTGGGGCATAAGGCCTTGAGTTTGTGGAAGGGGCTGAGGAAGGAAGAGGAAAAACTTGGGGACATGAATGTCCTTTTTTCCCGCCCAGAGCCAGAGTGTGATACAGTAGGATTTGCCTCCAGACTACCTCCAAATCTTTGACCTTCTCAAGTCCCTTACCTCCTCTTGAAAGGTAACAGCTCAGCCAGGCGCAGTGGCTCACACCTGTAATCCCAGCACTTTGGGAGGCCAGGGTGGTTAGATCACTTGAGGTCAGGAGTTCATGACCAGCCTGGCCAACATGGTGCAACCCCATCTCTACTAAAAATACAAAAATTAGCCGGGCGAGCCGGGCATGGTGGCGCATGCCTGTAATCCCAACTACTCAGGAGGCTAAGGCAAGAGAATCGCTTGAACCCAGGAGGCGGAGGTTGCAGTGAGCCAAGGTCGTGCCACTGCACTCCAGCAATGAGACTCTGTCTCAAAAAAAAAAAAAAAAAAATTAACAGCTCCTGGATTACCATGGATGGGGATCGGGAGGTTTCAAGGCTCCAGGAGAGTTTAGGTTAGGGAAAGGTCAGTGGGGAGATGGAAGGAGTGGGGATGGGCTAGAGCCCTGGGAGTGACCCGGATGCTGAGTTTTGTCTCTGCCGAATGGCTCACTTTAGGCAGGTTAGCCTGATATTCTTAGCCTCAATACTCCCACCTGTAAAATGGCCCGAATAATGTGTACCTCAGAGTCATAGAGGGTAAGGGTAAGAGCTTTGAAAATTGTAAACAGTTGTGCACATGGGAAGACCTCTTATTATATTTTGGATGGCCTGAGACCCCCTTATCAGACCATACCCTAGAGCAGGCCTAGAGGGACTTGAGTCTGGGCTCTGACTCCCAATGGGGCTTACAGAGG
Source organism: Homo sapiens (assembly GCF_000001405.40). NCBI lineage: Eukaryota > Metazoa > Chordata > Mammalia > Primates > Hominidae > Homo > Homo sapiens. Next base: position 31,160,205 of record NC_000001.11, on the reverse strand, counting down.
TTTCTCCAGCCTGGGGCATCTCTGGAGGCTGCTTAGACTATTTTGCCAGCTCCAGCCTCTCTCCATTTGCCTCTGCAGCACTCGTCTGCCCACTTGGGATGGCCTATCCCACCGACAGAGCCTGGCCTGAGAAACAGCCACTATTTCCTTCTGCCTTCTCTCTACCATGTGATCTGCTTATCTCCCTGCGGCCTTTGCCTTTATGAGGCATCTCCAAGCCTCCACCACGATAAGCACTCCCATTCCCCAGAATTTAACGTGTAGCCTGCACTGCTGCTGTGCCATGGCCTGCACAGGGCTCAGGACTTGGGTTTAGCTGTGCAAGGGCTCAGGACAGCTTCAAGGAATTTAGGAGACATAGTCCCCAAGACTGCTTTTTTAATGCTGGAGCCGTTGGGAAGTACACTCTCTCTTCAGGGACCCAGAGCTATAAAGTCAATGAAAGCCTAAAACTGCTTGTAGCCACAGTCATCTTTCTGTTTTCTTTTCTTTCTTTCTTTCTTTTTTTTTTTTTTTTTGAGACAGGGTCTCACTCTATTGCCCAGGGTAGAGTGCAGTGGCACAATCATAGCTCACTGTAGCCTTGAATTCCTGGGCTCAAGGAGGGATCCTCTCACCTTAATCTCCTGAGCAGCTGGAACTACAAGTGCAAACCATCATGCTCAACTAATTTTTTTCTTATTATCTTTTGTAGAAATGGGGTCTTGCTATGTTGCCCAGGCTGATTTCAAACTCTCAGCCTCAAGTGATCCCCCCCCCCCTTAGCCTCCCAAAGTGCTAGGATTTACAGGTGTGAACCACTGCACCTGGCCCTAGAACGGCTAGTAGCCATCTTGCTTGGCTGCCTGTAAGAGAGAATTGAGGGATAACGAGAGACATGGAGCTGTGAAACCTTCTCTTGAGCCCCTGGGATCCAGCCATACTTAACATACTTCAAAACATACTTCCGGCCAGGCACGGTGGCTCATGTCTGTAATCCCAGCACTTTGGGAGGCCGAGATGGGTGGATCACGAGGTCAGGAGATCGAGACCCCTGGCTAACATGGTGAAACCCCGTCTCTACTAAAAATACAAAACATTAGCCAGGCATGGTGGCAGGCACCTGTAGTCCCAGCTACTCGGGAGGCTGAGGCAGGAGAATGGTGTGAACCCGGGAGACAGAGCTTGCAGTGAGCCGAGATCGGGCCACCGCACTCCAGCCTGGGTGACAGAGTGAGGCTCTGTCTCAAACAAACAAACAAACAAACAAACAAAAACATACTTCCAGAGTTTGTCAGTAAATCTTCCCCTCCCTGCTCCAATCCTCTCACCTCAGCCTCCCAGTAGCTGGGACTACAGGCATGTAATGTCACCCCTCACCCTGGCTTTTTTTTTTTTTTGGCAGAGATGAGGGGTCTCGCTATGTTGCCCAGGCTGCTTCTTAAACTCCTGGGCTCAAGCTATCCCTGTAGGCCTCCCAAAGCCTGGAATTACAGGGAAATTTACTACAACAGGCCTGTGTTATGTTTCTGTTACTTGCAACTGCTAGAATCCTGGTTGATACAATGTTTGAAATAAGTCTGATCTAGATCTTAGGTGGACTGGAGACCACAGCCAAATCTTAAATGGTTTAGCATAGAACCTGGCACATAATAATAAGCACTGGCTGCTCAGAAAACACTGCTCCTGTAGTTCCCTGTACTTCTCCACTAAGGTGCATATGATAATTTTTTTTTAGACAGAGTCTCACTCTGTCACCCAGGCTGGAATGCAGTGGCACGAACTCAGCTCACTGCAACCTCCGCCCCCCAGGTTCAAGCGATTCTCCTGCCTCAGCCTCCCGAGTAGCTGGGATTACAGGCACCCACCACTATGCCCAGCTAATTTTTTGTATTTTTTTAGTAGAGACGGGGTTTCGCCATGTTGGCCAGGCTGGTCTCAAGCTCCTGACCTTGTGATTTGCCCGCCTCTGCCTCCCAGAGTGCTGGGATTACAGGCATGAGCCACCGTGCCCAGCCACATATCACAATTTTAATTGAATAACGATTCATATTGTTAATTGTTCAGTCTTTCAACCAGCCTGCAAGCTTATTTGTGTAGGAACTGTAACTTGTTCACTGTATTCCTCAGCACATGACCTAGCAGAGTGGGTGTTTCACCATGTTGGCCAAGCTGGTCTTGAACTCCTGACCTCAGGTGATCCGCCTCCCAAAGTGTTGGGATTACAGGCGTGAGCCACCGCACCCGGCCAAGACAAAATTATGAGAAATTTAGTATAAAAATATCAGTTGGCTTTATTTGCGATTCCACAATTGGGCAGCACCTCATTCTATAAAATAGAATAAGTATGTCAATGATCTGAGCAGAAGAGCTTGGCTTTATAGACACAGAAGGGTTAAAGAAAGCATTGGCAAAGAATAAAGAGTATATTAGGCCCAGAGCCCTGGATCACACCTGTAATCCCAGTGATTCAGGAGGCTGGGATGGGAGGATCCCTTGGGCCAGGAGTTTCAGGCCAGCCTGGCCAACATGGTGATACCCCGTCTCTACAAAAATTTAAAAAATGGGCCAGGTGAGGTGGTTCCCTGGAGGCCGAGGTGAGCGGACCACCTGAGGTGAGGAGTTCCAGACCAGCCTGGCCAAGATGGTGAAACCCTGTCTTTACCAAAAATTCAAAAATTAGGCCAGGCATGGTGGCTCACACCTGTAATCCCAGCACTTTGGGAGGCCGAGGTGGGTGGATCATGAGGTCAGGAGATCAAGACCACCCTGGCTAACATGGTGAAACCCCATCCCTACTAAAAATACAAAAAATTAGCTGGGTGTGGTGGCAGGCACCTGTAGTCCCAGCTACTCGGGAGACGGAGGCAGGAGAATGGCGTGAACCCGGGAGGTGGAACTTGCAGGGAGCCAAGATGGCACCACTGCACTCCAGCCTGGGGACAGAGCGAGACTCTGTCTCAAAAAAAAAAAAATCAAAAATTATCCGGGTGTGGTGGAATTTTTTTTTTTTTTTTAACGGCCAGGTGCAGTGGCTCACGCTTGTAATCCCAGCACTTTGGGAGGCTGAGGCAGGTGGATCACTTGAGGTCAGGAGTTCGAGACCAGCCTGGCCAACATGAAGAGACTGTGTCTCTACTAAAAATACAAAAATTAGCAGGGCATGTGGTGCACGCCTGTTATCCCAGCTACTCAGGAGGATGAGGCACAAGAATCGCTTGAACCTGGGAGACAAGAGGTTGCAGTGAGCTAGGTAGCACCACTGCACTCCAACTCCAGCCTAGGCAACAGAGTGAGACTCCATCTCAAAAAAAAAAAAGGCCAGGTGCAGTGGCTCACACTTGTAATCCTAGCACTTTGGGAGGCCAAGGCAGGCGATCACTTGAGGTCAGGAGTTCGAGACCAGCCTGGCCAACATGGCAAAACCCTGTCTCTATTAAAAATACAAAAAAATTAGCCAGGCGTGGTGGCATATGCCTGTAATCCCAACTACTCGGGAGGCTGAGACAGGAGAATTGCTTGAACCCAGGAGGCGGACGTTGCAGTGAGCCGAGATGGCGCAAGACTCCATCTCAAATAAAAAAAAAAAAATTAAAAATAAGCAGAGCGTGGAGGTGTCCACCTGTGGTCCCAGGTACTCAGGAGGCTGAGGCAGGAGGATCGCTTGAGCCCAGGAAGTCAAAGCTTCAGTGAGCTGGGTTTATGCCACTATGCCACTGCACTCCAGCCTGGGTGACAAAGCTAGACCCTGTACCTTAGAAAAAAGAAAAATTTTTAAAAAAGGCCAGACACAGTGGGTTATGCCCGTAATCTTAGCACCTTGTGAGTTCTAAGCCGGTGGACCACTTGAGCTCAGGAGTTCGAGACCAGCCTGGCCAAAATGGTGAAACCCTGTCTCTACTTAAAAAAAAAAAAAAAATTAGCTGGGCATGGTGGTGTGCGCCTGTGATCCCACTTACTTGGGAGGCTGAGGCAGGAGAATCGCTTGAACCCGGGAAGCAGAGGTTGCAGTGAGCCGAGATTGCACCACTGCACTCCAGTCTGGGCGACAGAGCGAGACTCTATCTCAAAAAAAAAAAAAAGAGTATATAGTTATTTTTCAAAGTTACTTTTACTTTTCTTGTAAGGCAGGACAGACCAATAGAATAATAACCAAGTGGTTACTATCAGGTTCTTTCAAGCCGCCTTTTTTTGCGTAGGATTAAAGCAGGGAAATGTGATGTTGATTGAGGATTTAAACCGGCCTGTTTGGGAAATTGGCTGTTGTCTCTTGATTTCTCCCCAGGTTAGATGGCAACTCAGTTTCCATTTGGTAATGTGGAACTTTAGCATGGGTGACTCTTTTGATTTTTAGTCTGGTCGGCTGGGGCCTGGTGCAGAAACTTAGTCCAAAACAGTGGCCTCCTATAATGTTTATTTAACGGTAGGAAACACATGTTAGTTAAGGTGATGGTGAAGCCTTCCTCTTCACTTCCATTCTCTCAACCCACTCTCCCAGGGCCCTGCAAAACAAGAAGGGCCATCGTCATTTCACAGAAGCGGAAACAAGACCCACGCAGGGAAGGACTTGCTCCAGGGCTCGGCGGGGTGCCGCACAGCCTGGGACCTGCGGGTTCTCAGGACAGACGTGTGGCGGGGCCAACAGTGCGGCGCTCAGGGATAGTGGGGCGCGGCCCAAAGCGGGTGGAGCGCGGCCCAAAGCGGGTGGGGCGCGCAGACTCCACGTGGCCCCGGCGCCGCCCTCTGCGCCCCCTCCCGGCCTCTCCCGGGCCACCCGCGGATTCCCCCAGAGAGGATCGCGCCCTGAACCCGCCGCCCCCGGCTCCTGAGGCCAGGCCTCGCCTCCATTCCTGCCCTGCGCCCTCCCCCTCTCCGGGGCCAGGGGGCCCTCTAAGCTTCCGGGTCTCCAGCCCCCAAAAGGGCCCCGCTCTAGCGGCGACTCCCCGCCCGCCTCTCCCGGGACTCGGGTCCCGCCTCCAGCACCCACTTTAGCCTCCCCCAGATAAGTCCCGCCAGACCCCCACACCCCCAACCCCCACACCCCCAGCCCCTTCCCAACTCCCCTCGTCCCCACCTCCGGCCCCGCGCCCGCGCCCGCGCCCGATCCTTCACGGACTCGTTCCGAAGATCCAGCCTCGCCCTGCCCCGCCCAGGGCCCGGCCGCTCCCCGCCCTCGTCCCCCGGCCCGGGCTCCGCCCCTCCCTCGACTCCGGCCCCGCCCTCCCCCCCGCTCCCTCCGGTCCCCGGATCGGGCCCCGCCCCCGCCCCCGCCCCAAGGACTCTCTTTGTTCCGGAGTCAACCGGCCTCGGTCCTGGGATCGCTGATTCCACGGAGGAGAGCCATACCTGGGCGTCTCCACCCCCCACCCCACTGTCTCTGGAGACCAAGGCCGGCGCCGGGGGAGGCGGGTGTGCGGGCGCGCGAGCCGAGCCCTTTGTTCAGGAGAACATTCCTCAGCGCCAGCCTCCCCACCTGGAGAGCCTGTGGTTCCTGTTTCAGGCTTTGCCTTGGAGAAACTCTCGCCGAGTATGCAGCTCTCAAGCCTGGCTTCTGGCGCATCCTACTTCATGGCCTTCAACGGGTCCTTTGACCTCCCTGAACCTCAATTTTCTCACTTGTAGAATGGGAACCAAAATTCTGACGTCGAATGATCGCTGTGAAATTAAATTAAATGCCAAAACACAAATGTAGAGTATCTGCAGGCATAAGGTGAATGTTAGATACTTGCGTTTGGAAGACCTTCACCGAAAGAAGCTAACATTTTTGTATTGAGTTCACCCTACTCCCCCATCCCGCTTTGTATGGGCAATTTGTAGTCCTCCCAAATCTTTGAAATCTCACTTTCTTAGTAAAGACTTTCCCTGATTTCTGGGGCACACCCTCATGGAGTCACCCTCTGGCATATTTCCATAGCATGCTGTAACGTCTATTAAAATATTTGCAGTTACTTTTTTTTTAATTGAGACTTAATTTGCATTCAGCGAAATACACACAACTTGGCAGGGCGCGGTGGCTCGCGCCTGTAATCCCAGCACTTCGGGAGGCCGAGGCGGGCAGATCACCTGAGGTCAGGAGTTTTGAGACCAGCCTGGCCAACATGGCGAAACCCCATCTTTACTAAAAATACAAAAATTAGCCGGGCCTGGTGGTGCGTACCTCTAATCCCAGCTACTCAGGAGGCTGAGACAGGAGAATCACTTGAATCCAGGAGACGGAGGTTGCAATGAGCCGAGATTGGGCCATTGCACTCCAGCCTGGACGACAGAGCAAGACTCTGTCTCACAAAAAAAAAAAAAGAAAAGAAAGAAAAAAAGAAACTGCCAAACAGTCCTCTCAAGTTATATAGTTATATCCTTTTACATTCCATTCTTTACATGCGGTTTTTTTTTTTTGTTTTTTTTTTTTTTTTTTGAGACAAGGCCTCACTCTGTCACCCAGGCTGGAGTGCAGTGGTGTGATCATAGTGATCATAGCTCAGCAGCCTCGACCTCCCGTGCTCAAGCCATCCTCCCGCCTCAGCCTCCCAAAGTACTGGGATTACTAGCTTGAGACTCTTTGCCCAGCCCCATTTTCCATTCTCACCAGCAGTTATAAGCATTCCAGTTGCTCCACATCCTCTTGAGCATTTGACATTGCCAAACATTTTACTTTTAGCCATTGGAATGGGTGTAGTGTATCTCATTATGACATTACTTTTTAAAAATGAGTAATACAAGTATTCAGTTCTAAAGGTACAAAAGCCTATTAGTCTGTTTAATTTTTCTCCCTGAAAAGTATGTTTCATGAGTGGCTTGTGTCTCCATTTACACTGACATTTCTTTTTGACTATCTGTCTTTTTTCCACTAGAATATAAGCCCCAGGAGGAGAGGGACTGCCTATGGTGATGATAGCTGTCATCTCAGCTCCTTTCTAAAGCTAGTAAAAGCCTAATAAATATTGGTGAATGAATGCCCAGCACTATTCTTCTAGACAAGTCGCATAATCTATTACATTATCACATTTTGATTCAAGAGAGTAGCAGATTCCTTTGGGACTAAGTATGGAACTGAGTGATATCAATACAAAGTTGTGGCCGGGTGCGGTGGCTCACACCTGTAATCCCAGCACTTTAGGAGGCCGAGGTGGGTGGATCACGAGGTCAGGAGATTGAGATGAGCCTGGCCAACATTATGAAACCCCATCTCTACTAAAAATACAAAAATTAGCTGGGCGTGGTGGTGTGTGCCTGTAATCCCAGCTACTCCGGAGGCTGAGGCAGGAGGATCGCTTGAACTAGGGAGTCAGAGGTTGTGGTGAGCTGAGATCGTGCCACTGCACTCCAGCCTGGCGACAGAGCAAGACTCTGTTTCAAAAAAAAAAAAATACAAAGTTGTAAAATGAATGAATGTTGATGAAGGAGCTCTCGGGGTGTTCCTGCATGCAGTGCAAGCTGGCTTTTTGAAAACAACATCTATATGTTAAGTGCTATGCAAACTTTGAAAATAAACATCTGTTACTTCTGCTGCCCAGCATTACTTCACCCTTCTAGTAACAGGACACGAATTTTTCTCTGGGAAATTGTCCTCCTCCACTCAGTCCACACCTCCATCAGCTTCAGGGCATGTGACTCAACCCCAACTAATCAGAGCATCTCAGCCCCTTGACAACTGTGATTGGTTCAGGGATGTGCCCACCCAATTTGGGCCAATGAAAGCCAGCCCTGTCTTGTTGGGCAAGAAAGCTCTTTTTCCTGCAGGACTTGCAATTGTGGTGATGAAAGACTAGGAGAAATGAGGTCAAGGGGAATCGAGCTATTAATGAAGTGATGGAGGGAACATCCCTGGTATTAGGAAGAACAGGAAGAAGGCCACTGCAGTACAGGGAAAAAGGAGAGAGGTAGAGGATGAGAGGATGAGTTCAGGGGCAGGCAGAGGCCAGATCTTTTTTTTTTTTCAGACAGAGTCTTGCTCTGTTCCCCACGCTGGCTTGCAGTGGCGCGATCTCAGCTCACTGCAACCTCCGCCTCCTGGGTTCAAGCGTTTCTCCTGCCTCAGTCTCCCGAGTAGCTGGGATTACAGGCATGTGCCACCATGCCCAGGTAGTTTTTGTATTTTTAGTAGAAACGGGGTTTTGCCATGGTGGCCAGACTGGTCTTAAAATCCTAGAGAGGCCAGATTTTGAGGGGCCTCAAGGAAGATCCTCAAGGATCATGGGAAGGATTTGGAGTTTACCTTTTTTTTTTTTTTTTTTTGAGACAGAGTCTTGCTCTGTCACCCAGGCTGGAGTGCAGTGACGCGATCTCAGCTCACAGCAACCTTCACCTTGTAGCTCACTTGCAAGCAAAGTTGCAAGCTCACTGCAACCTGGGCTCAAGCAATTGAGCCCGAGCAGCTAGGATTACAGGTGCCTGCCACCACGCCCGGCTAATTTTTATATTTTTAGTAGAGACAGGGTTTCACCATGTTGGCCAGGCTGGTCTCAAACTCCTGACCTCAAGTGATCCACCTGCCTTGGCCTCCCAAAGTGCTGGGATTACAGGAGTGAGCCACGGCACCCAGCCTGGAGTTTACCTTGAGAAGCTATTAGAAGAATTTGAGCAGAAGAGTCAATGATCTGATTAAATTTTTTTTGCGACCAAGTCTTGCTTTGTCACTCAGGCTGGAGTGCAGTGACACAGTCATTGCTCACTACTGCAACCTCAACCTCTTAGGCTCAAGGGATTCTACTGCCTCAGCCTCCTGAGTGGCTGAGACCATGGGTACGTGTCACCATGCTCAGCTAATTTTTAAAAATTTTTTTGTAGAGATAGGGACTTGATACATTATTCAGGTTGGTCTTCAACTCTCCTATCTCTGCCTCTCGAAGTGCTGGGATTACAGGTGTGAACTACTGCACTGGTCAAAAAGTATTTCAGTGACATATCAATACAGGAAAACACATAGCTTGTAGCTCATCCTTTAAAACCAGAATAGCCAAGTGAAAAGTCAGTACAGCTTCTTATTTTTACTTTAAAAAAGACATCAGCCCAGGAGCAGTGGCTCACGCCTGTAATCCCAGCACTTTCAGAGGCCAAGACGGGCAAATCACCTGAGGTCAGGAGTTCCAAACCAGCCTGGCCAACATGGCAAAAACCCGTCTCTACTGAAAAAAAAAAATTAGCTGGGCATGGTGGCAGACGCCTGCAATCCCAGCCACTCGGGAGGCTGAGGCAGGAGAATCACTTGAACCCAGGAGACGGAGGTTGCAGTGAGCCGAGATCATGCCACTGCACTCTAGCCTGGGCAAAAGAGAGAGACCCTATCTCAAAAAAAAAAAAAAATTCAAAGGTACGCAGTGGGAATTGAACTACTATGTTTTTTCTTCTTCCTAGAGATGTGACATACATGTTTTCTGGTAAGTAACATTCTACCAAATGTTGTCTTAAACCAAAGCAGAGAGATGACCAGTGAAGCTTCTTACTACCCCCTACTTACTAAGGTAGGAGGATTGCTTGAGCCCAAAAGTTCAAGGCTGCAGTGAGCAGAGATGGTGCCACTGCACTCCAGCCTGTCCATCACAGTGAGACCCTGTCTCAGAAAAAACACAGGATACTTTTTAGGCTATTTCTAGAACACAGTATACATGCATTGGTGCCCAGTAAAATAGGAACCACCACCAATGTAGAAGGTATTTTTGCCTTCATAACACTAACAACTAAAAAGCACAGGGCATATGATACTTTGATTTTTTTTTTTGAGACAGAGTCTCGTTTTGTCACCCAGGCTGGAGTACAGTGGTGCGATCTCGGCTCACTGCAACCTCTGCCTCCCAGGTTCAAGCGATTCTCTGCCTCAGCCTCCAGCGTAGCTGGGACTACAGGCGCACACCACCACGCCTGGCTAATCTTTGTCTTTTTAGTAGAGACAGGGTTTCGCCATCTTGGCCAGTCTGGTCTCGAACTCCTGACCTTGTGATCTGCCCACCTGGGCCTCCCAAAGTGGTAGGATTACAGGTGTGAGCCACTGCGCCCAGCCTTTTTGTTTGTTTTTTTGTTTGTTTTGTTAGACGTAGTTTCCCTCTTGTTGCCCAGGCTGGAGTGCAATGGCATGATCTCAGCTCACTGCAACCTCCGCCTCCTGGGTTCAGGTGATACCCCTGCCTCAGCCTCCCAAGTAGCTGGGATTACAGGCATGTGCCACCACACCCGGCTAATTTTGTATGTTTAGTAGAGACAGGGTTTCTCCATGTTGGTCAGGCTGGTCTTAAACTCCCAACCTCAGATGATCCACCCGTCTCGGCCTCCCAAAGTGCTGGGATTACAGGCGTGAGCCACTGCACCCAGCCTGATATTTTGATCTTTAAGTGGGTAATCATGGGTGTTTCCAGATTATATCCACTAGGTTAGCTGGAGTATTCATCTATAATATATATTCTCAAATATTATGCTTACAGCCAGATGCTGTGGCTCTTGCCCATAATCCCAGGGTTTTGGGAGACCAAGGCAGGAGGATCACTTGCGACTAGGAGTTCAAAATCAGCCTGTGCAACACAGGGAGACCCCATCTCTATTTATAATTTTTAAAAATTAAAATTAAAAATAATAATAGTTAAAAGAGACTTCTAGGGGTTGGGCGCAGTGGCTCATGCCTGTAATCCCAGCACTTTGGGAGGCCGAAGCAGGTGGATCACCTGAGGTCAGGAGTTCAAGACCAGCCTGGCCAACGTGGTGAAACCTGGTCTCTACTAAAAATACAAAAATTAGCCAGGCATGGTGGCAGGCACCTGTAATCCCAGCTACTTGGGAGGCTGCGGCAGGAGAATTGCTTGAACCCGGGAAACGGAGGTTGCAGTGAGCGGAGATGGTGCCATTGCACTCCAGCCTGGGCAACAAGAGTGAAATTCCATCTCAAAAAAAAAAAAAGAGACTTCTAGAAAGAGTGAGATTACATCAGAACCAGCAGAAAACATAGTGATATAAGGACTGCAAATGTAAAACTAGGAGTGGAGTTTCACATGTAGCTTTTAGGTAAAGGACATCTTTTTCAGTTAATTCCTAAAGACAAGACAAGCTGTGATCATAGGAGATTCAGAAACCTCAAGATGGGAAGCTGGTTTGAGGAACATCCTAGATAAATATAAAAAAACCCCAGTGAGGCCGGGTGTGGTGGCTCAGGCTTGTAATCTCAGCACTTTGGCAGGCCAAGGCAGGAGGATCACCTGAGATCAGGAATTTGAAATCAGCCTGGCCAACATGGTGAAACCCCATCTCTACTAAAAATACAAAAATTAGCCAGGCGTGCTGACAGACGCCTGTAATCCCAGCTACTCTGGAGGCTGAGGTGGGAGAATCACTTGAACCCGGGAGGCAGAGTTTGCAGTGAGCAGAGATCGTGCCACTGCACTCCAGCCTGGGCGACAGAATGAGACTCCATCTCAAAACAAAAAAAATTAATTTCATATAACCTTAGATCAAATAATTCTACTTCTATAAATCTGGCTTACCAGATATACTTGTACATGTACACAAAGATATACAAAGAATATTCATTGCAATCTTGTTTGTTAGAGTACAGACTGGATACAATTAAAATGTTCTTCAATAAGGGAATGCTTAAATAAAGTCAAGCCTATCCATGTAATATAATATTATGCAATCACTGAAAAGAATGAGGATTATCTAAATGTATCGCCATGGTACCATCTTCAGGATGTGAAATAAGGAAAGTAAGAAACAATATGGATAATATGCTACTATTGTTTGTTTTGTTTTTTAGAGAAGATAGGAAATAATATGTACATACTTTTTTTTTCTTTTCTTTCTTTCCTTTTTTTAAGACAAGATGTCTCTGTCACCTAGGCTGGAGTGCAGTGGCACAAACACAGCTCATTTTCCAGGCTCAAGCCTTGACTTTCCAGGCTCAACTTCTCCTCCTACTTCAGCCTCCTGAGTAACTGGGACTAAAGGCTGATACTACCAGGCCCAACTAATTTTTAAATTTTTTATGGAGACGGGATCTCACTATATTGCCCAGGTTGTTTTCAAACTCCTGGGCTCAAGTGATTCTCCTGCCCCAACCTCTCAAAGTGCTGGGATTGCAGGCGTGAGCCACTGTGACCAGCCTACACATAATTTTTTTTTTTTTTTTTTTTTTCAGACAGAGTTTCTCTCTTGTTGCCAAGGCTGGAGTGCATGGTGCAATCTCGGCTCACTGCAACCTCCGCCTCGCGGGTTCAAGCTCTTCTCCTTCTTCAGCCTCCCGAGTAGCTGGGATTACAGGCATGTGCCACCATGCCTGGCTAATTTTGTATTTTTAGTAGAGATGGGGTTTCTCCATGTTGGTCAGGCTGGTCTCAAACTCCCGACCTCAGGTGATCCGCCTGCCCTGGCCTCCCAAAGTGCTAGGATTACAGGTGTGAGCCACCGTGCCCGGCCTCATACATACTTTTACAGGCATAGAATATCTCTGGAAACATAGTCCTTCTGAGGCAAAGCAACAAGGGCTAGGTTTTTTTTTGAGACGGAGTCTTGTTTTGTTGCCAGGCTGGAGTGCAGTGGCGCGATCTCGACTCACTGCAACCTCTGCCTCCCAGGTTCTAAGCAATTCTCTTGCCTCAGCTTCCAGAGTAACTGGGACTACAGGTGTGGACCACAACACCCAGTTAATTTTTTTGTATTTTTAGTAGACACGGGGTTTCACTATGTGGGCCAGGATGGTATTGATCTCTTGACCTCGTGATCCGCTCGCCTCGGCCTCCCAAAGTGCTGGGATTAAAGGTGTGAGCCACTGTGCCTGGCCGCTTAATAGGTAATTTAACATACTACCTATTAATTTTTTTTTCCAACCAGCAGCCCTTGTGGCAGCTCTGCCTATGGCGTAGCCGTTTTTTTTGTTTTTTTGTTTTGAGACGGAGTCGCTCTGTTGCCCAGGTTGGAGTGCAATGGCGCCATCTCAGCTCACTGCAATCTCCACCTCCCGGGTTCAAGTGATTCTCCTGCTGCAGCCTCCTAAGTAGGTGGCATTACAGGCACGTGCCACCGTGCCTGGCCAATTTTTGTATTTTTAGTAGAGACGGGGTTTCACCATGTTGGTCAGGCTGGTCTCGAACTCCTGATCTCGTGATCCACCCGCCTCGGCCTCCCAAAGTGGAGACTGTTGATGCTCAATCCAGATTCCCTTGGATCTCTTCTTATCATTTCTGTGTGCTCGTTTCCTAGTTTCAGAGCTGGTGCCTTAGTTTCCAGTGGATCACGTGGACCTTGTTCAGAAGACTGTTCAGCTACTGGAGCTACCCTGTCTTGGCAATAGTACTTGGAAGTACCTGGAAATTTTGCTCTCTCCTCCTCCCCACGTCCTGCCCTCTGGACATGCTTTGGCCAATGATTGAGCAGAATAGAAATGAACACCAGCACTCTTACCTCAGGACAGGCAGTAGTTCCCCCGGCCCCGCCACCCAACCTGGAATTGCCAGGTCGCGCCAGGCTGGCAATGCACCCCTCTGGGAATTTTGTCTGAAATCACACCCTTGTTTGTCTTCTTCCCCTTCACCTTCCTGCTTTCCCACTGCCTTACCAGTTTCTCCATAGAGCCCTCCTTAATTAAGCACTCGTGCAAGAATTCCCATGTTGGGGTCTGCTTTTGAAAAACCAACCTGTGGGCCAGGCGTGGCAGCTCACGCCAGTAATCCCAGCACTTTGGGAGGCTGAGGCAGGTGGATCACCTGAGCTCAGGAGTTCAAGACCAGCCTGGCCAACATGGTGAAACCCCATCTCTACTAAAAATACAAAAAAATTAGTTGGGCGTGGTAGTGGACGCCTGTAATTCCAGCTACTTGGGAGGTTACAGCAGGAGAATCACTTGAACCCGGGAGGCAGAGTTTGCAATGAGCTGAGATCGTGCTACTGCACTCCAGCCTGGGCAACAAGAGCAAAACCCTGTTTCAAAAAAAAAAAAACAAACAAAAGAAAAATGAAAAAGAAAAACCAATCTATTTGTTTATTTGCTTTCATTAAAACAGAATTTATGTATTTATTTGGTCATTTATTTAATTAGGCAAGTAATACAGGCATTTACTATCATTGCAAAATCCAAGCAAAATTCAGCACAAAGCAATGTTAAATTTCACAAATTCCAAGTCCTCTGCTCCTCAAGAGGGTAAATTGTGTTATTAGTTATCTGTATGTCCTTTTAGACCTTTGACTGTGTGTTTTCACTCAGACCTGTATTTTGTTTGGTTGTATTTTCATAACTAGGATAGCTCTGTTTCATTTGGCAACCAGCTTCTTTTCTTTGAGAGTCTGTCTTGAGTGTTTTTCCATGTCAGCACATATGGACCTGCCTCCAGGGTGACCTTCCTAAACTGTTTGTGACATCGGGCTGCTCCCCTCCTTAAAGGCCTTGAAGTCGAGAAAAGAAAAATGCACAGAGCAGCCTGAGCTCAGTGAGATATGCAAAATGTATCAAGCCCAGAGAGACATAAGCATGGGACTTCAGTCATGCCTCTCCACTCATGCCCAGGGGCAATTGTTTAAAAGCATTTTGTTTATAACTAGCTACCTCACCCATTATCTTCACGTTCCAGGAATTTGTGATACAAAGAACAATGTATAGCCAATCAATAGCTTATGTTGTTTTCATGTAAATTCCTGGTAAACAGCTTAGGAATTGCCTTCTCTTTTCCTTTATTTATTTTTTATTTATTTTTTTTGAGACAGAGTCTTGCTCTGTCGCCCAGGCTGGAATGCAATGGCATCATCTGGGCTCACTGCAACCTCTGCCTCCTGGGTTCAAGTGATTCTCGTGCCTCAGCCTCCCGAGCAACTGGAATTACAGGTGCACACCATCATGCCCGGCTAATTTTTTGTTGTTGTTGTTGTTGTTTTGAGACAGAGTCTTGCTCTGTCTCCCAGGCTATGGTGCAATGGCGCAATCTCAGCTCACTGCAACCTCTGCCTCCCAGGTTCAAGTGATTCTCCTGCCTCAGCCTCCTGAGTAGCTGGGATTACAGGTGTGCACCACCATGCCCGGTTAATTTTTGTATTTTTAGTAGAGACGGGGTTTCACCATGTTGGTCAGGCTGGTCTTGAACTCCTGACCTTGTGATCCACCCACCTCAGCCTCCCAAAGTGCTAGGATTACAGGCGTGAGCCACCATGCCCAGCCTGTATTTTTTTTTTTTTTTTTTTTTGAGGCAGAGTCTTGCTCTGTCACCCAGGCTAGAGTGCAGTGGCTTGATTTCGGCTCACTGAAAATTCCGCCTCCCGGGTTCAAGCAAGTCTCCTGCCTCAGCCTCCTGAGTAGCTGGGATTACAGGTGCCCGCCACCGCGCCCAGCTAATTTTTGTATTTTTTAGTAGAGACGGGGTTTCACCATCTTGGCCAGGCTGGTCTTGAACTCCTGACCTCATGATCCACCCACCTCGGCCTCCCAAAGTGCTGGAATTACAGGCATGAGCCACCGTGCCTGGCCCCGGCCTGTATTTTTAATAGAGATGGGGTTTCAACATCTTGGCCGGTCAGGTCTCGAACTCCTGAGTTCAGGCAATCTGCCTGCCTCACCCTCCTAAAGTGCTAGGATTACAGGCGTCAGCCGCTATGCCTGGCCTCTTTTCCTTTGAAAACCTCATTTGTAACTGTCACTAATCGGAGTGTATATTCGGGACAACTTGAATCTATGCTGTTGGGTTGCAGCCCTCAAATTTGGCCAAAATAAACTCTCTACTTCTAAGTTTGCCTCATTTTTTTCCTTTAGGTTGACATAGTAGTGCTTCCCATTGCATTTGGAATAAAATCCAAATGCTTTCACAGTGCAGCAGGAGTGGCCTGATCTGGTCCTGCCCAGTGGCTTATTTCTTATCTCCTCTTGCTCACTCCAGCCATACCAGCCTTCCCCTAGTTACTTGAATGTGCCATACTCTTTTATTATTACACCAAGGCCTTTGCACACCCTATTTCTTTTTCTTTTTCTTTTTCTTTTTGAGATGGGGTTTCGCTCTTGTTGCCCCGGCTGGAGTGCAATGGCGCGATCTTGGCTCACTGCAACCTCTGCCTCCCAGGTTCAAGCGATTCTCCTGCCTCAGCCTCCTGAGTAGCTAGGATTACAAGCATGTACCACCACGCCTGGCTAATTTTGTATTTTTAGTAGAGACAGGGTTTCTGCATATTGGTCAGGCTGGTCTCAAACTCCTGATCTCAGGTGATCCGCCCTCTTTGGCCTCCCAAAGTGCTGGGATTACAGGCATGAGCCACCGCACCCAGCCTGCATACCCTATTTCTTATCCTTTTTTTTTTTTTTTTTGAGACAGAATCTCGCTCTGTCACCTAGGCGGGAATGCAGTGGCAAGATCTCAGCTCACTGCAACCTCTGCCTCCTGGATTCAAGCGATTCTCATGCGTCAGCCTCCCAAGTAGCTGGGATTACAGGTGTGAGCCACCATGCTCGGCCCCTATTTCTTCTTTCTACAATATTCTTTCCTCTTGCTCTTTGTCTGGCTAGCTCCTACTTATCCTGGAGGTGCCAGCAGAAAATTATTCCCTGAGGCCCCAGGCTGGGTGACATCCCATGTCATATGTCTTTTCAATTTTGTTATAAGTCTTTATTTTATTTATTTATTTATTTATTTATTTATTTATTTTGAGTCTGTCTGTTGCCCAGGCTGGAGTGCAGTAGCACGATTATGGCTCACTGCAGCCTTGAACTCCCAGGTTCAAGTGATCTTCCTAAATTAGCCTCCCAAGTTGCTGGGACTACAGAGTTTCCCTCTTGTTGCCCAGGCTGGAGTGCAATGGTGCGATCTCGGCTCACTGCAACCTCCACCTCCCAGGTTCAAGCGATTCTCCTGTCTCAGCCTCTGGAGTAACTGGGATTACAAGCATGCGCCACCATGCCCGGCTAATTTTGTATTTTTAGTAGAGATGGGGTTTCTCCATGTTGTAGAGGCTGGTCTCAAACTCCCGACCTCAGGTGATCCGTCCACCTCAGCCTCCCAAAGTGTTGGGATTACAGGCGTGAGCCACCATGCCCGGACTGTTGTTGTTTTTTTTTAATGGAGATGGGGTGTCTCACTGTGTTTCCCAAGCTGGTCTTAAGCTCCTGGGCTCAAGCAATCCCACCTGGGCCTCCCAAAATACTGGGATTACAGGTGTGAGTTACCATACCCAGCCCTAAGTTGTTTTTGTTGTTGTTGTTGTTTGAGAAGGAGTCTTACTCTGTCACTCAGGCTGAAGTGCAGTGGCAGGATCTCGACTCACTGCAACCTCCGCCTTCTGGGTTCAAGTGATTCTCCTGCCTCAGCCTCCCCAGTAGCTGGGACTACAGGCGTGTGTCATAACACCCAGCTAATTTTTGTATTTTTAGTAGAGATGGGGTTTCACTATGCTGGCCAGGCTCGTCTCAAATGGCTGACCTCAAGTGATCCACCCACCTTGGCCTCCCAAAGTGCTGGGATTACAGGTGTGAGCCACCATGCCCAGCCTTTTTTTTTTTTTTTTTGATATGTCTTTAGAGTACACTCTATTTTACCTTTGGAGCACTTACAAATAATTAGTCTTGTCATGAATTCACATCTGTAATTATGACTCTGGAGATGTCCTCCCAGAGTTAACAAGAATTCCGGACAGATATACAGTTATAATTGAGCATTAACAAGGCTGCACTTTGACCCACTTCCTTGTGATCAAAAGTCAAGTAACACTAGATAATGACCATTTGTGTCCCCACAGTTCCTCTAGATAGGATTTCTGACTTAAAATCATAAGGCTTTCTTTAAGAATTGCTTAAGCAGGGCAGGACGCGGTGGCTGACGCCTGTAATCCCATCACTTTGGGAAGCCAAGGCAGGTGGATCACTTGAAGTCAGGAGTTGGAGACCAGCCTGACCAACACGGTGAAATCCTGTCTCTATTAAAAATACAAAAAAATTAGCTGGGCATGGTGGTGGGCGCCTGTAATCCCAGCTACTTGGGAGGCTGAGGCAGGAGAATCGCATGAATTTTGGAGGCGGAGTTTTCAGTGAGCCAAGATCATGCCAAGATCATGCCATTGCACTCCAGCCTGAGCAATAAGAGCAAAACTCTGTCTCAAAAAAAAAAAAAAAAAAAAAAAAAGAATTGCAGGGCCGGGCGCGGTGGCTCACGCCTGTAATCCCAGCACTTTGGGAGGCCGAGGGAGGCGGATCACGAGGTCAGGAGATCAAGACCATCCTGGCTAACACGGTGAAACCCCATCTCTACTAAAAATACGAAAAATTAGCTGGGCATGGTGGCAAGCACCTGTAGACCCAGCTACTCAGGGGGCTGAGACAGGAGAATGGCATGAACCCGGGAGGCAGAGCTTGCAGTGAGCCGAGATCGTGCCACTGCACTCCAGCCTGGGCAACAGAGAGAGACTCCGTCTCAAAAAAAAAAAAAAAAGAATTGCTTAAGGAGAACCTAAATTCCAGAGGAACAGCTGACCAACCAGTTTAAAGACCCTCACCAGCCGGGCATGGTGGCTCATGCCTGTAATCCCAGCTCTTTGGGAGGCCGAAGTGGCTAGATCACCTGAGTTCGGGAGTTCAAGACCAGCCTGACCAACATGGAGAAATTCTGTCTCTACTAAAAATACAAAATTAGCCGGGCATGGTGGCACATGCCTATAATCCCAGCTACTCAGGAGGCTGAGGCAAGAGAATTGCTTGAACCCAGGAGGCGGAGGTTGCAGTGAGTCGAGATCGTGCCACTGTACTCCAGCCTGGGCGACAAGAGCTAAACTCTGTCTCAAAAAAAAAAAAAAAAAAAAAAAGCCAGAAAACAAAAAAAGCCCTCACCAAGGAACTGAACCAGCATGAGAATGCCATTTCCACATCTCCCTGTCCTATCACTTCACCCTGCACTCTTTGACCAGTGATCTGTACACTTCGGCCCACTCCAAAACCTTTAAATACCCTAGCCCCAAACTCATCAGGGAGACCGATGTGAGGTCTCCTCTCCTCTCCTCCTTTGATAGTCTTGTGATTAAACCTCTTTCTCTGCTGCAACCTGGTGTCTTGGCATATTGACTTGCTGTATGCATTGGGCAATGGCACTATTAGAGTTACAATTCTAATAAACGAAATCATAGGCTGGGCGCGGTGGCTCACCCCTATAATCTCAGCACATTAGGAGGCTGAGGTGGGCAGATCACTTGAGGCCAGGAGTTCAAGACCAGCCTGGTCAACACGGCAAAACCCCGTCTCTACTAAAAATACGGAAATTAGTCGGTTGTGGTTGTGTAAGCCTGTAATCCCAGCTACATGGGAGGCTGAGGCAAGAGAATAGCTTGAACCTGGGAGGCAGAGGTTGTAATGAGCCAAGATCATGCCACTGCACTCCAGTCTGAATGACAGAGCAAAATCCTGTTTCTCTCTTGTTGCCCAGGCTGGAGTGCAATGGTGCGATCTCGGCTCACCTCAACCTCCGCCTCCTGGGTTCAGGTGATACCCCTGCTTCAGCCTCCCGAGTAGCTGGGATTACAGGCATGTGCCACCACACCCAACTAATTTTGTATTTTTAGTAGAGACAGGGTTTCTCCATGTTGGTCAGGTTGGTCTTGAACTCCGGACGTCAGGTGATCTACCTGCCTCGGCCTGCCAAAGTGCTGGGATTAAAGATGTGAGCCACCGCGCCCGGCCTAAAAAAAAATTCTAATTAATGAAATCATTATCCATGCAGCTATGTGTTTCACTATTTCTCCCCCACTGGAGTGTGTGTGCCAAAAGGGGAAGGCCCTCTTCAGTCTTGTTCATCCATATACATAATGACTTGCACAGTTACAAGCAAGGAAGAGAGGCTCAATAAATGGTTGCTACGTGAATGAAAGGAAGGACTGGAAAACTGTTAGCTTCTCTCTGTCTCCCTCTCTCTGAGGCAATGCTGTCTTTTGTCTCTCCTTTGCCCTTGGGCCTTCTGGATTCTTCTCTCTGTCTATATCTATCTATCTATCTATATATCTACAGATAGATATATAGTTTTGTTTTTTTTTTTTTAGATGGAGTCTCGCTCTGTCTCCCAGGCCAGAGTGCAATGGTGTGATCTTGGCTCACTGCAACCTCCGCCTCCCGGGTTCAAACAATTCTCCTGCCTCAGCCTCCTGAGTAGCTGGGACTACAGGCGCCCGCCACCCCGCCAGGCTAATTTTTTTGTGTTTTTTTTCTCGTAGAGATGGGGTTTCACCATGTTAGCCAGGGTGGTCTCGATCTGACCTCGTGATCCGCCCACTTCGGCCTCCCAAAGTGCTGGGATTACAGGCGTGAGCCACCACACCCGGCTCTGTCTATATTTTTAAATCATGTTTCTTTGTCTGTTTTGTTTTTTGTTTTGTTTTGTTTTGTTTTGTTTTGTTTTTGAGACTGAGTCTTGCTCTGTTGCCCAGGCTGGAGTGCAGTGGCGCAATCTCGGCTCACTGCAACCTCCGCCTCCTGGGTTCAAGCAATTCTCCTGCCTCAACCTCCTGAGTAGCTGGGATTACAGGCACGTGCCACCATGCCTGGCTAATTTTTTTGTATTTTTAGTAGAGACGGGGTTTCCCCATGTTGGCCAGGCTGGTCTCAAACTCCTGGCCTTGTGATCTGCCTGCCTCGGCCTCCCAAAGTGCTGGGATTACAGGCGTAAGCCACCAAGTCCAGCTGTAAATCATGTTTTTAATTAAAAAGAACTTTTGTGCTGGGCGCGGTGGCTCACGCCTGTAATCCTAGCACTTTGGGAGGCCAAAGTAGGTGGATCACCTGAGGTTGGGAGTTCGAGACCAGCCTGACCAACATGGAGAAACTCCATCTCTACTAAAAATACAAAATTAGCCAGCAAGGGGGCGCATGCCTGTAATCTCAGCTACTTGGGAGGCTGAGGCAAGAGAATCACTTGAACCTGGGAGGTGGAGGTTGTGGTGAGCTGAGATTGAGCCATTGCACTCCCGCTTGGGCAACAAGAGCGAAACTCTGTCTCAAAAAAAGTTTGGCTGGGTGTGGTAGCTTGCGCCTGTAATCCCAACACTTTGGAAGGCCAAGGCAGGAGGATCATTGAGTCTAGGAGTTTGAGACCAGTCTGGGCAACATGGCGAATCCTTGTCTCTACAAAAAATACAAAAATTAGCTGGGCATGGTGGTGTCAGAAGCATTTGAACCAGAGCAACTCCATCTTGAATAGGGGCTGGGTAAAATAAGGCAGAGACCAGGGCTGCATTCCTGGACAGTTAAGGCATTCCCGGACAGTTAAGTCACAGGGTGAGACAGGAGATCGGCACAAGATACAGGTCATAAAGACCTTGCTGATAAAACAGATTGCAGTAAAGAAGTTGGCTAAATCCCACGAAAACCAAGATGGCGACAAGAATGACCTCTGGTCGTCCTCACTGCTACACTCCCACCAGTGCCATGACAGTTTACAAATGCCATGGCAACAGCAGGAAGTTACCCGATATGGTCTAAAAAGGGGAGGCATGAGTGATCTATACCCATTACTTAGCATATAGAAATAAAAATAAACCATAAAAATGGGCATCTATCAACCCTCAGGGCTGCCTTGTCTATGGAGTAGCCATTTTTTATTCCTTTACTTTCTTAAATAAACTTGCTTTCAGCTGGGTGCGGTGGCTCCTGCCTGTAATCCCAGCACTTTGGGAGGCCGAGGCGGGGAATCACGAGGTCAAGAGATCAAGACTGTCCTGGCTAACACGGTGAAACCCCATCTCTACTAAAAATAAAAAAAATTAGCCAGGCGTGGTGGCACACGCCTGTAGTCTCAGCTACTCCGGAGGCTGAGGCAGGAAAATCACCTGAACCCATGAGTCAGAGGTTGCAGTGAGCCGCGATCATGCCACTGGCACTCCAGCCTGGGCAACAGAGCAAGACTTCTTCTCCAAAAAATAATAATAATAATAATAATAATAATAATAATAATAATAATAATAAACTTGCTTTCACTTTATTCTATGGGCTCTCCGCGTATTCTTTCTTGCACGAGATCCAAGAACCCTCACTTGCGGTCTGGATCAGGACCCTTTTCCAGTAACAGTGGCACAAGCCTATAGTCCCAGCTACTAGAGAGGATGAGGTGGGAGGATAACTTGAACCCAGGAGATCAAGGCTACAGTGAGCTATGATGAGGCCACTGCACTCCAGCCTGGGCAACAGAGTGAGATCCTGTCTTAAATAAAAACCTTAAACATTTATTTATTTTTTAAATTTAATTTATTATTATTATTATTATTATTATTATTATTATTATTATTATTTTGAGACAGGATCTTGCTCTGTTATCCAGGTTGGAGTACAGTGGCACAATCTCAGCTCACTGCAAACTCCCCCTCCCAGGTTCAAGCGATTCTCGTGCCTCAGCCTCCCAAGTAGCTGAGATTACAGGAGTACACCAACACACCCGGCTGATTTTTATATTTTTAGTAGAGACAGGGTTACTCCATGTTGGCCAGGCTGGTTTTGAACTCCTGGCTTCAAGTGATCCACCCACCTCGGCCTTCCAAAGTGCTGGGATTAAAGGTGTCAGCTGCCATACCCGGCCTATTATTGTTTTTTTATAAAGCCAGGTTTCTCCATGTTACCCAAGCTGGTCTTGAACTCCTCCTCTCAAGTGATCAGCCT
This sequence comes from Homo sapiens, assembly GCF_000001405.40. Taxonomy (NCBI): domain Eukaryota; kingdom Metazoa; phylum Chordata; class Mammalia; order Primates; family Hominidae; genus Homo; species Homo sapiens. Next base: position 31,137,659 of record NC_000001.11, on the reverse strand, counting down.
CCTGAAGTTCTGGGATTATAGGCATGAGCCACCATGCCAGACCAAAAAAACCCGTTTTTTTTTGTTTTTGTTTTTTTTGGTTTTTATTTTGAGACGGAGTTTCCCTCTTATTGCCCAGGCTGGAGTACAATGGTGTGATCTCGGCTCACTGCAACTTCCGCCTCCTGGGTTCAAGTGATTCTCCTACCTCAGTCTCCTGGGTAGCTGGGACTACAAGTGGGCACCACCATGCCTGACTAATTTTTCTATTTTTAGTAGAAACGGGGTTTCACCATGTTGGCCAGGCTGGTCTCGAACTCCTGACCTTGTGATCCACCTGTCTCAGCCTCCCAAAGTGCTGGGATTACAGGCATGAGCCACTGTGCCCAGCCAAAAAAAACTTTTTTAGAGATGGGGGTCTCACTCAATTTCCCAGGCGGGAATGTAGAGGCTATTCACAGGTGTGATCATGGTATACTGGAACCTCAAACTCCTGACTTTAAGCAATCATCCTGAAATGGGATAGTTTCCTTGACCCCTTCACAGGACTTGGGAAGGGGTGGGCTCATTTACTCACCCCAAAGCTCTGAAACCCTCACAGGAGGGGGGACATGCAGGTGAGCAGGTGCAGGGTCCAGATGAGTGTTTTTGGGCACTGGCAGGAGCAGAACTCCATGTGTCCCTGCAGCAGTTTCTGGGGGGCAGGGTGGATACTCACAATCCCCAGAGCCCCAGAGGGCTTGTGTTACCTGTGTTCTTTTAGCTTTGCCATCCACGGATGGCTTAAGTGTTTTTGTTTTGTTTTGTTTGAGATACAGTCTCACTCTGTGGCCCAGGGTGGAGTTCAGTGGCATGATCTCAGCTCATTGCAATCTCCATCTTCTGGGTTCAAGCAATTCTTGTGCCTCAGCCTCCCAACAGAGCTGGGATTACAGGAATGTGCCACCAAGCCCAGCTGATTTTTGTAATTTTAATAGACATGGGGTTTCACCATGTTGGCCAGGCTGGTCTTGAACTCCTGGCTTCAAGCAATCCACCCGCCTCAGCCTCCCCAAATGCTGAGATTATAGGCATGAGCCACTGTGCCTGACTGACTTAAATGTTTAACAGCTCAGTGGAGGCTCAGGGTGACAGTCTTTTGCACCCACCCTCTTGGTACCTGAGTTCTTGTCCAGCATCCAGGAAGAATCAGGTCACATGAATGAATTGAAGGGTGGTGAATGTGGAGGATTTTATTGAGCAGTGGAAGTGGCTCTCAGCGGGATGGGGAGCAGGAAAGGGGATGGAGTGGGAAGGTGGCCAAAGTCCCACTGTCAAGCCATCCTGCTGAAGTCAAGCTGCTTCTCTTTAAGGGTCTGGCTGCTTCTTCTCTTCTCTCCTTCTCTGCCACTCCACTCTTCCACTCAGCTGCTCTGCTGCTCTGCTGCCCCTCTGCCATTGGAGCCTGGGGTTTTTATGGGTACAGGATGGGGGGTGGGGCAGGCCAAAAACAACATATGAACAGGAAAACAGGAATGCATATTCTCACTTTGGGCCGCTGTCCCAGGCTTGAGGGTGTGGCCCTCACAGGGGACTGCCCTCTTCTACCCAGTATTTCCCTGCCTCCTGTCCATTTCAATCCTGTCTCAGCCTCCCAAGTAGCTAGGGGTATAGGAACAATTCCCAAGCTGGGCTCTCTTCTCTCTATAGACCAACTTACAACACTCAAAGTTAGTTGCTGCTCTCCCAACACTTTGGCCTCCCTGAGGTTCGGGCTTGCCCCTGGGCCCACCGTGGTCCTGACTGTATATGAGGGCCTTTCTGCTCTAGAGCCAGCTGCCAACTGACCACACCCTTTGGGTCTCTTTGCTTACATTCTTAGAAAAGACTGGGCATGGTGGCTCACGCCTGTTATCCAAACACTTTGGGAGGCCGAGGCAGGTGGATCACCTGAGATCCGGAGTTTGAGACCAGCCTGGCCAACATGGCTAAACCTCATCTCTACTAAAAATACAAAAATTAGCCAGGCATGGTGGCACGTGCCTGTAATCCCAGCTTCTTGGGAGGCTGGGGCCGGAGAATTGCTTGAACCTGGGAGGCAGAGGTTGCAGTGAGCCGAGATCGCATCACTGCACTCCAGCCTGGGCAACAGAGTGCGACTCTGTCTCAAAAGAAAAAAAAATTACTGGAAAAGAGTCTCCATCACCTCAATCCAACAAAAGGATTAGTTTCCCTTGGGCAAGGAATCCACCCTGGCCATTTCTCTCTGGCAAGGATAATAACACGAAAGAGTGAGGGAACCGGGCTAGGTCAAGCCAGGAGGGGAAATTGAATGTGGCCAGAATCTGACTGGCATTTTTGCCACAAATGTAAAAGGAACCAATATATAGTATTTTTTTTCTTTTTTCTTTTTTTGAGATGGAGTCTCGCTCTGTTGCCCAGGCTGTAGTGCAGTGGCACAGTCTCGGCTCACTGCAACCTCTGCCTCCTGGGTTCAAGTGATTCTCCTGTCTCGGCCTCCCAAGTAGCTGGGATTACAGGCGCCTGCCACCATGCCTGGCTAATTTTTTTTTGTTGTTTTTGAGACGGAGTCTCACTGTGTCACCCAGGCTGGAATGCAGTGGCATGATCTTAGCTCACTGCAACCTCCCAGGTTCAAGCGATTCTCCTGCCTCTGCCTCCCAAGTAGCTGGCATTACAGGCACATGACACCAAGCCTGGCTAATTTTGTACTTTTAGTAGAGACATGGTTTCGCCATGTTGGCCAGGCTGGTCTCGAACTCCTGACCTCAGGTGATCCACCTGCCTCGGCCTCCCAAAGTGCTGGGATTACAGGCATGAGCCACTGCGCCCAGCCATACTTTTTTTTTCTGGTTTAAAAAAGTTGAAGCTGGCCATAGTAGTGTGTGCCTGTAATCCCAGCTAGTTGGGAGGCTGAGGTGGGAGGATCACTTGAGCCCACAAGTTAGAGGTTTCAGTGAACCATGATTAGGCCACCGCACCTAAGCCTGGGCAACAGTGCAAGACCCCATCTCTAAAAATAATAAATAAATAGATAGGTAGATACATTTTAAGTCGCGTCTTCACACCCGTAGAACCATTTTAAGGTATCTGTCCAGCCCTGATTCTCTGGGAACTAACCTCTCCCACAGTGAAGGGTGGGCATATGATCATAGCTGATTGGTCCAGGGGTGAACACCTAACTCAAGTTGGGCCAATAAGCATCTTTGTACTGAGAATTTGGAATTTACCATAAAGCTCCAGAACCAACTCAGTAATTTACTACCATATGCTCAGAAAGGCAAGAAAAAGAGAAAAAGCAGACTGCAAATATAAATATTTATTCATTAAATAAATATTCAATAAATACTTTTTTTTTTTTTTAGATAAGGTCTTGCTCTGTCACCCAGGATGCAGTGCAGTGGTATGATCCCAGGTCACTGCAACCTGTCTCCCAGGTTCAAGCAAGTCTCGTGCCTCAGCCTCCTGAGTAGCTGGGACCACAGGCATGCGCCACCAGGCCTGGCTAATTTTCATATTTTTAGTATAGATGCAGTTTCATCATGTTGGCCAGGCTGGTCTCAAACTCCCGACCTCAAGTGATCCGCCACCTTGGCCTCCCAAAGTGTTGGGATTACAGGAGTGAGCCATCGTGCCCGGCCTGAATAAATACATTTTGAAAATCAATGATGGGTCAGGCACTATTCTGTGTGTTGGGGACGCATCAGTGAACCATGAAAGTAAAAACCCCTGCCCAATGGAGGTGACATTTTGTTAGAGGAGAGACAATAAGCAAGATAAATTTAAAGAAAAATAAAAGTTAGATGATGATTTGAGCTAAGGAGAGGGGAAAAAATGCTGGGATGGAGGATAGGAAGTATCTGGGCAGGAGAAGGCAAGTATTGAAATGTTGGTTAAGGTGTTCAGAGAAGTCTTCACTGAGAAGGTGACATTTGGGCAAAGATCTGAAGGAACAGAGGAAGCAAGCCATATGGTCCTTGGGGAAAGAACAATCAAGGGAAAGGGAATAGCTAGAGCAGAGGCCCTTAAGTGGGAGAGTGCCTGAGGAGCATTGCGGTTGAAGAAAAGTGGGCAAAGGGGAGATGGTAGGAGATAAAGTCAGAAAACCCACAGAGGCTGGTTCTGCAGGGCTTTGTGGATAAGAAAGCCATTAGGAAGGTTTTTGTTTTTTTTTCTTTTTGCGGTGGCAGTCTTGCTCAGTCACCCACGCTGGGGTGCAGTGGTGCGATCTCGACTCCCTGCAACCTCTGCCTCCCAGGTTCAAGCGATTCTGCTGCCTCGGTCTCCCAAGTAGTTGGGATTATAGGGTACACGTCACCATGCCGAGCTAATTTTTGTATTTTTTTGTAGAGACAGGGTTTCATCATGTTGGCCAGGCTGGTCTCGGACTCCTGGACTCAAGTGATCTGCCCGCCTCGGCCTCCCAACATGCTGGAATTACAGATGTGAACTACCGCACCTGGTCTTTTTTTTTTTTTTTTTTAAGATGAGGTCTCCTGTCACCTAGGCTGGAGTGCGGTGGTGAGATCATAGCTCCCTGCGGCCTCAAACTTCTGGGCTCATGTGATCCTCTTGCCTTAGCCTCCTAGGTAGCTGGGACTACAGGTGTGCCCTATCATTCCTGTCTCCTTGGGAAGTTTTTTGTTTTTTTGTTTTTTTTTTCTCTGAGACAGAGTTTCACTCTTGTCGCCCAGGCTGGAGTGCAATGGCATGATCTCGGCTCACTGCAACCTCTGTCTCCTGGGTTCAAGCGATTCTCCTGCCTCAGCCTCCTGAGTAGCTGGGATTACATACATGCACCACCCACACCAGGCTAATTTTGTATTTTCAGTAGAGACTGGGTTTCTCCATGTTGGTCAGGCTGGTCTCCAACTCCCGACCTCAGGTGATCTGCCCACCTCAGCCTCCCAAAGTGCTGGGATTACAGGCGTGAGCCACTGCACCTGGCTGCATCTTTGCAATTTTTGATTAAGCACAACCAGTTTCTCAAAAAAAATTATTATTGTTATTATTATTATTTTTGAGATAGAGTCTCTCACTCTGTCACCCAGGCTACACTGCAGTGGAGCAATCTCGGCTCACTGCAACCTCCATCTCCTGGGTTCAAGAGATTCTTCTGCCTCTGCCTCTCGAGTAGCTGAGATTACAGGCGCTTGCCACCACTTCCAACTAATTTTTGTACTTTTAGTAGAGATGGGGTTTCATCATGTTCTCCAGGCTGGTCTCAAACTCCTGGTCTTTTTTTTTTTTTTTTTTGAGACAGAGTCTCACTCTGTCACCCAGGCTGGAGTGCAGTGGCGCAGCCTCGGCTCACTGCAACCTCCACCTCCCGGGTTCACGCCATTCTCCTGCCTCAGCCTCCTGAGTAGCTGGGACTACAGGTGCCCGCCACCACGCCCGGCTAATTTTTTGTATTTTTAGTAGAGACAGGGTATCACCGTGTTAGCCAGGATGGTCTCGATCTCCTGACCTCGTGATCCGCCCGCCTCAGCCTCCCAAAGTGCTGAGATTACAGACGTGAGCTACCACGCCTGGCCTTTTTTTTTTTTTTTTTTTTTTTTGAGACGGAGTCTTGCTCTGTCACTCAGGCTGGAGTGCAGTGGTGTGATCTCGGCTCACTGCAACCTCTGCCTCCCAGGTTCAAGTGATTCTCCTGCCCCAGCCTCCCGGGTAGCTGGGATTACAGATGTGTGCCACCATGCCTGGCTAATTTTTGTATTTTTAGTAGAGATAGGGTTTCACCATGTTGGCTAGGCTGGTGTTGAACTCCCAACCTCAGGTGATCTGCCCGCCTCGGCCTCCCAAAGTGCTGGGATTACAGGCATGAGCCACCTAGCATGGCTAATTTTTGTGTGTGTGTGTGTGACAGGATCTCACTCTGTCACCCAGGCTGGAGTGCAGTGGCACCAACTCAGGTCACTGTAGCCTCTGCCTCCTGGGCACAAGTGATTCTCCCACCTCATTATCCTCAGTAATTGGGACTACAGGTGTGCACCACCACGCCCAGCTAGTTTTTATATTTTTAGTAGAGACACTGTTTTGCCATGTTGCCCAGGCTGGTCTTGAACTCCTGAGTTCAGGTGATCCACCTGCCTCGGCCTCCTAAAAAATGCTGGGATTGTAGGCATGAGCCACTGTGCCCCACTGATTATGTTCTTTTTTAAAAAATTTACAGGCCGGGCGCGGCGGCTCACGCCTGTAATTTCAGCACTTTGGGAGGCTGAGGTGGCTGGATTACCTGAGGTTAGGAGTTTGAGACCAGCCTGTCCAACGTGGTGAAACCCCATCTCTACTAAAAATACAAAAATTAGCCAGGCATGGTGGCGTGTGCCTATAGTCACAGCTACTCGGGAGGCTGAGGTGGGAGAATTGCTTGAACCTGGGAGGCAGAGGTTGCAGTGAGCCGAGAAAGCGCCACTGCACTGCAGCCTGGGCGACAGAGTGAGACTCTGTCTCAAAAAAAATTTTTTTTTTAATTGGGCCGGGCATAGTGGCTGGGTTCAAGCAATTCTCTGAGTTCAAGTTCTCTGGGGTCAAAGAAGTTTGTTCTTTGTTTTGCATGTAGAGATGCTTTTAAAAAGCTAAAAAACGCCGGGCACGGTGGCTCACATCTGTAATCTAAGCACTTTGGGAGGCCGAGGCAGGCAGATCACCTGAGGTCAGGAGTTTGACACCAGCCTGGCCAACATGGTGAAACCTGTCTCTATTAAAAATACGAAATTATCTGGGCGTGGTGGCAGGCACCTGTGATCCCAGCTACTCGGGAGGCTGAGGCAGGAGAATTGCTTGAACCCAGGAGGCGGAGGTTGCAGTGAGCCGAGATTGTGCCACTGCACTCCAGCCTGTCAAAAAAAAAAAAAAAAAAAACTAAAACAGTTTTCTGTGTAAAATCATGTTTGACACACATATAAAACAGGTATTGAAATAAAAATGACAATAGCAATGAAAATTAGAAGAGTTGGAGTTATGTTACAGGAAGATCACAGAAAATAATGCAAAACAACATCGACAGAAAATAGGGCCAGGTATAGTGGCTCACACGTGTAATCCCAGCACTTTAGGAGGCCAAGATAGACTGATTGTTTGAGTCCCTAAGTTCAAGACCAGCTTCGCAGCATGGTGAAACTCTGTCTCTACAAAAAGTACAAAAATTAGCTGGGCATGGTGGCATGTGTCTATAGTTCCAGCTACTTGGGAGGCTGAGGCAGGAGAATCGCTTGAACCTGGGAGGTGGTGGTTGCAGTGAGCAGAGATCATGGCACTGTGCTCCAGCCTGGGTGACAAAACGAGACCATGTCTCAATAAATAAATAAATAAATAAAATAGGGCAGAAATGAGAAAATCAGAGGGCCTGTCTAGGAAGTGTAATATTTCAGTTTCAAGAGTTCCAGAAAAAGCAGAGGAAACAGAGGGAAGGAAATCCTCAAAGAAAACTCAAGAAGTTTAAAGAACATTGGTTTCCATAGGATCTACTAAGTTCCTAGAAAATTGGATGAAAATCGGTTCATGCCAAGGTAACCTGGCAAAAATTTCAGAACAAAGAGACAAAAAGAAGATGTTACAAGATTACAGAGAGAAAAACAAGTTTTCCAATCCTGTGTACAGAAGAAAATATGCTGATGTAAACTGCACAAGCATGCACACACAGAATCTGGCCATTGATGTTAAATCTTTGTAAACAAAAGACACCCATTCTGTTACTAGACAAAAAACAGTATGGGCAAGAATTTTTTTTTTTTTTTTTTTTTTTTTTTTGGATGTAAGTGAAGTTACAGTGAATTCTATTGTTTTATCTGCCCAGAAACTACACCTCACTCTTCTGGGGAATGTTCCTATCCTCCTTTCCCCGACATACACCATGTGTTCCAAATGGGTGCCCCCAAGTCTTACAGGCCCCACCTCCCTGGCCATGTTACGTCAAAGTGTATTTAACCCCAAGATTGCTTAAACCTGGAGCTAGAGAGAATGACTCTGACTTCCAGTTCAGTGGTGAAGATGGGAGACTCTATGGCCACTGGCCACCATGACTCCAGCGTAGGTTTGGAACAATAGAGTTCAGGTGGAAAGAAGCAGAGATGAGAGACTGGGCAGCGTCTGAGACCCTGGATCTAGCCATCCCTGAACCCTTGCAACCTGGACCCTTGCACTTTCCATGGTGATGCCAGTCTTCCAAAAGAAAACAAAATAAAAACCATTTGTCTGATCTGGGTTTCTGTCACTTGAAACAAGTCATGGCTGATACAGAAATGTGAGAAGGCAACTACTCTTGCTTGTATCAAAACTAATTATAACGAACATACTGAGAATTAGGATGCACCAGGCGCTGTCTGAGCACTTTTGTCTCATGTACTCTGAACTGAAAAGAAACTGAGGAGGCTGGGCGCGGTGGCTCACGCCTGTAATCCCAGCAGTTTGGGAGGCCGAGGCGGGTGGATCACGAGGTCAGGAGTTCTCGACCAGCCTGGCCAACATAGTGAAATCCCGTGTCTACTAAAATTACAAAAATTAGCCGGGCATGGTGGCACATGCTTGTAGTCCCAGCTACTGGGGAGGCTGAGGTAGGAGAATAGCTTGAACCTGGGAGGCGGAGGTTGTGGTGAGCCGAGATTGTGCCACTGCACTCCAGCCGGGGCAACAGAGCGAGACTCCATCTCAAAAAAAAAAAAAAAAGAAAAGAAACAGGACAGAGCAGGTGGGTCACTCATTCATAGTCTGGGGTTTAAGCTCAAGTACATAAAAGACCATCAGAGACCTCCCCTCACTGGGACACTCGCCTCCTGCTCACATCTACTTCACCTACTCCCCCCAGGCCACATCCAGCCCTGCCACTTTGCTCATGAGTTATCTTCTGTGAGACGGTCCTTTCTTCCAGCTCCGGCAAAATCCTATTTGCCCTTCAAGGCCCACTCAAATGTCTCCTGCCCTGCTCCTCTCTAGGCCCCTCATCCACAAATGCAAGTTAAAACCTCGTCTCCTCTGTGTCCTCACTGCATTTGCAAAATATGAAATTGAGAGCGGGCTGGGTGCGGTGGTTCACGCCTGTAATCCCAGAATTTTGGGAGGCTGAGGCAGGCAAATCACCTGAGGTCAGGAGTTTGAGACCAGCCTGGCCAACATGGCAAAACCCCATCTCTACCATAAATACAAAAATTAGCCAGGTGTGCTAATCCCAGCTACTTGGGAGGCTGAGGCAGGAGAATCGCTTGTACTCAGGAGACAGGTTTCAGTGAGCTGAGATCACGCCACTGTACTCCAGCCTGGGAGACAGAGCAAGACTCCCTCTCAAAAATTAATTAATTAATTAAGAGCACAGCTCTGATTTATTTATTTATTTATTTATTTATTTATTTATTTATTTATTTGAAACAGGGTCTCACTCTGTCACCCAGGCTGGAGTGCAGTGGTGTGATCACAGCTCACTGCAGCCTCGATTTCCCGGACTCAAGAGATCCTCTCACCTCAGCCTTCTGAGAAGCTGGGACCACAAGCATGTACCACCATGCCAGGCTGATTTTTGTATTTTTGGTATAAACTGGGTTTCACCATGTTGCCCAGGCTGGTTTCCAACTTCTGGGGTATATCATCCACCTACTTTGGCCTCCCAAAGAGCTGGGATTATAGGCATGAGCCATCACACCTGGCCACCTTACTTTTTCTAAGCCTCAGATTCTCTTTTTTTTTTTGGCACAGGGGATGGAGTTTCACTCTTGTCACCCAGGCTGGAGTGCAATGGTACAATCTTGGCTCACTGCAACCTCTGCCTCCCAGGTTCAAGCAATTCTCCTGTCTCAGCCTCCCAAGTAGCTGGGACTACAGGCATGTGCCACCATGCCTGGCTAATTTTTGTATTTTTAAAAGAGACGGGTTTTCACCATGTTGGCCAGGCCGGTCTCAAACTCCTGACCTCAAGTGATCTGCCTGCCTTGGCCTCCCAAAGTGCGCCCAGCCTCAGATTCTTTATAATGTGGAAATAATGATAGCCCAGCCTTGTAGGATTGCCATGAAGTTTAGATCAGCTACTGTTTGTTAGGCACATAGCGTATCATCAACACGGGCTGGTGGTGCCAGCAATTGATATCTCCGTCTATATTGGGAGTTTTCCCAGTATATTTTTCTGGGGCTTTGTCTCCTCCCCTAGGCTCTGGCTCTTTGAGGGCAGATACCCTATGTGATGATTCAAGTGGCTGCTCGCTTAAGACGTCTCCCCCTGGCTTCCAAGTGATTAGCTTTCCAGTTAGGAATTCAACATTTGAGTCTGGTTAGGTTATTTTAAAAATAGTTCCTGACTGCATGTGAGACGCACCGATCCAGTCTCCTTATAAAAAATGTATGCATTACAGCTAAGGCAAAGATCTCCTATGAGCATCAAACCAATCCCAACCCTTTTAGAGGCTACCACAGCTATCAGTTTGATGTGTTTGATGACTTATTTTTATTGAAGCTACTCAGTATTTAGGTACTTTTAATCTGAAGGCTCATGTCTTTCTTCTATTCTGGAAAAATCCTCAGATCTTATTTCTTAAAGTATTTGCCATCCACCCCATTCTCAACTCCTGGACTGTATGTTAGATGCTCTCAGAATGGCCTCCCTATTTCTTATTTTCTCCCTCTTTTCCTTTTCCTTCCCTTTTCCTTCTGGGTCAATTTCTTAGTACTACATTTTTTCCTGCAATTTTACTATTATCATTATTATTATTATTTTGAGATGGAGTTCCACTCTTGTCATCCAGGCTGGAGTGCAATGGCACGATCTCGGCTTACTGCAACCTCTGTCTCCCAGGTTCAAGCGATTCTCCTGCCTCAGCCCCCTGAGTAGCTGGGATTACAGGCACCTGCCACCATGCTGGCTAATTTTTATATTTTTAGTGGAGATGGGGTTTCACCATATTGGCCAGGCTAGTCTCAAACTCCTGACCTCACATGATCTGCCCGCCTTGGCCTCCCAAAGTGCTGGGATTACAGGTGTGAGCCACCGTGCCTGGCCACAATTTAATTATATTATAATAAAGCAATAAAGAATGTTTCAGAGCCTAGTGATGGATCATTTAGTCTAACATCTCATAACAACTTTGAAAAGCACAAGATATCAAATTTTTTTGTTTTGTTTTGTTTTGTTTTTGAGACAAAGTTTCACTCTTGTTGTCTAGGCTGGAGTGCAGTGGCACGATCTTGGCTCACTGCAACCTCCGCCTCCTCGGTTCAAGTGATTCTCCTGCCTCAGCCCCCCAAGTAGCTGGGATTACAGGCATGCGCCACCATGCCTGGCTAATTTTGTATTTTCTGTAGAGATGAGATTTCACCATGTTGGCCAGGCTGGTCTCGAACTCCTGACCTCAGGTAATCCACCTGCCTCAGCCTCCCAAAGTGCTAGGATTACAGGCGTGAGCCACTGCACCCGGCTGATATCAATGTTAAAATTGTGGCATATAGAAAGTTTAATAAAGAAGGAAATGTGGAGAGTAAAATGTAGTTGTAATCCTATTAAAGGCCTTGTCCATTTTCTTTTTTCGTCTGCCAAGAACAAGCAGAGAGTCTTGTCCGTGATGAAAGACTGACAGTGTATTAAAATGTTTAAAGTATTAGGAGGTGGAACACACTTTCAAAGGCAGTTAATAACATTCGCCATATGAACAGTCATTTGATTTAGCACAATAATCTCAGCGTGAAATGTGTAATTTTGCACATAACTGAGTGGCCCCTCCATCTCTGCTACACAGCTCACAGCTCCCTAACCTATCCCGCCCCAAGTCTGACCATCATAAATGCACATCCTCTTTACCTCACTCAGGAATCCAAGTCCCATAATGATTACAGAATGGCTGCTCAGATTATACTCAATAGCCCTGAGATGGGAGAGCCTGAAAGCTAGCCAGTTTCAACGACTTTCACCAGGAACAAAGAACTTAATGATCATTCTCCAGCAAACTAACTTATTTTCCAATACCTCCTTAACCTGGGACCTAACTACGTGTGGTCTCTTTGTTGCTATTCTTGTTTACTAATTATGAGTGCAAGAGATATTTTAATCCAGATATGCTCAATGTATTTCTATTTCCTAATGACAAAGAAGGCTTGATGTGCACAGTGCGATGGGTTATCTTTTGTTCCTTTTACTGTGCTCTGATTTGTTACCCATTAAGGCATATTTGGGCAGAAAAAAGAAAAACTGGGAAGTGGATTGCAACACACACATTTCTTTCTTTTTTTTTTTTTTTTTGAGACGGAGTCTCGCTCTATCACACAGGCTGGAGTGCAGCGGCATGATCTCAGCTCACTGCAACCTCCGCCTCACAGGTTCAAGTGATTGTCCTGCCTCAGCCTCCTGAATAGCTGGGATTACAGGTGCCCGCCACCTCGGCCGGCTAATTTTTGTATTTTTAGTAGAGACGGGGTTTTGCCATGTTGGCCAGGCTGGTCTTAAACCCCTGACCTCAGGTGATCCGCCCACCTCGGCCTCCCGAAGTGCTGGAGTGAGCGAGCCACCGCACCCTGCCAACACACACATTTCTTTTTTCTTTTCTTTTCTTTTCTTTTCTTTTTTTTTTTTTTGAGATGGAGTCTCGCTCTGTCGCCCAGGCTGGAGTGCAGTAGTGGCACAATCTCAGCTCACCGCAACCTCTGCCTCCCAGTTCAAGCGATTCTCCTGCCTCAGCCTCCCGAAAGCTGGGATTACAGATGTGTGCCACCACACCCAGCTAATTTTTGTATTTTTAGTAGAGATGGTGTTTCATCATGCTGTCCAGGTTGGTCTCGAACTCCTGATCTCAGGTAATCCGCCTGCCTCTGCCTCCCAAAGCACTGGGATTACAGGTGTGAGCCACCGCGCCTGGCCAACACACAAATTCCTTAAACTGAGAAACCTCTGAAAACATGTGATCTAATTCAGCTTTTCCCTAGAAAAAAATTAAAGAGGCTGGGTGTGGTGGCTCATACCTGTAATCCTAGCACTTTGGGAGGCTGAGGCAGGCAGATCACTTGAGCCCAGGAGTTCAAGACCAGCCTGGGCAATGTGGCAAAACCCCATTTCTTAAAAAAATACAAACATTAGCCAGGCGTGGTGGCACACACCTGTAGTCCCAGCTACTCAGGAGGCTGAGGTGAGAGGATCACCTGAGCCCAGAAGGTCGTGGTTGCAGTAAGCTGAAATCGTGCCACTGTCTCCAGCCTGGGTGACAGTGAAATCTTTTCTCAAAAATAAAAAAGAAAAAAAAAATTAGGGCCGGGCGCTGTGGCTCACGCCTGTAATCCCAGCACTTTAGGAGGCCGAGGCGGGTGGATCACAAGGTCAGGAGATCGAGACCATCTTGGCTAACACGGTGAAACCCCGTCTCTACTAAAAATACAAAAAATTAGCCGGGCGCGGTAGCGGGCGCCTGTAATCCCAGCTACTCGGGAGGCTAAGGCAGGAGAATGGTGTGAACCCGGGAGGCGGAGCTTGCAGTGAGCCGAGATAGCGCCACTGCAGTTCCACCTGGGCGAAAGAGCCAGACTGTCTGAAAAAAAAAAAAAAAAAAAAAAGCAAATTTGGTGCTTGTTCAAGCACTCTTATCATGGTGTCAAATTCTAGCATAAATTATAACACTCAAAACATACGTACTTTTAAAAGAAAAATAAAAGCAAGCCATTTAAAAATAATATTTTTGGTCAGGCATGGTGGCTTGTCCCTGTAATCCCGGCACTTTCGGAGGCCAAGGTGAACGGATTGCTTGAGTCAGGAGTTCGAGACCAACCTGGGCAACACAGGGAGATTCCATCTCTACAAAAAAATTTAAAAAATTAATCAGGCTTGATGGCACACACCTATAATTCCAGCTACTTGGGAGGCTGAGGTGAGAGGATCCCTTGAGCCCAAGAGTTAAGAGGCTGCAGTGAGCTATGATCGCACCACTGCACTTCAGCCTGGATGATAGCACAAGACCCTGTCTCAAAAAATGAAATAAAACATAAAAACCAAAAAAAAATTTTTTTTTCTAAATGTCACTTGATGGTTTTTTGTTTTTGTTTTTGTTTTTTGAGACAGAGTTTCGCTCTGTCACCCAGGCTAAAGCGCAGTGGTGCGATCTCGGCTCACTGCAACCTCTGCCTCCCGGTTCAAGTAATTCTCCTGCCTCAGCCTCCGGAGTAGCTGGGATTACAAGTGTGCACCACCACACCGGGCTAACTTTTTTCTTCTTTCTTTTTTTTTGTATTTTTAGTAGAGACAGGGTTTCACCATGTTGTCCCGGCTGGTCTCGAACTCCTGACCTCATGCTATCTGCCTGCCTTGGCCTCCCAAAGTGTTGGAATTACAGGCGTGAGCCACTGTGCCCAGCCTAAAAACTAAATCTTACTATTGGGCTATTTTGCACATCTTTTGGTATCCAGATCAAAATTAGTGGAAGTGAAATGGAAATATAATCTAAAAGTATTTCTGTCTGCTAGATTCTTAGGCCCAGAATCTGAATGGCAGGGAAAGGAGGTTCTGCTCATCTTACTAATTATCCCTTTTTTATCTGGAAGTAACTGCTGCTTTCTGGCTGGTTTATTTGTGCCACTTTCTTTTTCTTTGTAGGAAATGGTGTAAATGGGGGTAGATCTTCTTGGTTTATGTTCAGGAGAATGTTTCTGACCTTTTTTTTCCTATTAATATTGCAAAACAGCGTTCCTCGGGGCTTCCCAAGCTTTGGTCTCTTGGCAACAGACTTCGGTCAGAGCACAGTTACCAATAGGCTGTGGAGGGTCGAATTCAGCACGACACACACAGCACTGGCTCCAGGGATCCAGGGAGTGGGAATGCTGTGCTTAGCAGTCTTCGAAGGCAGGCTGGGGTTGAATATTGTGCCTGTCAGATAAACCTCATCCATTAGCCGCTCTAGTAGGTGCGGCTTTTCAGCTGCATCACATTGTGGAGCATCCCATGGACAATGGAAGGCTTTTTTTTTGTTTTTTTGCTCTTTTGTTTTGAGACAGGGTCTCTGTTAACCAGGCTGGAGTGCAGTGGTGCAATCACAGCTCACTGCAGCCTTGACCTCCTGGGCTCAAGTGATCCTCCTGTTTCCTCCTGGGACTACAAGCACACAACACCATGCCTGGCTAATTTTAAATTTTTCATAGAGATGGGGTCTCGCTATGTTGCCCAAGTTGGCCTCCAATTCCTGGGCTCAAGAGGTCCTCCCACCTCAGCCTCCCAAAGTTGCTGGGATTACAGGCATGAGCCACCATACCCACCCAACAATGAACATCTCCACTGAACACCGACGTCTAGTTCCTTCAGCACGTGGTCTTGGAGCAGTTGCCTGCTGGAGACACATTTTAGCTGGAGTGCGATGATGCTGGACAACAGAGTGTACTTGCCAGAGCCTAGGGCCCCCAGGCTCACTGTGATCAGCAGCTGCTTAGAGACATCTGTGCTGGAGAGAAAATCAGGCTGCCTCCAGGCAGACCGGGAGGAGAGTTTTGGCCTGCCTGGCCTGCTCACCCAGCTCTTTCTCATCTTCACTTGCTAATTTGCATGCCTTTTTTGGAGGGGGGATGGGCAGAGTTGGTAAGTCTTTTAACTCACTTGCACACTTACTTGTCATCTATAATCATGCTCCTCCACTTTTTAACATCTTTTAACAGGGGTATAATTTTCTTAGAATGAAATCCTTAGATTTTAAGTGGAGTTGGTTGAGTCTTGACAGAAGCATACACTTCTGTAACCCACACCGTTCTCAAGATAAAAACACCTCCACTGCCCTGGGAAGTCACTCCCTGCCCTTCTCTGTTCATCTCCCACACCCCCATCCCAGTACAATAAGCCACAGGAAGAGTTTGGTGTCCTGAATTTTTTCTGTTTTTTTTTGGTTAGTTTATTTTTATTTTTATTTCTTTTGAGACGGAGTCTCACTCTGTCCAGCAGGCTGGAGTGCACTGGCATGATCTCAGTTCACTGGAACCTCCATCTCCCAGGTTCAAGCAATTAATTCTTGTGCCTCAGCCTCCCGAGTAGCTGGGAGTACAGGCATGCACCATCACGCCTGGCCAGTTTTTGTATTTTAGTAGAGACAAGCTTTCACCTTGTTGCCCAGGCTGGTCTCGAACTCCTGACCTCCAACAATCCAGCCACCTTAGCCTCCCAAAGTGCTGAGATTACAGGCATGAGCTATTGTACCTGGCCACATTATGATTTTTTTTTTTTTTTTTGAGACAGAGTTCTGCTCAGTTGCCCAGGCTGGAGTGCAGTGGCATGATCTCAGCTCACTGCAACCTCCGCCTCCCAGGTTCAAGCAATTCTCCTGTCTCAGCCTCCCCGAGTATCTGGGATTACAGGTGCCTGCCCCCATGCCTAGCTAATTTTTTTTTTTTTTGTATTTTTAGTAGTGACAGGGTTTCACCACCTTGGCCAGGCTAGTGTCAAACTCCTGACCTCAAGTGATCTGCCCGCCTCGGCCTCCCAAATTGCTGGGATTACAGGCATGAGCCACTGTGCCCAGCCCGCATTATGATTTTTAATCTTTGTTTTATATTGTAAGCAATTGTTCATGGTAATACACAGAAGGAAGCCATATTGACTGACTGTCAAGTACTTTGTGAATATTATCTCATTTATTTCTCACAACAACTTTCTCAGGTATCATTATCCCAGTTTTACAGATGAGGCAGCTGAGACCCAGAAAGGTGGAGCTGCTTAGCTAGGCAGCATGGGCCTTATATGGTGGGGCTATTATTAGGAACCAAGCCTGTGCAATTCCCCAGTTCCTGCCCCCACCCTGTCCACACTGCCTCAATAAAAACCCTTATGAGTGACAGTCTTTGAAATACCAGGGTCCTGTGCAGGTGGGACACAGGCAAGACTTGATCTAGAAGGTGTCAGAACCCTGGGTCTGTACGTCCTTGGGAAGGGCCTTGAGTTGACCGTAATGTGCTGGAGTCTGCGCACCTCAGCTCCTGAGCGCTGACTGCTTAATTTTCAGGTTGATGTCAAGTTGGTAGCTTGAAATCGGCCACAGTGAAAGACTTCACACCAAGGAAATTGACACATGCTACAAACCAGGGCTGCCTTTGTACCCCAGAGAGCTGGTTGTTAAACACGTACCAGCACGCCACTGGGGATACGCACCATGCTGACTATGGTTTTCTGAGTGGAATCATCCACAATCTGATAAGCCTTCCTACATGGTTGAGTGAAATGGCACAGGAGCCTAGGGTCTGATCTGAGTTTGGGAGCCCACCGGGCATGCAACTGTGAGCATGGTGCTCCTACTCTGGAGTTTCAGGTTGGTTTTCTGCAATGAAAAGAAGAACAGCCAAGGCACATGGAGTGAGGGTCCTAATAGCGTGTCTGGCCCCAGCTTTCTGCTTCTCCCAGGCTATAGGGTGGAGTTAGAGAAGGGCAGGACCAGGCAGGTTTTAATAGTCTCTTAGCCATTAATAATGAAGAAAGCTGCCTGGAGAGACAGATCTTAATTTTGGTTTGGCAAGAGAAGCTGCTATTTAAAAGTTACTGGTTGTTTTTCAGCCTGGAAGGACACGGAAAGTCACTTGGAGGCTGAGCTGTCCAGGGCTGCTTTGCTCCCAATCTCTCTCTCTCTCTCTGTGTGTGTGTGTGTGTGTGTGTGTGTGTGTGTGTGTGTGTGTGTGTGAAAGTATCCTTTGCACACTGACAGAAGCTGCCTCTCTAAACTGGTGTCTATGAAGACAGGAGCAAGGAAAAAAATTTGCCTTCTTTTTTTTTTATCAGACAGGATCTCACTCTGTTGCCCAGGCTGGAGTACAGTGGTGTGATCTCTGATCACTGCAAACTCCACTTCCGGGGCTCAAGTGATCCTCCCATGTCAGCCTCCCCAGTAGCTGAAACTACAGGCATGTGCCACCATACCCAGCTAATTTTTTTTTTTTTTGAGACTGAGTCATGCTCTGTCACCCAAGCTAGAGTGCAGTGGCGTGATCTTGGCTCACTTCAACCTCCGCTTCCCAGGTTCAAGTAATTCTCCTGCCTCAGTCTCCCAAGTAGTGGAGACTATTTGCATGCACCACCACACCCAGCTAAATGTTTTTGTATTTTTAGTAGAGATGGGGTTTCACCATGTTGGCCAGGCTGGTCTCGAACTCTTGACTTCAGGTGATCTGCCCAACTCAGTCTCCCAAAATGCTGGGATTACAGGTGTGAGGCACTGCGCCTGGCCCTCTGGCTAATTTTTATATTTTTTGTAGAGACAGGATCTCACCATGCTGGCTAAGCTGGTCTTTTTTTTTTTTTTTTTTTTTTTTGAGATGGAGTCTCGCTCTGTCTATCGCCCAGGCTGGAGTGCAGTGGTGCAATCTAGGCTCACTGCAACCTCCGCCTCCCGGGTTCAAGTGATTCTACTGCCTCGGCCTCCCGATTAGCTGGGATTACAGGTGCCCGCCACCATGCCCGGTTAATTTTTGTATTTTTAGTAGAGACAGGGGTTTCGCCGTGTTGGCCAGTCTGGTCTGGAACTCCTGAACTCAGGTGATCTGCCCGCCCTGGCCTCCCAAAGTGCTCGGATTACAGGTGTGAGCCACCTTGCCCAGCCCAAGCTGGCCTTAAACTACTGGATTTAAGCAATCTGTCCGCCTCAGTCTCCCAAAGTGCTGGGATTACAGGCATGAGCCACTGAACCCACCCAAAATTTGCATTCTAGGAATAATCAGCTGGAGATGCTAACCCCTTCCCTTTGAAGGTCTGTGTGGTTCGACTATCTGTGAAGCCCTACAATGCCTTTTCTCTTTCTATTCTCTCTGGTATTCCTAGTAGATCTTATCCCTCCTTCTGAATGTATTTATCCCTTATCTTTCCTTTCAGATTCGAAATTAATTTGAAAAAAAATAGAAAATATAGGTAAACAAAATTAAGGCGGGCAAAGCAGGCATTATGAGAGATGACCACTCCAAATTCACAAGCACATATACCACCATGAACTCCTTGCCCATATCCATTCAGGCTGCCTTTCAGTTATATACAAATATGGATGTAGAAGAGGACTTACTGAAGATGTGCTGTATGTAGCCTGTTATTTTCCCTTGACAATGTATATCTTAGACACATTCAGGTTATAAATATACATGGGGAGAGATCATCATGAATAAATAAATATAAAATATATCAAGGGATGATAACTGCCATAAAAGATAGTAAAGCAGGCTTAGGGGTAGGAAGTGATCAGAAAGACAATCTTAGATACATTTGCTCTGATCAGGTGACATTTGAGCAGTGATTTGAATCATGTGAATCACTGGAAGAATATTCTTGGCAGAAGTGAAGGGCTGGAGGTGAGTATGTGATGATGTGCTTTGTGGATTAGGGGTTAAGCACAGAAGGGACAGTTTTCGAAGGTCACTGTGGCTGCTGAGTGGAGAATAGACTATAGGTGGGCAATGGTGAAAATGGTTAAGAGCCAAATTAAATAATTGGGAGAGAGATGAGGGCGGCTTGCCCTAGGGTGTTGACTGTGGAGGTACCAGATATACATGTATGTGTGTGTGTGTGTGTGTGTGTGTGTGTGTGTGTGTGTATAGATAGATACATACATATTACACATATATATTATGTATTATACTTACATATTATGCACACATACATTTTTTATAACATACATATACATGCATACATATACATACATAAGCATACATATATTTTATATACATATAAAAATATACATTATATATGTATATACATATAAAAATATACATTATATATGTATATACATATATAATGTATGTTATACATGTTATATATAATATAAAATACATGTATATAATATATAAATACAATAGATGTATGTTTATGTATATATGTATAATATATGTATGCATCTATAATATGTCTTATACCTCCACAGTCACCACCCTAGTGCAAGCCACCTCATCTCTCTCCTGGATTATTTAATTTGGCTCTTAACTATTTTCACTTTTGCTCACCTACATACATACATACATATTTATATATATTATATATAAATATATATAATATATAATATATAATATATATATTATATAATATATATATTATATTATATTTAATATATATATATATTTTTTGAGACAGAGTCTCACTCTGTCACCCAGGCTGGAGTGCAGTGGCACGATCTCGGCTCACTGCAACCTCTGCCTCCTGGGTTCAAGCGATTCTCCTGCCTCAGTCTCCCAGGTAGATGGGATCCAGGCACCCGCCACCACGCCAAGCTAATTTTTGTATTTTTAGTAGAGATGGGGTTTCACCAAGTTGGCCAGATTGGTCTCGAACTCCTGACCTCAGGTGATCTACCTGCCTTGGCCTCCCAAAGTGCTGGGATTACAGGTGTGCACCACAGTACCTGGCCTTATATTATATATATTTATACTTTATATATATTATATATATTTTAATATATATAATATATATATGTTTAATATATGTATGTATATATATTTTTTGAGATGGAGTCTCGCTCTGTCTCGCCCCAGGCTGGAGTGCAGTGGCACGATCTCAGCGCACTGCAGCCTGTGCCTCCTGGGTTCAAGCGATTCTCCTGTCTCAGCCTCCTGAGTAGCTGGGAATATAGGCGTGCCTAGGTAATTTTTGTATTTTTAGTAGAGACAGGGTTTCATCATGTTGGCTAGGCTGGTTTCAAACTGCTGACCTCAGGTGATCTATCCACCTCAGCTTCCCAAAGTGCTGGGATGACAAGTGTGAGCCACCATGCCCAGCCTATATTTATATTATATATATTATATAATATATATTTATACAAATATATATAAATATATGTATATGTTATATGCATATATAATATATAATGTATTATATATCTATATTATCTATTTTATATGCATATTATACATATTATATATATGTATATAGGATATTCACTATGTTGCCCATGCTGATCTCAAACTCCTGGGTTCAAGCAATCCTCCTGCCTTAGCCTCCTGAGTAGCTGGGATTATAGGAATGTGCTTCTGCATCCTGCTAGGGATCTATTTTGAAGACAGCTGACAGCATTGCTGATGGATAGAGAAGGGAGATATGAGAGAAGAATCAAGAAGGACACAGTATTTTTGGCCTGAAAAATCAGATGAATAGAGCTGTCACTAATGAGATGGGAGAAGAGTGGGAGAAGAACAGGTTTTGTGGGGAAAGTAAAGATTTAATTTTGGTTATATTCAGTTTGAACCACCATGACTTACTTTTTTTTTTCTTCCTTTTTTTAATTGACAGGGTTTTTATATCACCAAGTGGAAAAGGTTACCAGGGGGTCAGGGGAGAGGAGAGAGTTGGTGACACAAATCTGGGGTTGTTGGAATAACAATGGGATTGAAAGCCATGGAATTGGATGACAGTGCCTCCAAAGGGAATATAGGTAAGAAGTCCAAGGGCTGTATCTTGGGGACTGTCACCATTTAGAGGTTGAAAAAGTGAGGAGGTGGTGGCTTACACCTGTAATCCTAGCATTTTGGGAGGCTGAGGTGGGAAGATCACTGGAGCCCAGTAGTTTGACACCAGGCTGGGCAACATAGTGAGACCCCATCTCTACAAAAAATAAACAAAATTAGTAGGGTGTAGTGGTAAGTGCCTGTAGTCCTAGCTACTTAGGAGACTGAGACAAGAGAATTGCTTGAGCTATGATCCACCACTGCACTCCATCCTTGGTGACAGAGCAAGAAGACACTGTGAAAGAAAGAGAGAGACAGAGAGAGAAAGAAAGAAAGAAAGAAAGAGAGAGAGAAAGAAAGAAAGAAAAGAAAGAAGGAAGGAAGGAAGGAAAGAGGGAGGAAGGAAGGAAGAAAGAGAGAGAGTCCAGGCGCGGTGGCTCATGCCTGTAATCCCAGCACTTTGGGAGGCTGAGGTGGGCGGATCACGAGGTCAGGAGTTCAAGACCAGCCTGACCAACTTGGTGAAACGCCGTCTCTACTAAAAAGACAAAAATTAGCTGGGCATGGTGGTGGGCGCCTGTAATCCCAGCTACTCAGGAGGCTGAGGCAGGAGAATCGCTGAACCTGGGAGGCAGAGGTTGCAGTGAGCCGAGATCGTGCCATTACGCTCCAGCCTGGGTGACAGAGCGGCACTCCATCTCCAAAAAAAAAAGGAGAAAGAAGAAAAGAAAAGAAATCATATTTAGCCAGGCATTGTGGCTCATATCTGTAGTCCAAGCACTTTGGAAGATCGACAGAGGAGGACAGCTTTAGCCCAGGAGTATGAGACCATCCTGTGCAACATGATGAAACCCCGTCTCTACAAAAAAATTAAAAATTTAGCAGGGTGTGGTAGCATGTGCCTGTGGTCCCAGCGACATGGAAGGCTGAGACAGGATGATCGCTGATGCCCGGGATTTTGAGGCTGCGGTGAGCTATGATGGTGCCAGTGCACTCAGCCTGGGCAATAGAGAGACCCTGTCTTTCAAAACTACAATACCAAGATTGGGCGCAATGGCTCACGCCTGTAATCCCAGAACTTTGGGAGGCTGAGGCGGGTGGAACACTTGAGGTCAGGAGTTCGAGACCAGCCTGGCCAAAATGGTGAAACCCCGTCTCTACTAAAAATACAAAAATTAGCCAGGTGTCATGGCAGGCGCCTGTAGTCCCAACTACTTGAGAGGCTGAGGCAAGAGGATCGCTTGAACCTGGGCCACTTGAACCTGGGAGGCAGAGGTTGCAGTGAGCCGAGATTGCACCACTGCACGCAAGCCTGGGTTACAGAGAAAGACTTCGTCTCAAAAAAAAAGAAAATAATAGGCAGGGCGTGATGGCTCACGCCTGTAATCCCAGCACTTTGGGAGGCGGATGCAGGAGGATCACTTGAGGTCAGGAGGTTGAGACCAGCCTGGCCAACATGGTGAAACCCTATCTCTACTAAAAATACAAAATTAGCCGGGCATGGTTGCGCTCACCTGTAATCCCAGCTACTTGGGGAGCTGAGGCAGGAGAATTGCTTGAACCCGGGAGGTGGAGGTTTACAGTGAGCCAAGATCCCGCCATTGCACTCCAGCCTGGGCAAAAAGAGCAAAACTCTGTCTTAACAAAAAAAAAAAAAAAAGAAAGAAAAGAAAATAATAGCAATTTAGTCACTTTCCAATCTCTATTTCTTCCTCCTCCTCCTCCTCCTCCTCCTCTTCCTCCTCCTCCTTCTTATGTTGTGACTTGGATAAATCTCTTCTTGATGGTTGGCCTTTTCAAGTTTTCTATTTATTTTGGGGTCAGTTCTCAAACTTCCTGCATTCTGGGAAATTTTACCACCTTTTATTTCAAATCCTTCAACTACAATTTGTTTTTTAATTTTAGCAACCAGGTTTTTAGTTCCAAGAGGACTTTCTTGTTCTCTATTCATTTTTCAGAGCACCCTGTTGTTGTTTAATGGATGCAATAGCCTCACATTTCCCTAAAAATACTAACTAGGATCTCTTAAATTATCTGTGCTACCTCTGAAATCCTTTTTTATACTTGTTTATATTGGTCTTCTTTCACATAGCAAGCTTTCCTCAAATGCCTGTAAAGTCTTGTTTGGTGTTTGTTTGGGGTTTTGTTTTGTTTTGAGACAGGGTCTCATTTTGTCACCCAGGCTGGAGTACAGTGGTATGAACAGCCTCCACCTCCTAGACTTAAGCAGTCCTCCCACCTCAGCTTCCTGAATAGCTGGGACTACAGGCGTGTGCCATCACACCTGGCTAATTTTTGTGTTTTTTTATAGAGACAGAGTCTCACTATGTTGCCCAGGCTGGTCTTTTATTATTATTATTATTATTAGAGATGGAGTCTCGCTCTGTCACCCAGGCTGGAGTGCAGTGGTGCGATCTTGGCTCACTACAACCTCCGCCTCCTGGGTTCAAGCGATTCTTCTGCCTCAGCCTCTCAAGTAGCGGGGACTACAGGCATGTGCCACCACACCCAGCTAATTTGTGTATTTTTAATAGAGACGGGGTTTTGCCATGTTGGCCATGCTAGTCTCGAACTCCTGAACTGAAGTGATCCACCTGCCTCGGCCTCCCAAAGTGCTGGGATTACAGGTGTGAGCCACTGTGTGTGGCCCCAGGCTGGTCTTGAGCTCCTGAGGTCAAGCATTCTGTCTGTCTCAGCCTGCCGAAGTGCTGGGATTATAGGCATGAGCCACAGCACCCGGCCTGATGTATTTTTTTTTTTATTATTTTTTTTTGGGGCGGAGTCTCGCTCTGCCGCCCAGGCTGGAGTGCAGTGGCGCGATCTCGGCTCACTGCAAGCTCTGCCTCCCGGGTTCACGCCATTCTCCTGCCTCAGCCTCCCGGGTAGCTGAGACTACAGGCACCCACCACCACACCCGGCTAATTTTTTGTATTTTTTAGTAGAGACGGGGTTTCACTGTGTTAGCCAGGATGGTCTCGATCTCCTGACCTCGTGATCCGCCCGCCTCGGCCTCCCAAAGTGCTGGGATTACAGGCGTGAACCACCGTGTCCGGCCAACTTTTGTATTTTTAGTAGAGACAGGGTTTCACTATGTTGGCCAGGCTAGTCTCGAACTCTCGACCTCAGATGATCCGCCTGCTTCGGCCTCTCAAAGTGCTGGGATTACAGGCATGAGCCACCGGGACTGGCTGCATTCACTCTTTCTTAAAAATGTACATCAGGCAGGCCGGGCGCGGTGGTTGACTCCTGTAATCCTGGGAGGCAGAGGTTGCAGTGAGCCGAGATCACGCTACTGCGCTCTGGCCTGGGTGAAAGAGCGAGACTCCGTCTCAAAAAAAAAAAAAAAAAAAAAGAAAGAAAGAAAGAAAAAAAGAGTGAATGCAAAGGCTCTCCAGGATTTCGCGTGTACTTGATTTCTGACTGAAGGCTTCATTTCTGGAGGAATGGGAGGGGCCATGACGGTGAAAGGGTACCTCTAAAGGAGGAATTTATTTGGGACGGTAGCTCCCGCTTCAACTGTCTTCATTATCTTCAGAGAGTGTTTAGTTTCTCTCCCCCACCCCACTGCCTGACAAGGTCAATTTCTTTAGAAAAGAACCCTCCCGTTCTAGTCTGCTGTGCTGTGTGGTGGAGGGTTGTTTGAGTGGAGCATTCAATTAACACTTAGATTTACAGCCCATTTATTACTTCAACTCTTTATCTCAATTCTCATTTCCCAGTCAGAAACTTCTCTAGAATTTTACCATTAAAGGAGACTCTCTTTTCCAACGTCCTTCCCACCCCCCCATTTTCTAATTTGTCGCTTTCTCCAATATGGTTCATTATTAACTTTTACCCATTCAGTTTCCGTCACCGGGACATTTGTTAAAACCTCTAGTTCAGCTGGGCGTGGTGGCTCATGCCTATTATCCCCGCACTTTGGGAGGCCAAGGAGGGGTGGATCACCTGACGTCAGGAGTTTGAGACCAGCCTGACCAGCATGGCGAAACCTCGTCTCTACTAAAAATACACACAAATTAGCCGGGCGTGGTGGTGCAGGCCCTGTAATCCCAGCAACTTGTGAGGCTGAGGCAGGAGAATCGCTTGAACCCGGGAGGGCGAGGTTGCAGTGAGCCAAGATTGTGCCATTACACTCCAACCTGGACGACGAGCGACGAGAGCCAAACTCCGTTTCAAAAAAAAAAAAAAAAAAACACCTCTAGTTCACTGGTGAATGAATTGCCTCCTCTGCTTCTTTTAGGTGTAGGTATCTCATTTTTATATTTATTTATTTATTTATTTGAGACAGGGTCCCAAACTGTCACCCAGCTGAAATGCAATGGCACAATCTTGGGTCACTGGAACCTCTCCCTCCCAGGTTCAAGCGTTCCTCCCACCTCAGCCTCCTGAGGAGCTGGGACCACAGGAATAGACAACCACACTCGGCTCATTTTTGTAATTTTTTTTTTTTGTAAAGATGGGGTTTTGCCATGTTGCCCAGGCTGGTCTTAAACTCCTGGGCTCAAGTCTGGTCTCGAACTCCTGGCCTCAAGCGACCTGCCTGCCTTGACCTCCTAAGGTGCTGGGATTACAGGTGTGAGCCACCGTGCCCAGCCACAGTTGTTACTTCTGATTTACTCTCTTAGGTGTCTAATCAAAATCTGATTTATGGGTCACTTTTCCTACTACTGCTTCTGATGACAATTCTACTGTGTATTTACTATGAGCCATTGTGCTCATATTTATTTCATTGCCACAGCAACACTGGGAAGTAGGTATTATTTCCATTTTATAGGTGAGTGCGTCTGCCTAGCCAGAGTCATCCTTTTGAAACACAGCTCTTAAAACCCCAAGTCCTTTCACAGCTTTCTTTCTTTTCTCTTTTCTCTTTTGTTTGAGGCAGAGTCTTACTCTGCCGCCCAGGCTGGAATGCAGTTGCGCAATCTTGGCTGGAGTGCAGTTGTGCAATCTTGGCTCATGGCAACCTCCGCCTCCTGGGTTCAAGTGATTCTCCTTGTCTCAGCCTCCTGAGTAACTGGGACTACAGGCACACACCACCATGCTCAGCTAATTTTTGTATTTTTAGTAAAGACGGGGTTTTGCCATGTGGCCAGGCTGGTCTCAAACTCCTGACCTCAAGTGATCCGCCCGCCTTGGTCTTGCAAAGGGCTGGGATTACAGGCATGAGCCACTGTGCCCGACCCTTTCATAGCTTTCTGTTGCCCTCAGAATAAAAATCAAAGTAAAAATTCCTTAACTTGGTTTACAAGAGACTCATCGCCTGGCCTCTACAGCTCTGAACTCACCTCACACACTGTGGGCTCCAGCAACACTGACGTTTTCTCAGTTCCTTTCAACACAGTAATCCTGTTCTTGCCACCGGTTTTCTTCACCTGAACACTCTCCTGTTCCTACCACCAGCTCCCATTCACCCTTCAGACCTCAGCCTCCGCATCACTCTCCTCTCCCCTCATATTTCTGTCCCCACCCTGAACTAGGTTAAGGCACTCATAGAATGAGTTATCACAGCACTTATCCCATTTCACTGTTATTGCTGGTGAAACAAACACGGTAATTACATATTTCTTCCATCTTTTCCCTTTACCCCGGGTAGTAGAGTCTTCTGAGGTCAGACGAGATTGGGTGCGTTCTGGGTGGTATGGCCGCAGACGGTAATAGAGTCTTTAATGACATGTAGATCAGATTCCATAACTTCTCAGTCTCTTTCAGCTATTAAAGATGTGTCCAGTTTGACATATTACAACAGACTACTGGAAGGATCAGTAAACTATGGCCTATGGGCCAAATCTGCTCACTCTAATTTTATATATAAGGTTTTATTGAAACAGTCACACCTCACTCATTCTATATTGTCTATGGCTGCTTCCGCACTACATCATTAGAATTGAGTAACTGCTGGCTGGGAGCGGGGGCTCATGCCTGTAAGCCCAGCACTTTGGGAGGCCGAGGCAGGCAGATCACCTGAGGTCAGGAGTTCAAGACCAGCCTGGCCAACATGGTGAAACCCCATATCTACTAAAAATACAAAAATTAGCTGGATGTGGTGGTGGGCACCTGTAATCCCAGCTATTCGGGAGGCTGAGGCAGGAGAATCACTTGAACCTGGGAGGCAGAGGTTGCAGCAAGCCAAGAGGTTGCAGAGTGCCACTGTACTCCAGCCTGGGGGACAGAGTGAGACTCCATTTCAAAAATAAATAAAGAAACTTATGCAGCTAGCCTGGGTGCAGTGACTCATGCCTATAATTCCAGCACTTTGGGAGGCTGATGCAGGCAGATCGCTTTAGTCCAGGAGTTCAAGACCAACCTGGGTGACATGGCAAAACCCCATCTCTACACAAAACACAAAAATTAGCTGGGTGTGGTGGTGCATGCCTGTGGTCCCAGCTACTCAGGAGGCTTAAGTGGGAGGATCCCTTGAGCCTGGGAGGTGGAGACTGCAGTGACCCATGATTGCACCACTGCACTCCAGCCTGGGTGACAGAGTGAGACCCAGTCCAAAAAAACAAACAAACAAACAAACAAAAAAAACAGATGCAGCAACTTTGGAAAACAGTTGAGCATTTCCTCAAAATGTTAAACATAGAGTTACCACGTGACCCAGTAGTTCCACTCCTAAGAATATGCTGAAGAGAATTAAAGACATACGTCCATACAAAAACTTGTGCACAAATGTTTTTAAATGTAGTGTTCATGATAATATCTAAAAGACTGGAAAAAAGGCCAGGCATGGTGGCTCACGCCTGTAATCCCAGCACTTTGGGAGGCCAAGGCGGGTGGATCACCTGAGGGTAGGAGTTTGAGACCAGTCTGGCCAACACGGAGAAACCCCATCTCTACTAAAAATACAAAATTAGCTGGGTGTGGTGGCGCATGCCTGTAGTAATCCCAGCCACTCAGGAGGCTGAGGCAGGAGAATCACTTGAACCCGGGAGGCAGAGCTTGTGGTGAGCCGAGATCGAGCCATTGCTCTCCAGCCTGGGCAACAAGAGCGAAACTCCATCCCAAAAAAAAAAAAAATTATGCTGAACTTGATTGTGGTGATGGTTGCACAACTCCAAGTATACCAAAAAACAATGAACTGTACACTTCAGATATGTGAATTATATGAATGTGAGTTATAGCTCAATAAATCTGTGAAAGAAAGAACAAATAGAAGGAAGAAATAGAAGGAAGGAGGGAAGAGAAGGAGGAAGGGAAGGAAAGGAAAGAAAGAAAGGAAAGCAAAGCAAAGCAAAGGAAAGGAAGAGTGTTCAGTTTAAAAGTCCAATTTCTTTTTCTTTTTTTTTCCCCAAGAAGGAGTCTTGCTCTGTCACCCAGGCTGGAGTTGAGTGGCGCAATCTCCGCTCACTGCAACTTCTGTCTCCTGGGTTCAAGCAATTCTCCTGCCTCAGCCTCCTGAGTAGCTGGGATTACAGGCACCCGCCACCACGCATTTTTGTATTTTTAGTAGAGACGGGTTTCACCATAGTGGTCAGGCTTGTCTCGAACTCCTGACCTCAGGTAATCTGCCCGCCTCAGCCTCCCAAAATGCTGGGATTATGAATGTAAAGCGCTGTAGAATAATTTTGCTCATGGAAAATGCTCAAAGTTGAAACAGGCTTAGTAGAAATGAGAAGAAAAATATGTACAGATGAAAAATATACAGATGAAAATAGAGATTGGTGAGAAATGAAAATAGAGTCTTTTGGCCAGAACTGCCGTCTTCCAGTAATTTGCCAAAATGATGAACACAAAGGGAAAGAGGAGAGGCATCCGATATATGTTCTCTAGGCCTTTGAGAAAACATGGAGTTGTTCCTTTGGCCCCATATATGCAAACCTATAAGAAAGGTGATATTGTAGACATCAAGGGAATGGGCACTGTTCAAAAAGGAATGCCCCACAGTGTTACCATGTCTAAACTGGAAGAGTCTACAATGTTCCTCAGCGTCCTGTTGGCATTGTTGTAAACAAACAAGTTAAGGGCAAGATTCTTGCCGGAGAATTGATGTGCGTATTGAGCATATTAAGCATTCTAAGAGTCAGGATAGCTTCCTGAAGTGCATGAAGGAAAATGATCAGAAAAAGAAAGAAGCCAAAGAGAAAGGTACCTGGGTTCGACTGAAGCGCCAGCCTGTTCCACCCAGAGAAACGCACTTTGTGAGAACCAGTGGGAAGGAGCCTGAGCTGCTGGAACCTATTCCCCATGAATTCATGGCATAATAGGTGTTAAAAAGAAAAAGAAAAAAAAAAAGACCTCTGGGCTGTTAAAAAGAAAAAAAAAAAGGAAATGAAAATGGAGGTTGGTAAATAGTGAGAAATGCTATTATAATAAGCAAATACAATTCAGCCCAAATGTCTGATCCCAGGAGTTTAGAGTTTGCAAGCGTAACTACTTTGCTGTGAAACAAACCTCATGCAAACGCAGGACATGGCATTTGTATATATTTCTTTTGTTTGTTTTCCCCAGTCACCATTTTAAGTATATATTTATTTACATAGATTACTTCCCTTTCTTCTTTCAGAGGCACCAAACTGGGCCGGGTGTGGTGGCTCACGCCTGTAATCCCAGCACTTTGGGAGGCCGAGGCGGGCAGATCACGTCCGGAGATCAAGACCATGCTTGCTAACTCGGTGAAACCCCGTCTCTACTAAAAATACAAAAAAATTAGCCGGGCGTGGTGGCGGGCGCCCGTAATCCCAGCTACTCAGGAGGCTGAGGCAGGAGAATGGTGTGAACCCAGGAGGTGGAGCTTGCAGTGAGCCAGCCTGGGCGACACTCCAACCTGGGCAACAGAGCAAGACTCCTTCTCAAAAAAAAAAAAAAATTATCAAAGGCACCAAACTGGTAACAAGTTATTTCCAATACAACAGAATGATAAGTACAAAGAGTATACAAAAATTATATCCATATACAAAAATTAGCCAGGTGTGGTGGTGCACGCCTGTAGTCCCAGCTACTCCAGATATAGGAGAATTGCTTGACCTGGGAGGTGGAGTTTGCAGTGAGCCAAGATCGCACCACTGCACTCCAGCCTGGGTGACAGAATAAAGCTCTTTCTCAAAAAAAAAAAAAAAAAAAAATTAGCTGGGGCAAGCTGTGGCAGGTGCTACAGGGAAGGCGGAGGCACAAGAATCGCTTGAACCCGGGAGGCAGAGGTTGCAGTGAGCAGAGATCATGCCACTGTACTCCAGTCTGGAAGAGTGAGACTCCATCTCAAAATAAATAAATAAATAAATAAATAAATAAATAGAAATAAGAAAGAAAAAAATAAAACATAAGAACCAAGGAGAAAAACTCAGCAGATTGCCTAAATCACCAGAGTCTAGTTTTGTTTTCCTATTCTGTACTTCTCTCCTTTTCCCCCAGTGTTCTCCTCTTCTTCCTCTTCTCCTTCTTCTTCTTCTTCTTGCTCTTCCTCTTCTTCTTTTTTTTTTTTTTTTTTCGTTTTTGAGACGGAGTCTTGCTCTTGTCGCCCAGGCTGGAGTGCAATGGCACGATCTAGGCTCACTGCCTCCGTCTCCCAGGTTCAAGCGATTCTCCTGCCTCAGCCTCTCAATTAGTTGGGATTATGAGCGCCCGCCACCACACCTGGCTAATTTTTGTATTTTTAGTAGAGATGGGATTTCACCATGTTGGCCAGGCTGGTCTTGAATTCCTGACCTCATGATGTGCCTGCCTTGGCCTCCCAAAGTGCTGAGATTACAGGCGTAAGCCACTGCTCCTGGCCTTCTTTTTTTTTTTTTTTTTTTTTTTTTTGAGACAAGGTGTTGATCTGTTGCCCAGGCTGGAGTGCAATGGCATGATCTCAGCTCACTGCAACCTCCGCCTCCCAGGTTTAAGCAATTCTCCTGCCTCAGCCTCCCAAGTAGCTGGGATTACAGGTGCCCCTCACCATGCCTGGCTAATTTTTTGTATATTTAGTAGAGACGGGGTTTTGCCACTTTGGCCAGACTGGTCTCGAACTCCTGACCTCAGGTGATCAACTCCCCTCGGCCTCCCAAAATGTTGGGATTACAGGCGTGAGCCACTGCGCCCGGCCTGGTACAATTTTTTTAAGCATATAAGGTGCCACCATATTTGTGTAGCCAAGGCCAGGAGTGTGATTGCTTTGGAATTCTGACTGGGGCACGTGTGGTATAATCCCAGCACTTTGGGAGGCTGGGGTGGGAGAATCACTTGAGGCCAGGAGTTTGAGGATGCAGTGAGCTATGAACATGTCACTGCACTCCAGCCTCAGCAATAGAGTGAGATTCTGTCTCAAAAAGAAACATAAAACAAAAACCAAAAACCTAACCTTTGTTCTGAGAGCCTGCTTCTTTCAGTATTTCTATCACACCTCTTTTTTTTTTTTTTTTTTTTTTGAGACAGGGTCTCACTTTGTCGTCCAGACTGGAGTGCTGTGGTGCTTCCACAGTTCACCATAGCCTGGACCTCCTGGGTTCAAGCGATCCTCCCATCTCAGCCCCACAAATAGCTGGGACCACGGGCACGAGTCACCATGCCTGACTAATTTTTGTATTTTGTGTAGAGATGAGGTTTTGCCATGTTGCCTGGGCCAGTCTTCAACTCCTGAGCTCGAGCAATCCGCCTGCCTTGGTTTCCTAAAGTGCTGGGATTACAGGCGTGAGCCACCGCACTCAGCATCTTCTATCACACTTGATGGGGAATTAGAGGTTCACATTCCAGGCCTGGCCTGTCACCTGCACACAGCCCTCTGTTCCTACCATAGCAGATAGAAGATTCTTCCCACCCCATCCAGTGAATCACACTGGGAACTTCTTCAGGGTTCTGACGCCACATGGCAGTTCCTGTAGCCAAGGCCTGGTAGCCAATAGATGCTCCATAAATGGTGAATAGAAACATACATGGGCTGGCCGCGGTGGCTTATGCCTGTAATCACAGCACTTTGGGAGGTTGAGGCGGGTGGATCACCTGAGGTCGGGAGTTTGAGACCAGCCTGGCCAACATGGCAAAACCCCGTCTCTTCTAAAAATACAAAAAAAGTGTCCGGGCATGGTGGTGGGCACCCATAATCCCAGCTACTCAGGACACTGAGGCAAGAGAATCACTTGAACCCGGGAAGCGGAGGTTGCAGTGAGCCGAGATCCCGCCACTGCACTCTAGCCTGGGCAACAAGAACAAAACTCTGTCTCAAAAAGAAAAAAAAGAAAGAGAGAGAGAGAGAGAAACACATGAACAAGCCAGGCATGGTGGCTCACACCTATAATCCCAGAACTTTGGGAGGCCGAGGCCGGTGAACCACTTGAGGCCAGGAGTTAGAGACCAGCCTGGCCAACATGGCAAAGTCCTGTCTCTACTAAAAATACAAAAAAGAAAAAAAAGCAAACAGAGGGGCTGGGTGCGGTGGCTCACGCCTGTAACCCCAGCAGCTTGGGAGGCCAAGCTGGGCAGATCACCTGAGGTCAGGAGTTCGAGACCAGCCTGGCCAACATGGTAAAACCTCATCTCTATTAAAAATACAAAAAAAAACTGAGCAAGGTGGCGGGCACCTGTGATTCCAGCTATGAGGGAGGCTGAGGCAGAAGAACTGTTTGAACCTGGGAGGCGGAGGTTGCAGTAAGCTGAGATCTTGCCACTGCACTCCAGCCTGGGTGACAGAGAGAGACTGTCTCAAAAAAAAAAAAAAAAAGAAAAGAAAAGAAAGAAACATACACAAACAAGTGAACTGAGTGCTCAGTACATGCACTTGGCATTTATATATTATGTCTTCATCTATGCATATTATTATTTTTTCTTTTTCTTTCTTTTTTCTTTTTTAGATGGAGTCTCACTCTGTCTCCTAGGCTGGAGTGCAATGGTGCGATCTCGCTGCAACCTCCGCCTCCTGGGTTCAAGTGATTCTCCTGCCTCAGCCTCCTGAGTAGCTGGGATTACAGGCGCATGCCATCACACCCTGCTAATTTTTGTATTTTTAGTAGAGAAGGGGTTTCACCATTTTGGCCAGGCTGGTCTCGACTTCCTGACCTGAAGTGATCTGCCTGCCTCGGCCTAAATGCTAGGATTATAGGCATGAGCCACTGCACCTGGCCTATCTATGCATATTTTTCTAATTACAAAATAATACATGATTACTATATAAAATAGTTATGATTATAGAGGTCTATGAAAATGAGTTTCCCCTACAACCCTGCTTGGCAATAACCACTAAAAGCAATTTGGTTTTTTTGTTTTGTTTTGTTTTTTTTGAGACGGAGTCTCACTCTGTCGCCCAGGCTAGAGTACAGTGGTGTGATCTTGGCTCACTGCAACTTCTGTCTCCCGGGTTCAAGCGATTCTCCTGCCTCAGCCTCCTGAGTAGCTGGGATTACAGGTGCCCACCACCATGCCAGGCTAAATTTTGTATTTTTAGTAGACACAGGGTTTCGCCATGTTGGCCAAGCTGGTCTCGAACTCTTGACCTCGTGATCTGCCTGCCTCGGCCTCCCAAAGTGCTGGGATTATAGGCATGAGCCACCGTGCCCGGCCCCAGTACAATTTTTTTTTTAAGCATATAAGTTTCCACCATGTTTGTGCAGCCAGGACCAGGAGTGCGACTGCTTCAGAATTCTGACTGGGCCAGGTTTGGTGTAATCCTAGCACTTTGGGAGGCTGGGATGGGAGGATAGCTTGAGCCCAGGAGTTTGAGGCTGCAGTGAGCTATGAACATGCCACTGCACTCCAGCCTGGGTGACACAGTGAGACCCTTTCTATAACAATAATAATAATAAAGAATTCTGAATAGGTAAGACTATTGATGATGATGATGATGTTGGACTTGTGTTTACTGAGAGTACTAAGTCCCAGACTCTGTTCAGAGCACCTTACGTGCATTATCTCCTTTAATTCGAAGAGATTCTCTGAGACAGGTACAGGTAAGTGTGTGCTCCTCATAGGAGCAGTACAGCCTAGTGGTACCCGGTTGCCTGGTCTCAAATTTCAGGTATACATGCACAAGATATATGGCCTTAGTAACTTTTTTTTTTTTTTGAGACATGGTCTCACTCTCACTGGGGCTGGAGTGCAGTGGCACCATCATGGCTCCCTGCAGCCTCTACCTCCTGGGCTCAAGTGATCCTCATCCTCCTGTTCAGCCTCCCAAGTGGCTGGGACCACAGTCTCGTGCAACAGCCCAGCTAATTTTTCTACTTTTTGTAGAAATGGGGGTCTCACTATGTTGCCCAAGCTGGTCTTGAACTCCTGGGCTCAAGCGATACTCCAGGCTCAGCCTCAGCCTCCCAAAGTGCTGGGATTACAGGCATGAACCACTGCACCTGGCCCAGTAACATTCTTACCCTCTCTGTGCCTTAGGTTTCTCGGTAAAACAAAGATGATAATAACACCTCCCTCATAGGGTTGTGGCCCAAATGCAATGAATGAATGTGTACCAAGCATGTGACGTGCCTGGCATGATTTTACAGATGAGGACATGGAGGTGATCCAGCGTAGATTCAAAGCTGCATTCACTGGCCTGGTTCCCTAGCATGAGCGGTCAGTGCCTGCTCAGTCCTCCCAGGCATCCCTTTCTGGGGGACAGCCTGTTCCTGGGTCTCTGAGGCAGTATGGGGAGGTGGAGTCAGGGAAAGTTCACTTCTTGATCCTTCCTGTGTTTCCTCAGCTGTTGAGCACAACAGTGGCTTTCGTAATTAAACAGTAGACAGTCTTAGGAGAACTAGGAGCAAGCCCTTCCCACTCTAAAACCCTCAGAATTGCTTTGCTGGTTATAAAACGAATTTGTGCAACTCCCTGGGAAGGTCTCAGGGTCAGGTGTTTTGTGGGAGAATCATTTCCTGCTTGGCCTGAGGGAAGAGCTGCTTCTTCCTGCTGAGATTCAGGCCAGTGGAGGCAAGCCTGCATGCAGACGCCACAGCCCATCCCTGACCCTCCCACCCCCACCCGGGACTCTGTTGTGGGTAGTCAGGCAGAAAATGAAAGGGAAGGGGGCTCTGTTCACAAAGTTGCTGTGCAAATCATTTATTTATTTATTTATTTATTTATTTATTTATTTATTTATTTTAAAGTTCTTTTTTTTTTTTTTTTTTGATACAGGGTCTTGCTCTGGCACCAGGCTGGAGTGCAGTGGCATGATCTCAGCTCACTGCAACCTCCGCCTCCCAGGTTCAAGCAATTCTCCTGCCTCAGCCTCCCGAGTAGCTGGGATTACAGGTGTGCACCACCACACCCGGCTAATTTTTGTGTTTTTAATAGAGATGGGGTTTCATCACATTGGCCAGGCTGGTCTCAAACTCCTGTCCTCTCACCTCCACCTCCCAAAATGCTGCCTTTTTTCTTTTTTAGACAGTTTCGCTCTTGTTGCCCAGGCTGGAGTGCAATAGCGCAATCTCGGCTCACCTCCCGGGTTCAAGAGATTCTCCTGCCTCAGCCTCCCAAGTAGCTGGGATTACAGGCACCCGCCACCATGCCCAGCTAATTTTGTATTTTTAGTAGAGATGGGGTTTCTCCATGTTGGTCAGGCTGGTCTCGAACTCCTAACCTCAGGTTATCCGCCCACCTCGGCCTCCCAAAGTGCTGAGATTATAGGCGTGAGACACCGCTCCCTGCCTGGAAAAAAGTTTTAAAAGATGCTTATAGAAAAAGGACAAAAATTATTTCTTTTTTTTTTTTTTGAGACAGGGTCTCCCTCTGTCTCCCCAGCTGGAGTGCAGTGGCCTGATCTCAGCTCACTGCAGCCTGAACCTCCCAGGCTCAAGCAATTCTCCCACCTCAGCCTCCCAAGTAGAAACACATTTGGGATTACAGGCGCATGCCACCACACCTGGCTAATTTTAGAATCATTTCTTTAAAAAAAAAAAACAAAAAAACTGAGGTTTAAGAGGGAATGTGAGAAAAAGAGAGCTACTCCTCATCTGCACTCCCCCAACTCCTGAAGCCCCTTACTAGCAGACGGCGGGCTCCCAGGCCTGAGGGTAGGAGCCGGCTCTGGGAGTAACAGAGCAGAGGGCACTTGGCCAATGGCCCTGTTCCTATTCCTACCCAGAGGCCTTTGCACACCCTGACCTCTCCTGGACTAGGGCTCCTCCCCAGGTCAGGGGAAAAGGCCTCCTCTCTCCCCCTTCCTCCCTCTCTACCCCACCCCCTTCTTCCTACTTATCATTTTGGAGAGTCATTTAATTCCTGGGGTTTCTGTGTGTGCTGAGTCTGTGCGTGTGCTGGGAGAAAGGAGCCTGGCTTCTATCCAACTGAAAAGAAAGAGGAATAAACCACAAAACCAAAACACACACAAAGACAACTTGGAAGACAATATTTATTCTGATTTTGCTTTTGCTTTAATACGTAATATGTATACATGTTCCAGACAACACATTTGGGAACACAAAATAAAAATAAGGTTGCTTATGACCTCAGGAGCTAGCTAACCTTTGCTGACAATTTCTGTCTTCTCTTTGGGTTTCAGGACATGTGTTATGTTGGGGCTTTCTGCACCCTCTGGCTGGGGAAGAGACCTCATCTGTCACCTCACATCTTCATTCTCTCCCCACTCTAGGATTTAGAGGGTGTAGTCAAGGGGGAAGACCTGGGACAGGTTAAACCAGAGGGGTGGCTGGTGCAGAGGACTGGGCAGGGACTGTGACTTTGTCCCTCAGCTGCTGTGGGAAAGGACTTCGTGAACAATGAGTTGACCAGAGAGTCGGGCTTCATCCTACTGCCCAGAGAGGCCACCTTGACTCAGCAGAAAGGTCCCCGGGGAGACAGCATAGTTCCCCAATTTCCTTTATATTTTTTATCTTTTTCCTTTTTTTTCTGAAACATGGTCTTGCTCTGTCACCCAGGCTGGAGTATAGTGGCACAATCATGGCTCACTGCAGCCTCAACTTCCGAGGCTCAAGCAATCCTCCTGCCTCAGCCTCCCAAGTAGCTAGGACTAGAGGTATGTGCCACTATATCCGGCTAATTTTTATTATCTGGGCCAGGTGCGGTGGCTCACGCCTGTAATCCCAGCACTTTGGGAGGCCGAGGCAGGTGGATCATGAGGTCAGGAGTTTGAGACCAGTCTGGCCAACATAGTAAATCCCTGTGTCTACTAAAAATGCAAAAAAAATTAGCCGGATGTCGGGAGGCAACGCTTGCAGTGAGCCGAGATCGTGCCACTGGACTCCAGCCTGGGCGACAGAGTGAGACTCTGTCTTAAAAAAAAAAAAAAAAAAATTAGCCAGGTGTGGTGGTGTGCACCTGTAATCCCAGCTACTCAGGAGGCTGAGGCAGGAGAATCACTTGAACCCGGGAGGCAGAGTTTGCAGTGAGCTGAGATCATGCCATTGCACTCCAGCCCAGGCAACAGTGCAAGAATCCGTCTCAAAAAAAAAATTATCTGTAGAGTCAGGGGACTCCCTATTGCTGCCCAGGCTGGTCTCGAACTCCTAGGCTCAAGTGATCTGCCCACCTGGGCCTCCTGAAGTGCTAGGATTACAGGCGTGAGGCACCAGGCCTGGCCTTCATACCTTTTAAAATGTATTCATTCACTCACTCATTAAACATTAACTGCTGTCCACCCTGGGCAGGCTCTGGGGCCTCTCAGGTGGAGAAGTTGCCAACTGGGCCCTCCAACAGCCTGCTTCTGACCTGGGGAAAGTAAGATACAAGAAATGTGCCCAAGGAAAGCAGGGGAAGGGAGGAGGAAAAAGGGAGAGAAAGGAAGGGCGTGTAGCAGTATTCCCCGCATGAGTGAACAATTTGTAAAAGAATATTACATATTACAACAGCATTTTTCTTTGGAAAATGCAAAACAAAACTCTAACTTTGTTCTTAATGCAGACTATGGAAAGTAAATTGTGAGGAAATCTTGGCCCTTGGGGGTTTATCATGGGTCCCTTCAGTTAAGCCTGTGGGGAAGGCAGGGAGTAGGGCAGGCCTTGCCACTCTCCAGAGGCCTCTCAGTAGAACGTGACCTATTTCTATTTACCAGAATGGCAAGGGCAGGGGTGCAGGAATGGGAAGAGGACATACCTGATTGGAGAGCCAAGAATTTGGGTCCTGAGAGTCAAAGGGAGAGGTTGGCAAATTCAGGAACACATAGCTGCGTGTAGTGGCTCTCTCCTATAATCCCAGCATTTTGTGAGGCCAAGGCAGGAGGATCACTTAAGCCTTGGAGTTCAAGACCAGCCTGGGGAACAAAGTGAGATCCAGTCTCTACAAAAAATAAAAAAATTGGCTGGCACAGTGGCTCACACCTGTAATCCCAGTACTTTGGGAGGCTGAGGAGGGCGGATCACCTGAGGTCAGGAGTTCGAGACCAGCCTGACCAACATGGAGAAACTTCATCTCTACTAAAAATACAAAATTAGCTGGGCGTGGTGGAGCGTGCCTGTAATCCTAGCTACTCGGGAGGCTGAGGCAGGAGAATCGCTTGAACCTGGGAGGCGGAGGTTGCAGTGAGCCGAGATCGCACCATTGCACTCCAGCCTGGGCAACAAGAACGAAACTCCATCTCAAAAAATAAAAAAAAAAATTGTCTGGGCACTGTGGCGTGTGCCTGGTCCCAGCTACGTGGGAGACTGAGGTGGGAGGATCAAGGTGGGAGTTCAAGGTTGCAGTGAACTATGATCCAGCCTCTGTCACACAGGCTGGAGAGCATGGCCACCATGTTGGCCAGGCTGGTCTCGAACTCCTGGCCTCAACTGGTCTGCCTACTTCGGCCTCCCAAAGGCTTTGTAGGCCATATGGTCATGGTGGTACCTACTCAACTCAGCTGTGGGGCACAAAAGGAGCCACAGGCACTACTTAATCAACTGGGTCTGACTGTGTTCCAACAAAACTTTATTTATGGACACTGAAATTTGAATTTCATATCATTTGCAGAAAAATGTCAAGAAATAGTACTCTTAAAGTTTTTTCCCCACCTTTAAAAATGTTACAATCATTCTTGGCTTGCAGGGGTCCTACAAAAACAGGGAGTCAGGTGGTAATGACGTGTCAATGTAGATTCATCAGTTGTCACAAATGTACCACTCTGATGGGGGATATATTGAAAACGGAGGAGGCTATTCATGTATAGGGGTAGGAAGTATACAGGAAATATGGTATCTTCTGCTCAATTTTGCCACAAACCTAAAACTGATCTTAAAAAATAAAGCCTGTCTTCCAGGTGCGGTAGTTCACGCCTGTAATCCCAGCACTTGGGAGGCCAAGGTTGGGGGGGGGATCACCTGAGGTCAGGAGTTTGAGACCAGCCTGGCCAACATGGTGAAACCCCATCTCTATTAAAAAAAAAATACAAAATTAGTCAGGCACGGTGGCATACGCCTGTAATCCCAGCTACTCAGGAGGCTGAGGCAAGAGAATTGCTTGAACCCAGGAGGCAGAGGTTGCAGTGAGCCGAGATTGCACCATTGCACTCCAGCCTGGGCAACGAGAGCAATACTCCATCTCAAAAAATAAATAGGCCGGGCATGGTGGCTCATGCCTGTAATCCCGGCACTTTGAGAGGCCGAGGCGGGCAGACCACTTGAGGTCAGGAGTTCAGGACCAGCCTGGCCAACATGGTGAAAACCCGTCTCTACTAAAAATACAAAAATTAGCCGGGCGCTTGAACCCAGGAGGCAGAGACTGCAGTGAGCCGAGATCATGCCACTGCACCCCAACCTGGGCGACAGAGTGAGACTCCATCTCAATAAATAAATAAATAAATAAATAAAGCCTATTAAAAAAAGAAGAAGAAAGAAAGAAAAGAAAACAGGAAGCAAGCTGAGAATTTAGCTTGTGGCCTGTACTTGCTGATCCCTGTTTTAGAGAATTACAAAAAGTTGCTCCATCCTCCAGTAAGACATTATATAAGTTAGTTTATTATTTCTGGGGAATAACAATTATAAGACTGGGCATACCTGGGCATAGAACTGGCTCACATCTATAATCCCAACATTTTGGAAGGGTGAGGCAGGAGGATCACTTGAGGCCAGGAGTTCCAGACCAGCCTCAGCAACATAGTAAGAGCTCTACAAAAAAATTTTTTTAAAGAATAACAATTATGACAAGCATTAAATCATTCTGTAAAAATTATACAAATCAAATATTGAATATAAGGTAATAGAAAATTATCATTGTTGCAAATATGTTGTAATTATTCAATGGTTCTCATATTAGATTCTAGAAAATAACAAGATTTTTGGCATCCTGGGCAATCAAGATTTTGAGACCAGCCTGGCCAATATGGCAAGACCACATATCTACAGTTTTTTTTGTTTTTTTTTTTAAGATGGAGTCTCACTCTGTTGCCCAGGCTGGAGTGCAATGGCGCCATCTTGGCTCGCTGCAACCTCCGACTCCTGGGTTCAAACAATTCTCCTGCCTCAGCCTCCTGAGTAGCTGAGACTACATGCGTGTGCCACCATGCCCAGCTAAGTTTTTGTATTTTTAGTAGAGATGGGGTTTCACCGTGTTAGCCAGGATGGTCTCGATCTCCTGACCTCGTGATCTGCCCATCTCGGCCTCCCAAAGTGCTGTGATTACAGGCATGAGCCACCGCGCCCGGCCCAAAAAGATTTTTAAAAATCACCCTGCGTGGTGGCACATGCTTGTAGTCCTAGGTACTGGGGAGGCTGGAACAGGAAGATTGCTTTAGTCCAGGAGTTCAAGGCTGCAGTGAGCCATGATCAGACCACTGCACACCAGCCTGGGCAATTAAGCAAAACTCCATCTCTTATTAATAAAAAAAAAGGCGGCCGGGCACAGTGGCTCATGCCTGTAATCCCAGCACTTTGGGAGGCCAAGGCAGGAGGATCACAAGGTCAGGAGATTGAGACCATCCTGGCTAACACGGTGAAACCCCGTGTCAACTAAAAATACAAAAAAATTAGCTGGGCGTGGTGGCGGACGCCTGTAGTCCCAATCTACTCAGAAGGCTGAGGCAGGAGAATGTTGTGAACCCGGGAGAAAGAGCTTGCAGTGAGCTGAGATTGTGCCACTGCACTCCAGCCTGGGTGACAGAGCAAGACTCCGTCTCAAAAATAAATAAATACAAAAATACCTAAAATAAAAAAAGACCGGGCACAGAGGCTCATGCCTGTAATCCAGCACTTTGAGAGACTGGGGCAGGAGGATTGTTTGAGCCCAAGAGTTCGAGACTAGCCTGGGCAACATAGGGAGAACCTGTCACTACACAAAGTAACACGATTAGCTAGATGTGGTGATCCTTGCCTGTGTACCCAGCTACTGGGGAGGCTGAGGTGGGAGGATCACTTGAGCCTGGGAGGGAAAGCCTCGGTGCGCTGTGATCGCACTCCAGCACTCCAGCCTAGGTAAGAGAGTGAGACCCTGCCTCAAAATACATACATACATACATACATACAAACTAAAAAGAAAAAGATTCTTATCTGAGATAGATAATTTTAACTACAGTTGCTGTTTAATATGCAAAATTATGTGGCCAAGTAGATATATAGTCAAAAAGTAATTTGGTTTAATGAATTCTTTGTCACTGTTTTTTCCTAGTTTTTCTCAAAATCCATCAGTTACAGAGTGTGGAAGTTGTAGGTAAATTCACATCCTGCTCCATCTGCAATGTATTAATGCCATGTTTTGCTAAAACTAGTATCTAAAGTATTTCCTTTTCTTCTGGCAGTGCATCTAATTTCTCCTGAAATCTGGTGATGTAGATGAGTCATTTAGTGTAGCTGGTGGAAACAAATGCTTAAGACAGTGCCTAGATTATAGTAAGCAACTGTATGCATATATTTTAAATGAATAAAATTCCTTTTTAAATAAATTTGTGGTGCAGACCTCATGCGTCCAGGCAGGAGGTCTCTGTGACCCAGGTCTCTGCTCCCCAGCGAGGGTGGCAGCCCAGAGCCATGGCTCTCGCGAGTGGTTTATGTGGCACTTGAGGCTACAAGTCCAAGTATCTTCAGCTCAAGAAGAAGTTAGAAGATGAGTTCCCCCGGCCGGCACAGTGGCTCACGCATGTAATCCCAGCACTTTGGAAGGCCAAGGTGGGCAGACCATGAGGTCAGGAGTTCGAGACCATGTTGGCCAACATAATGAAACACCGTTTGTATTAAAAATACAAAAAAAATTAGCCTGGCACGGTGGCGGGCGCCTGTAGTCCCAGCTACTTGGGAGGCTGAGGCAGGAGAATCACTTGAACCCAGGAGGTCGAGGTTGTAGTGAGCCGAGATCGCACCACTGCACTCCAGCCTGGGCAGCAGAGTGAGACTCCATCTCAAAGAAAAAAAAAGAAAAAGAAGATGAGTTCCTCTGGACTTTGGACATCTGCAGCAAGGGAACTCCCCAGGCCACCGGGTTCTTTGACGTAATGGTAGCTGGGAAGTTG
Organism: Homo sapiens; assembly: GCF_000001405.40. NCBI lineage: Eukaryota > Metazoa > Chordata > Mammalia > Primates > Hominidae > Homo > Homo sapiens. Next base: position 31,095,082 of record NC_000001.11, on the reverse strand, counting down.
ATTCACTCTAAGAAGAAAGGTGATGGCTATGTGGACACAGAAAACAAGTTTCTGAAGCTGGTGGCTGCCATCAAAGCTGCCTTGGCTCAGGGCTAATGTGCCCTGAAGGCAGAGTCCAGGGACCTTGACCCAGCTCCTCTCAGCAGATGCTTCATGACAGGAAGAACTGAAATGTCTCATGGACGCCTGGTCTTCCCCTGTTCTCGCAGCTGCTGTTGGGGGCAGAGGTTGACACCCCTGGTCTTTACCTCTGTGTGGTAGAGTCTGTTTGTATGTGTCTTCCCCGGAATCCACACCGCCCTACCTGTTCCCCGATTTCATCATATCTCTATGCATACCCCATGTCTCCCCAGTTGTCTCCCAGAGTTTGGGGGATGTCCCGCCTCAGGCTTCCTTCTCAAAGGGAAGCCAGGAGAGGCAACAGGATGGGTGAGTCTCTGATTGCAGCAACGTTTGCAACCATTCACAATTCAACAAATATTGGACGAATTTAACCGAAAAAAAAAAAAAAAGAAATTTGCCCTGCTGTCTAGAGAAAAATAAGTTTCTTGCATTTATTTATGTATTTATGTATGTATGCATTTATTTATTTTTGAGACAGGGTTTACTCTGTCACCCAGGCAGGAGTGTAGTGGCACCATCTGGGCTCACTGCAACCTCTGCCTCGCTGGCTCAAGTGATCCATTCCTACCTCACCCTCTTGAGTACCTGGGACCACAGAGGAATGCCCCCACACCCCACTAATTTTCTTCTCCTTCTTTTTTCTTTTTTTTTTTTTGGTAGAGATGGGTTTTTGCCGTGTTGCCCAGGCTGGTCTCAAACCCCTGAACTCAAGCAATCCATCCACCTCAGCCTCCCAAGGTGCTGGGATTACAGGTGTGAGCCACCGTTCCTGGCCCATGTTTTTACACAGTAGAGATGGAGTCTTGCTATGTTGCTCAAGCTGGTCTCAAACACCTGGCCTCCGGCAATCCTCCTGCCTCAGCCTCTCAAAGTGCTAGGATTACAGGTGTGAGCCACTATGTCCGGCCAATAAAATTTTTTTAACAGGCTTTTTTTTTTTTTCCTGGATCTCATGATTTAAAATTTTTTTGTTGTTGTTGGGCACTGTAGCTCATACCTGTAATCCCAGCACTTTGGAATGCCAAAGGAGGGAGGATCGCTTGAAGGCAGGACCTTAAGATCAGCCAGGGTAACACAGCAAGACCTCATCTCTACGCAAGAAAAAAATTTTAAATTAGCCAAGTGTGGTGGCATGTGCTTGTAGTCCTTGCTACTCAGGGTGCTGAGGCTAGAGGATTGCCTGAGCCCAGGAGTTTGAGGCTGTGATAAGCGATGACTGCACCACTCTACTCCAGCCTGGGAGACATGGCAAGACTGCCTCCAAAGAAAAAAAAAAGTTTTAAATGGAAAACAAATTAAGTAAACATTTTTTTCTGATGTCTGGGGAGAAATTATTTCGTGATTTAGGATTTTATTATTTACAACAGTCTAAAATAATATCAGTGTCCTCACACCCATTAGGATGGCTACTTTCAAAAAACAGAAAATAAGTGTTGGTGAGGATGTGGTGAAAGTGGAACCTTGGTGCACTTTTGATGAAAATGTAAAATGGTGCAGCTGCTGTGGAAAACAGTATGATGGTTCCTCAAAAAAATTAAAAATAGATGTTTAGGCCGGGCGCGGTAGCTCACGCCTGTAATCCCAGCACTTTGAGAGGCCGATGCAGGCGAATTTACGAGGTCAGGAGACCGAGACCATCCTGGCTAACATGGTGAAACCCCGTCTCTACTAAAAATACAAAAAATTAGCCGGGCATGGTGGCAGGCGCCTGTAGTCCCAGCCACTCGGGAGGCTGAGGCAGGAGAATGGCATGAACCCAGGAGGCAGAGCTTGCAGTGAGCCGAGATCAAGCCACTGCACTCCAGCCTGGGCGACAGAGCAAGACTCTGTCTAAACAAACAAAAAAAAAAAATAGAAGTTTAACTCTATAATTCAGCAATTCCACTTCTAGGTATATACCCAGAAGAATTGAAAGCAGAGTCTCCAATATATATTTGTATTCCCATGTTCATAGTAGCATTATTCGAAATAGCTAACATATGGAAACAATCCAAGTGTCCATCTAGAGATGAATGAACAAGCAAAATGTGATAGATACACACAATGAACTACTATGATTTGGGCTTAAAAAGGAAGGAGATTTTGTAGTATGCTACAACACGTATGAAACTTTAGGACATTATGCTAAATGAAATAAGCCAATCACAAAACAACAAATACTATATGACTCTACTTATATAAGATAATTATAATAGTCAAAATTATAGAGACAGAAAGTAGAATGGTGGTTGCCAGGGACTGGAGGGAGGGATAAATGAGGAATAATTGTTTAACTGGTAGAGAGTTTCAGTTCTACAAGAGAAAATAAGATGTATGGTGGTGATGGTTGAACACTATAAATGTATTCAGTGCAATTGAACTGTACACTTAGCAATAGTTCACTTCATCAATTTTATTTTATGTTCTGTTTTTTGTTTTTTAGAGACAGTGTCTCATTCTGTCACCCACACTGGAGTGCAGTGATGTGACTGTAGCTCACTGGAGCCTTGACCTCCTGGGCTCAAATGATCCTCCCATCTCAGCCTCCCAAGCAAGCACCAAGGGCTTGGTGTGGTGGCTCACCCCTGTAATCCCAGCACTTTGGAAGGCCAAGGCTGGCAGATCACTTGAGGTCAGGAGTTCAAGACCAGCCTGGCCAATATGGCCAAACCCTGTCTCTACTAGAAATACAAAAAAATTAGCTGGGCATAGTAGCGCGCACGCCTGTAGTCCCAGCTACTCGGGAGGCTGAAGCAGGAGAATCGCTTGAATCCAGGAGGCAGAGATTGCAGTGAGCCAGGATTGGGCCACTCACTCCAGCCTGGGTGACAGAGCGAGACTCCATCTCAAAGCAAACAAACAAACAAGCAGAAAAACCAAGTAGCACCAAGCAGGCGTGAGCCACCATGCCTGGCTAATTTTTTATTTATTTATTTATTTATTTTTAAGAGATGGGGTCTTGCTATGTTATCCAGGCTGGTTTCAAACTCCTGGGCTCAAGCAGTCTTCCCACCTCAGCCTCCCAAAGTGCTGGGATTACAGGGATTAGCCACCATGCCCAGCTCATGCATTTTATTTTATTTTATTTATTTATTTATTTTTTGAGACAGAATCTTGTTCTGTTGCCCAGCCTGGAGTGCAATGGCGCAATCTCAGCTCACCACACCCTCTGACTTCCAGGTTCAAGTGATTCTCGTGCCTCAGCCTCCCAAGTAGCTGGGATTACAGGCATGCACCACCACACTCAGCTAATTTTTGTATTTTTAGTAGAGACAGCGTTTCACCATGTTGGCCAGGCTAGTCTCAAATTCCTGGCCTCATGTGATTCGCCTGACTTGGCCTCCCAAAGTGCTTGGCTTACAGGTGTGAGCCACCATGCCCAGCCCACGTATTTTAACATAATAAAAAAATAGGAAGAAATCATGTCAATGTTATATGCTAATAAACTTTAGCAGTACTTAATATTTGTAGTAATAAAGTTTCCTTCTTTTTTTTTTTTTTTTAGACCGAGTCTCTTTGTCACCCAGGCTGAAATACAGTGGCACAATGTTGGCTGACTATAACCTCCACCTCCTGGGTTCAAGCGATTCTCCTATCTCAGCTTCCCGAGTAGCTGGGATTACAGGTGTGTGCCACTACACCCGACTGATTTTTGTATTTTTAGTAGAGACAGGGTTTTGCCATGTTGGCCAGGCTGATCTTGAACTTCTGGCCTTGGCCTCCCAAAGTGCTGGGATTACAGGCGTGAGCCACCTCGCTGGTCATAGAGTTTCTATAATAATAAACAGTTGACATGATACAATTAGCAGGTCCTTGCATAGTAATTGTGAAGTTATGTCTGTGTAACTCTCATTTTGTAGATTCTTTTAAATTACATATTTATTTATTTATATTTTGAGACAGAGTCTCACTCTGTCACCCAGGCTGGAGTGCAATGGTACGATCTCGGCTCACTTCAACTTCTGCCTCCCAGATTGAAGCAATTCTCCTGCCTCAGCCTCCTGAGTAGCTGGGATTACAGGTGCCTCCTAGCATGCCCAGCTTATTTTTGTATTTTTACTAGAGATGAGATTTCACCATGTTGGCCAAGCTGGTCTCAAACTTCTGACTTGAAGTGAACCATTTGCCTTGGCCTCCCAAAGTGCTGGGATTACTGGTGTGAGCCACCATGCCTCACCTTTTAAAAATGTTATTTTATTCATTTTATTTTATTATTCTATCCTTATCCCATGACCATTGCTTCCAGGAGGGGATGGAAAGAGAGGTGTGGGCTACAGGGAGAGCCTGAAATGACTCCCTGCAAGGAGTACCCCCAATCATTCTACAGAGTGGCTTCTTTCTACTCTCGTTTTCTCTGTCTCCTGAAGTACGGGACCCTATTGGCAGTCTTGTTTTTTCCCAAGTTCACACTGTCTGGGCTTCCTGAAATGCAGTACTATCTTGTTTCATCTATTCCCTTCCTCAAAGCTTTTTTTTATTGGTTCTTTTTCCTATCTTCCTCAACACTGCTACAATGTATCTTTGAATAGCTTCTCTAGTCTGTCTTCTTCTACGATCTCATTATTCATCCATTCAATAAGGATACCAGAGGGTTTTTTTTTTTTTTTTTTTTTGAGACAAAGTCTCGCTCTGTAGCCCAGGCTGGAGTGCGGTGGTGCGATCTCGGCTCACTGCAACCTCTGCCTCCCAGGTCCCAGTTCAAGCAATTCTCCTGCCTCAGCCTCCCGAGTCGCTGGGATTACAGGCACGCGCCACCATGCCCAGCTAATTTTTATATTTTTAGTAGAGACGGGGTTTCACCATGTTGGCCAGGCTGGTCTTGAACTCCTGACCTCGTGATCTGCCCGCCTTGACCTCCCAAAGTGCTGGGATTACAGGCGTGAGCCACTGCGCCCAGCGTAGATACCAGAGATTTAAAGATGGACCACTCACAGCCCCTGGCCCCTGGCCCCTGGCCCCTGGCCCCTGGCCTAATGGAAGACATAGAAAGGTTAACTTACTATGTTTCAGACCCTATTCTAAATGCTTTGTATGGATTAGCTTATTTAATCCTTACCACACTCAGTGGTGACTTGGAGGAAGGAATGTAGGTAAAGGAAATACAATACCTGAGATTTCTGGGATCACTGGGTGAGAGAGAGAAGTCAAATATAATTTTCTTGGCAACTGGGTGAATGCTGGTGTCACTCACAGACATGGGGATTAATAGTAGGTTTGGCGGCCAGGTGCGGTGGCTCACGTCTGTAATCCCAGAACTTTGGGAGGCCGAGGCAGTTGGATCACCTGAGGTCAAGAGTTCAAGACCAGCCTGGCCAACATGGCAAAACCCAATCTCTACCAAAAATGCAAAAATTAGCTGGGCATGGTGGCGCCTGCCTGTTGTCCTGGCTACTTGGGCAGCTGAAGCAGAAGAATCACTTGAATCCCGGAGGCAGAGGTTGCAGTGAGCCGAGATCATGCCATTGCACTCCAGCTGGGGCAATAGAGCGAGACTCCGTCTCAAAACAACAAACAAACAAACAAACAAAAATATCAGTACACTTGGAGAGGAGGCAAAGATATGTGAATGTTTAGATATGTTGGATTTTCGCTATCTGTTGGATATTCATGTGTGGAAAAGTCTAATAAGCAGTTGATGGCTGTGGGAGCCGGGATCTGGGCAGAGAAGTCTGTACTAGAGATTTAAATTTGAGCACAATTAGTACATGAATTTGAGCACATGGAATCTTTTTCATGGATGAAAAAGAAAAGAATCCAGGATAAAAACACAAATAACAGCAACATATAAGATGCAGACTAAGGGCCTGGTACCGTGGCTCACGCCTGTAATCCCAGAACTTTGGGAGGCCGAGGCAGGCAGATCACGAAATCAGGAGTTCAAGACCAGCCTGACCAACATGGTGTAACCCTGTCTCTACTAAAAATACAAAAATTAGCCGGACATGGTGGCAAGGGCCTGTAATCCCAGCTACTCAGGAAACTGAGGCAGGAGAATCGCCTCAACCCGGGAGGCAGAGATCGCAGTGAGCTGAGATTGTACCACTGCATTCCAGCCTGGGTGACAGAGCGAGACACCATCTCAAAAAAAAAAAACAAACAAAAAAACAAATGCAAACTAAGGCTGGGCACCGTGGCTCACGGCAGATTGCTTGAGCTCAGACATTCAAGACCAGACCAAGCAACATAGCAAGATCCTGTCTATACAAAAAATACAAAAATTAACTGAGTGTGGTGGCGCGTGCCTGTGGTCCCAGCTACTTAGAAGGCTGAGGTGGAAGGATTGTTTGAATCCGGGAGGCAGAGATTGCACTGAGCCGAGATTACGCCACTGCTCTCCAGCCTGGGCCACAGTGTTAAGACCCTGTCTCAAAAACAAACAAACAAACAAACAAAAAACCAAAAAACCAAAAAACCAAACCGTTTGTATGCCAGCAACTTCCAAAGGTACATTTCTAGCCCAGATCTTTTCCCTAAACTCCAGACTTACTTATTCTACCCAACAACACTGCTTGAACTGCTTGAATGTTGAATAAATAGCTCAAATTTAAAATGTTCAGAACTGAACTCCCAATCTCACCTGCACCCCTCCCCTCCCCTAAAACCTGCTCTGATCATAGCCTTTCCCAACAAAATTCAGAACAACTTTCTTTTTTTTTTTTGAGATGGAGTCTCACTTTGTCACCCAGGCTGGAGTGTAGTGATGCAATCTTGGCTCACTGCAACCTCTCCCGGGTTTAAGTGATTCTCCTGCCTCAGTCTCCCAAGTAGCTGAGACTACAGGTGCCCGTCACCATGCCCAGCTAACTTTTGTATTTGTAGTAGAGATGGGGTTTCACCATATTGGCCAGGGTGGTCTCAAACTCCTGACCTTGTGATCTGCCTGCCTCCGCCTCCCATAGTGCTGGGATTACAGGTGTGAGCTACCTTGCCCAGCCCTCAGTAAAACTTTCTAGTACTCTAGTCCTCAAATCCTTAAGTCATCTTAGGGCACACCAAGGTTGATGGAAATGAGCAGTAGGAGTGGTCTGCTAAGGTGGGGAGAAATTTTTTTTTTTTTTTTTTTTTAGATGGCGTTGCGCTCAGTTGCCTGGGCTAGAGTACAATGGTGTGATCTCAGCTCACCGCAACCTCTGCCTCCTGGGTTCAAGTGATTCTCCTGCCTCAGCCTCTTGAGTAGCTGGGATTACAGGCATGCACCACCATGCCCGGATAATTTTGTATTTTTAGGAGAGATGGAGTTTCTCCATGTTAGTCAGGCTGGTCTCGAACTCCCAACCTCAGGCGATCCACCTGCCTCGGCCTCCCAAAGTGCTGGGATTACAGGCATGAGCCACCGCGCCTGGCCGAGAAATATTTTATAACTTTTAGACATTGTTTAAAATTGCTAGTACATGATGATATTGAATAGCAGAGTAACATTTAGTCTATTTTAGAATTATTTACTGACAATGCACATCTTTATTTCTTGTTGCCTAAACCCAGTGAAGACCACCTTATCACCACAACTAACTCCCTTGGTGTATTATTGTCTTTGATTCCTTTATTTGCTTTTTTTATTTTTCTTTTTATCTTTTGAGACCAAGTCTCACTCTGTCACCCAGGTTGGAATGCAGTGGCATGATCTTGGCTCACTGCAACCTCCACCTCCCGGGTTCAAGCGATTCTCCTGCCTCAGTCTCCCAAGTAGCCAGGATTACAGGCACCTGCCACCACGCCTGGCTAATTTTTGTATTTCTAGTAGAGATGGGGTTTCAGAATGTTGGCCAGGCTGGTCTCGAACTCCTGACCTCAGGTGGTCCACCCAGCTGGGCATCTTCTGGGATTACAGGCGTGAGCCACCACACCTGGTCTGATTCCTTTATTTTCTTTTACCTTCTCCATGACTCCTTCATTTAGGAAATCTTATTTACTCTACCTTCAAAAATATCCAGAATCCAGACTCTTCTTACCAGTCCCACTCATACCACTTTTGTCTGAGCTGTCATTATCTTTTTTCCAGGTTTACTGTAAATAGCCTCTAAACAGGTCTCTGTGCTTCTACCTCGGCCTGCCACAGTCTATTCCTGATGCAACATACAGAGTGATTTTTGAGAAACCTAAGTCAGACTGCATCACGCAGCCCTGATCAATATCTTGGCTAGCTAGCCTTGCAGTGGCCCCAGAGGCCTGACCTCCTATCCTACTCTTCCTTCTCACTCCCTAGTTCTTTCTGCTCCCACCATTTCCATCGCCTTCCCCCGCCACCACTGCCCTCAAAGACAATCATTTAACATATGTATACTCTTGGAATTGTAATTAAGTATATTGCAAATTAAAATAATACATATATTTTTTGAAACAGAGTATCACTCTGCTGCCCAGGCTGGAGTGCAGTGGCACAATCATAGCTCACTGCAGCATTAAATTGCTAGGCTCAAGTGACCTTCCTGTCTCAGCCTCCCCAGCAGCTAGGACTATAGGAGTATACCACCACACTGGCTAATTTTTGTGTGTGTGTATATATACATATTTTTTTATTTTTTTATTTTTTATTTTTTTTGAGACGAAGTTTTGCTCTTGTTGCTCAGGCTGGAGTACAAATGCATGATCTGATCTCGGCTCACTGCAACCTCTGCCTCTTGGGTTCAAGTGATTCTCCCGCCTCAGCCTCCCAAGTACCTGGGTTTACAGGCATGTGCCACCATGCCTGGCTAATTTTGTAGTTTTAGTAGAGACGGGATTTCACCATGTTGGTCAGGCTGTTCTTGAATTCTTGACCCCAAGTGATCCGCCTGCCTTGGCCTCCCAAAGTGCTGGAATCACAGGCATGAACCACCACACCCAGCCCCTAATTTTTGTATTTTTTGTAGAGATGAGGTCTCACTGTGTTGCCCAAGCTGGTCTTGAACTCCTGGACTCAAGTGATCCTCCCACCTTGGCCTCCCAAAGTGTTGGGATTACAGGTGTGAGCCATTGTGGCTGGCCAACAAATTATAAATTTAGAAAGCAGAGCTTTACTTTTTACATGGGTTACAGCCCGTAAGGGGGCCTTTCTGATAGACTGGGAAGTGTGGCCTCCAGTACAGACTGAAAGGCAGGCACTTTGAGCAAGTGGAGAGTGGAACAGGGATTTATGTTGAACAGGTTGGTCATGTATGCATATTCAACAGGTTATAGGAGGAGCTATGAATTTTTTTTTTTTTTTGAGACAGAGTCTTGCTCTGTTGCCCAGGCTGGAGTCCAGTGGCGTGATCTCGGCTCACTGCAAGCTCTGCCTCCCGGGTTCACGCCATTCTCCTGCCTCAGCCTCCCGAGTAGCTGGGACTACAGGCGCCTGCCATGGCGCCCAGCTAATTTTTTGTATTTTTAGTAGAGACGGGGTTTCACCATGTTAGCCAAGATGGTCTCAATCTCCTGACCTCGTGATCTGCCCGCCTCAGCCTCCCAAAGCGCTGGGATTACAGGTGTGAGTCACCGCGCCCGGCCTAGGAGGAGCTATGAATATTTATGAAGGGAGTCCTGATACATGTATATTAAATAAACATGCATGTTACATACATCTCATGTTTACTTTAGAGTGAAGACTTAACATTTAAATACATTACAATCTGGCCCTATATGACATAGGGTAAAACAGGGACACGAAGGCACTCAAAGTGCACAGCCTCTGTAAACCACCAGAGCCACTCCACGGTTGGTGGTCTCTTATCAAGAGAAAGTCACTGAACTAGCCCAGTTAAAGCTGTAGTTACGGTTTGTGGTACGGGGGGTGGGGAGGGGGGGTCAGTTTGTCAGCGTCTGGTGTTGGATGAGTTGTAATTGTTTTAAGATTGTTTATCTCCAGACCAGTGCTTGTTTGGCTGTCAGAGAAAAAGAAAAACCTTGTGGCTGGGCGCAGTGGCTCAAACCCATAATCCCAGCACTTTGGGAGGCCAAGGCTGGCAGATCACCTGAGGTCAGGAGTTCAAGGCCAACCTGGCCAACATGGTGAAATCCGTCTCTACTAAAAATACAAAAATTAGCTTAGCATGGTGGTGCATGCCTGTAATCCCAGCTACTCAGGAGACTGAGGCAGGAGAATCGCTTGAACCTAGGAATCGGAGGTTGCAGTGAACCGAGGTCACACCACTGCACTCCAGCCTGGGCAGTAGAGTGAGAGTCCGTCTCAAAAAAAAAAAAAGAAAAGAAAGAAAGAAAAACCTGTGGCAGTTAGAACATAGTTTGTTCTTTAAGTGTAGGGGTGGATGGCTTAACCCTTGCCTAGCATGGCCTTGAGTATTGTTTTTTTGTTTTTTTTGTTTTTAGTAGAGATGGGGTTTTGCCATGTTGGCCAGGCTGGTTTCGAACTCCTGACCTCAGGTGATTCGCCTGCCTCGCCTCCAAAAATGCTGGGATTACAGGCGTGAGCCATGGTGCCCGGTCGAGTATTGTTTATAATTTGGTATCTTATTGTCACAAAGAGTCTGTTTCATCAGTCTTATGATTTCTATTTTCGCATTAATGCTGGCCACCTGTGTCCAAAAAGGAGTGGTATAGTGAGGTGTGTCTAACCTCTCTTGCCAGTTTTTAAGGGTTCTCTTGGATCCTCTAGGCCAAGAGGGAGTCTGGTTGGTTTTAAAATTTTTATTTTTAGTCCTCACAGTACATTGTTATAATTGTTCCATTTTATTATTTGTTGTTAATCTCCTACTGTGCCTAGTTCATAAATTAAACTTTGTGATAGGTATATACATGTAGGAAAAAACAGTTTATAGAGGGTTTGGTACTATCTGAAGTTTCAGGCATTCACTGGGAGGTGTTACCTGTGTCCCCTGTGGATAAGTGGGGGGACTACAGTATTTTCTTTGATTAACTGGCGATTTTTGCCTTTCACATTTATGCCTTTATTCCATCAGGAGCCTACCTTTGTTTTTGTGTTAAGCAGTCACCAGGTTTATTGAGAGCCAGCTTTGCCAGCACCACCTCCTAAGTAAGCCATCCCTTCCCCGGTGATTGTGGTGTTGCTTTTCTTGTGTATTAAGTTCTCATATCTACATAGGCTTGGCTCCAAGCTTTCTAGTTTATTCCATTGGTCTATTTGTCTGTTCTTGAACAATGCCACAATGAATTTTGTTGCTATGGTTTTGTAGTATGCCCTAATATCTAGGAAGCCCAATCCTCCCTGTTCATTCAGCCTTTCTTTTTTTTTTTTGAGACGGAGTCTCGCTCTGTCACCCAGGCTGGAGTGCTGTGGCGTGATCTCGGATCACCACAAGCTCCACCTCCTGGGTTCACGCCATTCTCCTGCCTCAGTCTCCCGAGTAGCTGGGACTACAGGTGTCTGCCACCATGCCCGATTAATTTTTTTTTTTTCATATTTTTAGTAGAGATGGGGTTTCACCATCTTGGCCAGGCTGGTCTCGATTTCCTGACCTTGTGATCTGCCGGCCTCGGCCTCCCAAAGTGCTGGGATTAGAGGCATGTGAAACCGCGCCTGGCCCATTCAGGCTTTCCAAGATGGAACTTTATTTGTGGACCTTTAATCTGGAATTATTGTTATTGGGACTGCAATTAATTTATGGAATATTAGGGAGTGGTGACATGTATATAATGTTTGGTTATTTCATCTAAGACTAGTCTCTTTGTTTATATGTTCATCACTATGCTTTTTTTTTTTTAATTTTTTTTGTAGAGACAAGTTCTTGCTATTATTTCCCAGTCTGGTCCCTAAATCCTGGGCCCAAGCAGTCCTCCCACCTCTGCCTCCCAAAGTGCTGGGATTACAGGTATGAACCACTATGTCCAGCCTTTCAATATAATCTTTAAGTTTTCTCTGTATATGTCTGCATGTTTTTGCTTAGTTCTTAAATACATTAAGGTTTCTGTTAGTATTCTGACATTTTTCTTTCTTTCTGTTGTCTAGGCTGGAGTGCAGAGGCAAGATCACAGTTCACTGCAACCTTGACTTCCCAGGCTCAAGCCAGCTTATGATCTTAGCCTCTCAAATAGCTGGGACCACAGGTGTGCCCCACCACACTGGCTAATTTATTTTTATTTTTATTTATTTTACTGTATTGTATTTTATTTTTTGAGATGGAGTTTCACTTTTGTTGCCCAGGCTGGAGTGCAGTGGCGCAACCTTGGCTCACTGCAACCTCTGCCTCCCAGGTTTAAGTGATTCTCCTGCCTCAGCCTCCTGAGTAGCCAGGTGCCTGCCACCATACCTGGCTAATTTTTTTTTTTTTTTGTATTTTTATTAGAGATGGGGTTTCACCATGTTGGCCAGGCTGGTCTTGAACTCCTGACCTCAGGTGATCCACCTGCCTCGGCCTCCCTTTAAGTGCTGGGATTACAGGCATGAGCCACCACGCCCAGCCTTATTTTTATTTTTGGTAGAGAGGAGGTCTCCCTATGTTGCCTAGGCTGATCTCACACTCATGGCCTCAGATGATCCTCCTGCCTCAGCCTCGTAAAGTTCTGGGATTATAGGTGTGAGCCACCACACCCAGCCTCTTATTTTTTGAATTGTATTTTCTCTGGTTATTGCTGGTAGAGAAATTTTCTTGATGTTAGTGGTTTGATAATATATTCAGCAACATTGTGTAGCCTTTGCATAGGTTCTAATAGTTTTTCTGATGATTCTGTTGGCTTTTCCCAGTAGATAGATATATGCAAGCCGTGATAATTTCAGCTCTTTCCTTTGAATCCTTATTTATTTATTTATTTATTGGACAGAGTCTCACTTTGTCACCGAGGCTGGAGTGCAGTGGCATGATTTTGGCTCACTGCAACCTCCACCTTCCTGGTTCAAGCAATTGTCCTGCCTCAGCCTCCTGAGTAGCTGGGATTACAAGCGCGTGCCACCAAACCCGGCTAATTTTTGTATTTTTAGTGAAGTTGGGGTTTCACCATATTGGCCGAGCTGGTCTTGAACTTCTGATCTCAGGTGATCCACCTGCCTCAGCCTCCCAAAGTGCTGGGATTACAGGTGTAAGCCACCGTGCCTGGCCTCCTATCCTTTTTTTTTTCTTTGAGACAGAGTCTCACTCTGTTACCCTGGCTGGAATGCAGTGGCCCAATCTCGGCTTACCTTGGCTCACTGAAACCTCCGCCTCCCAGGTTCAAGCAATTCTCATGCCTCAGTCTCCCTAGTAGCTGGGACTACAGGCATGCACCATCACACTCAGCTAATTTTTGTATTTTTCATAGAGATGGGGTTGTGCCATGTTGCCCAGACTAGTCTCAAACTCCTGGCCTCAAGTGATCCACCCGCCTCAGCCTCCCAAAGTACTGGGATTACAGTTGTGAGCCACCACGTTCGCCCTGAAACCTCATCCGTTTTAAGTCCTTTGTTTTTCCTCACAGCATTGCCCAGATCTCTAGTCATGTGGTAAACAAGAGTGGTGATTGGGCATCCTGGTTATTTTCTTTATTATTATTGTTATTTAAAAAAATTTTTGCTCATGCCTGTAATCCCAGCACTTTTGGAGGCCGAAGCAGGTGGATCACCTGAGGTCAGGAGTTTGAGACCAGCCTGAAAAACATGGTGAAACCCTGTCTCTACTAAAAATACAAAAATTAGCCAGATGTGGTGGCAGACGCCTGTAATCCCAGCTACTCTGGAGGCTGAGGCATAAGAATCACTTGAACCCAGGAGGCAGAGGTTGCAGTGAGCCAAGATCTGAGATCGTGCCATTGCACTCCAGCCTGGGTGACAGAGGGAGACTCTGTCTCAAAAAAAAAAAAAAAAAATTGCAAATATATGGCCCCTCTCTGTCACCCAGGCTGGAGTGCAGTGACACAATCTTGGCTCAACGCACCCTCGACCTCCTGCGCTCCAGCGATCCTCCCACCTCAGCCTCATGAGTTGCTGAGACCATAGACCCGCACTACTATGCTGGGCCTCTGGCCTTTGTTTTCAATTTAAAAGAAGTGTGCCAAAAAAGTCTCCATTAAATGCAATATTGGCTTAGATTTTTGGTATAAAACATTTACCAAGTTAAGATTCTACTCTCAGCTTTCTGAGCTTAAAAAATATAGCCAGGCATAGTGGCTTGCGCCTGTAATCTCAGCACTTTGGGAGGCTGGGGTGAGCAGATCACGAGGTCAGGAGTTTGAGATCAGCTTGACCAACATGGAGAAATCCCATGTCTACTGAAAATATAAAATTATCCGGGCGTGGTGGCGTGCACCTGTAATCCCAGCTACTCAGGAGGCTGAGGCAGGAGAAACGCTTGAACCCTGTAGGCAGAGGTTGCAGTGAGCCGAGATTGTGCCATTGCACCCCAGTCTGGGCAACAGAGTGAGACTTTGTGCCAAAAAAAAAAAAAAAAAAAAAAAAAAAAAAAAAAATATATATATATATATATATATATATATATATATATATATATATGTATGTATGTATATAATACATCTGAGCTACACAGAGGATTGCTCGAGCACAGGAGATTGAGGCTGCAGTGAACTGTGATCTTGGGCCTGCATTCCAGCCTGGGCCACAGAGCCAGATGCTATCTCAAATAATAATAATAATATAATAATAATAATAATAATAATAATAGGTTGACCAGCCCGTGCAACTTAGTGAGACCCTATCTTTACAAAAAAAAAAATTGGCCAGCTGCGATGGTTCACACCTGTAATCCCAACACTGAGAGGCCGAGGCAGGTGAATCATTTGAGATCTTGAACTCCTCCTGGGCTCAACTGATCAACCTGCCTCGGCCTCCCCAAGTGCTGGGATTACAGGCATGAGCCAATGCACTCAGCCTGGATAATATATCTTTAATATCACAAACAGAGTCACGGTGTCCACTGAACAACAGTGTTTATATACATATTTTCCCTTGAACAGATATGTCTAGTAATTTTCTACACTTTAAAAAATGTTCCGCAAGATCATAAAATTGACCAAGGGTATCTCCACGGAGAGTAACAGCCAACAAATCTTTTGCAGTTTTAATTCTTATGTTAATATTCTCTTGGCTTTTGCCTTGTAAGAATCCACATGGGTTTCCTTTCTTTTTCCTTTAGGCTTTTGCTCTGTAACTTTTTCTTATTTCTTGATTGAATTCCTTAGCCTGTTCATTTTGAACAATTTTATCTCCTAAAAAATGTATTTAAATTTCATATTTTCCCCCAAGTTCCGTTTTTGCTCTGACCCACAAATTTTGATGTGTAGTGTTTTCATTATTCATTTCTAAGCAATTTCCTCTACAATTGTCTTTTTTTTTTTTTTTTGAGAGGAGTCTCGCTCTGTCACCCAGGCTGGAGTGCGGTGGCATAATCTCAGCTCACTGCAACCTCTGCCTCCTGGGTTCAAGCAATTCTCATGCCTCAGCCTCCCGAGTAGCTGGGATTACAGGTGTGCGCCACCACGACCGGCTAATTTTTGTATTTTTAGTAGAGACAGGGTTTCACCATGTTGGCCAGGCTGGTCTCAAACTCCTGTCCTAAAGTGATTCGCCCGCCTCGGCCTATCAAAGTGCTGGGATTACAGGCATGATCTGCCATGCCCGGCCTCCTCTACAATTATCTTAACTCAATAGTTTTTTAATAACGTTGTTTAGTTTCAAGTACAGGATTTGTGGTTTTCTTTCTTTCTTCTTTTCTTTTCTTTTTTCTTTTGAGGCGGAGTCTTGCTCTGTCGCCCAGGCTGGAGTGCAATGGCTCAATCTCAGCTCACTGCAAGCTCCGCCTCCTGGGTTCACACCATTCTCCTGCCTCAGCCGCTTGAGTAGCTGGGACTACAGGCGCCCGCCACCATGACGGCTAATTTTTTGTATTTTTAGTAGAGACAAGGTTTCACCGTGTTAGCGAGGATGGTCTCGATCTGACCTCGTGATCCGGCCACCTCGGCCTCCCAAAGTGCTGGGATTACAGGTGTGAGCCACCGCGCCTGGCCTCTTCTTTTCTTTTCTTTTTTCTTTTTTGAGACAGGGTCTTGCTCAGGCTAGAGTGCAGTGGCATGACCACAGCTTACTGCAGCCTTAACCTCCTGAGCTCAAGCAATCCTCCCACTTCAGCCTCTGGAGAAGCTGGGACTACAGGCAGATGCCATTGTGCACAGCTAATTTTTAAATTTTTAGTACAGACAGGTCTTGCTATGTTGCCTAGGCTGGTCTTAAATGCCTGGGCTCAAGCATCCTGCCCCAGCATCCTAAAGTGTTAGGATTTCAGGCATAAGCCACTGCATCTAGACAGATTTTACATATTTTGTCTATTTGCTCTATTTTGAAAGAAGTATGTTGAAAACTATAATGGTTAATGTATCTGTTTTTTCCTGCAGCTCTGTCGGTCACATTTCTGTATTTGCAGGCTGTGTTAATTTTGTTGTTGTTGTTGTTATTTTTTGTTTGTTTGTTTGTTTGTTTGTTTTTGAGACAGGGTCTCACTCTGTCATCCAGGCTGGAGTGCAGTGGCTCAGTCTTGGCTCACTGCAACCTCTGTCTCCCAGGCTCAAGAGATTCTCCCACCTCAGCCTCCCGAGTAGCTGGGATTATGGGTGTGTGCCACCATGCCCCGCTAATTTTTGTATTTTTAGTAGAGACAGGGTTTCACCACGTTGGCCAGGCTGGTCTCAAACCCCTGACCACAGGTGATCCACCTGCCTCGGCCTCCCAAAGTGCTGGGATTACAGGCGTGAGCCACTGCACCCGGCTCAGGCTGTGTTATTGATACTATAGTTTATCATGAACAGCTGGGCACAGTAGCGCACACCTATAATCCCAGCACTTTGGGAGGCCAAGGCAGGAGGAATGCTTGAGCCCAAGATTTGAGACCAGCCTGGGTACCATGGCAAGACCCCCATCTCTACCGAAAAAAAAAAAAAAGACAAGCTAGTCGAAAAATGATGAGATAAATAGAAAGGAAAAAAACAACAGAATAACCCCAGAAACAGAAACATAGACTGAAGGATATAATAAGCAAAATGATTGGGAGAGGGCTGTGCACTTTGGGAGGCTGACAGATCACTTGAGCCCAGGAGTTTGTGACCAGCCTGGGTAATGCAGTGAGACTCTCCTACTCCCCTGCTCCAAAAAAAATTAGCCAGGCATCTGCCAGGTGCAGTGGCTCATGCCTGTAATCCCAGCACTTTGGGGGACTGAGGCAGGTGGATCATCTGACCCCAGGAGTCAAAGACCAGCCTGGCTAACATGGTGAAACCCTGTCTCTACTAAAAATACAAAAATTGGCCAGGTGCAGTGGCTCACACCTGTAATCCCAGCACTTTGGGAGGCTGAAGCAGGCGGATCATGAGGTCAAGAGATCGAGACCATCCTGGCCAACATGGTGAAACCCAGCCTCTACTAAAAATACAAAAAACTAGCTGGGCATGGTCGTGGGTGCCTGTTGTCCCAGCCACTTGGGAGGCTGAGGCAGGACAATCACTTGAACCCAGGAGGCGGAGGTTGCAGTGAGCCGAGATTTCACCACTGCACTCCAGCCTGGCAACAGAGCGAGACTCCATCTTAAAAAAAAAAAAAGAAATCGCCAGGCATGGTGGTGTATACCTGTGGTCCCATCTACTTAGGAGGCTGAGATGGGAGGATTGATTGAGCTCAGGAGGGTGAGGCTGCAGTGAGCTATGATCACACCACTGCACTCCAGCCTGAGTGACAGAGCAAGACCTTGTTTGTAAAAAAGTAAATAAAGTTTACCATGGCCATATATTCTTTTTTTTTTTTTTTTTTTTTTTTTGAGACGGAGTCTCTCTCCATTGCCCAGGCTGGAGTGCAGTGGCAGGATCTCGGCTCACTGCAACCTTCGCCTCCTGGGTTCAAGCAATTCTCCTGCCTCAGCCTCCCAAGTACATGGGATTACAGGCACCTGCCACCACACCCAGCTAATTTTTGTATTTTTAGTAGAGATGGGTTTTTGCCATGTTGGCCAGGCTGGTCTCGAACTCCTGACCTCAGGTGATCCACCAGCCTTGGCCTCCCTAAGTGCTGGGATTACAGGGGTGAGCCACCATGCCCGGCCCACATATTCATTTTATCAATATATAACATACTTATTTACCCTCTACCCTTAGTATATATATGTGTGTGTACGTATGTATGTATACATACTTTTTTTTTTTTTTTGAGGCAGATTTTTGCTCTCATTGCCCAGGCTGGAGTGCAATGGCATAATCTCGGCTCACCACAACCTCTGCCTCCCGGGTTCAAGCGATTCTCCTGCCTCAGCCTCCTGAGTAGCTGGGATGACAGGTATTCACCACCACGTCTGGCTAATTTTGTATTTTTAGTAGAGACAGAGCTTCTCCATGTTGGTCAGGCTGGTCTCGAACTCCCAACCTCAGGTGATCTGCCTGACTTGGCCTCCCAAAGTGCTGGGATTACAGGTGTGAGCCACCGTGCTGGGCCCACCTACATATATTTTTAAATTAGAGTCAATTTTCTATGGTAGTTTTAGGCTCACAGCAAAATTGAGCAGAAAGTACAGAAAGTTCCCATGCACCCCCTGCCTTTACAAACGCACAGCCTCCACCACTATCAACATCCAGCACCAGAATGGTACATTTGTTACAATCAATGAACCTACATTGACACATCATCACCACCCCAAATCCATATTTACATTAGAGTTCACAATTGGTTTTGCACATTTTATGAGTTTTGACAAATGTATAATGGCATGTATACTCTTTTTTTTTTTTTTTTTTTTTGAGACAGAGTCTCTCTCTGTCGCCCAGCCTGGAGTGCAGTGGCGCGATCTCGGCTCACTGTAGCCTCTGCCTCCCAGGTTCCAGCAATTCTCCTACCTCAGCCTCCTGGGTAGATGGGATTACAGGCAAGTGCCACCACACCTGGCTAATTTTTGTATTATTATTATTTTTTAATAGAGACGGGGTTTCACCATGTTGGCCATGCTGGTCTTGAACTCCTGACCTCAGGTGATCCGCCTGCCTCTGCCTCCCAAAGTGTTGGGATTACAGGCGTGAGCCACTGGGCCCAGCCATGTCCACTTGTATACTATCATACAGAGTAGCCCTTATTGATATTTTTAAACCTAAGTTTATCATATCACATATTTACATTTTTATACTCGCTTTCTTTAGGTTCATATTTAGGTGGTATTTATTTTTAACTATCCCTCTTATAATCTTACCCAATCATAGCTTTTTTTTTTTTTGAGATGGCGTCTTGCTCTGTCTCCCAGGCTGGAGTGCAGTGGCACGATCTCAGCTCACTGCAAGCTCCGCCTCCCGGGTTCAAGTGATTCTCCCACCTCAGCCTCCCAAGTAGCTGGGATGACAGGCGCGCACCACCATGCCCAGGCTAATTTTTGTATTTTTAGTGGAGATGGGGTTTCACTATGTTGGCCATGCTTGTCTCCAACTCCTGACCTCAAGTGATCCATCTGCCTTGGCCTCCCAAAATGTTGGGATTACAGGAGTGCACCACCATGCCCAGCCAGCCCCATCATAGCATTCTTGTATTTAGTGGTAAGTTTAACCCTTCTATATTTATTGGAATTACTCTTAAGACTTTTTTCTGCTATATTTTATATCTCCTATTTACTGTACATTGTTTTTGTTCTTTTCACAACAAAGTTTTCTTCTTCTGGTTTAAAAGTTATAAATACTGCCAGGTGCCATGGCTCATGCCTATAATCCCAGCACTTTGGGAGGCCGAACCAGGCGAATCACCTGAGGTCAGGAGTTTGAGACCAGCCTGGCCAACATGACAAAATCCTGTCTCTACTAAAAATATAAAAATTAGGCTGGGCTTGGTGGCTCACATCTGTAATCCCAGGACTTTGGGAGGCCAAGGCTGGTGGATCTCGAGGTCAAGAAATCAAGACCATCCTGCCAACATGGTGAAACCCTGTCTCTACTAAAAATACAAAAATTAGCTGGGCATGGTGGTGTGCACCTGTAGTCCCAACTACTCGGGAGGCTGAGGCAGGAGAATCCCTTGATCCCTGCAGAGGTTGCAGTGAGCCGAGATCACGCCACTGCACTCCAGCCTGGCGACAGAGCGAGAATCCATCTAAAAAAAAAAAAAAAAAAAAAAGACCAGGTGAGGTGGCTTATGCCTGTAATCCCAGCACTTTGGGAGGCCAAGGTGGGTGGATCACCTGAGGTCAGGAGTTCAAGACCAGCCTGACCAACATGGAGAAAGTCTCTACTAAAAACACAAAAAATTAGCTGGGCGTGGTGGCAGGTGCCTGTAGTCCCAGCTACTTGGGAGGCTGAGGCAGGAGAATGGTGTGAACCCGGGAGGCTGAGCCGAGATTGTGTCAGTGCACTCCAGCCTGGGTGACAGAGCTAGACTCCGTCTAAATTAAAAAAAAAAAAAATTTAACTGGCTGTGGTGGCAGGTGCCTGTAATCTCAGCTACTCAGGAGGAGGCTGAGGAAGAATCACTTGAACCTGGGAGGCAGAGGTTGTAGTGAGCCAACATCGCGCCACTGCACTCCAGCCTGGGCAACAGAGTAAGACTCCATCCCTAAATAAATAAATAAATAAATAAAATAGCTGGGCATGGTGGCTCATGCCTGTAATCCCAGCACTTTGGGAGGCCAAAGCAGGAAGATATCTTGAACCCAGGAGTTCAAAATCAGCCTGGTCAACACAGTGAGACTTTTGCTCTACAGAATAAAAATAAAAAAATTAGGAAGGTGTGGTGGTACATGCCTGTAGTCCCAGCTAATGGGGAGGCTGAGGCAGGAGGATCACCTGGGCCCAGGAGATCGAGGCTGCAGTGAGCCATGATTGTGCCAGAGAGAGAGCCTGTGTCAAAATAAAATAAATTAAAAAAAAAAAGTCAAAATACGCTGGGTATTGTGGTTCACAACACTTTGGGAGGCCAAGGTGGGCAGATCACCTGAGACCAGGAGTTGGAGACCAGCCTGGGCAACACAGTGGGACTCTGTCTCTACAAAAAACTGAAAAATTAGCTGGGTGTGATGGTGCCTGCCTGTAGTCCCAGCTGCTCAGGAGGCTGAGGTGGGAAGATTGCTTGAGACTGGGAGGTTGAGGCTTCAGTGGGCCATGATGGTGCCACTGCACTCCAGGCTAGGTGACACTGTGAGATGTTGCCTCAAAAATAAATAAACAAATAAACAAATAACAAAAAAACAAAATAAAATAAAAACACCACTCCAGATCTCAAACAAGTCTTTGACAAAAACAAAGACCAAACACCATTCACCGTCTTAGCTATCTGTCAGGAAATACCTCACCTGGAAAAGTAGTTCTAAATATGGGGTTTACATCCCTCAGTTTCCTTCCTTTCAGAAATCCTGGCTCGGTAATTCTTCACTACCTTGTTGGCTTTCCAATAATATCAAGCAGAGATCTTTAAAATATTTTTCCAATTTTACCAGCGTTGGTCAGAATTACATAGTTACCAATACCAGACGTCCAAATTCTTCCTCACTCCTACTTTCCCATGGGAAAAGCACTCTAAGAATCACGACTTGCTATGAAACAAAATGACAGTGGAAATGCTAACAGTGTAACAATTACCTAAGCACCAAAACAATGAACTGAAGTGCCATCCAAGGGAGATTCTACAAATAGAAGAACACAAGTGTAACATAGTTGAAAAAGCAACTCAAACACTTATAACAAAATATCCACCTCCCCCAAAGAGAAAAATCCTTTCTGAAAATTGAGGGATGTAAACTTTACTTGGGAATGCTTTACATTCAGTTTACAAATACCAGATGATAGTAACATACTAGCCAAGTACAGGTGGTTGTAAGAGAATGAAAATCTGTGGAATTGTATCACAGTTGTCTATTGTGGACTTTGTTCTCATGGTCAGCAGGGCCAGGTTGGCTGATTCACCACTAAGCCTCCGAGCACACCTTGAGAACCGCTACCCTATGAAGAAGTAGCATTCAAAATTCCTGAACCCAGGCTTTCTAGAATGACCTACACTAAAAGTTTCTATTTTGAGATTTCTATCATTCTCTGATTAGGTTACAATGGAATGGATTAGGTTTTACTGATTAGATAAATAAAAATACCCTTCTCAAATCCACCTTAATCCTCTCCCTGGGTCAGCTTGATTAGATTTTAAGTTTCACAAACCCCCAAAGTTTGATGATATTGTCTATTATGTATCCGCTTAACCAGATGAATTGAGAAGATTGCCAAGTTTTAGACATGATTTCCACATTGTCTTGATCAGACAACACTCAGCAAACAGCCTTAGACAATGTTTGGATAAATACTAATCCGTTTCCTTTACCTCTTCAAGTTTTGGTTTTCTCATCTTTTTTAAAATTAGTTTTTAATTTTGTTTAAATTATTATTTTTTTAGAGACAGAGTCTCTGTTGCCCAGGCTGGCAAGCAGTGGTGTCATCATGGCTCACTGCATCCTTGACCTCCAGGGCCTAAGCCAGTGAGAGTGGCAGGAGGCAGACAAATGCCTAGGCAGATAAGGGTGAGTCCCGGGTGAAACCCCACCTCCAAGCTGAAGACCGTTTAAAGCCTGAAGCCCAAGCTACAAGTTAAATCCTCCGACTGTATTGAGAACTTTCTTCCTGTTTGGTGTACTTTCCTCTGATTGGGCCCCACCCTTCACCTGTTTTACATATACCTACCCTTTCCTAATTGGTTTTTCTACACTGTTGTGCCCACCTTTGAGTGGTGTCTTTACTTGAACCTTTTTTGCATACTCACAAACCAGTCAGCACACACTCTCCATTCTAAGTCCATAAAGGGCCCCAGACCCAACCACCTGGGGGACTTGCCCGCTTTCAAGTAGGGTAGGGGAACCACCCCTCACATCCCCTCTGCTGAGAGCTTTCCTTTTGCTTAATAAATTCTACTCCACTCACTCTCCAGTGTCCATATTCCTAATTTTTCCTTTTTCTAGGTAAAGAACTCAGACCTAGCTGAGCTAAGGAGCAGAAAGACTGCAACGCCATCCTCCCACCTCAGCCTCCTGAGTAGCTGGGACCACGGGTATGCACCACCATGCCTGGCTAATTTTTTTAATTTTTAAATTGTTTTTGTAGAGATGGGGATCTCACTATGCTGCCCAAGCTGGTCTTGAACTCCTGAGCTCAAGCAATTGGGGATTACAGGCCATAAGCCACCATGCCCAGCCAGTTTTCTCATGGGAAATGGGAATAATAATTTTGTCCATGTCATAGATATTTTGGGAGTTTTAAATGAAATAATGACTATAAAAGTCTTTTTTGTTTGTTTGTTTGTTTGTTTTTGACAGAGTCTTGCTCTATCACCCAGGCTAGAGAGCAGTGGTGTGATCTCTGCTCACTGCAACCTCTGCCTCCCAGGTTCAAGAAATTCTCCTGCCTTAGCCTCCTCAGTAGCTGGAATTACAGGCATGCAGCACCACACCTGGCTAATTTTTTTGTATTTTTAGTAGAGGCAGGATTTTGCCACACCGGCAGGCTGGTCTTGAACTCCTGACCTCAAGTGATCTGCATGCCTTGGCATCCCAAAATGCTGGGATTACAGGCTAATTTTTGTACTTTTTAGTACAGAGTTCTGTCATGTTGCCCAGGCTGATCTCAGACTCCTGAGCTCAAGCGATCTGCCTGCCTCAGCCTCCCAAAGTGCTGGGATTACAGGCGTGAACCACCGCGCCAGGCAATTATAGAAGTCTTAACACGGTGTGTGGCACAGGTAAACATTTGCTAACAGGACAGTCTCTAGTGTTTGTTGGAGGCACTGCTCTGATAGGATTATTTGGGTGCTGAGCTGGTGCCTCAGGCCCTGGAAGGTAATTCTTTAAGGGAAATCTATGGATGAGTGTCAAGTGTTCTGTTGGGATTGCATCATTTGACTGGATGGGGAGGCAGCTGAAGGTTGGTTCCACGTGGCTGTGGCTAAACTGACTTTAGAATCTATACACCAGGCCTGGTGAGGTGGTTCACGCCTGTAATCCCAGCACTTTGGGAGGGCGAGGCGGGTGGATCACCTGAGGTCAGGAGTTCGAGACCAGCCTGGCCAACATAGTGAAACTCCATCTCTACTAAAAATACAAAAAATTAGCCTGGCATGGTGGCGGGTGCCTGTAATCCCAGCTACTCCGGAGGCTGAGGTAGGAGAATTGCCTCAACCCGGGAGGCGGAAGTTGAAGTGAGCCGAGGTCATGCCATTGCACTCCAGCCTGGGCAACAAGAGCAAAACTCCATCTCAAAAAAAAAAAAAAAGAAAAAAAAAGAAAAAGAAAAAAAGAAAAAAAGAATCTCTACACCTGAATAATAAAAGCTAAAGTTAAAACTAAGGAGTGGCTGGACACGGTGGCTCACGCCTGTGATCCCAGTACTTTGGGAGGCTGAGGCGGGCAGATCACTTGAGGTCAGGAGTTCGAGACCAGCCTGGCCAACATGGTGAAACCCCGTCTCTACTAAAAATACAAAAATCAGTTGGGTGTGGTAGCGCAGGCCTGTAATCCCAGCTACTAGGAATACTGAGGCAGGAGAATTGCTTGAACCCAGGGGGCTGAGGTCACGCCACTGTACTCTAGCCTGGGCGACAGAGCGAGGCTCTGGCTCAAAACAAACAAACAAACAAAACCTAAGGAGTTAGTCATGGATCTCAGAATGAAATCATGGAGCACAGAACGTGTGGTAAGGTTCTGAAAACTGAAATCTTTGTAACTTTCTCATGTGTGCTCATTTGCTCAATTTCCCCCTGCAGGTTTTCCTATTATAGTTACCAGCACTTTGCAATGTCCTGGCCCGATGGGGCTAAATGCTTTATCAGCTTTATTTCATTCAGTGCTATTCTATTAGACCCATGTTATAGGGGAGAAAATGGAGGCTCAGAGAGATTAAGTAAATGATTTCTTGTCTGGCTCAAGCGCTGGATTTCCGAATACAACATCTTATGGAGTTGTTGAATTTGAATTTTGGGAGGCCGAGGCAGTAGGATTGCTTGAGCCCAGGAGTTTGAGGTTACAGTGAGCAGTAATCACCACTGAACTCCAGCCTGGGTGACAGAATGAGACCTCATTTCAAAAAAATAAAAGTGTCAACACTCAAATTCAACAACCCCATAAGGTGTTGTATTCGGAAATCCAGCTCTTGAGCCAGACCAGCCTGGGCAACATGGGGAAACCTAATCTCTATTCTTTAAAATAATAATAATAATAATAATTCTGTATCAGATACTTTTTTTTTTTTTCCTTGAGAGGGAGTCTGGCTATATGGCCTAGGGTGGTCTCGTACTTCTGCGCTCAAAAGATCTTACTTCTTCAGTTTCTGGAATAACTGGGATTACTGATGTGAGTCACTGCACCTGGCTGTATCAGACACTACCGTGTGCTAGTTAATTTAACCATCGTAACATGCAAGAAAAGTATAGATATCCTCATTTAACAGATGAGGGAGCTGGACTCATGCTCTCAAGGTCACATGGCTAGAAAATAGCAAAGCTCACATCTTTAACTTCCAACTCATTCAGAGATTAAAATCTCTGTCTTCTATTTTTTTAAACAAAAGTAACATTCTGTTTTTTAAAGTAAAGATAGGCTGGGCGTGGTGGCTCATGCCTGTAATCCTGGCACTCTGGGATGCCGAGGCAGGCGGATCACTTGAGGTCAGGAGTTCAAGACTAGCCTGGCCAACGTGACGAAACCCCGTCTCTACTAAAAATAGGAAAACTAGCTGGGCGTGTTGGTGCACACCTGTAATCCCAGCTACTCAGGAGGCTGAGGCAGGAGGATTGCTTAAACCTGGGAGGCAGAGGTTGCAGTGAGCCGAGATTGTGCCACTGCACTCCAGCCTGGGCGACAGAGTGAGACTCCATCTCAAAAAAAATTAAAAAAAAAAAAAAAAGATAATACATGCTCAAACAATGTAAACAACATGGATACCAATTTTCTTATACACTTGTAGAAACACTATGTTAATAATCATTTTAATTTTGGCCAGTGTGTTTAATGGATGAAAATATTATACTTTAAAGTTGCATTTCTTTTATTAGTTATTTTTTCTCATCTTTTACAGCTTTGAGATTATATATATATATAAAACTTTTTTTTTGAGACGGAAACTTGCTCTGTCGCCAGGCTGGAATCCAGTGTCGAGATCTCGTCACACTGCAACCTCCGCCTCCCAGTCTCAAGTGATTCTCCTGCCTCAGCCTCCCAAGTAGCTGGGACTACAAGTGCACACCACCACGCCCAGCTAATTTTTGTATTTTTAGTAGAGACAGGGTTTCACCATGTTGGTCAGGATGTTCTCGATCTCAGGACCTCATGATCCGCTTGCCTCGGCCTCCCAAATTGCTGGGATTACGGGCATGAGTCACCGTGCCCGGCCGATATATATTTCATATACCATAAAACTCACTATTTTATTTTATTTTATTTTATTTTTTTGAGGCGGAGTCTGGCTCTTGTCACCCAGGCTGGAGTGCAATGGTGCAATCTCTACTCACTGCAACCTCTGCCTTCCGTGTTCAAGTGATTCTCCTGCCTCAGTCTCCCAAGTAGCTGGTATTACAGGCACCTGACACTACGCCCAGCTAATTTTTGTATTCTTAGTAGAGATGAGGTTTCACCATGTTGGCCAGGCTGGTCTTGAACTCCTGACCTCCAGTCATCAGCCTGCTTCAGCCTCCCAAAGTTTTGGGATTACAGGCATGAGCCACCATACACGGCCTAAAATTCACTAATTTACCAGCCTGGGCAACACAGGGTGAACTCATCTCAAAACAAAAACAAAAACAAAAAAATTAGCTAAGTGTGTTGGTGCATGGCTGAAGTTCCAACTTCTTAGGAGGCCAAGGTGAGAGGATCGCTTGGGCCCTGGAGTTCAAGCCTACAAGTGAGCCATGGTTACACCACTGCACTCTAACCTGGGAGACCCTGTCTCGAAAAACAAAAGTAAAATACAAATTCACCATTTAAATCATAAAGTGTCTACTTTGGTGGTTTATGGTATACTCACAGTTTTGCAACCGTCATCGCACTCTAATTTTAAAAGGTTTTCAACACTCCAAAAGGAGACCCCATACCCATTAGCAGTACCTTCCCATTTCTGCTCTTTCATCCCTCAACCCCAGGCTACTTTTATGTTTCTTGGCTGTATGTGATTTTGTTATGTTTGTTTATTTTGGATTTATTTTATTTTGGATTTATTTCTTTCCTTTTGACATGGAATCTCATTCTGTTTCCCAGGCAGTGCTTCATCTCAGCTCACTGCAACCTCCACCTCCTGGGTTCAAGCGATTCTCTTGCCTCGGCCTCCAGAGTAACTGGGATTACAGGCGCCCATAACCACGCTCGGCTAATTTTTGTAGTTTTAGTAGAGATGGGGTTTCACCATGTTGGCCAGGCTGGTCTCGAACTCCTGACCTCAAGTGATCTGCCTGCCTCGGCCTCCCAAAGTGTTCAGATTGCAGGCATGAGCCGCTGCGCCCAGCCCATTTCGGATTTTTAGAAATTGATTACAGATTTTATTTATTTATTTATTTGATACAGGGCCTCTTTCTGTCTCCTAGGCTGGAATGTAGTGGCCCAATCATAGCTCATTGCAGCTCAATTCCTGGGCTCAAGGGAATTCTCCTGCTTTAGCTCCCAAGTAGCTAGGACTACAGATGTGTGCCACCATGCCCAGATAATTTTTAACTTTTTGTAGAGACGAGGCCTCACTATGTTGCCCAGCCTGGTCTCAAACTGCTGGCCTCAACCAATTCTACCACCTCTGCCTCCCAAAGTGCTGGGATTACAGGTGTGAGCCACCCCACCAGGACCCTGATGGGAGAAATTTTGCATTTATCATGATGATCAACCATTTCCTTATCATGTGTATTGCAAATATATATATATGTATATATACGTATATATATGTTTATATATGTATATATGTGTATATATGTATATATGTATATATGTGTATATATGTATATATGTGTATATATATGTATATATGTATATATACATATATGTGTATATATATATATTTTTTTTCTTGAGACGGAGTCTTGCTCTGTCATCAGGCTGGAGTGCAGTGGCACAATATTGGCTCACTGCAACCTCTGCCTCCTGGGTTCAAGTGATTCTCCTGCCTCAGCCTCCCCAGTAGCTGGGACCACAGGCGCCCGCCACCACTCCCGGCTAATTTTTTTGTATTTTTAGTAGAGACGGGGTTTCACCATGTTGGCCAGGATGGTCTTGATCTCTTGACCTCATGATCCACCCGCCTCGGCCTCCCAAAGTGCTGGGATTACAGGCATGAGCCATCGCGCCTGGCCGTGTACTGCAAATATTTTTTATCCATTTGTTCTACTTTGTTGATGGCATCTCTTCTCGTACAGATGTTTATATTTCTTTCAATATTTTCTTTTATGATCTTTTGACTTTGATTCATGAGTATAAACATTTTCCCTCCTCCAATTATAGAGCTTCTCCCCATATCTTCTTCTGGTCTTTTACAGTATTGCGATTTGTCTGTTTTCAATCTATTTTTTTTTTTTTTTTGAGACGGAGCCTCTCCGTGTCGCCCAGGCTCAAGTGCAGTGGCGCGATCTCTGCTCACTGCAAGCTCCGCCTCCCAGGTTCAGGCCATTCTCCTGCCTCAGCCTCCCGAGTAGCTGGGACTACAGGTGCCCGCCACCACGCCCGGCTAATTTTTTTGTATTTTTAGTAGAGACAGGGTTTCACCATGTTAGCCAGGATGGTCTCGATCTCCTGACCTCATGATCCGCCCGCCTCAGCCTCCCAAAGTCCAGGGATTACAGGCGTGAGCCACCGCGCCCGGCCTTCAATCTATTTTGAGTTTAGTTTGAGACAGTAAGACTAAAAGCACTTAACATACATTATTCCACTTAATCCTCCAGGCCATTCTGTTAAGTGGGGGTTATTTTCTTCTTCATTGTACAAATGTGGAAATGGAGGCAGGTCGATTTAAATAAGGCCGCAGAGCTAGAAAGCTGCAGAGAAGGGGTTTGAACCCTGCACCTCTGGGGCCAGGGCAGTGCGGGTGGCCGTCCGCGAACCCTGCTAGCTGTGGTGCTCGGGGGCAAGCTTCCGAGGGCGCGGCGGGCGCGAGGAGCGCGTCCGAGACTCGGTGGAGCGTCACCGGCGCAACCCCGCGTGCCCAGCTCCAGGCCGTGTTCTCCCAGGTGCGGGCCGGCGGGACCCCGCCTTCGGCCCTGGCGGCGCGCGCTCGCCTAGCGGGCGGGCACTCGCGCGCAGCGTTTGTGTTGCCTGCGAGTTTCCCGAGTTCACACAGGCCCTGGGTTGGCATGGCAACCAGGCAACCTGTTCCAGAGCCGCCAGCCTTCTCCGCACATGCCGCTGCCACCGCCGGGGCCGGGGCCGGAGCCTATCCCAGGATGCACCGCGCCAACCCAGTCCCCAGTGGGCCGCCATGTTGTCGGAGTGAAAGGTAAGGGGGAGCGAGAGCGCCAGAGAGAGAAGATCGGGGGGCTGAAATCCATCTTCATCCTACCGCTCCGCCCGTGAGTATCCGCACCCCACCGGCCCCAAACGCTGCTCCGGACCCCTAACGAGCAGATTGTCCCTTCATATTGGTGTTTGAGAGTGGTTGTGGGGGTGAGAAGGGCTTTGGAAAAGCCGCCGGGGCCCTGGCTGAGGCTTCTCACTCGCTGTTCCTCGTACATGTTTTGGAGTCAGCAGCAAGGCCCCTATTGTTATCAAAGGAGGGAGGGGGTGGGGAGCGGGGTCGAAGCTAGGAAAATGCTGGGGGTTTAGGCCCGAGCCCAGGGCGTAGACGTGCCTCTACATTTTTGCCTGGCCCTGTTGGGAACCACCGAAGATTGATGTTGCCATTCGGGTTGCTTTTTTTGATGGGTTTGCGAAGCCCCGAGTCTTCTGTGTGGCCATGAAGTGTAATTCTGTGCCACCCCGATTTCTTCGACTTCTTGAGCTTCCGTGGCAGCGCCGGAGGAGGAGGAACAATAAATCGCTTTAGAAGCAGCCGTGGCCCTTGTCCACAGGCGAGATTCACCGTGGGGGAACTTTGCGAGCCTTAAATGTGGAGAAGTGGCGATCAGGAAGTTTCAGAATGCTTTTTAGGCTCCTGGGTTGCTGTGGCCTTTTGTTTCCGTGTGAGCTTGTGTTTTTGGTGGGTTCTTCCTTTTTGAGCCTCCCGGTGTTGGTGTCTCTCTTCACTCAAAGAGGGGTTCACCCCTTGCTAGTAGGAAAATCTAGATACACAATACTAGTTTTAGTCCTCACAAACATGCTTGGTAAACATAGATCATTTGTTTTACTTGTCAGTACCATTCCCACGTCAAGTGAGGAATACACTCCTGTAACTTTTCCCTCCTATAGCCCCCCCCCCCCCCCCCGCTGAAAAAACAAAGCCAGAAACCCACACACAGCATTACCAGAGAAGGCTTTATTCTCCCGTAACTTAGATTGTTACCTTTTATTGTTCAATTAAGAAAACACTGTTCTCAGCCCTCGATACCATTTTGCTCAATTCCTGTTATTACTGGGATTAATTAAGAATAAGATTTTATGAAGCTTTTCCTGGGTTCTGTTTTAAAGTCAGTTAACTTCTGAAACAATAGGCTTAGCATTTTGTTTCTTGAAAGCACCTAAAAACTTACTAAGACAGGCCCAACCCCAAGAAATGTGGCTTCCGATGCAGTTTTCGTAAGCAAAATAAACATTTTGACCCTTTGCTAATTTTAACTTTATAAAACACTGGGGGGCTGTTGATTCTTTATCTGGGCTCTTGGGAAACGCTCTCCGGATTCTGAACTTTGAGTTAGTGTTTTGCTTTAGCGACAATTGAATTCATTTTGTTCAAGGCCACAGCTTTTTGAAGTTGGAATTTGTTTAGTTTAGGTTTAAAATGAACTGTTTTAAGATAAATTTATGACCACAGAATGTTTGTTAAGTGTGGTAAAAATAAACACCTTTTAAACCACTAAGCATTTTAGTAAAAGGTGAGCCATGGAAATAAAGTAAACCGTGTTCCTTTGAATTCAACTCAATTAGTGATATTTTAAAAAACTTTGTAAACATTTGAAAGCTGTGAAAGAGTAGCTGGACTGAGCACTTCTAGTTGCTTAAAGTACTTATAAGGTGTCATTTGTAAAAAAATCACATTTTAAATGCTACACGTATTAGTGAGCTTTTCTGATATTTAGGATACTGAGTTTTTAATTTTTGTGCCGTATTTGCCAAAATACCACAAAACTACCCAAGATAACATGTTAATTGCTTAGGTATTTGCTCACTTTGAAACTGTTCTGCCAGGTTTTCTCTGGTTTGAGAAACTGCCTTGCCTCTTTAGGTAAAGCAGGAAGTCTTAGGGCATACAGATAGCTTTACAAAAGCCAATTGTTTCGTTTGAACATTTTTATAGGAGTCTTTTCTTTCCCCCATTCCTTTTAGAATGAAGGTGTGTTTAGTGTGCGTCAGTGATAAACTCCTCTTTTATGTGGATATTCTTTGTTAGATAACTTTTTTCTTTTAAAAATTTTTATTTGTATAATTTGTGAGGTACAAGTGTAATTTGTACATGCGTGTATTGCGTAGTGGTGAAGCCAGGGCTTTTTGTGTGTCCATCACTGGAATAACGTACATTGTCCTCCTTAGGTAATCTCTCATTATCCTTCTCTCAGCCTCCTAGATAACTATTTTGAGAAGGCTTTTATTTCAGAAAAGATTGCATTTGCTGTTTTAGGAATTCTGTTAGGGACTGGAGTTGCCTTAACTAGGGGTAACTAAATTCTAAGAGTCTTAAGCACGATGACTTTAAATTTACCAAAAACTTTTATATTTATCTCATTTTCATTAAGAAAAACCCAAAACATTGAGAGTCATAGAGGAAGGATTTCTTTCATTTTCTAGATGAGGAAACAGGTAGTTTTGTTTAGTGAAAGAACTTGGGTTTTGGAACTCTTGGCCTGCTCTAGAACAAAGATTGTTAGGTCGAGATTTCCTTTTAGAACAGAATGGGACTGTCTAGTATTAGTACTAAGAGAGTAATGAATTCTTTAAAAAACCAAGCAGGGAGGCATTAGGCTGGTTTGCACTTTTGAAAGACCGATGGTGAAACCGGGCTATGACTTTTTGGTTTTGGTACTTGAGCAGGGACTAGTGTCTAGGTTAGACTACTCCAGTACCCTGCTAAGGTTCTGATGGATTGGAATTCTTAACCTAGACTAGGCATTTCCAAATTAGGCTTTAAACAAATTACAAATTCCATTGTGTCTTCTTAGGCTGGCTTCAAAAACATGAATTTAGTTGTGAGAAGCAAATGCTACTTTATCAGAAGGTTTATTTATTCAACAGAGAGATAGTAGATTTGTTATTCATGTGTTTTTGAAGCATCACAGTGGGGGTTGGGAGAAGAGATAAAGCATTTGTAGCAGTAGACTGTTAGGCCGATGGCTTTGAAATTAGACCGTGGCTGTGGACAGGTGTGTCCTAATTGGTAACTGATTTATTTACTTTGTAGCTTTTTTTTTTTTTTTTTGAGATGGAGTCTCACTCTGTCGTCCAGGCTGGAGTGCAGTGCCTTGATCTCGGCTCACTGCAACCTCCGCCTCCTGGGTTCAAGCGATTCTTCTGCCTCAGTCTCCCGAGTAGCTGGGACTACAGGTGCGTGCCACCACACCTGGCTACTTTTTATATTTTTAGTAGAGACGGGGTTTCAGTATATTGGCCAGGCTGGTCTGGAATTCTGACCTGGAGATGCGCCTGCCTCCGCCTCCCAAAGTGCTGGGATTACAGGCGTAAGCCACCGTGTCCGGACACTTTGTAGCATTTTTTAAAAGCACCCACAGGCTGGCAAGTGTTCTATCTTAAGTACAGATGCAGTTTTTGGTTTTAAGGAACTTTAGTGTTTCATAGTAACATTTGAGGGATTCTTTGTTGGTCTTCCAGAGGAGTAGAGGATACAAATGAGACATATTGTTGAGTTACTCCTGCAAGGGGTTAGTAGAAAGAAGTAAGCTTGGGAACGATTAGGGTTTGAATCCTTTCTCTGCTACTTGCTAGTTGAATGGCCTTGGAAACATCCCATTTTCCTCCTGTACCTTAGTGTTTTCATTTGTAAAATAGAAATAATAATGGCTACCTTTCAATGCTTTTGTGATGAGACAATGTCTGCGATATATTCATTACACTATTACCGTGTTGAAGCTTCTGTTTGTTTGTTTGTTTTTGAGACAGGAACTCACTCTGTCGCCCAAGCGGGTGTGCAGCCTCCCGCTCCTGGGCTCAAATGATCCTCCCACCTCAGCCTCCCTAGTAGCTGGGACTATAGGCACATGCCACCATGCCTGGCTAATTATTTTTAGTAGAGATAGGTCTTGCTATGTTGCCCAGGCTGGTCTTGAACTCCTGGGCTCAAGCTGTCTGCCCACCTCAGCCTCCCAAAGTGCTGGGATTGTAGGTATGAGCCACCACACCCAACTGAGGCTTCTGGTTTGTATAGTGAGGCTTTCTTTTTTTTTTATAATTTAAAAAAATTATTTTATTTATTTATTTATTTTGAGACAGAGTCTCGCTCTGTCGCCCGGCTGGAGCACAGTGGTGCGACCTCTGCCTCCCTGGTTCAAGTGATTCTCCTGCCTCAGCCTCCCAAGTAGCTGGGATTACAGGCGCGTGCCACCAAGCCTGGCTAATTTCTGTGTTTTCAGTAGAGTCGGGGTTTCACCATGTTAGCCAGGATGGTCTTGATCTCCTGACCTCATGATCCACCCGCCTCGGCCTCCCAAAGTGCTGGGATTACAGGCATGAGCCACCGTGCCCAACCTCCATTGGCCTTCTTAGAGCCTTATTTTTTAATAAAATAATAGAGATGGGGGTCTCACTGTGTTGCCTAGGCTGGTCTTCAGCTCCTGGCTCAAGCGATTCTCCCTGCCTAAGTCTCCGAAGGTGCTGGGATGACAGGAGTGAGCCACTGTGCCCAGCCTGTAGTGAGGCTTTCTACACTAATATGAAGTGTTTAAATTTGGTTTGGTCTCATCCTGTTTATAGTAGTTGAAGTACTAATGGCATAATGTGATTACAGTTAATAGTTGTAAGTTACTGGTAAAAATATTAATGCTTTTAAAAATCAGTGACAACTGAGGAGAGGGCTTAGGCTAAAAGCATTCTGCTGCTGTTCTTGGTCAGAGGGTTTTATTGTTTCTTTAAGAAATATCCTATCAATATATTGGAGGTTTTATTTATTTATTTATTTATTATTTTTTTTTTTTTTACTGAAACAGAGTCTCGATTTGTCGCCCAGGCTGGAGTGCAGTGGTGCGATCTTGGCTCACTGCAACCTCTGCCTCCCGGGTTCAAACGATTCTCCTGCCTCAGCTTCCCAAGTAGTTGGGATTAAAAGTGTGTACCACCACACCCAGTTAATTTTTGTATTTCCAGTAGAGATGGGGTTTCATAATGTTGGCCAGGCTGGTCTCGAACTCCTGACCTCAAGTGATACACCTGCCTTGGCCTCCGAAGTGTTGGGATTATAGGCGTGAGCCACCTCGCCTGGCCAATATGTTGGACACTTTAAGGGATCCTTTCAAATTACACAATCTGAGCCATTGCTACTTATATATGGGTTTAGGCTTTTGTTTAGTTATTAGCATATGTCTGCTCCAGCTGTAAAGTTGTGATTGATTGATTGATTGATTTTTTGAGAGAGAGTCTCGCTCTGTCACCCAGGTTGGAGTACAGTGGCATGATCTCGGCTCACTGCAACCTTTGCCTTCTGGATTCAAGCCATTCTCCTGCCTCAGCCTCCCGAGTAGCTGGGATTACAGGTGCCCAGCACCATACCTGGCTAATTTTTATATTTTTAGTAGAGATGGGGTTTCACCATGTTGGCCAGGCTGGTCTTGAACTCCTGACGTCAGGTGATCCACCCACTTTGGCCTCCCAAAGTGCTGGGATTACAGGCATGAGCCACCACACCCGGCCGAAGTTGTGATAGTTTTAAAAAGGCTTTTGGGGCTGGGCGCGGTGGCTCACGCCTGTAATCCCAGCACTTCCGGAGGCCGAGGTGGGTAGATCACCTGAGGTCGGGAGTTCGAGACCAGCCTGGCCAACATGGTGAAACCCCGTCTTTACTAAAAATACAAAAAATTAGCCACCCGTGGTGGTGGGCGCCTGTAGTACCAGCTACTCAGGAGGCTGAGGCAGGAGAGTCGCTTGAGTCTAGGAGGCGGAGGCTGTAGTGAGCCGAGATCGCGTCATTGCACCCTAGCCTGGGCAACAGGGGCAAAACTCTTGTCTCAAAAAAAAAAAAGCTTTTGTTCATTTAAAAACTGTCAGTTGGTTTGAGGTATAAGTAAGTTGGGTAGACTGATAGAAGTCTAATTCTGTATTGCTATGTGTTGGTTAACAACATAAACTTCTCTGAAGTGGTAGTATTGAGTTCTGATCCCAATACCTTGCCAGAGTGCATGCCACCAACGACATTTATTTATTGTAAAAGACATGGGGTTCATGTTTTTATCTTAGTGTGTTTTATGTTTCAAAAGATGGAAATATTAAATATTTGTAACCTGTTTGTCCTTAGGTGTTGGTGGAATGAGCGTTGCATGTGTCTTGAAGAGAAAAGCAGTGCTTTGGCAGGACTCTTTCAGCCCCCACCTGAAACATCACCCTCAAGAACCAGCTAATCCCAACATGCCTGTTGTTTTGACATCTGGAACAGGGTCGCAAGCGCAGCCACAACCAGCTGCAAATCAGGCTCTTGCAGCTGGGACTCACTCCAGCCCTGTCCCAGGATCTATAGGAGTTGCAGGCCGTTCCCAGGACGACGCTATGGTGGACTACTTCTTTCAGAGGCAGCATGGTGAGCAGCTTGGGGGAGGAGGAAGTGGAGGAGGCGGCTATAATAATAGCAAACATCGATGGCCTACTGGGGATAACATTCATGCAGAACATCAGGTAAAAAAAAGTTCACTATTTTAGCTTTGACATTCCTTTATAATCACTGTCCACTTAGGATATCTGCTTTCAATGAATGTCTTTAAAAACTTAAATTGCTGATTTCATTTGGTACAAACAGTTACTTGTTATAAAGGTTGATCATTGTAATACTGTTACTGGGTCATTTATCATTCTGGTGCTAAATAGTAAATAGCCAATTCATTCATTCATTCATTCATTTGAGACAGAGTCTTGCTCTGTCACCCAGGCTGGAGTGTAGTCGCCTGATCTCGGCTTGATCTCGGCTCACTGCAGCTGCTGCCTCCCAGGTTCAAGCAGTTCTCCTGCCTCAGCCTCCTGAGTAGCTGGGACTACAGGTGTGCACCACCACGCCTGGCTGATTATGTATTTTCAGTAGAAACAGGGTTTCACCATGTTGTCCAGGCTGGCCTCGAACTCCTGACCTCAAGTGATCTGCCCGCTTCGGCCTCCCAAAGTGCTGGGATTACAGTTGTGAGCCACCCACGCCCGGCCTATAGAATGCATTTTTTTTTTTTTTTAAGACGGAGTCTCACTCTTTTGCCCAGGCTGGAGTGCACTGGCGCGATCTCTGCTC
This sequence comes from Homo sapiens, assembly GCF_000001405.40. NCBI lineage: Eukaryota > Metazoa > Chordata > Mammalia > Primates > Hominidae > Homo > Homo sapiens. The sequence goes on along the minus strand of NC_000001.11, from coordinate 31,058,605 downwards.
ACTGCAAGCTCCGCCTCCCAGGTTCATGCCATTCTCCTGCCTCAGCCTCCCGAGTAGCTGGGACTACAGGTGCCCGCACCATGCCTGGCTAATTTTTTGTATTTTTTTTGGTAGAGACGGGGTTTCACTGTGTTAGCCAGGATGGTCTCTATCTCCTGACCTCGTGATCCACCCATCTCGGCCTCCCAAAGTGCTGGGATTACAGGCGTGAGCCACTGCGCCCGGCCTACAACGCATTTTTAAGAACACTTTTTTTGGAACAAAGGATTCTTTTTTTTACTGTTGACATAAGAACTGCTAGGGTTGTTTATAGGATAGATACATATTTTTGAATCTTTTCTCTTGGGTGTGGGTGACTTGATTTTAAGATGTTGTAGTTGAAAGTAGGGGGAAGTTGATAACATCAGCTGCTCAAGTGAAATTTATTTGAAATGGGACTGATATATTGTGTCAGAGAGAAGTGGTTGTGGCTTTTAGGTTTTAACCACCTTTGTCCTCTTGTTATTGTTTAATTTTTAATTTTAACATGTTCAGTCTTATTAATCTAAAACCATAGTGGGAATCATAGCATATTTTACTGAGAAGAGAGGTTAGCCTTATCCATGTTTCCTGATTTCTTGATAATGACCAACCAAAAGATTAGACTGTTTTGATCAGGGTATTCTTTGAAATTGGGTATAGGTTGAATTTGGAAAGGTTCATTTTGTGTCACCCGTCAGTACTGATTAGCGAGAACTGACATTTTTCATTAGGCTTCTAGTGCTTCTGTTTTACTTCAGAAAAAATCAGGTACAAACATACCTGCAAGTCTGATTTTATTATACTTCCTCTGATCCCCCCAAAAGTGAACCATAGTTGTTTTTTTTTTTTTTTTTTTTTTTGAGATGGAGTCTCGCTCTGTCGCCCAGGCTGGAGTGCAGTGGCACAATCTCGGCTCACTGCAACCTCCCCCTCCCAGGTTTAAGCAATTCTCCTGCCTTACCTTCCCGAGTAGCTGGGATTACAGGCACCCACCTCCATACCTGGCTAATTTTTGTATTTTTAGCAGAGAGAGGGTTTCACCATGTTGGCCGGGCTGGTCTTGAACTCCTGACCTCATGTGATCCACCTGCCTCAGCCTCCCAAAGTGCTGGGATTACGGGTGTGAGCCACCATGCCCAGCCCTTTTTTTTTTTTCTTTTTCTTTTTTTTTTTTTTTTTGAGACAAGGTCTGGCTCTGTCATCCAGGCTGGAGTGTGGTGATATGATGATATTGGCTCACTGCAACCACGGTCTCCCTGGTTCAAGCGATCCTCCCACCTCAGTCTCCTGAGTAGCTGGGACTACAGGTTTGCAACACTACACCCGGCTACTTTTGTATTTTTTGTAGAGACGGGGTTTTGCCATGTTGGCCAGGCTCTACTTTGAGCCCAGGCTCACAGTGATCCACCTGCCTTGGACTCCCAGAGTGCTGGGATTGCAAGTGTGAGCTACTGCATCTGACCAGTTCTTTACTATAGTCGAAACAAAGACAGGCTGGGTGCAGTGGCTCATGCCTGTAATCCCAGCACTTTGGGAGGCCGAGGTGGGTGGATCACCTGAGGTAAGGAGTTTGAGACCAGCCTGACCAACATGGTGAAACCCTGTCTCTACTAAAAATGCAGAAATTAGCCAGGCGTGGTGGCGCATGCTTGTAATCCCAGCTACTTGGAAGGCTGAGGCAGGAGAGTCACTTGAACCTGGGACAGGGAGTTTGCAGTGAGCTGAGATCTTGCCATTGCACTCCAGCCTAGGCAATGGGTGAAACTCCATCTCAAAAAATAAAGTAAAAAATTAGCTGGGCGTGGGGGCACATGCCTGTGTTTCCAGCTGCTTGGGAGCCTGAGGTGGAAGGATTGCTTGAGCGTGGGTGGCAGAAGTTGCAGTGAACAGAGATCATGCCACTGCACTTCAGCCTGGGCAACAGAGTGGGACCCTGTCTCAAAAAAAAAAAAAAAAAAAAAAAAAAAAAAAAAAAGAAAAGAAAAGGAAGGTTTTCAGCTGTAAGGCTGAAAGAAGGCTCACCCCTGCAATCTCAACACTTTGGGAGGTCAAGGCAGGTGGATCACCTGAGGTCAGGAGTTCAAGACCAGCCTGGCCAACATGGTGAAACCCCGTCTCTACTAATAATACAAAAAAATTAGCCTGGCATGGTGGTGCACACCTGTAATCCCAGCTCCTCGGGAGGCTGAGGCAGGAGAATCGCTTGAACCCGGGAGGTGGAGGTTGCAGTGAGCAGAGATCACACCATTGCACTCCAGCCTGAGTGACAAGAGCGAAACTCTGTCTCCAAAAAAAGAAAAAAGAAAGATTTTCTCTTTCTTTGGGATGAAGATATGCACAGAATTTGGTGATTGAATTAGAAATCTTATATCCTGGAAAGATGAAGTAATGGAGGAAAAGTACAGAGTGCCTCTGGTTTGGGACACAGTGATTACATTTGATAGGACACCTGTTGAGTTTGAGGTAGAAGCAGAATATCTGGGTGTATACTGTAGGCAGCTCTACCTGTAGCAGGAAATCAAGGTAGGAGGTATTTGATTTGGGTGGCATCTGTGTAGTGGGGCAAAAACAAACCCTGTAATCTCTGTACTATTTGGCTAAATGTTATTCAAAAATCATAAACATTGGTTTTTTAAAATCTGTAATAAAGATCTATAAGATCTTTTGTTGTGTTTCCTAATGATAGACTGATGGGTGGAAGCTGAAAGGAGAGTCAAGGTGCCTGGCAGGTTCTTTGCTAGGTGAGCAAATCAAACTCTAGGTCAGTCCTTGGCAGAGCTCTAAGATCTGATTATTGCTGTGCAAGTTAAGAAGCGTTTATTGAAGGCTTACTCAGGCCTCTGTCTTACACTGAGCCCTATCATAAGGAATCACATCTGACTTACTGAGCAGTTTTATCCAGGTCAGTTAGCAAACTTGAGTTAATAATAGTAAATGGCAAAACCTGTTTCCCACTCAGGTGGCCTAAACCAGTGACCTTGGAATTGGCATTCATCATTACAACACAATTCTTTGGGCTGGACGCATGAAATAATGAACAACGTTGGGGAACTCAGGGTAGTTGGTATATTGCAGTTGTGGACCACCCACAGGTTACTTTTCTGTAGTCATTATAGTGTATTGTACTGGTTTTAGTGTTGTTCTCACCTTCTGGACTGAACTATTCTAGATCAGAGACTTGTGTTTTTCATGCCCCTTTTCCAGGAGGTATTATGAAACTTTCGTGTTGATTGAATGAGGGAAGACGAGAGGTTCTTCAGTTTTGCGCTCAGGTAAAGGAGTGGGTCTTACAGCTCAGTCATCCTGCTGGGAAACACATGGCAACAGGTAGAGGCCACTTGATAGGCAGCTGTGCTAAGGGTAGCATAATTGAAGAGCAAAGGGGCACATCTCTAGGTGGAGAATCTCTGCCCTTATTAGCCACTGTTACGGATAGGAGGTGTAAGAGGGTGCCTGATCTGTCATGTGGGTCAGAGTGAAAAAGAGGTTGAGAACCACTGATGATAACGGAAATATTTATATGTTCTAGGCATTGGGCTATTGTATTTCCTATATATAATCCTTACAGCAATCCTATGAAGGAGATAAATACCCTTTTTTGAAAAGTGAGAAACTGAGGCTTTGTTACCAGGTAATACCTGGTTTTTGAAATCAGTCTTTGATTCCAGTGTCCACGTTCTAGATCTGTTTCTGCTTCCCTAGGCAAGATAAACCAGACAAAACTGTGCAACCAAGTGGCACATTACAGGGCCAAAGAATTGTTTTGCCATAATTTTGCTTGAAATTTAGAGACTGTAAACTTAATAATGAGATGAATACAAATGTTGACCATTCTCCTATAATTGCAGGAGTACTTGCCCCCAACTCCCAAAAGCAGTAATGGTAAAGTCCATTTTTCTTCAGTTCTGTTTTTTATTACATATGTGTTCTAAGTGGTAATGTGGATGGAAAATTATCTCTGTAGAGACAGAATGACTCAATATAAAGTGATCCTATTGCCAGCTCATTCTACCCTACCACTGGGCCTTTTTTTTTTTTTTTTTTTTTTTAGTGGCCCTTTGGCATAATGGAACAAAGTTTGAGATCGAATTGGCAGGATGCTTTCACTAGTGAACTAGCGAAGTAAAGAATATCACAGGCTGTGATGCCAGTAGCATTGGAGGGAGGGGAACTCTTTGTCATGCCAGGTACTTTATTTCTCTCGTAATTACTCCCATTTAAGAGCAATTGCTTTTACACTTTTTTCTTTTTATTTATTGAGACAGGGTTTCACTCCTGTTGCCGAGGCTGGAGTGCAATGGGCACCATCTAGGCTCACTGCAACCTCTGCCTCCTCGGCTCAAGCGATTCTTCTGCCTTAGCCTCCCTATCCTGGGACCACAGGCACACGTCACAACACCTAGCTCATCTTTGTATTTTTTGTAGAGGTGGAGTTTTGCCATGCTCAGGCTGGTCTCAAACTCCTTTTTTTTTTTTTTTTTTTTTTTTTTTGAAATAAAGTCTTGCTCTGTAGTCCAGGCTGGAGTGCAGTGACGCGATCTCAGCTCACTGCAACCTCCGCCTCCTGGGTTCAAGTGATTCTCCTGCCTCAGTCTCCCCAGTAGCTGGGACTACAAGTGTGCACCACCACGCCCGGCTAATTTTGTATTTTTAGTAGAAACAAGGTTTCACCATGTTGGCCAGGCTAGTCTCGAACTCCTAACCTCAGGTGATCCACCTGCCTCGGCCTCCCAAAGTGCTGGGATTATAGGCATGAGCCACCGTTCCTGGGCCACTTGTATACTTACATTAAAAAGTTTTTCATTTTTTGGCTGGACGCAGTGGCTCACACCTGTAATCGCAGCACTTTGGGAGGCTGAGGAGGGTGGATAGTTTGAGCCCCCAGGAGTTCGAGAGCAGCCTGGACAACATGGTGAGATCATGTCTCTACAAAATATACAGAAATTAGCCAGGCATGGTGGCGCTGTGCCTGTGGTCCCAGCTACTTGGAGGGCTGAGGTAGGAGGATCACTTGAGCCCAGGAGACGTAGGTTGCAGTGAGCCGAGATTGTGCCACTGCACTCCATTTTGGGTGACAGAGTTGAGACCCTGTCTCAAAAAAAAAAAAAGGCCTCCCAAAGTGCTGGGATTACAGGCGTGAGCCACTGCGCCCGGCAGAGAGCCCTCATTTTTGGGCCAAACTGAGGTCTTCGGAGGGAAGTGAGGGAAAGAAGTCTCATGAAAAAAATTTTTTTTTTTTTTTTGCCTGTAAAATTATACCCATAGTATACAATTAAGATAATGTGGACTGGGCGTGGTGGCTCACGCCTGTACTCCCAGCACTTTGGGAGGCTGAGGCAGGTGGATCACGAGGTCAGGCGTTTGAGACCAGCCAACATGGTGAAACCCTGTCTCTACTAAAAATACAAAAATTAGCCAGGTGTGGTGGCACGTGCCTGTAATCCCAGCTACTCAGGAGAGGCAGGAAAATCGCTTGAATCGGGGGCAGAGGTTGCAGTGAGCCGAGATCCCGCCACTGCATTCCAGCCTGGGTGACAGAGGGAGACTCTGTCTCAAAAAAAAAAAAAGATGATGGATATTGGGCCAGGCGTGGTGGCTTATGCCTGTAATCCCAGCACTTTTGGAGGCCGAGGTGGGCGGATCAGTTGAGGCCAGGAGTTCGAGACTAACCTGGGCAACATGATGAAACCCCGTGTCTACTAAAAATACAAAAATCAGCCGGGCGTCGTGGCGCGTTACTGTAATTCCAGCTGCTCGAGAGGCTGAGGCATGAGAATTGCTCTAACCCGGGAAGCAGGGCAGAGGTTGCAGTGAGCTGAGATCGCACAACTGCACTCCAGCCTGGGCGACAGAGCAAGGCTCTGTCTCAAAAAAAAAAAAAAAAGATAATGGATATGGAGCAAAATACTAGAAAATAAAGCTGGGTACATTGGCTCCTGCCTCTAATCCCAGATACTCAGGAGGCTGGGTCAGGAGGGTTGCTTGAGGCCAGGAGTTTGAGACCAGCCTGGGCAATATAGTGAGACACTGTATCTACAATAAAAAGGAAAAAAATTAGCTGGGCATGGTGGCATATGCCTGTAGTCCTACTCAAGGGAGGATCACTTGAGCCCAGGGAGTTCAGGCACTCCAGCCTGTGTGACAGTGAGATCCTGTCTCTTTGAAAAGAAAAAAAAAATGAAAAAAAGGAAATTTAAAAAACAAATACTAGGAAACACTAGACACATCTTCCCACCCAAATGAGTTATGTATTTGAAAATGTTACTCATTTTGGGCTGGGCACGGTGGCTCATGTCTGTAATCCCAGCACTTTGGGAGGCCGAGGCAGGCGGATCACGAGATCAGGAGATCGAGACCATCCTGGCTAACACGGTGAAACCCTGTCTCTACTAAAAATATGAAAAATTAGCCGGGTGTGGTGGTGGGCGCCTGTAGTCCCAGCTACTCGGGAGTCTGAGGCAGGAGAATGGCATGAACCCGGGAGGTGGAGCTTGCAGTGAGCCAAGATCGCACCACTGCCCTCCAGCCTGGGCGACAGAGCAAGACTCCGTCTCCAAAGAAAAAAAAAAGTTACTTATTTTGACAGTAATTTTTATACCTTTAGATTTTTTTCTTTCCTGAATAACATTGAAAATTTCATTACTAAAAGCCTAAGGTCAAGTCTTTGACTTGAGAGTGTTTTATTCTTGTATTGTGAAATCTGTTTTCTCTGTAAACTGCTGTGGGATAGATAAACTGGTTGATGAAATAGGGCAAAAAAATTAAAGTCGATTGGTTGAACTGTAGCCTCTGTACTGGATTATGAGGGACAGAGGTAGAAGCTTTGCCCTGGGGGAAGGGAAATTTGGAGGACAGTTCCACAGAGCTTACCCACTTTGCTTGCACTCTTTTAGCACTAGGATATATCAGTATCCATCATAGATTGACAGCCTATAGGAGATAATTCCAGAGAACCAGGCAAAAAAAAAAAATCAGTGGGTGAGGCCAGGTGCAGTGGCTCATACCTATAATCCCAGCACTTTGGGAGGCCAAGGCAGGCGGATCACCTGAGGTCAGGAGTTGGAGACCAGCCTGACCAACATGGAGAAACCCCATCTCTACAAAAAATACAAAATTAGTGGGGCGTGGTGGCGCACGCCTGTAATCCCAGCTACTTGGGTGGCTGAGGCAGGAGAATTGCTTGAACCTGGGAGGCAGAGTTTGCGGTGAGCCGAGATTGTGCCATTGCACTCCACTCTGGGCAACAAGAGCGAAATGCCGTCTCAAAAAAAAAAAAAAAAAATTCAGTGGATGAATATATTTTGACTCCACTTGTACCTTCTTTTTCTTTCACTTGGTGTGGCCATCTTAACAATGATATTCTGATACCCACCCCTGACATGTCAACCAGTCTTACTCTTCAGTGCTGTTAGTCTTTTTTTTTTTGAAGGGTTTTAAAAATTTTATTTTTATTATGTATTAAAAAAGAGCTATCATGGTTTCTTTCATTGGGGTGGATGCCTTGGATAATCCATTCAAGGAAGATCACTTCGTCCAACTTAATGCAGCCCAATTTAATGAAACCCATTTTCTTCGCTTACTGACAGAAACACTGGTGGGGCATATTGAGGCCGTAATTTGGATCAGATCTTGCTGGTCTGAGCATACGCAACAAGAGAGAGAACCCTGGCTGAATTTTTGCGAGTGGCTCCAGTAGAGCTGCTGGTGACCCATCTTGCTCTCAGGAGTGCAGTGAGACAAAAGGAAAGAGCTCCAGTTAATTTTTATACCTTGTAATTAACAGGGACTACTATGTTAAACTGGGAGGGAGCCCAAGTATTTCCCAAACTGGGGAGTCTTGACATTCCCTAGAAATGTCTTTCTGTTGTACCTGCTGATGGACTCTCTTAGACAATGAATCTTGTCTACCTGGGTAGATTGCCTTAGCATTTGTGCTAGTAGCATTTGGTTAACATGTTAAAGCTGAATAATCCATCTTTCATATTTTGTTTCTCTTACACATGTACTCTTAGAGCCTTTTCATTATGCTCAGAATTCACAAGGCTTAACATTATGTGCTTGGTCAAAGGAATCATCAGCAGGCCTTCTTCAACTATAACTTTTTCTTTTTTTTGAGACAGAGTCTCACTTTGTCACCCACTGGCACTATCTAGGCTCACTGAAACCTCTGCCTCCTTTGTACAAGCAATCTGGTGCCTCAGCCTCCTGAGTAGCTGGGATTACAGGGGTGTACCACCATGCCTGGCTAATTTTTGTATTTTTAGTAGAGACAGGGTTTCACAATGTTGTCCAGGCTGGTTTTAAACTCCTGGTCTCAAGCAGTCCTCGCACCTTGGCCTCCCAAAGTACTGAGATTAAAAGTGTGAGCCACGTACCTGGCCTGACTATAATTTTAACCTAGCCTGATTATAACTTTAAGAATTACCTTGTTCCAGTGTAAACAAAAGAAGTTCGGCTGGTTGCAATTGGCTCACGCCTGTAATCCCAGCACTTTGGGAGGCTGAGGTGGGCGGATCACCTGAGGTCAGGAGTTTGAGACCAGCCTGGCCAACATGGTGAAACCCCGTCTCTACTAAAAAATACAAAAATTAGCCAGGTGTGTTGGCGGGTGCCTGTGGTCCCAGCTACTTGGGAGGCTGAGGCAGGAGAATCACTTGAACCTGGGAGGCGGAGATTGCAGTGAGCTGAGATTGCACCACTGCACTCCAGCTTGGGCGACAGAGCAAGACTCTGTCTCAAAAAAAAAAAAAAAAAAAAAAAAGGAAGTTCAGTCAGATGCTCTTCTCTAATGCTGAATGGTACTTGATTATATATGCCTCTGAAATGGCAACTTGTAGAGATATTTATGATGTATCTTTACCTTGTTTAATTTTAGAAGGTTTTTTAAATTTAATTTTATTTTTTTGAGATGGAGTTTCATCCTTTCACCTAGGCTGGAGAGAAGTGGCAGGATCTCAGATCACTGCAACCTCTTCCTCCTGGGTTCAAGCAGTTCTCCTGCTTCAGCCTCCCAAGCAGTTGGGATTATACGTGTCCACTACCATGCCTGGCTAATTTTTTTTTTTTTTTGAGACGGAATCTTGCTCTGTTGCCCAGGCTGGAGTGCAATGGCGCGATCTTGGCTCACTGCAACCTCTGCCTCCTGGGTTCAAGCACTTCTTGTGCCTTAACTTCCTGAGTAGCTGGGATTACCGGCACATGCTACCATGCCCGGCTACTTTTTCTGTTTTTAGTAGAGACAGGGTTTCACCATGTTGGCCAGGCTGGTCTCGAACTCCTGACCTCAAGTGATCCACCTGCCTCAGCCTCCCAGAGTGCTGGGATTATAGGCATGAGCCACCGCCCCCAGCCAATTTTTGTAGTTTTTTGTTTTTTATTTTTTCAGACAGAGTTTCGCTGTCACCCAGACTGGAGTGCAGTGGCACAATCTCGGCTCACTGCAACCTCCTCCTCCCAGGTTCAGGTGATTCTCCTGCCTCAGCCTCCTGAGTAGCTGGGATTATAGGCATGTGCCATCATGCCAGCTCATTTTTGTATTTTTAGTAGAGACGGGGTTTTGCCATATTGGCCAGGCTGGTCTTGAGCTCCTGACCTCAGGTGATCTACCCGCCTCAGCCTCCCAAAGTACTAGGATTACAGGCGTGAGCCACTGCGCCCGGCCTCAAAAGGTTTTTGATGTGAAATTAGTAAAATTGTATGATAGGTGGTAGTGAGATGTGACTATGGGAATAAAAGGTCATGATAGGAAAATAAATTGGAGTAAAGTTAGAAATATGCACCAGAATAATGGGTTATAGAATTTACCCTGATGGGCCGGGCATGGTGGCTCAAGCCTGTAATCGCAGCACTTTGGGAGGCCGAGGCAGGCGGATCATGAGGTCAGGAGATTGAGACTGTCCTGGCTAACACAGTGAAACCCCGTCTCTACTAAAAATACAAAAAATTAGCTGGGCATGGTGGCACGCGCCTGTAGTCCCAGCTACTTGGGAGGCTGAGGCAGGAGAATTGCTTGAACTTGGGAGGCGGAGGTTGCAGTGAGCCGAGATCGCACCATTGCACTCCAGCCTGGGCGACAGAGCGAGACTCCATCTCAAAAAAAAAATAAAAAAAATAAAAATAAAAAGAAAAAAGAAAAAAGAATTTACCTTGATGGTCCTGGTGGCTAAAGAAAAGAGGAAAGCATAATGATTCCTGAGATTCTTACTTAGAGGAAAAAACAGCAGTTAGGGAGAGTTGTGTTTGGAATTTCAGTTATAGATGTGGTTGAAGTGCTTTGTAAACTGTAAAGTAATAAGATTTTTTTTATTTCTTTTTTTTATTTTTTATTTTATTTTATTTTATTGTTTTTGAGACAGTCTCGTTCTGTTGCCCAGGCTGGAGTGCAGTGGCGCGATATCAGCTCACTGCAAGCTCTGCCTCCTGGGTTCATGTCATTCTCCTGCCTCAGCCTCCCGAGTAGCTGGGACTATAGGCGCCCGCCACCAAGCCCAGCTAATTTTTGTATTTTTAGTAGAGATGGGGTTTCACTGTATCAGCCAGGAGGGTCTCGATCTCCTGACCTCATGATCCACCCGCCTCGGCCTCCCAAAGTGCTGGTATTACAGGCGTGAGCCACTGTGTCCGGCCTTTTAAAAAGTTTTTTAGCGGAGTCTCACTCTTGTTGCCCAGGCTGTATAGTGCAGTGGTGCGATCTCGGCTCACTGCAATCTCCACCTCCTGGGTTCAAGCCATTCCAATGCCTCAGCCTCCCCAGTAGCTGGGATTACAGGCATGTGCCAACATGCCCAGCTAATTTTTGTACTTTTAGTAGAGATGGGGTTTCACCGTGTTGGCCAGGATGTCTCGAACACGTGACCTCAGGTGATCCACCCACCTCCACCTCCCAGAGTGCTGGGATTACAGGAATGAGCCACCATGCCCAGCCAGTGGGATGTTATTACTTGTTTTTCATGACACCTTTCTGTATTTTCAGAAGACACACATGTCTTTTGTGCATGTGTCCATTTTCTCTCAGGCAACAGCATTTGCTGAATACTCTGCAGGCTAAGCCTGAGTACAAAATTAGGTTTCTGGGTGTGTGGAAAGAATACTTTAACAATTAGAATCTATCTAGTTATTCACTCTTGTGAAAGGACTTAAACATTCATACAGGATGAAAGAACTGACAACATAGTGCCAGGAGAGAAGTCAGTGCTGAAGTGCTGAGGATAGGGTAAATCATCTTTTTTTTTTCTTTTCCTTTTGAGAGATTTCTGATCTCCTCTTTGTTTTTTACATTCAGTTTCTTTGACTTCTGGATATTGTAAAGAGCCATAATAGCACTGTGGCTTCAGCTCAGTGTGTAGTTGTTGGCTGCCCTGGCATTTTGCTCCTTGCTGTGAATGTACTCTTTTTTTGAGATTGGGTCTCTATCTGTCGCCTAGGCTGGAGTGCAATGGTGCAATCTCGGCTTACCACAGCTTCCACCTCCCGGGTTCAAGTGAGTCCTGCCACAGCCTCCTGAGTAGCTGGGACTAGGGGTGTGCACCACCATGCCTGGCTAATTTTTGTATTTTTAGTAGAGATGAGGTTTCACTATGTTGGCCAGGCTGATTTTTGAACTCCTGACCTTATGATCCACCCGCCTTGGCCTTCCAAAGTGCTGAGATTACAGGCGTGAGCCACTGTGCATAGCCTGCTGTGAATATAATCTTACACCTCCATGTAAGAAGTGGTGGGGTCAGTGATTGGCAATAGGTTGGGTAAGTTTAATACTTGGGAATTTGGTTAAAGAACTTGGCCCTGAATGGTGTAAATGTGTTGGTACTTGCAGTTGGGCCTTGTGTGGTGGCTCATGCCTGTAATCCCAGCACTTTGGGAGACGGAGGTGGGTGGATCACGAGGTTAGGAGTTCGAGACCAGACTGACCAACATGCTGTGTGTGGTGGCAGGTGCCTGTAATCCCAGCTACTTAGGAGGCTGAGGCAGGAGAATCGCTTGAACCCCGGAGGCGGAAGTTACAGTCAGCCAAGATCGCGCCACTGCACTCCAGCCTGAGTGACAGAGCAAGGCTCTGTCTCAAAAAAAAAAAAAACCAAAAAAACAAAAAAAAAAAACCCAAAAACCCCGCTGCAGTTATTAGACTTCTCCAGAGGAATGCGCTTCATGTTTTTTGTGTAATATTTTTTTGAAAACTGTTGATTTTTTTAATTTTGTTTTGAGAGAGAGTTTCACTCTTGTTGCCCAGGTTGGAGTGCAGTGGCACGATTTCGGCTCACCGCAACCTCCACCTCCCGGGTTCAAGCAATTCTCCTGCCTTAGCCTCCCGAGTAGCTGTGATTACAGGCGTGCGCCACCACACCCAGCTAATTTTGTATTTTTAGTAGAGATGGGATTTCTCCTTCTTGGTGAGGCTGGTTTCGACCTCCCGACCTCAGGTGATCTGCCCACCTTGGCCTCCCAAAGTGCTGGGATTACAGGCGTGAGCTACCGCCCCCAGCCCTTTTTTTTTTCTAAATTATTTTGAGACAGAGTCTTACGCTGTTGCCCAGGCTGGAGTGTAGTGGCACGATCTCGGCTCACTGCAATCTCCACCTCCTGGGTTCAAGCGATTCTCCTGCCTCAGGCTCCCGAGTAGCCGGGATTACAAGCATGCACCACCACGTCCAGCTAATTTTTGTATTTTTAGTAGAGACTGGGTTTCGCCATGTTGACCAGGCTGGTCTTGAACTCCTGGCCTCAAGTGATCCACCCGCTTCAGCCTCCCAAAGTGCCAGGATTACAGATGTGAGCCAGTGGGCTCAGCCTGAACTATTGATTTTTGTTGATAGCTTATTAATGGTTTTACTAGATTTAGTAGATGTGGATTTGTCTGTTGCCATTAGTAAGTGCTCTTTTATGGTCCAAGTACCTTTCTTAATATTTTTATGAGTCTCATCAGGAAAACTGTTCTAGGTTTTTGGAAATTGGGGGCCCTAAATATTTTTAAATTCATTTTTATTCATTAATTAATATTATCATCTTGTACAGATGGGGTCTCATGTTGCCCAGGCTTGTCTTGAACTTCTGGCCTCCAGCAGTCCTCCTGCCTTGACCTCCCAAAGTGCTGGTATTACAGGTGTGAGCCATCATGCCTGGCCTGTTAAAGATTTTTTAAAATAGCAGCTTTGGCCAGTGCAGTGGCTCAAGCCTGTAATTCCCAGCACTTTGGGAGGCTGAGGTGGGTGGATCGTCTGAGGCCAGGAGTTCGCGACCTGCCTGGCCAACATGGTGAAACCCTGTCTCTACTGAAAATACAGAAAAAAATTAGCCGGGTGTGGGGGTGGGCGCTTGTAATCACAGCTACTCAAGAGGCCGAGGCAGGAGAATCGCCTGAACCCTGTCGGGGCGGAGGTTACAGTGAACTGAGATCGCACCACTGCACTCCAGCCTAGGTGATGACTTCGTCTCAAAAAAAAAAAAAGCAGCTTTACAGATTTGTAGTTTATCCATTTAAAGTGTATAATTCCAGCTGGGCACGGTGGGTCACTCCTGTAATCCCAGCACTTTGGGAGGCCGAGGCGGGTGGATCACGAGGTCAGGAGATCGAGACCAACATATGAAACCACATCTCTACTAAAAATACAAAAACTAGCTGGGCGTGGTGGCGCATGCCTTTAATCCCAGGTACTCAGGAGGCTGAGGCAAGAGAGTTGTTTGAATCCGGGAGGCGGAGGTTGCAGTAAGCCGAGATCGTGCCATTGCACTCCAGCCTGGGTGACACAGCTATACTCTGTCTCAAACAACAACAACAACAAAAAACAAAACAAAACAATAAAAATTAGCTGGGCTGGAGCCTGAGGCGGAGCTTGCAGTGAGCCGACATCATGCAATTGCACTCCAGCCTGGGGGACAAGAGCAAGACTCCATCTTAAAAAAAATATATAGTTCAGTAGTTTTTAGTTTTTAGTGTATTCATTGTTGTGCATATATCATAATCATTAATTTTAGAATATTTGCATTACCCCAAAAATCCTTTACCCAGCAGCCGTCACTCCCCAGTCTTAGGCAACCACCAGTCCACTTCTGTCTCTTTATTTGCCTATTCTGGACATAAGTGAAGCATGTTTTGTGACTGCCTTCTTTTACTTAGCATAATGTTTTAAGGGTTCATCTATGTTGTATGTAGCATTTATCAGTACATCATTTATTTTTATTTTTTATTTTTTAGATGGAGTCTCGCTGTCGCCCAGGCTGGAGTGCAGTGGCACGATCTCAGCTCACTGCAGGCTCCGCCCCCTGGGGTTCCCGCCATTCTCTTGCCTCAGCCTCCCGAGTAGCTGGGACTACAGGCGCCCGCCACCTCGCCTGGCTAATTTTTTGTATTTTTAGTTGAGACGGGGTTTCACAGTGTTAGCCAGGATGGTCTCGATCTCCTGACCTCGTGATCCACCTGCCTCGGCCTCCCAAAGTGCTGGGATTACAGGTGTGAGCCACTGCGCCCGGCCTTCTTTTTATTTTTGTATAATATTTCATTGTATAGATCTGCCACATTTAATTTATCCATTTATCAGTTGATGGGCCTTTTTTTCTTCTTTTTTGGCTATTATGGATAATGCTGCTATGAACATTTGTGTTCAAGTTTTTTTCTGTAGACATGCTTTCATTTCTCAGGTTTGAGAGTATATAAATTTGTAATGTATAGGTACAAAAATAACAAATTTCTTCACTAGGGGCAGGTGCTCATTAGAAATGGGGGATGGGAGGATTAGTTTATCTACAACTTACACTATGGATTTGGAATTTTTCCAAGCCACACATTTTACTGGGGCTAATGACTACTTTCTTTTCTCTCTGAAGGAAGTATTTGGAGGCTAACACTGTAAATAAACTTGTTTACAAACCCGGGAAGAGGAGTGCTTAAACTGTAGAGAACAGGTGTTTTCAGTGAGCTCCGTAAACTCTTTAGATGCAATGAATATGCAGTTGATTGATCTGCTGGTGACAATTTTTCTTTATTAAAGCAAGTTCCCTAAGAATTTTAACAAGGGGACAGTTCATTAACCTAGTCTTGGTTATTATATGTATTTAAAATCACCAAATTGGGTGTTAATTATTAAGAAATGTTCTCTGTAATCCCAGCAATTTGGGAGGCTGAGGCAGGTGGATCACCTGAGGTCAGGAGTTCAAGACCAGCCTGACCAACATGGTGAAACCCCCATCTCTACAAAAATACAAAAATACAAAAAAAAAAAAATTAGCCGGACATGATGGGGGGGTGCCTATAATCCCAGGTTCTCAGGTGGCTGAGGCAGGAGAATCACTTGAACCCTGGAGGCGGATGTTGTGGTGAGCTGAGATCGCACCATTGCACTCCAACCTGAGCAACAAGAGTGAAACTGTCTCAAAAAAAAAGGAAATGTTCTTTAATTTGTTAGAGTTTATTGAGTCAAATTGCTTCCCCCACCCAGTTGTCCCAAATTAGGGAGATACCACTTTTAAGGGTCAGAAGCCTTGTAAAATACAAAACAATGAAATTAATATGTCGTTCCTTTGGAGAAACTTAGTTTCATAAAGAGAGGAGGGAATTATAAAGATAATTGTTTCTGGCTAGGCGTGGTGGCTCATGCCTGTAATCCCAGCACATGAGGCAAGTGGATCACCTGAGGTCAGGAATTCGAGACCAGCCTAGCCAACATGGAGAAACCCTGTCACTACTGAGAAAAAAAAAGAAAAATCATCTGGTGCATGCCTGTAATGGCTTGACTCTTGGAGGTGGAGTCTGCAGTGAGCCGACGTCGTGCTACTGCACTCCAGCCTGGGCAACAGAGCGAGACCCTGTCTTTTAAGAAAATGGTCTTTAAGTTCAGTGTAGCCCTTAAAAGTGATGTACATGGATTAAGGACTGGAAGAAAGTACTGCAAAGTGTTTATATTTGTATGCATGGAGAGATTACAGGTAGTATGCTTTGCTCTTGTCCATTTTGTATTTTCTGAATTTCAAACAGTTAAAAAAGAAAAAAAGACAAACCTTATACCATCTGTTAAGAGCTTGGTCTGCCATTTTGAGTGAAAGCAGATGGTTTACACATTTCCAGTGGAGTTTAGATGTTAGAAAAGACCTTGGAAATCGAAATTATTTAGCTTTTTTCCCCTGATGAAGTGCTGTCCTTTGCATTAGTTATCTCTCTTTTAATTTTTAAAAAAGTTAGTAGATATGTTGAATATAGGTTGCTGAAATAGGTTGGGTGTATTCAATGAGATCTAGAGGCAATTTTATTTTATTTTATTTTATTTATTTATTTATTTATTTATTTATTTTTGATACAGAGTCTCGCTCTGTTGCCCAGGTTGGAGTGCAGTGGTGCAATCTCGGCTCACTGCAACCTCTGCCTCCTGGATTCAAGCGATTCTCATGCCTCAGCCTCCTGAGTAGCTGGGATTACAGGGATGCACCACCATGCTTGGCTAATTTTTATAGTTTTAGTAGAGACAGGGTTCCAACCATGTTGACCAGGCTGGTCTCGAACTCCTGACCTTAGATGATCCACCTGCCTCGGCCTCCCAAAGTCCTGGGATTACAGGCGTGAGCCACTGGGCCTGGCCTAGAGATGATTTTATTTTAGTATTATTTCCTTTCTGTATCTAGAATTAATAACGAGTAATCATATGCTTTGTCCTGGAAGTGTTCTAATATTTTTACATGATTTGAGCCACTCAGTACTGTATGCACATTTTTATCTTTCTCATTTTTTTTTAAAAAAAGTATGTTAGTCCATTTTGTGTTGCTATAAAGGAATATAGGAGACTGGGCAATTTATAACAAAAAGAGGTTTATTTGTCTCAGTTTTGCAGACTGTACAGGAAGTAAGTTACAGCATCTGCTGCTGGTGAGGCCTCAGGACACTTTTACTCATGGCAGAAGGCACAGTGGGAGCACATGTGTCACATGGTCAAGAGAGGGAGCTGGAGAGAGAAGAGGTTCCAGGCACTTTTAAACAGCCAGCTCTTGTGTGAATTAATAGAGTGAGAACTCACTCATTACCATGGGGAGGATATCAAGTACTTCCTGAGGGATGGGCCCCCATGACCCAGACACTACACACTAGGTTCACCTCCAACCTTAGAAGTCACATTTCAGATGAGATTTGGAGGGGACAAACATCCAAGCTATATCAAAGTATAATATCCTTTCCCCACACCCCCCGCCCCCCAGAGGATAGCTTTTCTTTAAAAAAAAAATTTACTTTTTGACTGGCCGTGATGGCTCATGCCTGTAATCCTAGCACTTTGGGAGGCCAAGGTGGGAGGATCACTTGAGTCTAGGAGTTGGAGAACAGCTGGGGCAACATACCAAGACCCCCATATCTGTTAAAAAATATTTAAAAAGCCTAGGAGTTTAGTTTTCATAAGTGCTCAGTGAATGGCATGATGCTATTCAAAATTGAATTTAATTATTTCCTTCAATTCCTGTACTGTATTCTGTTTCTGTGGTTGATATATCCATTTGTGGCATGTTAGGAGCTATCCTAGATTTCTGCCTCCTGTTTCTGCCGACAATAGTTCCGAGATTATACCTATGTTGCTTTATTTGATAGGCTCATGTTTCTTGCCTGGAGATGTTCAGTAGTCTTCTCACTGGCTTTCCTGCATCTCCCGTTTTCTTCTTTGTAGCCATTGTCTGTGCCACTGCCAAATTGATGTTTTTGAAGATACGATCTGCTTATTTCTCACCCTTTTGCTCACGCACTCGTGTGTGTGTGCGTTTTCTTTCCTGTTGCTTTTGGGATAACTTCTAAGCTCCTCCTCATAGCATAGGAGACCTTTCATGTTATTTTTTTTTTAAAGATAAAATAAATTTTTATTTTAAATTTATTATTAGTTTTAGAGATGAGG
Source organism: Homo sapiens (assembly GCF_000001405.40). NCBI lineage: Eukaryota > Metazoa > Chordata > Mammalia > Primates > Hominidae > Homo > Homo sapiens. The sequence continues at coordinate 31,040,732 of NC_000001.11, read as the reverse complement.
GTGTTCACTTTGTTGCCCAGGCTGGACTTGAACTCCTGGCCTCAAGCAGTCCCTTCCCCCTTGTGTAGCTGGCACTACAGGCATATGCCTTCGCATGCCCAGCTGTCTTTTGTGTTTTGGTCCAGCTTGCCTCTCCAGTCCTTACTGGCGCTCCATTTCGGCTATACTAAAGTATTTGTAGTTTTGTGAATACCCATCCTATTTTTATAGTTTGTGCAGTTTCTCAGCATACTAGTGCTATTTTTATTTATGTAGTTTTCTCTTTGGAATCCCCTACCTTCTTCATTTACCTGGCCTTTTCCTCATCTTTCAAGCTTCAACTAATGTATCTTCATCTCTGATAAATGTACTCCTTTACTCCCACTTTTCTCCAAGGTTGGGTGCCTGCCTTTGATGCCACTATTGTATGTCATACACATCTCATTGAAGCTTTATCTTCCTGTATTGGAGTTTAATATTTACTTTTTCCCTTAACATCCGGTGCTAGGAAGCTGTTTCAATAAAGAGATTCTTGGCGGGGCATGGTGGCTCATGCCTGTGATCCCAGCACTTTGGGAAGCCAATGTGGGAGGATCGCATGAGCCTAGGAGTTCTAGAAGAGCTGTGGCAGCATAGTGAGACCCTTGTCTCTATTTTTTAAAAAAAAGAGATTCTTGGGCTTAAGTCCAGTCCTGCTGAATTAGAATTCTCAATGATAAGACACAGTTCATGTATTTTGTTTTTAATATTTATTATTATTATTTTTGAGATGGAGTTTCGCTCTTGTCGCCCAGGGATTACAGGTGTGAGCCACTGGGCCCAGCATGAGTTTTTTTAAATTTCTTGTGAGATAGAGTCTTGCTCTGTCTCCCAGGCTGGAGCACAGTGGCAGCATCTCAGCTTTCTGTCTCACTGCAGCCTCTGCCTCCTGGGTTCAAGCGATTATCCTGCCACAGCCTCCCAGGTAGCTGGGATTACAAGTGCGCCACCATGCCTGGCTAATTTTTGTGTTTTTAGTAGAGACGGGGTTTTACCATGTCAGCCAGGCTGGTCTTGAACTCCTGACCTCAGGTGATTAGCCTGCCTCAACCTCCCAAAGTGTTGGGATTACAGGCGTGAGCCACTGGGTCCAGCCTAACATCTTTTTATATACACCCATCTATAGCCTACGTTATAGAATCCTTACACATACATAACATTTTTCTGTGTTTAAAAAGTTTTAGCCTGGGTAGGCTGGGTGCAGTGGCTCATGCCTGTTATCCCAGCACTTTGGAAGGCTGAGGTGGGTGGATCACAAGGTCAGGAGATTGAGACCATCCTGGCTAACACAGTGAAACTCTGTCTATACTAAAAATACAAAAAAATTAGCCGGGTGTGGTATCAGGCGCCTGTAGTCCCAGCTACTCGGGAGGCTGAGGCAGGAGAATGGCACGAACCCGGGAGGCAGAGGGAGCTTGCAGTGAGCTGAGATCGTGCCACTGCACTCCAGCCTGGGTGACAGAGCCAGACTCTGCCTCAAAAAAAAAAAAAATTTTTTTTTTGTTAGCGTGGGTAACAGGGAGACCTCATTGCTATAAAAAAATTAAAAAGTCAGCCAGGCATGGTGACATACACGTGTAGTCCCAGCTACTCAGGCAGCTGAGGTGGGAGGACTGCTTGAACCTGGCAGGTTGGGACTGCTGTGAGCTGTATTTGTGCCACTGCATTCCAGCCTGGGTGACAGAATGAGGCATTGTCTCAAAAAGAGAAAAGGAAAAAAAAAAAAAAAATATATATATATATATATATATATATAAAATTTTAAAACATTTTAAATGGCTATATAAATTCTCTAAGTATATGCTTTAATAATTACTGCTGTATTTAGACTGTTTCCATCTTTTCCTATTACAGTACCAGGTTAAAGATGTTTGTTAACAAATCTGTGCCCATATTTCTCATGATTTGCTTAGGTTAAATTCCTAGAAGTGGAATTACCAGATCAAAGGGCATGAATATTAATCAAACCCATATTACATATTGTCAGATGTCCAGAAAAGTCAAATAAAGCAAGGTAAAGTTGTGTGTATTTGTATGCGTGTTTTAAAGAAGGATAAGAATCATCTTAAAGAACCTAGCTCTAGCAGTACTATTTCACCACTTGTATGACTAAGGGCAGTTTCTCACATTACAAATATTTGTATGTAATGCCTGTCATGTTTTTGATACTGTGCTAGACGCTCAAGGGATTATTTTTAGGGAGATAAGACAAATCACCATAGCACTGTTAATAAGGTGCGGTTTGGTACTTGGCGGGTGTTACTTCAGATGTTAAGGAGAGTGTAGAAAGTAGTGTCTACCATGGTCTTTGAACAGTAGTCTACATTTCTGCAATGCCTAGTCCATCGCAAAGGGAGAGCAAATCAACTAGAGAAGTAATCGCAGGTTAAAGTTTTTCCCCCTTGTTTAAATAATTTCTACCCCCTCAGTTCATGGAGACTAACACTGTAGGCATGCCTGGTAGCTGATAGTTCTCCTCTGAACATATTTCTCTCTCTCTTTTTTTTTTTTAACCTTTAGCTTTAAAGATCATCTGCATTTTCTTCTGTAATAAAAGGTATCCACCCATTTGGCCATGTTTATTTATTCTTTAGCAGTTGAAGTATTAAATGATGCCAGGGTTTTTTTTTTTTTTTGAGATGGAGTCTCACTCTATTTCCGAGGCTGGAGTGCAGTGGCGAAATCTCGGCTCACTGCAACTTCCGCCTCCTGAGTTCACGCCATTCTCCTGCCTCAGCCTCCCAAGTAGCTGGGACTACAGGCCCCTGCCACCACGCCTGGCTAATTTTTTTGTATTTTTTAGTAGAGACGGGGTTTCACCGTGTTAGCCAGGATGGTCTGCTGACCTCCTGACTGTGTTAGCCAGATGATCTCCTGACCTCGTGATCTGCCCACCTTGGCCTCCCAAAGTGCTGGGATTACAGGTGTGAGCCACCACGCCCGGCCCTAAATGATGCCAATTTTTATTTTAAATCCTGAATAATCTTATATTCCTTCTTTCTTTTTTTGAGACTGAATCGTGCTTTGTCGCCCGGGCTGGAGTGCAGTGGTGCAATCTTGGCCGCTTCCTTGGTTCAAGCAGTTATCCTGCCTCAGCCTGCTGAGTAGCTGGGAATACAGGTGCCCGCCACCACGCCCAGCTAATTTTTTGTATTTTTAGTAGAGGCAGGGTTTCACCATGTTGGCCAGGCTGGTCTCAAACTCCTGACCTCAAGTGATCCGCCCGCCTTGGCCTCCCAAGTGCTGGGAGGCATGAGCCATTGTACCCAGCCTAAATTCATTATGTTTTAGATCTTTAACTTTCTCATGGGGAGGTAGATACCCAGACTTAATAAACCTTTTCACTGTCCACCTGCTAGTCTTGGAAAATAATTTTAATGAAGCGTCACCGATACTTGGACAGTTTCTGTCACGTCAGCAGAGAAATATCAACAGGAGTGATTGTAAAGTGGCTAGTCTTATGGTCCAAGTGTTACGATCTTTGATCCACTTTTCAATTTATTTCAAGATCTGATCTATATTATTTTCTAGCTCTTCTGGTTTATTGCTGAATAGTTGATGCCTGGTTTTTCCTTGTAGGATATTGTGGCTTCATAAAGAGTGAGAAATCTCACACTGAGTATTGTCTTTTAGTTTCTTCTGACCTTAACCCCTTGTTTAAGTCTTGTGTACAATACACTGGTTGGTATCTGTTCTCAGCACAAAAAACTATGTGAAGCCAGTGTTCAGGGAAGAAACCACAACCATGGTAATCAGCAGTATCTTTACCTTCTCTCATATGGTTATCTGACTCATCAATTACTCTTATCTTCATCTGAAATGGGACAGTCATACTCTTCTTCATTATAGCTATCAGACAACTGCCCTTGTGCTGAACCACCCACATTAATGTATTTTAGGCCTGGTCTTGATGTAAGTTCTTTGCCTCGTGTGGTTTTTCCTACCCTTCGTGTACTCTGAGTGTGGCTCCAAAGACCTAAACGTGTCCTCATGTATAGCCAGGAACTTCATAGCATTCTTCAAAACAGAACACTAAGCTGCTCCCCAGTGGAGAGCTCGAGGCCTCAGAGCACTCCGAATCCCTGCCTCCCCTGCTGTCCAATCCCATTTTTAGCCAAGTGCCTTGACTGGGGAGCAGGATGTTTGCCTGAACATATTTTTTGTAGAGATGAGAGTCTGCTGTGCTGCCCAGGCTGATCTTGAACTCCTGGCCTCGCCTCAAGTGATCCTCCTGCCTTGGCCTCGAAAGTACTGGCCATGTAGAGGTGTGAGCCACCCTGTATGGTCTGCTCTTGCCTTTGATGACAACAGGAACAAGTGGTAAAAGGCATAAAGAGCTGAATTTGGGCCGGGCATGGTGGCTCACACCTGTAATCCCAGCACTTTGGGAGGCCGAGGCAGGCGGATCATGAGGTCGGAGTTCAAGACCAGCCTGGCCAACATGGTGAAACCCCATCTCTACTAAAAAATACAAAAAATTAGCCAGGTGCAGTGGCACGCACTCGTAGTCCCAGCTACTCGGGAGGCTGAGGTAGGAGAATTGCTTGAACTCGGGAGGCAGGGGTTGCAGTGAGCCGAGATAGTGCCACTGCACTTCAGCCTGGGCAACAGAGTGAGACTAAAAAAAAAAAAACAAACTTGAGTTTGAATTCTATTTCGGATCTTTATCAGTTACATGATTTTGGACAAGTAATTTCTGTAAACCTTGGTTTCCTCGTATATAAAATGGAATAACGTCTGTTTCGCAGTGCCAGTGCCTGGTGTTTAGTGTTGTTGTTATTGACAGTTAATAAATGATATGAACATTCATTCATAACATCATGCAATAGGTTTTGCAGCCATTTATACCAAAAGAGGTTTTTTGGTTTTTTTCTCCTCCAGTAATTAGGAAAGAATGATTTATCTATATTTTGTTTAAGGGCTGTAATAACTTCTTGCTATTCTTTTCTTTTTTTTTTTATTTGAGATGGAGTTTCACTCTCGTTGCCCAGGCAGGAGTGCAGTGGCGCTATCTCGGTTCACTGCAACCTCTGCCTCCCAGGTTCAAGCAATTCTCCTGCCTCAGCCTCCTGAGTAGCTGGGATTACAGGTGCACGCCACCATGCCCGGCTAATTTTGTATTTTTAGTAGAGACGGTGTTTCTCCATGTTGGTCAGGCTGGTCTCGACCTCCTGACCTCAGGTGATCCGCCCGCCTCGGCCTCCGAAAGTGCTGGGATTATAGGTGTGAGCCACTGCGCCCCACCAACTTCTTGCTTTGCTTCCAAAATGGGAATAATATTATCTGTGTTTTCAGGGTAGTTATGACTTTTTTTTTTTTCTTTTGAGACAGACTTGTTTTGTCACCCAGGTTGGAGTGCAGTGGTGCAGTCTCGGCTCACTGCAACCTCCGCCTCTCGGGCTCAAGTGATTCTTGTGCCTCAGCCTCCCAAGTAGCTGGGATTACAGGCATGTGCCATCATGCCTGGCTGATTTTCATATTTTTAATAGAGACAGGATTTTTCTCATGTTGCCCAGGCTGGTCGCAGGCTCAAGGGACCCACTTACCTCAGCCTCCTGTGTAGTTATGACTATTAAAAGAGATGATAAAGTGTATAAAGTATTTATGGGATCAGGACCAGACACAAAGTAAGTCTTAGTAATAGTTGTTATTAATACAGATATATCGTGTGCAGAAGATGCTGTAGAACAGATTTACTAGGTTTTTTTCCCTTTGTTGATTAAATTCAAATTAGATTAATTCTTATATTCTCTTTCCTTTTCTCATTGCTCAAGTTTCTCCTCTTTGCCTGCCATTTTCTCACTGGTATTTCCTTTCCATAATGGTTCCTGGCATCAACGATTCTGATTATATTGTTCTGATCTCTTTTAGTGAAATGGAACCATCATGATCTAGGTTTCTGTATGCAAAAAATCCTTGAGAACAAAAGTAGGTGTGGAGATGAAGAGCCTATCTTTATGAGGAAATAATCTAGCAAAGGCAGTTAAAAGTATGGAAATCTACTCTAGTTAACAAAAATTCAGGGGATTTAGTGAAAGAACACTAAGGACTCTCTGAACCTCAGAGCAAGAAATATATATGTGGGCTTCCTGAATACTTGGAGGCTTTCTGTTTTTTTAAAGGGCACTGTAGTCCCTTGTCTCTGCTTCTTTCAGCACATTTCTTTTCTCTATGTTGACTGCTACCTTTTGCTTATACGTCAATTAGCCACCACACCTGGGTAATTTTTGTATTTTTGGTAGAGACGGGATTTCACCGTGTTGGCCATGCTGGTCTTGAACTGCTGACCTCGAGTGAAACTGTCCACCTCAGCCTCCCAAAGTTCTGTGATTGCAGGTGTGAGCCTGTACATTTGTTTTAATATGGAAATTTTCAGTGTGATTTAATGAACTCCCCAACTCAGTGATACTCTGTTGTAACTGAGTTTGGTTTCTCTAATCAGGCAACAGACAACTAGTCAAATCGGCTCCAGTAAAGGGACGTTCATTGTAAAGACACACTGAGCAGTTCAGGACAAGAATGCCAGTAAAGCAAGTACAAGAACTGAACCAGAATGCTAGCAAAACCTGTGTCGTTTTTAGTGATTTTATTCCAGAATGCATGGTTTAACATAATGTTTGCTTTATTCTGCTTTTTAAGATTCAATGTTCAATAATACCTGCTTGAAAAATGGATAAATTGTAATTATTCAAATAATTGAATTTCTATTTGGATCATTAACTTCTTACAATTCAGAATTCCTTTGTGCCCAAGTCTGTTTGAATTTATTTTCCATGGCTGGGTGCGGTGGCTAATACCTGTAATCCCAGCACTTTAGAAGGCGGGAGGATTGCTTGAGGTCAGGAATTCAAAACCAGCCTAGATGACATAGTGAAACCTTGTCTCTACAAAAAAATTAAAAACAATTAGCTGGGTGTGGTGGTGTGTGTCTCTAGTCCTGGCTACTCGAGAGGCTGAGGTGGGAGTTTGAGGCTGTAGTGAGCTGTGATTGCGCCACTGCATTCCAGCCTAGGTAACAGAGCCAGACCCTGTCTCAAAAAAATAAAATGGGCTGGGCGTGGTGGCTAACACCTGTAAGCCCAGCACTTTAGGAGGCCATGCTGGATGGATCACTTGGGCTTAGGGCTTCGAGACCTGCCTGGGCAACATGGTAAAACCTCGTCTTCTTCAAAAAATATGAAAATTAGCTGGATACTCGGGAGGCTGAGGCAGGAGAATGGCGTGAACCCGGGAAGCAGAGCTTGCAGTGAGCCGAGATTGCGCCACTGCAGTCCGCAGTCCGGCCTGGGCGACAGAGCGAGACTCCGTCTCAAAAAAAAAAAAAAAAAAAAAAAAAAAGAAAATTAGCTGGATGTGGTGGCACATACCTATAGTCTCAGCTGCTCAGGAGGCTGAGATGGGAGGATCACTTGAGCCTGGAAGGTGGAGGTTGCAGTGAGGTGAGATCGCACCACTGCACTCCAGCCTGGGCAACAGCCAGACTCCATCTCAAAAAAAAAAAGGAAAAATCAGTAAGGTCGTCTTCTAAACTTCCTTTATTTTTTGGCTCGATAACCAATATGGTCTCCTAATTCTCTTCCTAGCCCTGTATTTAGATTTCCACCTTTTATTTCTGCCAGCCTACACTGTAGTCAAGGAAAATAACGTTTTTTTTTTTCTTTTTTTGTATTTTTTTTTAGAGACAGGATTCAAGCGATTCTCCTGCCTCGGCCTCCCGAGTGGCTGAGACTACAGGCATGCGCCATCACGCCCAGCTAATTTTTGTATTTTTAGTAGAGACGGAGTTTTGCCATGTTGGCCAGGCTGGTCTTGAACTCCTGACCTCAGGTGATCTGCCCGCCTTAGCCTCCCAAAGTGCTAGGATTACAGGTGTGAGTCACCACGCCTGGCCCACTTTATTTTATTTTTGAAACAGGGTCTCCCTCTATGGCCCAGGCTGGAGTGTAGTGGTGTTACCTTGGCTCATTGCAGCCTCCATCTCCGAGGCTCAAGCAGTCCTCCTGCTTTAGCCTCATGAGTAGCTGGGACTACAGGCACATGCCAAAAGATTTGTAAAGTGATACTTTTAATTTTTCATTTTCCAAAATGTGGTAATGTAGTTCCAGGTTTATCTATTTGATTAAAAACCTTTTTTTTTTTTTTTAAAAAAAAGATCACGCCACTGCACTCCAGCCTGGGCAACAGAGCAGGAGTCTCAAAAAACAAAACAAAACATTAACCTGAGACTCAAATAGATTGCTAGAGAAAAGGGAAGTGTAGAAGGAACTTGAAAGGCTTATTCTACCTTGATGGGAGCATTTACTCTGATTATAATTGACAGCTAGCTTTTCTCCTTTATCATGGAAAATACTTCTCCCTTCTAAAATATTTCTTACAAATATTTCTTACAGTGCCTTCATTTTTTGATTTCTCTTGATTCTTGAGCATCTTTTTCTGAGTATTAGTTTTGTTTCCTAGGAAGAATTTTGTCTGGAGAGTCTGCCCTGTGGCAGTGACTGTACAAAATACAGCTCCCAGTATGAATAAATAAGTTCCCAAATAGTTAAAAACTTTTGTGAGAGAATGACTTGGTTTATCTCATGTAGTCAACGTGGGTGACTGGTTTAAAATGTAGTTTCTGCACTAGCAAAACTCTTAGAAGTTGAGCCTCCTTTCTCAACAATTGACTGTAAGAGGTAGGGCAGGAGGGTGGTATACAGGGATAGGGAAAGAGTGTGGTTCTTATATAAATGAGGCAGCGGGAGATACCCTGAAAGAGGGAGGTGGGGAGGGTGAGTAGAGAGAAAAAGAGAGGGAGAGAAGAAACCAGAGAGAGAGAGAGAGAGAGAGGGCCAGGGGAGGCAGGGAGCGAGAGTGCGCATATCCAAAAGAGTGTAAATAGATGGTGAAAGAGAATGGTGGCAGGAAGATAGTGTAGAAAGGAATGGAAAATGCTACAAGGGCAGGATGAGCAAGTTTTGAAGGTAGGGGAAGAGATAGTGAAAAGCAAAGGCAAGACCAAGAGAGCACATTCATCGAAGCCCACAGCAGAAACTGACAGCAGTTTTATGTAGTAAAATAATAGAATATTGGAGGTGGAAACTTCCTTTGACTGCCAGGGGGCAGCTTGGTGGTACAGAAAGGGCCTTGAACTTTAAATGGGAAGACTTGGATTAAGATCCTGGCAGTGCCATGTAAGTGCTCTGAGCCTTAGTTTCCTCCTATGCTTTTCCCTACCTAACAATGGTTGGAGAAGGCATTTCTTGGAGGATCAGTTTCCTAATCTCTAAAATGGGAATAATCACTGTGAGGTTGTTGTGATGGCTACATAAATATACACAGTGCATACTTTTTTTCTTACTCCTCCTACTTAGTTTCCTTGGGACATATAAATAGAATTTTTAATATTTCTGGTTGAAACTGTATTTGTAGGTTTTTGGATTTCCAAGAAATGTCTAGCTCTATTTAAATGTATAATTAGATTCCACAGAAAGAGCTAGATACAGAGCTTTGTGCATTTGATTTACATGCTTTGTCAATGTTAATGCTGGCCTAAAGGTTTATCATTTCATATAACGTGTAGAGTTCCTAGCTAACATCCTGTCTTCATCCTCCCTACCCTCCTTTATTTTTATTATATACAGTTTATGAGTCTATTTATTGTGCTCATCTAATAATCTAAACACCATGTAAAATGATCATAGCTCCTATTTCAGGGCCTTTTTAAAACACCACAGTATTATAAGCCTTGTCTGTCTCTTTGTGCTCATGTAACTAACTGAACTTTACTCTTACTTTGAGTTTTATAAATTTCAATTTTTAGTGAGCATTCCCAATCTTTTGTATCTTAGTGATACGGTGTGTCTCATTTGTAGCATAGTATTGGCTGTGCGTTTTTAAAATATGTGACTGAAAACAATAATGCAACTGTATCTTTTTGCAGTGTTAGTTCTGACAGTTAAGATTCTTAGGTGATATAATGTATAGGCAGCTAGGCAGCATGTTATTAAATCCTTTTTTTTTTTTCCGGACACTGTCTCACTCTCACCCAGGCTAGAGTGTAGTGGCGTGATTTCTGCTGACTGCAGCCTCGACTGCCCGGGTGCAGGCTATCTTCCCACCTCAGCCTCCGGAGTAGCTGGGACCATAGGCGTGCATCACCGTGCCCAGCTATTTTATTTTTATTTTTATTTTTTAAATTTTTGTTTGTAGAGACAGGGTACTCTACTACATTGCCCAGGCTGGTCTTGAACTCCTGGGCTTTAGTGATCTTGCCTCAAATAAAATTCTTAAACTGATTCTCTTAATTGTATTCTGGCTCATGTTCTCCATACTCTTTTCTCCATTGCTTGGCCCTAACTTGACCCTCAATACGTTTATCCAGTGGTAGAAATTGTAAACAGACATTGGAAGGTAGTGGAGATCAGAGGAGGGAGTTTGAGAGACTCCTGCTTCAGGTAGTCAACATTGTTTTTCATGTAGGCAGAAGAGCAAAGCCTACATCTTTTTTTTGTTTTGTTTTTTTTTGAGACAGAATCTCGCTCTGTCACCCAGGCTGGAGTGCAATGGCGCGATCTTGGCTCACCGCAACCTCTGCCTCCCGGGTTCAAGTGATTCTCCCACCTCAACCTCCTGAGATTATAGGCGCCTGCCACCACGCCCGGCTAATTTTTGTATTTTTAGTAGATAACAGGGTTTCACCATGTTGGCCAGGCTGGTCTCGAACTCCTGATCTCAAGTGATCCTCCTGCCTCGCCCTCCCAAAGTGCTGGGGTTACAGGCTTGAGCCACTGCGCCCAGCCTTTTTTTTTTTTTTTTTTTTGAAAAAGGATCTCCCTCTGTTACCTAGATTGGAGTCCAGTGGTGCGATCACGGCTCACTGCAGCCTCTAGCTCCTGGGCTTACGTGATCCTCCCACCTCACCCTGCTGAGTATCTGGGTGTGTGCCACCACAGCCCAACTAATTTTTATATTTTTTGTAGAGAGGGGAATTTTGCCATGTTCCCCAGGCTGGGAGCCTACGTCTTTAATAAACAAAGGAATGTACTCTTGAATCCCTTGCCCAGGGGTAGGTGGTGACTCTAGCCTCAGACAGCAGAGACATGCTTGCTGCTCATAACAAAGAAGACCAGTAAACTAGTTGAATTATAACTGTTTTGAATAATCTATTTCACACATCATCCTTGATGTTATTACCTTGTAGGAATGGCTTTGGAGATAGATAGGTAAATTGAAGCCTAAAGAGATTGTTATGCTGTAGGTAGGATTACATTTAACAATTAGTAAGGTTTGGAGGGATTCTTGTGACATGTTATTTTCTCCCCCTGGTTAGGTTTGGGGAGCCCCCAGGGATCTCCCAATATGGAGAGATATTGGGATACTTCATTATAGGGTTTGCATCCCCCTTTCCTGAGGTTTACCAAAGAGAAATAGTGGATTGAATCAAATGCACTCCCTAATTTAACTTAACTGTTCACAACTGGGGAGGAGCCATGATCTTTTGACTCATTAGGTCACATAGTCATCTTGAAGGCATCATTGCTCTTCAGAATGTTGGTCTTATTAAATTAAAAAGTATGAGAAATAGCTAACATAATTCTCATGATGGAATTTGCTTTTTCATTCATTTGGATTTTGTGTTTTTCATGTTTTGAAAATATAAGGGAATGGGAGGGGAGAAAGTAGGGGTCATTGCTGAACCCTGATGGTTAAAGGTAAGTGAATGTTTAATCTCTTAGTCACTTGATCATTGCTATTGTCTTTGCCAATGTCTGAAAGTAAACATAGAATAAATTTTCAATTGTGTGTAATGTGTATGTAAAATTCAAGATGCTGACTTGAAGATTTTTCCTTCTCTATTCTAAACAATAGGTGCGTTCCATGGATGAACTGAATCATGATTTTCAAGCACTTGCTCTGGAGGGAAGAGCGATGGGAGAGGTAAGTGAACTGGTGTGTCAGAAAAGTGGGTCTGTTTTTAAGGGAAGGTTGGAGTTGTCTTTCATCAAATGTGTCCAAATCTAGTCTCCAGAAATATGTGCTTGCTTTTCCTTGTTGCCATTCTCATGATAGGAACGGGATGCTGGAGAATTTTGCCAAAACTATGTCATTAAAAGAAGAATGTTAACCATAACCTAATGTCTTAAAAGCAAAACAAAGTAGCCAAAATGTGAGCACAAATTATTGAATATTAATGTCAGCTATAAATTGAGACATTTTAAGTTTAAGAAGTATTTTAATTTTATATGCATTAAATAAAAGGCCAACCTTTACTTCATTTTCCAGTGGCTAGGTTTTCCCCCAACCCACCCCCCCCGCCAATGGCAAAGGGAGTCTTAGATTGGCTGCTAATCAGAAAATGTCAGTAACCTATTTTTAGAGTAGTGCCTTTTTTTGAGGAAGTTGTTTAGAGCTCCATTGTGAAAGGGAAGTTGTTAGGTTTCTAGTGGAGGAATTACAGAAGGTAGAGAGCTGAGCCAGTCATCCATTACAGGAAATTCAGAAATAAGAATTTTGCTTTGACTGTAATGTTTAAAATTTGCAGAAACAAAATTTACTTTTATCCATTACATCAATAGAGAGGGTTGCTGTAAGTCTTAAAAAGGAAGGGGAGTATAGATATCTAACATGTAGCCAACTGCTGGCTATTGTAGCTGTGACAATAAGCATGTATTGATGACAAAGGTAGAATATACAGTTTGAATTAACTACTTAAAATACCACAGGCCCACAAGTGACATTTGTTGTGGCTCTCTTGTTCTGGAAAGTGACGTTAGGTTTTCTCTTCCATTTCATTTTTTGTGTATCTAATATTTGATAGCTCCTACATCGATTTTAATATTTCACAAGAGGGAGAATTACTTTATTCTAGGGTCCTCATTTATACCATTTATTAGATACATTTGTTCTTTGATTCAGCAAATGTTTGATCCCCAGGCACTGTGCTAGGTTCTGAGGTCAAAATTAGGATAATTACTCTTCTGAGTTTGAAGCAAATATTCCTTGATTGCCTTTGTGGTTAGGCAGTGAACAGTTAAAAATTGTTGATGTTTAAACTGAGATCCTTGCTTTCTTTGTTACAAGATTTTGTTTCCAACTTTCTGAATCTTCTTGTGGCCACAGAGTCCAGTGTCCTATCATCTTGAGTTCATGCATTTTTGGTCTGTTTTCCTCCTAGAGCTTTAGGAGATGATTGGGAGATGTCCTTGTGTTTCCTGTGCCTGCCTAATGTCACTGACACAATGCAAATCAATAAACCCTGTATGGTTTAGAAAGTCTAAAAGACTTTGTCACTAAGTTTTTGGAGCAGATTTGAACAGAAAGTTAACATATTTGTTGGATATTAAGTATAGAAAGAGAAACTATATGTATTGTCTTTCTTACTCCTATAATTCTAAGCTGGTGTATTCCACCAAAAATCCAATTCCAGGTGTTTTTCTTTCTTTTTTGAATTTTTTATAAAAATAGAGACAGAGTCTCACTATGTTGTCCAGACTAATCTTGGGCTCAAGTGATCCTTCTGCCTTGGCCTCCCAAAGTGTTGAGATTACAGGCATGAGCCACTGTGTCCAGCCTGTTTTTATTTTTAAAAAATTAATGATACAAGATAAGAATAATGCCCTATTATTGTTTTGTGAGCAACAGTTTATAATCACTGAATGCTTAATTTTAATTGAATAGCAAACAATTTCAGTAGAGGGTAAAGTTTATTTAAATGACAAGTTGACAGTGTTAAATTCTTTTTTTATCATTTTTTTCTTCTTCCAGAAACGCCTTTTTTTTTTTTTTTTTGTGGTATATGTATATAATTCCGTGGGCATGAATATAGGCATATGTTAATAACAAAACAGTATATTCCATCAGTAATGCTGTGTCATTCTTCTTCCTTTCCCCACTATTCACAAGTAACAGTAACAACTACCATTTATCAATCATAGGTAGATGCTAAGGGGCTTTTATGCATTATCTGATTAATAACTCTATGAGGACAGTTCTATTATCCGGATAAGGAAAAAGGCCAAGAGAGATGAAATAATTTGCCAAAGGTAACACATCTAGTAAGTGATAGGATTCTTCCCTGGCTTCCTCCCACTGCAAGGCATGTGCCCTTAATTAGGGTAAATGAAGTTAATGTTTGTAAAATAATTGAGAGGTAAAACATTTCCTAAGTGTGGAGTGAGGTTTCTGTATTCAAGGAGTTCTTTCTTTAGCTAGTTAAGGAAACAATGAATATACATATAAACAGAAAGAGTAAATTTTTTTCTATGTATGGTTGGAGTTCAGAGAAGGCAGGATCATTATTGACAGGACTAGTTAGACTTTAATGGAGGAGGAGAGATATTCCTTAAAAAGCATCTTCTAGTTTAGTTAGGCTTTGGATAGGTACAGATTAAGAGAATTTTTTTTGCAGCAACGGGAGAACAGCACAAAAGAAAAAATGAAAATAAGCTTTTTTTTCCTTTTCTTTTTTTTTTTTTTAAGAGACTGAGTCTCACTCTGTCACCCAGGCTAGAGTGAAGTGGCACAATCTCGGCTCACTGTAACCTCCGCCTCCTGGGTTCAAGCAGTTCTCCTGCCTTAGCCTCCTGAGTAGCTTGGACTACAGGTGCATGCCGCCGTGCCCGGCTAATTTTATTTTTGTATTTTAGTAGAAACAGGGTTTCACTGTGTTGCCCAGGCTGGTCTTGAACTTCTGAGCTCAGGCAGTCGCCTGCCTTGGCCTCCCAAAGTGCTAGGATTACAGGCTTGAGCTACCGTGCCCGGTGGAAGATAAGCTTTTATAATAAAAAAGAACAGCTTCTAATTAACTTCATTAAATTTTCTTCCTTTTTAGCAATAAAACATCTCTGAGAGGGAGTGTGTATAAATACAGTATTTACTGGCCGGGCGTGGTGGCTCACGCCTGGAATGCCAGCACTTTGGGAGGCCGAGGTGGGCAGATCACCTGAGGTCAGGAGTTTGAGACCAGCCTGGTCAACATAGTGAAATCCCATCTCTACTAAAAATACAAAAATTAGCTGGGCGTGATGGTGTGCGCCTGTAGTCCCAGCTACTTGGGAGACTGAGGCAGGAGAATCACTTGAACCCAGGTGGTGGAGGTTGTACTGAGCCCAGATAGTGCCACTGTACTCCAGCCTGGGCAACAGAGTGAGTGAGACTCCGTCTCAAAAAAAAAAAAAAAAAAAAAAAAGACAAAAAACAAACCAGTATTTACCCATATAAACACTAGAAGTAAATTGCATGACTTTTAAGCTAGGCACCATATCTTCGTTTGAGTTATTTGGTTTCTTTGTGGATGTGTGGGCACCTATGCGCGTGTGCATCTGTGTGAGTCATTAGGGTAAATGCTAGTTATGTAAAGAATGTATGGAGTCTTTAGAATTCAAATAGAATTGGTTCCATTCAAAGTAATTGATTTCTAGTAGTTGAAAATTAGTGCTGGTTGACTCTTGTTACGTTTTTTTCTTCAAAGCCACTGTTGGCCTCTTGGTGTCACTTTGAAAGGTTTAGAGTATTTCTTAGAAGAAATCTTGCTAAGAGGTGACTACTTAAAAATATCACTCTCCAAGCTGTTCTTAGCTGAAGGACTCATAGTACAAGTGCTTTATGTGCTTCCTATTCTACAAAGCTAATATAAAAAAGAAGATAGGAAAAGATCTTAGGATCAAGGCCACAAATTATTTAAAAATTTTGTCTACTTTCCTTGTTAGCCCCTTTCATTTGGCTTAAAGCCCTGAGAAGTTTAAAGGCACATACTTTAGCAGCTTTTATTTATATATGAAGAGATCAGTCTGCTAATCGATGATTCTAGAAAAGGATGTTTGTAGTAGAGAGGAAGGCTCACTGACCTTGGGCTTCTGGGCTCTATTTCTAAATTGGTTTGGTTTATGATCTTGCATAACCTGTTTGCTCCACCTTTAGGTTGGCAGCATTGTTACTGTTCATGACCTAGAAAAGGATGGATTTTTAAAAAAGAAGCTGTAGTTGGAAAGTACTTTGAGAGGTTGACAGAAAGGTACTTTGTTCGCATAATTGGTTTTTTAACTTTTAAAAATCAAGGACCTTTTTTTCCCTTAAGATTCTTTAATGTTTTATGTGTAGTGAACTTGACAACTTCCAGGGAAGTTAAAATAGTAGTGAATACTAGCTTATTTCTACAACAAATGGATTGTATTTAGATATGTGACTCTTCACCTTTGTCTTAGAAAGCTGAAGCATAGAAAAACATACCCTTGATTATAACAAGTTTGTAAACCTGACAAAGGAAATCTAGAAAGTGCTCCTATATACAGAGTGATAACAAATCCTACCTTATTCACAGGAATTAGGATAACCTGAGATATATTTAAATTGTAGCTTTATATTCTCATTAGACATTATATAGTACTTGATCCATAGGTGTGGGATAGCAGAGTGGCTTATAGAGGGAGGAATTGGATAGTGATTTGGGTGAGCTGTTAATCCAAAGAAAGGCAAAATTTGGTGGGATAGAGGTAGCATTGGATTGGGCCAGAACTCTGACGCCACAACTTCTTAGAGCCTAGGTTCAAACATTCATCTTCTTTGCACTTACTTTTTTCTACCCGTAAGACAAAGATGTTGGACTAGATAGTTTCCTAGGACCTTTTCAGGTCTAAGATTCTGGGAGCTTGCCCTTCTTTCTCTCTTTAAAAAGATAGAAAAGAGGAATTGTTCTGGCCTTTTTAGGATATAGTAGAGAGTGTCTAAAAGATATCCTTTTAGATTGACTTTCCCCCCTGTGATTTAGAGATTTTGTAACTTTTCATTGGGGTTTTTTTTTTTTTTTTTTTGAGACAGAGTCTCGCTCTGTCACCAGGCTGAAGTGTGGCGCGATCTTGGCTCACTGCAAATTCCGCCTCCCGGGTTCAAGCGATTCTCCTGCTTCAGCCTCTTGAGTGGCTGGGAGTACAGATGTGCACCACCACACACCCAGCTAATTTTTGTATTTTTAGTAGACGGGGTTTCACCATGTTGGCCAGGATGGTCTCTATCTCTTGACTTCGTGATCCATCCACCTTGGCTTCCCAAAGTGCTGGAATTACAGGCATGAGCCACCGCGCCTGGCTTCGTTGGGTTCTTTAAAGTGACTTATTCACTGTCTGCAGCTGCCCAAGACACTGAAGTGTCCATCAGAGTTCGTGGGATGGTAATACTGGAGTCAAGGCAAGTATTAGCCTGACTCCAGTATGGAGACTAAATCTGTTAAATTTTTTTCCCACATCTTTCTATTATGGCAAACAGTGTCTTAATAGAATTGGAGGCTTTTGAATAGCTAAAAGTACTTCTAGAATCCACAGCTCTGGGAGGGCTACCTTAAATTAACACTGGCAGTTCTTTGCAATTAGGGTGCCATAAAAGCAGCACAGTTGACTCCAAAATGGACTGAGTTTTGGAAAGATGTCTGCCAGCAAAATCATATAGACTTTCTTGCTGAAGGGATGAAAAATTAATAATGCCTTGAGGTATATTAATATAAAAATATGTGACCAAGCAGTGTAATTAATTCCCCTTTTTCCTCAAAATGTAGCCTTTTTTTTTTTTGAGATGGAGTTTCACTCTGTCACCCACGCTGGAGTGCAGTGGTGCGATCTCAGCTCACTGCAACCTCAACCTCCTGGGTTCAAGCAATTCTCCTGCCTCAGCCTCCCAAGTAGCTGGGACTACAGGTGTGTGCCACCATTCCCAGCTAATTTGTTGTATTTTTTTTTAATAGAGACAGGGTTTCACTATGTTGGCCAGGCTGGTCTCAAACTCGTGACTTCCAGTGATCCACCTGCCTCTGCCTCCCAAAGCGCTGGGATTGCAGGCGTGACCCACTGCGCCCAGCCAAAATGTAGCTTTCACGTACAATAGGAATAGTAAAAACACCCTAGTTCCCTTAACTTTATGTTTTTTGGGTATTTTTTTGACATCTTGTTCTTGAAATGTTTATTTTAGAAAAAACAG
Source organism: Homo sapiens (assembly GCF_000001405.40). NCBI lineage: Eukaryota > Metazoa > Chordata > Mammalia > Primates > Hominidae > Homo > Homo sapiens. Next base: position 31,022,768 of record NC_000001.11, on the reverse strand, counting down.
CTAACCACGCCAAGTGGTCTGGAGGAACAAGATCTTGGTAGATGGCTTATTTTAGGTTAATGACTGTTAGAGGTAAAGTGACCTTTTTATCAGTATTGTTTGAGGAAGTTCCTGGGACCCAAAATAATAATTTTGGGATTGGGATTGGGCACTTTGAGGAACGAGATAGGAGAAGGTGTTTTCTAACCCAGGAAATGTGGTCATAACTGATTTGGAACGTAGTTCCCAGGTCTGTCCTGACTTTGAGACCAATGTGCAAACCCCACCCATTCTTCTGTCTGTCTTCTAACCTGCACTGGGAAGACCAGGAACATACTACTGTATGTAGATGTTAAGCTGTCTTGGAATGTTTGAATGCAGCAAATCATACTCTTGCAGCAGAAGATCCACATGCTGCTTACTTTGTCTTCATTAAATTTCTTCCCTTTCATCAACCTCCTTTGGCTAAAATGTTACTCTTTTATCCATACTAGCATGCTTTATTGGAGGGAAGACTAATAAATGGTAACACTTTTCAATATAATGATCTATATGATATCATTATCGATATGAATCTCCCAGTAGGTTTTTGAGAGGTATTATTCCCATTTTTTTTTAGATGAGCAGAATGAGCCCTAAGATTAAATGACTCCAGCTAAATTCTTAAGTGTCAAGATGGGGATTATCTTCAAATTCTGTTTTTTTTTTTTTTCTAGGCTCGGAAGTAATAATAGCTACAAAATATTGAGTGTATACAATTTTCCCAGAACTATGCTAATCACCTCATGTATGTTACAGTTTTTAGGGTGGTCCTGCAATATTATGATGCCTTTTTTTTTTAGATGGGGTGAACAAGGATTAGAGAAGTTAATGTAATCATTAAGCCTCTGTTTGAACCCAGATCTCTTATAACTCAAATCCTGAGTTTTTCTGGTTGGTTTCTGCATATTCACAGTCTACTTATTCAAGATTTAGCTTCAGATATCAGCTCCCCTATTAAAGCTTTTTTGCTCCCTCCCATTAGAAGCTGTGAAGGGGAATTCAAGTAGCAAGTGATTTGTAGTATTCTTACAAAGATGATACAAATGATGATCTGTGGCTTATCAAAGCCCCAGATGATACCCAGATGGTCTGGGCTTTATCTTTTGCATGCTGGACTCTAAAGTACTGTTTCAACAATCATGGCCCAGTTTGTTTTATACATAATGATTTGTGTATATATGGTGATGTTTTCTTTTTTCTCATACAAAAGTTTGTTGAGGGTGGGGCTTCAGCTAATAATGTGCTTTGTAAACAATAGCTGCTAAATATATTGTATTGAAAGAATCATATCAGTAAATATTTTTTCCTAAGCATAGTTTCCTCTTTATTTTTCCTTTTACATCAGAAATTGGTATCCTTGTCTATCCCCCAAGGGAGCTCAGTTCAATTTAGTAAATATTGGTTGTATTTTCTGTTCACATGACTTTTCTGCTCTCAGGGATGTTGGAGTGTACAGGGAGAGAATAAAGAACAGACAAAACTGAAAGCATATATTCAGGCTGTCTGCAAATATGTACATTTAAAAGCTATTCATTAGCTACTTTTGCAAAAATATAGAAGACAAACAATAAATCAGCAGTGCTGTTACCCAAATTGAATCCGATATATAAAGGCATTTTTAAATAAAGGATCTTTTGTTTAATATAGTTGTTACGTTGTTACAGATCGATGGTACTTTCTCTGGGCCATCTGTTGGAGCATGGAAATATATCCTCATTATATATACAGTAACCAGACATAATGATGTTTAGAAAAATAGAATTACTTTTGTTCCATTGCTTTCTCAAGCTGGTATTAAACTATGTTGTGTGTAATTCCTTCTTGGTTACTGTAACCTTGCTAATAAGGAACCATAACATCAAAGCAAATCCATTGTATTTTGATTAATTGGTGCATGATGTGGTTCTCATTGAGGTGAAGCATGTAGCAAAAGTTTATTTTCTGTGTTGTATTCCCTATATACATAGCAGGCATATCTATGAAATATTTGTTTCCTATAATGAAGGAAAAGGGGAACTCAGGGTTGAGATCCTTGTCTTTTTCAGATCAAAAATTTAAAATTCCCTGAGGCTAACTGGGTGTGGGTTTATTAGAGTATTTGGTCCCATCTTGATGTGGAGTATTCTTTGTTATCTCAGTCGGGCTGTTTGCTTCCTGCTTTGGGGGTGTGAGGGGGTCATGAAGCAATCTAGATGTTTTCATCATTGTATTTGTGAACTTTACAGTATCCTGAGGGGTCTGGAGCTTATCTTTTGTATACTGGGCTCACAAGTACTGTAATATGTAATTATTAAAGTGAATACCTATTATAAAATGAATGTGGTTATGCTATAGATCAAACCATGTAGTCAAAATAAATTGTTATACCAAAAAGACACTTGCGCTTGCATGTTTATTGCAGCACTATTCACAATAGCACAGACGTGGAATCAACTTAGGTGCCCAGCAACAGTGAATTGGATAAGGAACATGTGGTACACCTACACCCATAAAAAAAGAATGAAATTATGTCCTTTGCAGCAACATGGGTGCAGCTGGAGTCCATTATCCTAAGTGAATTAATCACTGGAACAGAAATCCAAATACCACATGTTCTCACTTGTAAGTGGGAACTAAACATTGGGTACACATAGACATAAAGAAGGGAACAGTAGACCCTGAGGACTCCAAAAAGGGAAAGGGAAGGAGGGAGGCAAGGGTTGAAAAACTACTTATTGGGTAACTATGTTCACTATTTGGGTGACAGGTTCAGTTGAAGCCCAAATCTCAGCATCACACAATATATTATAGCCATGTAACAAACCTGCACATTTGCTCTCTGAATCTAAAAAAAAAAAACCTTGTGTAGTTTATTCATATGTAAAAACACGTGACCTTATTTATAGGTAACCTGTAGATAACATAACATCCCTTATATGCTGTTCCTGTATCATGCAGAAAAGCCCGATTCACTCTGGGAATTTCATCATTTTATCAACATACTTTACTGTCAGTCTGTCAGGTTTTATGAAGACAGTAGAGAAGAGAAGTTTCTTGGCTCTGTTCCATTAACAAAATGTGAAGGTATAAAGAAACCTTTACTTTCAGATTCAGAAGGGCACGTGTATGGGAGCCTGTTCAGGTTAATTCATGACAAAATAACATGGAGTGTAAGGTGCTAACAGTATTTCTGAATGTTCTTTAATGGACTTGCTTTATGAAAGTATGAATGATATCTTTTGATGTGCTTGGTTTCTAGGATGAAGTCGTTGACAGACAGGGTTGTATTCTTTGGTGTGTGCAGAAAACAGGAAACCCCTGTGCGTTTTGAAGTTTAATGGTAGTCATCAAGTTTGCAATTCTATCTAATATCTAATTTGTGGTTGTCCTAAAATTTGTTTATTTATTTATGTTTTTGAAACAGAGTCTTGCCCTGTTGCCCAGGCTGGAGCGCAGCGGCACTATGTTGGCTCACTGCAACCTCCATCTCCTGGGTTTAAGTGATTCTCGTGCCTCAGCCTCCCAAGTAACTGGGATCACAGGTGCCTGCCACCACACCTGGCTAATTTTGTACTTCTAATGGAGGCGGGGTTTCACCATATTGGCCAGGTTGGTCTTGAAAATCTGGGCTCAAGCGATTCGCTCGCCTCAGCCTCCCAAAGAGCTAGGATTACAGGCATGAGCCACCACACCCGACCTGGTTGTCCTAAAATTTAAAAGCTACCAAATTCTTATCTCAACTTGATTGCTCTTTTTGCTCTTACTGTCGCCCAGCAGCCTATAGAGGATCTTCAGGGCAGCCTCAATACCCTTTGAATGCATAAAACTTAAACTTTTGATACTATATGCACACATTTGGATCTGTTTGTGTTTTTATTTTTTATTTTTGAATTTTCTTTTTCTTCATGTACCCCACAGGAGACTTAATGGATTCTGTTTTCATTTAGCTTTTGCACTCAGCTGTCTCTGCAGAATAGATTCCTAATTAAAAGAACTCCAATGATAGACTGGCTTATGTATACTTAGTGAATTCATTCTTGATCATCATAATGGGCAATGACTCTTCTGAAATTTATAGCTTTTATTTTGTTTTACTTTATTTAAAATTTTTGAGATGGAGCCTTGCTCTGTCACCCAGGCTGGATTACGGTGCCATGATCTTGGCTCACTGCAACCTCCGCCTCCTAGGTTCAAGCAATTCTCCTGTCTCAGCCTCCCAAGTAGCAGGGACTACGGGTGCATGCCATGACACCTGGCTAATTTTTTGTATTTTTAGTAGAGACGGGGTTTCACCACATTGGTTAGGCTGGGTCTCGAACTCCTGACCTCAGGTGATCCATCGGCCTCCCAAAGTGCTGGGATTAGAGGCGTGAGCCACCACGCCTCGCCAGCCTTTAATTTTTTTCATTTTTATTTTTTTGAGATGGAGTCTCTCTCTGTCATCCAGGCTTGAGTGCAGTGGCGAGATCTCGGCTCACTGCAACCTCCACCTCCCAGGCTCAGATGATTCTCCTGCCTCAGCCTCCCAAGTAGCTGGAATTACAGGCATGTGCCACTACACCCAGCTAATTTTTGTATTTTAGCAGAGATGAGAGTTTACCATGTTGGCCAGGCTGGTCTTGAACTCCTGACTTTAGGTGATCCACCACCTCGGCCTCCCAAAGTGCTGGTAATTCAGGCATGAGCCACCGCGCCTGGTAAAATTATATAGCTTAAAAAAACAAAAACAAAAACACTTGCTTTGAAAAGAGTCTCTCAGCAGCAATTTTGTCCTTGCCCCTACTTCCACAGTTCCTTTTCTTACCATTTCACATCTGGATTACTACATTGGCCTCTTTGCTTAGACTCCCAATATTCATTTGCTTTCCTTCACCCCATTTTATGGAGGACTGTCAGATCAATCTTTTAAAGATAAATTTTATAATGTTACTACTGTTGCCTATTGGATTAGAGCCCTAGGGGTGCTTTTTGTAGTCTCACTGACAGCTGACATTAGTGATTTTTCACCCTCTTCTTATTGCTACCCTGTGTTGATGGCCAGTTTCCAGGTGGGCACCTGCTCCACTTGCTTTCATTTCTGCCTACCTTGGTTCATTGTAGAAGGTCCTTTGCACTGTCTCACTCACTCTAAATCAGGGTTGTCCAGTCTTTTGGCTTCCCTGGACCACATTGGAAGAATGTGATCTTGGGCCACACATAAAATACACTATCACTAGTGATAGCTGATGAACTAAAAAAAAAAAAGAAGAAAAAAATCGCAAAATAAAATCTCATAATGTTTTAAGCAAGTGTATGAATTTGTATTGGGCCACATTCAAAGCAGTTCTGGGCTGCGGGTTGGACAAGCTTGCTCTAAATTCTGTCCCCTTCTTTAAGATACTTCTTGACCATCCTATCCCAGGTTCATTTCTTCATTGGTGTGGTTGGTTACTCTTCCTTTCTTCATCTGTAGTAGGTTGTGAATTTTAGCAGTCTATACTCCATTATTAGGCAGTGTGCTTATCTTAAAATTACGTGTCCGTTTGACTCTGGTTTTTCTTTTTAATCTTTTAAGTTCCTTCAGGGCAAAGAATGTCTTTTACTGCTTTTTTTGTTTTTTCCAATAGTGGCTAATGCAGGCTGTGCATTTTAGGGTGTGTGCAAGTAGTACTTTTGGGCATCAGCAAGTACTTCAAATACTGAAATTTATTTTTTCAATAGTCAGAAAAGCAGTGTTGATTTCCCAGTTGTGGGAGAGAAGATCAGATTACCTCATCTTGTCCTATACTCTGCGATCTCCTTGATTTCATCCTTAGTGGAGGAAGTGTTATTTAAAGGCATTAGATACAGGTATCAACAGTGCTTATAAAAGGTGCTTAATAACCTGGGAAAACCTTTAAAAAATCTGTTAATTTATATACTGCATAATTATAATTATGCAACAGATTAAAGTTTGCTTTTTTTAAAAGCAGTATATTAGATTTCAGCCAAAAGAGGCATTTTGTTAAGACACCACCATGTCTATGGTAATCTGTTTTCAGTAGTAACCATTTGAAACAACAGGGTAAAAATTTTAAGCAGTAATTACTGCATGCCAGATTGTGATGATACCTAGTAGAGAAATATGAAGAAAATTATTGGAGATGTTGATTCTTAGACAGTTTTTTTGGTGATTTGAATTAAATTAATGAGAACACAAATTTTAACATTTAACATCTTTACATGTAAGTATTGAGTAACTGATTAAAGTGGATGCACTTCACTCTGCTTATATGTAGATTATTTTTAATACCATGAATATATACATATATATAAATGCAAAACGAGAATTTGGAAGATCTTATTCCTTCACTGAAAGAGAAGGTGAAAACTTAAAAATTCTTTGCTTTATATACTTATTTTTAATTAAAAAAACTGGCTTGTGATGGAACACTCAACATTTTTAACATTCCTTATTTAAGCAACAATTTTCAAAATGAGTTGGAAGTTTATTACAGGTTGGGTATCTCTTACCCAGAATACTTGGGGCCAGAAATGTTTTGGAATTTTTTGATGTTTGGAATATTTGCATAATAATTACTAGCTGAACAGCCCAATCTGGAAACGTGAAATCTGAAATGATCCAGTGAGCATTTCCTTTGACTGTCACATTGGCAATCAAAAAGTTTTGGATTTTAGAGCATTTCAAATTTTGCATTTTTTTGGATTAAGGATGCTAAGCCTGTATCAGCTTGCTTAAAAATATTTGAAATTTAGGACATGAGCTCTCTTCTTAAAATTGCTATTAACTTTTGCCCTTTTGAAATTGTATTGAAGTGGCCAGGCGCAGTGGCTTATGCCTGTAATCCCAGCACGTTGGGAGGCCGAGGCGGGTGGATCACCTGAGGTCAGGAGTTCAAGACCAGCCTGACCAACATGGAGAAACCCCATCTCTACTAAAAATACAAAATTAGCCAGGTATGGTGGCGCATGCCTGTAATCCCAGCTACTCCGGAGGCTGAGGCAGGAGAAATGCTTGAACCCAGGAGGCGGAGGTTGCGGTGAGCTGAGATCGCATCATTGCACTCCAGCCTGGGCAACAATAGAGAAACTCCATCTCAAAAAAAAAAAAAAGAAAAAAAAAGAAAAATAAATAAATTACATTGAAGTGGCTGGGCGTGATGGCTCACGTCTGTAATCCCAGCACTTTGGGAGGCCGAGGTGGGCAGATCACGAGATCAGGAGATCAAGACCATCCTGAGTAACATGGTGAAACCCCGTCTCTACTAAAAATATAAAAAATTAGTCAGGCGTGGTGGCAGGTGCCTGTATTCCCAGCTACTCGGGAAGCTGAGGCAGGAGAATGGCGTGAACCCAGGAGGTGGAGCTTGCAGTGAGCCGAGATCATGCCACTGCACTCCAGCCTGGGCAACAGAGCGAGACTCCGTCTCAAAAAAAAAAAAGAAAAAGAAAATGAAATTATGTTGAAGTGAAATGTATCTGCTTGAGAGATATGCCTTATTTATTTGCAGTGAATTTCAGACCACCATAATCTCAGTTTTATTTATTAGAGAATTAGTTGAAAATCATAACAAAAGTATATTTTGAATTAAGTAATCCACAATCCCAGTGCACTAACAAACACTCTTCTGCTTTTATTTTTCTTTCCAGTCTTGATCCAAAAGGGAAGAATGCATGAGGAGAAGCAGTCTTTACATGTACAATTTTGTATTTTACTTTTAAAATTTAATGTTATTTTATAAATATTACATGTAGTCATTATGGCTATTTTTGGTGAGCTTACATTGTTGTACTACAACTTGTTTGCTTGCTTATTTATTTATTTAAAGAGACAGGGTCTCACTATGTTGCACAGGCTAGTCTTGAATTCCTGGCCTCAAGTGATCCTTCTGCCTACCAATATGCTGGGATTATAGGTGTGGGCCACTGCACCAGGCCCACAGCTAATTTATTGTTGAATACTTAGTTTGCAGTTTGCTTTCAACTTTTTTTTTTTTTTCTGAGACACAGTCTTGCTCTGTCGCCCAGGCTGGAGTGCAGTGGTGCGATCTTGGCTCACTGTAACCTCCGCCTCCTGGGTTCAAGTGATTCTGCTACCTCAGCCTCCCGAGTAGCTGGGATTATAGGCGCCTGGCCACTACGCCTGGCTGATTTTTGTATTTTTAGTAGAGACAGGTTTTCACCATGTTGTCCAGGCTGGTCTTGAACTCCTGACCGCAAGCAATCCGCCCGCCTCAGCCTCCCAAAGTGCTGAGATTACAGGCCTACTTTCAACTTTTTTAATTCTTTTTTTTTTAATTTTAATGTTTAAAAATAGAGATTGGGTCTTGGCATGTTGCTCAGGCTGGTCTTGAACTCCTCAAGTGACCCTCCCACCTCAGCCTCCTAAAGTGCTGGGGTTACAAGCATGAGCCACTGCATCCAGCCTCGACTTTTTTTTATTTTTACAAGCACTTTGAATGTAGATTTTTTTTTTTTTTTTTTTTTTGGAGACTGGATCTTGCTCTGTTGCCCAGGCTAGAGTGCAGTGGCACAATCATGGCTCACTGCAGCCTTGACCTCCTGGGCTCAGGTGATCCTCCCACCTAGGTCAGCCTCCTGAATAGCTAGGACCACAGGCATGTGCTACCACACTTGGCTTTTTTAAGTTTTTGTAGAGATGGGCTGTCACATGTTTTCCAGGCTGGTCTTTAACTCCTAGACTCAAGCTATCCTCCTGCCTCACCTCCCAAAGTGCTGGGATTGCAGGAATCAGCCATCATACCTGGCTGTGACTTTTGATACGTATGTAGTTTCTGAGGCCCTTCCAAAAGAATTACGCTAACCAGGAATGAATGAACTTGGCTTTTCTTAAAGATATGTTTTAATAAGTTAAAGCTTTAAATAAAGCTTTAGTATAACTTAATATCAGTATAGTTCTTAGTATTTATAAAAGCACTTCATATACTATCTCACTTGATTTCACAACAACAGTCTGTGGTATGGAGAGACTACATAAGTTGTGAAAAATACAAAATTTTTACAAGTAAGACTACCACCTGTGATTATCAGTGGTTACCAATCAAACTTCCTCATTTCAGTTAGTTCTGAAAGGTCCTTTCTCTGAGTTGATGTCATCTTCTCTTAATGTACTGAGAGTGTGGTGAGATATATACTAAGAGATTAATAATTGTTTTGGTTGTTGGTCTGTCTTACCAGCTAGTTAAATATCAAGCATTTGTTTCCTGCATTGGCTGCATTCCAGTGAAACTAAGCTTGTGTTGTAAGTTAGAGATGCTAGATAATAACATGATCAAACTGATCACGTCTGCAGGGTTGTAACATCCATGTTAGTAGTATTTCTTAAGATGCTCAATTTCTGCTCTGAGAGATGCTCTGTGCAGCCTGTATTGAGTGTGTAAGCAGTTACCTAATATTTTATTCCTTTTGAGTACAGAGTAGTTGCTGGAGAGCCCTTTTACTGTTGAGATCATCAGTAAACCTCATTGATAAATCCCTATTCAAATATTAGTGGCGGTATGGTCAAACAAGTCCAGGCAATAATTGTCTTGCCTCTGCAGTTCCTGAAAAGCCGTAATCATGGTTCTTGTAGTGTTGTTTTGTTGGGGTAGTTAATGTAATGAGGTTTGTACTGACATGGCCTAGGTGATGCCATGATCACTGTGTCTGATAGTTTGACATAGGAGCATTTCATTGACAAATCATTAGTATTGTGATGTCTATTGGCTGCTACTTTGCTCTTTTAAAGAAGGATAGTAGCTGATTTTTTGTTTACTGTTTCAGCATTGTATTATGTCATTACATGTGTTATCTCTTTCATTGTACACAATAGGTCATTTTATAGGTGAGAAAAAGCAGAAGAGGATAAAATTCACACAGCTGGGATTTAAAACTAGTTTAAAATAAAGTGATTTCAGAGCATTCATGGGTCTTTATCACTGTTCTTAAAATAAGAAGCTTAGAGTTTCTTGATATTCTCCACTTTTTATTGTCTTAATCCATGTTTTAAGGGTTCTTGGTGTAGGGGTTTATGACATGATTGATTGTTAAGTGTTAAGTGTGGTTTTGCGTATTGTTCTTTTTTGTTAGATGGAAAGGAAAAAAGGTGTTTCCAGACAAATTTAAAAGAAGTGTCTCAAGTGGCTGACATTGCTTGTAAACCAGTGCTTGACTTCTATTTTGTTTTCCAGAAGCCTCATAGATAAGCTTACTGAATTTTTTTTTTTTTTTTTTTTTTACTTTTCATAAGTTTTTTTATTTTATAAACTTACGATTCAGGGTGGGATAAACAGTGTACGTGTGTGTGTTTCTCCCAGAGATTTGAGAGCACACACTATTGGTGGGGCAGTTAGGAATTCCACTTAATGTTTCATTACAAGAAAGAGTACAAGGTCTATTTATTTTATTGCTGGGGATGATAGGACTCCCCAAGTCATGGTTCTCAGTTTGTAGATCTTGAAATGGACTGTTATTACTAATTCAGATGACTGGGTTGCGATATTGACCCCACACTAACCAGAACAACAAGAGGCTAATGTATGAAAACCAAAATGCAGTCTGCTGATTTTTTTTTTTTAAGGAAAAAAAACAACTCTTAGATGGACAAGGATGGTTGTGTTTGGTGATTGGCATGGTTGGCTATAGGAGGAAGCCAGTTCTTTAAGAAGGTGGCTTGGTAAGCAGAGTTGGAGCCAGGGAGATTACTTGGGTGTTTTTAGTGTCCAGTGTAATTAAGCTACTATCTAACCAGATGCATTAATTGCTTTGATAAGAATAGGCTTCTTTGTGCATCATATGCCCTGCCCTTAAATGTGTCACCTGGATAATACTGGCTACATCTGATTCCTTGGGTCTCTTTTGCTTTTGTTGGACCAATTCCTAATTCCTGTTATCTTCTTTTGGAATTGTCACATCATTTAATCCTCTTACTGCTAAGTTATTCTTTAAAACAAACTCTACATCTCTCTTGTGATCTGTTACTTTTCGCCTTGTCAAAAAAACTAGTCTTTATTTCCAGATTCTTGATGGGGTGGATAGGAACTATCTTTTCATAGGTTGGATGCATTTACATTTTTGGTTATTGTGTGTTAAGTGAAGATTTGGCAACTGCTGGTATTTATGCCAGTGGGTTGGCAAACTAGGATATTTTACCCAACGCTGTGGATGATGTTACCTCCAGAGAGCTTACTGTTGAATTTGAAATTGTACTTGGATAACACATTATCATTTGGTTTTATAATTCAGTAGTTTCTAACTCCTTTTAATATGATCAGATTTGAACAGTTAGGTATCTTTTAGCTGACTGTTGAATATAAGTGATTGCTACTAATTCTCAGTAAGCTCAACATGTCTAAATTGATTTGATTTTGCCGAGTTAAAAAAGCCAGTCTTTTACTTTTTTTCAATTGAAAAGGATTTTAGTTTCATCACTTACATTTAAATATTAGAAATGGAACAAGAAGTGTTTCTTGAAAACAGACTCCTAAAGAAGTGTTTCAAATATACAAAAATACTTCCACATATTCACAACAGTGTTATTGCTGCTTAACAAATCACCCTAAAATTTAGTGGCTTAAAACAGCACAGTGTGTGTGTGTGTGTGTGTGTGTGTGTGTGTGTGTGTGTATTTTAAGAGATAGGGTCTCACTCTGTTGCCCAGGCAGGAGTGCAGTAGTGTAATCGTAGCTCACTGCAGCTTCAAACCTCTGGGCTCAAGGAGTCTTCCCACCTCAGCCTCCTGAGTAGCTGGGACTGCAGGGGTGTGCCACCACTCCGGACTGATTTTTAAAAAGTCTTTTGTAAAGCTAGAGTCTCGCTATGTTGGTTGCTAAGTCTGATCTTAGACTCCTGGCCTCACCCTTAGAAAGCACTGGGATTACAGGTGTAAGCCACCACGCCCTGCCTAAAACAAGACAGTTGTTTAAGCCTCATAGTTGCTATAGGTTAGGAACCTAGGCATGACTTTCCTGAGTCATCTGCTTCAGGGTCCTTCACAAGCTGCAGTCATGATTTCAACTTTGGCTGCATTCATCTCAAAGCTTGCTTGGAGAAAGGTCTGTCTCAAACTTGCTTGGAGAAAGGTCTGTTTCCAAACTCACTCATGTGGTATCAACCATCAGAATCCATTCTTTGCTGGTTGTTGGACGGAGGATCTCAGTTCTTAATTGTGTGTAAATGACCCAGGGCAGAGGCAGAGTTCAGTGGGAAGCTGCGGAGCAACAGCTTTGTATATGTAGCTGTTGTCCAGAGATGTCTCTCTCTTGGCTTCATGTGGCGTCTGTATAGGGCAGCTCACAACATAGCAGCAGTCATCATCAGAGTAAGCAATCAGGACAATAGATAGAAGAGGACAAGCAAGATGGAAATCACAGCTTTTGTAACATCTTGAAAGGAACATCCCATGACTTGTCTTATGTTATTTCTTAGAGGCATGTCATAGGTCTAGCCCACAGTCAGGGGAAGGGGATTACTCAGGGTATGAGTACTTGTAAGTGAAGATCATTAAGAGTCATTTCAGATGCTGCTAACCACAGCAGTTGAGTATAGACGCATATGTTTTGGAGGAAAGGGAGAAAGACTGAGTAAGATTCAGAGACTTTTAAGAGCTTTGCTAATTTTGCTTCTGTCTTTGCCCAAGCACCTTGGTTCAGTCTTTTGCTTTCTTTTTTTTTTGCCATAGTGGCAAAAACCACACTTTTGCACCAACCTAATAGCACTTTGCTTCATGTTTGCTGTATTGTTGTTTCCTTTTGAGAGAATTTACCCTGAAAATAGCCTCGCTTATGTGTTCACCTGCTTCTCCTGGCTTTGCACATTATGACAGCCTGGTATACTATCATGAAAGGTGACAGGATCCCAGAACTGATTTTTGAAGCCTTGAGCTGAAAGGCTGCTGCTTTCTGTAAGCAATTTTACAAATTATGGATAAGACTATATTTACATATGGAGGCTGGTACTTTTGGAAACTGTTCCTTGAGGTGTTTTTTTTTGTTTCTGTTTTTGTTTTTTTTTTTTTTTTTTTTGAGACAGAGTCTTGCTCTCTTGCCCAGGCTGGAGTACAGTGGCGTGATCTTGGCTCATTGCAACCTCTGCGTCCCTGGTTCAAGCAATTCTTGTGCCTCAGCCTCCCGAGTAGCTGGGACTATAGATGTACACCACCATACGCAGCTAATTTTTGAGTTTTTTAGTAGAGACGGGGATCTTGCCATGTTGGCCATTCTAGTCTCGAACTCCTGACCTCAGGTGATTCACCTGCCTCAGCCTCCCAAGGTGCTGGGATTACAGGCGTGAGCCACCATGCTGGGCCCTGTTCCTTGAGTTTTAAATAAACATTTACAAGTTTCTGTGAGGAATGAACTCTTAAAACATTTAAAGGACAAGAATGGTTTTGATCACCTTAGCGTTCTTTGCACTGTTATGTGGAGCATAAAACAAGTGAGACCCTCCTTAGGCTGACATTCTTTCTTCTGGAATACAAAAGAGTAGTTGCTTTTGCTTTGCACAAAATACGGGAGAAAAAAAATCAGAATTTTAATTGGAGAAAGGGTATAACCAATGAGGAAAGAAATTTTATTTGTAATCTTCGGACAGGATTTTTTTTTTTTTTGAAGATGGAGTCTCGCTCTGTTGCCCAGGCTGGAGTTCAGTGGCATGATCTTAGCTCACCGCACCCTCCCACTCCTGGGTTCAAGCTAGTCTCCTGCCGCAGCCTCCTGAGGAGCTGGGACTACAGGCACACACCACCACGCCCGGCCAATTTTTTTTTTTTTTTTGTATTTTTAGTAAAGACAGGGTTTCGCTGTGTTAGCCAGGATGGTCTTGATCTCCTGACCTTGTGATGCTCCTGCCTTGGCCTCCCAAAGTGCTAGGATTATAGGTGTGAGCCACCGCGCCCGGCCTTGCAGGGGACAGGACATTTTTGAGACTAAAAGGAGAAAAATAAGTTTAAAAATAATTATTGAATTGTCCTTTGCATAGTTTACATTAATTTTCAGTATCCCCTCTGTGACCTGGTTTGACCGCTGTTTTGCCTAGGTGTGATGTTTTTGAATACATTATTGAGAACCTGTTGTGCTAGGCACTCATCAACAATATTTCTAATCATCACAGCAACTTGAACGATATTTTCTTCATCAATAAAAAGAGAATGAGGTTCAGGGCAGTTTAGTAAGATTTCCTAGGGCACTTCAAAGTTGTCCAGTTTAGTGCTTCCCGACCCTAATGCTACCCTCGATCGGGGCTCTTTCCCATTTTACCCTGATCCTCACCCTCCCCCAAATGCCCTTAGGGTAATAAGTGGTACACCAGGAAGACTGCTACTTATAACTGTTCATTTTCAAGGAAACTTAGGTATCTGTGCAATTAAATACCAGACAAATGTTTTTTTTTTTTCTCAATCTTGTTTAATTAGTAAACAACAAATTAGGTCCTTAAGAGCAAAATGTATGGCAAACTGCTTTGGTCCAGGCAGTAACCCAAGTCCATGAGATAGATTATAGAGCCACTTAAAGGTAGATGAAAATTATGCCGAGAAACCCAGAAATTAGATTTGGGAAGCAGAGATTTATTTTAGTGAGAGCAGAGTTTAATTATTTTTCCATTATCATTGGGTTATGGGTTAAATGGGAAAGTTAAACCTTTATCGTCAAGGAGAGGAAATGTTTTGTGCTTTCTGGTTTTTTATTGTGTTCTTCTGAGAAATTCAACTCTCCAGGTATTTTTGTGCTCAAAAATGGTGGTTAAATACTATCTCAAACATCTTAGTTTCCTGTGTAATAGCAGTTGAAAACATAATTAGAGGAAATAAGAGGGGGCATTTTAGTCAGTAAAGCTGATGACCAGAACCAAGAATGATAGAGTTCTGTGGAATTTTACTTTGTAAGCCTGGTCACTGGTGCTTTGATCTTATGCAAAACTGTACTGTGTCTTGCTTGAAGGGTACTTTGCATTTTTTTGTTGAAGCTAGTATAAACTTCTCATGTTGGCTTATGGCCAGCGATCCCTGTTTCTCTGAAGCATGGAGTGATTTGTGAAGTCACTTTAATGGCATTACCAAGTATTGTTAAAAAATTAATGGAGGTTAGAAGATTTTATTTCCCTTCCAGTAATGAAGGAATAGCTTTTCTGTCCTTCCAAAATCTTGGAATAGGTTAGTGTTGTGGTTGGGAAGTATTTTGGTTAATGGAGTCTCTGTGTATAAAGGAAGTGAATTTTGCCTCTGGCATTCCATAGCTGAGGTTCATAGCTGGTTCATGCTCCAGCTTGAGTAACTTTGTCTGGTAGTTAGTACACGTATAGAGAGAAGTGTTTTAATAGTTGTAAATACTTTCTTTTTCAGTAAGAGTCCACTTAGTAGTTAGCTAATAGGGTCACTGTTAGTTCCCTTCCCCACTCCTTAAAAATCTTGGCATGGGTTAAGCGAGTAATTCTAGATATTTAAGTTCAGCCTCTATTGGATGGTTTGATCAGTGTCCCCACCCCTGCCCCCCACCTTGCCTTAGGCCTCTCTGTGACTTTTACCAAATATATAGCAGTGTTCTGACCACAGTTGTGTAGTTGGAACACTTTAATTAAAGACCTTCAGGGCACGTGAGCATCTTCAGTACCCTTGTCTAAAAGAAAGTGTTGACTGCTGTACTTTCATCCTTTATGAATTCTTTAAAAGCATCTATTATTTTTAATTTGCAGCAGCTCTTGCCAGGTAAAAAGTTTTGGGAAACAGATGAATCCAGCAAAGATGGACCAAAAGGAATATTCCTGGGTGATCAATGGCGAGACAGTGCCTGGGGAACATCAGGTAATCTAGATCTAGCATCTGTACTGTGATTTATGCCTGTCTTAGAGCTCCTTTCCTCAGCAATTGGCAAGTCATGAATTTTACATCAGTGACATAAGCATGTCAAGCAGTGTCCTCTCCTGTAGTATAATTGCCATTAAGGAGCTTATATGATGTAATTTATTAAAACATAATTAACACAAAATCATATCTTCAATATTTTTTGAAGTGCTAGCCACAGGGGAATGGTCTTATTTGAAACGACCATAATTTCAGCTGTAACGTTTTGTTCTGTACTGCTGTCAGCATACTTGGAATTAGAAAATCCACACCTGCCATTTGAAGTTCATGTTTCTTTTTCTCCCCTTGCCCTTGTGTACCGTGTATGGAATGATCTATCTTTAAACGTGATTGGGACCAAATCAAGTCACTGGGCATGGACATTCTTCTGGCATACTACCCCTGAAGAGGGATGGGGAGAACTTATAGAGGCAGACACACTGACAGCAGAAAAAGTGACAGATGATAGGGAGGAAGGAGACAGAAAACCCAAAAGCCAATGTCGTGTATTACAGTACAACGTAAGCATGGAACCTCATGATGACAGTGAATTATCAGAAAAGAACAAATTATATTGTTTTTAAAAAGGGCAGTAAAATCATATTTTGTTTTAGTAATACTAATAAAATATATTAAAAAGAAATCCTTTTACTTATAAAGGGGTAAAAATTTTATCCACTCAGCTAGTTAAACCAGATAAGCTAGATAAACTGTTGTATTCCTCTGCTATCCTGGATAAATGAGGAGTGTGTTCCATTTCCTTAGCTTATGTTGAATATCATACAGTGAGGGACATGATAGGAGGTTTTGGCTCAACTGACCATGGCAAGTTTCCTGATTCCATTGGTTATCCATGAGACATCACTCATAATTTGTTTGAGCCTCTGGCTGCACTGTATCATGCTTGTGTATCTTTTTTGTAGATCATTCAGTTTCCCAGCCAATCATGGTGCAGAGAAGACCTGGTCAGAGTTTCCATGTGAACAGTGAGGTCAATTCTGTACTGTCCCCACGATCGGAGAGTGGGGGACTAGGCGTTAGCATGGTGGAGTATGTGTTGAGCTCATCCCCGGGCGATTCCTGTCTAAGAAAAGGAGGATTTGTAAGTTGGCTTGAGGAACTTGTTCCTATCTCTCTCTCTCTCTCTCTCTCTCTCTCTCTCTTTTTTTCCCCTAAAGCAAAACATGCCTGTTTAGTTTCCTTAGATGTTCACAGCATTAATTACAGGGTATTTTCAAACAACGTTTGTTGTAAATAGAACTCAGCAAACATAGTAGGAGATGTAAACTCAACTTTTAAAAACTAAAGTAATAATGTTTTGGTGGGGGGACACATTGATAGTATTGTGAGATAAGAACTGAAATCTGGATCAAAGTTCATTGGTCTATCAGAAAACACCATTTTTACTTTAAAATAAAAGCAAAAGGGGGGTGGTGAAGGAATTAAAAAAATAAAGCTGATGCTGGGATGTTAACAGGGAATTCCAGATTTGAGAGCAGTGATTTGCCAATACCCGAGAAACCTTAATATAGATCAGATTATAGGGCTATTCTTGTTTTGTTAGCTACGATTTAATTATAGAATCCTCTTTGGCCCTCCTTGAACGGCTTTGTTTCTCACACCTGGCCTGTCAAGAAATTAGGGATTCTGTTAATTCTTTCTTACAAATTTTTTTGATTCATTATCACTGACCTCTCTGATGCTAAACTGAAGTCAAATAAGTCTCTGTGTCTATAGCCTTTTTCTTTTTAAGTCTTAAGCATTTTTCTATGAGCATCTGTGATAGCCTTTCTCAAAACAATTTCTTTCTTTATCATTAACTTTCTAGATCGAGAAGTGTTAAGATGTATTTCCATTTGAGTCTTCCTCATTTTGAATTCTGCGACTGTTGTCATATTCCAGGTCACAGACAGGAAGGCCATGAGAGGCACATGAATCTTCTTCCCTCCCTTTCTCCTGTCTAAACTTGTTTTGTACTTTTTCAAAGACATTTCTCCCTGCAGTCATTTTGGGCTGATATCACCTGAAAACAGTCATTTAAAAGATTTTAATGTAATTTGTGGGAAAGAACAGCAGAAGCACCTTCTTTCCCACAAATTGAGAATTAATATTATAACTGTCTTTCTTTAATAGCATTTGTTGCTCAGTATTTCTTAGTGTTATACATCTTTTGCTGGGTATCAGAGGCTTGGTCCTATTTTCCCTATTCCACATTAAATTTTGTTAGAGTAACAGTAGTTCATTTTTGGTGCAGCTTTCTCAAGTGTCAAGTACAGTTCTTAAGTACTAGCTATTCTAAAGCTGACCTGATTGCTTTTCAGTGTTTTGACCCTGCAGAGACCTAGGTCAGGTTTAGTAGCTTGTGAATCAGATAGGAGATGGCTCCTGTTATTTGAACCTTCCCAAGGGGCTGCTTGGGAAGAACAAGATCTACCCTTTGGATGTGAGTTACTTCTCTTTCTTCACCCTATCCCCAGCTCACCTCTTTTTCTGTCCTCACTCTTTCCTCATCTTATGAGCACAGATTCCTCAGCAGAAATTAGTGTTGTGCATCAGTAGGTTGCTAGTGTGGTGAACTGGAACCTGTGACTCTAGCTGTGAATTCTCTGTCATGTGTGTGATCAGTTTCTAATTCTTGGGCACTAACCAGGAGGCATGTGCCTGCATTACTGTGAAGCTTGTAGGAGGCAGAAAAATAGTTGGAATTAGGAGGAAGATACATGGTGGGATTGAATCATTTTGCCACTTATTTTTCTCTCTTTAAACAGTCATCTCACTAGACGGTTATTTTGATGACAAAAGCTGTATCATTTGTCTTGGGAGACTGGTGATTTACCTCTTTTACAAAAGAATCGTGACAGAGGAGGTTAAGACTTCAGGCTAGATAGATGGGGCCAGAAGATTGGACTTTAACCATCAAGATAATTTACTGAGCTGCTGAGGTATGCATAAAGATAAATGAAAATTCTGAAGTATGCATGAAGATAAATGAAAATTCTCCAAATCTGTGTTCCAGCTTCTTTTAGAAGGAAGATTGTGGGTAATGGAATATTATCCCATAGTTTGACTTAGATTGCATCTATAGAGTGATACAAGAGGACTGATCTAGTGACATCAAGCCACTTGTTGGCATATACAGTCTTCTGGTGGATGGAGACCTGTGGCTCAGTGAACTGATTATTATTGTTATTATTATTGAGGTGGAGTTTCACTCTTGTCGCCCAGACTGGAGTGCAATGGCATGATCTTGGCTCATCGCAACCTCCACTTCCAGGGTTCAAACGATTCTCCTGCCTTAGCCTCCTGAGTAGCTGAGATTACAGATGCCTGCCACCATGCCCGGGTAATTTTTGTATTTTTAGTAGAGATCCGGTTTCCCCATGTTGGCCAGGCTGGTCTCAAACTCCTGACCTCAGGTGATCTTCCCACCTCAGCCTCCCAAAGTGCTGGGATTACAAGCGTGAGCCACCGCGCCCGGCCAGTGAACTGATTATCAGCTTTGTGGTTGTATCCTCTTGATTTTATACCTAACCTGACTTTGCTCTGCCTGTTGGTCAGGATGACACCTGACCAAAGCTCTTTTTGTGGAAGCCTGAATCACTTTATTTTTGTCATAGTATGCATACATCTTCTTGAGGAAAGTGAGCCTTTTCTTTTAAAGTCTAGTCTGTCATTTAAAGTGTTGAATTCAGAGAACCAGGAAGATAGGATTTCTGCTTCTTGTAGATAATTGTTCTAAAGGAGGAGTGGTACTTGGTAGTGTATGGGGTCAGGGCATCCACGTATTTTTACTTTTGGGGTAGCTGTATCAACATTAATTCCAGTAAGCCTCACTTTAATCCTGAGAGCTGAAAGCATCATCTCTGATGGTATAGTGATTGTAGACCTCAAAGCAAGTAACTAAGAAGTTATTCTTAACACACTGACAACAGATAATTGAGACTTTAACTTTTCAGGTAAAGGTGTTTAGAACTAAAATAAATCTCTATGTAGTGTTTTACCATTTTCAGTGAACTTTGCTGGTTATGGCTAGATTGAAGCTGTTTAGCTCTTTGTCTAGCTTGAATTCATTTTGATTGTACAAATGGTCTCAGTTTAGTGGTTTTGGCTTCTGTGATAAGAATACATTCTGGCTAACAAGAAGAATCTGGCAACCATATTTTGTTCTGAGCATTCACTGTAAATTTTTGGTAGTATTCCACATAGGAATCTCAAACTTTAGGAGAGCAGCTTTCAGAATAATAGAGCTCAAAAATATCAATCAAGTCTTTTATTTTTCTTTTCTTTTGTATCCTTTATTTATTCTTGGAGTAGAACAGGTGCTCACCCCACAGCCCCCCATGGTTCAGGGTGGTTACAAAATCAGATGTAATTATTTTATTTTTGAGGCCCATGGGTGAGATTGCCATCTAAGGACCCTGCTCTCTGGAATACCAGCTGATCTTTTTCAAATAGGTGGAAGCCTAGCCAGCCAAAAAATGGATCATGATTTCTACCTTGCTGGTTTATGGTGCCCAGGGAAATGAGAAGATCACTCTAAACTTTGATTAGGGTAATGACCACCTTAACCTCACAGAAGAAAGATTTTTAGAAAAAATATATTGGGAAGGTCTTTCTGTTTGTTCTGTAGAGAGTATCTGCTTTTTGATCTGGAGGATGTATACACATTCGTAGTATACATCTATTTGGGCCGTGAAACTTGTTTGTCTAGGTTTCACTGCATTTACTTTAGGTAACCAGTGCTACTTAACTTTCATAGGTTTTGTTTGAAAACTTCTGTACAATGTAATGCAGATAGAAATCAGGGGTTTGAGTTTCAAATGGACCTTAATTCATCTGCAAAATGAGAATAATCAAAACTCAACAAAGTCTAATTCATACGGCTGTGTAGCATATGTGAAAATGCTTTGTAAACATTAGAAGTCTTACTACCAAAGTCAGTGGGCCGACAGCATTAGCATCACCTGGGAGCTTATCAGAAACGCAGAATCTCAGATCATACCTGAGAGCGAATGAATCAAAATCTGCATTTTGACAAGACTACCCAGATGATTTGTATGCACATTAAAGTTTGATAAGCACTGCTATCATACGCGTTATCTCAGAAAACTCAGCTGGACAAAGAGTCTAATGATTAGAGCCTTAAAAGTTTCCTAGGGGAAAAAACATAGTATGTCTAGCAATTTTTAAGCCTTGGTGGGGAGGGCTGGTGAGGGCATTGTGAAAAAGGCAATGGGGAAAAAATGTGAAAATTGGATAAAGTATTTTTTTAAAAAGACAACTGTACTTTCATGAATTTCTTTGTTTAGTCCTTGGAACAACACTTTGAGGTAGATACTGTTGTCTCTATTAATTTATAGATGAGAAAACTGAGTCTTAGAGGGGAAATGGGGGGCTGAATTCAAACTTTGTTTGTTCTAATTTCAATTTTTAGCTGTATTGCTTTCAACTGTGCCATACTGGCATTGTTTGTGAGTAGGAATCCTCACAAAAGGATCAGATTTAATATGTTAAATTAAGGAGTATTTCACATGGCCAGCAGTTTCAAACTTATAATTTTTAATATTTGAATTTTTTTTTTTTGAGACAATCTCTTTCTGTCTCTTTCTGTCACCTGGAATGCAGTGGTGTGATCTCAGCTCACTGCAACTTCTGCTTCCTGGGTTCAAGTGATTCTTGTGCCCCTGCCTCCCCAGTAGCTGGGACTACAGGAGTGCATGTGCCACCACACCCAGCTAATTTATTTATTTATTTTATTTTTATTTTTTTTTGAGACGGAGTCTTGCTCTGTCGCCCAGGCTAGAGCGCAGTGGCGCAATCTCGGCTCACTGCAAGCTCCGCCTCCCGGGTTCATGCCATTCTGCCTCAACCTGCAGAGTAGCTGGGACTACAGGCGCCCACCACCATGCCCAGCTAATTTTTCTGTATTTTTAGTAGAGATGGGGTTTCACTGTGTTAGCCAGGATGGTCTCGCTCTCCTGACCTCGTGATCCGCCCGCCTCAGCCTCCCAAAGTGCTGGGATTACAGGCGTGAGCCACTGTGCCCGGCCCACACCCAGCTAATTTATATTTGAAATTTTAAATTACCAGTAGAGCTCGACATTGTTGTACTTCAAAGGAATCAGACATTTCAGTTTTATGGCATTTTGTGAAAATGGGTAAGTGTGTGCAGGAGAAACCAGTGTTTTAGTTAACATTGTTATAGTTTTTGGACTCAGTGTGTCAAGCAGGTATAAAATACTTTGTAGAAAGAAGGGAGGAAAATGACTAATCCCATTAAATATGACTTCTGCTGTGTGAAGCTTTCTTTTAAGATCACGGCAGTAAGAGTAGTAAATAGATTTGAAATCTTCTGACTTCATTCAGAATTAATAGGTATATTAGGAAGTATTCCCCCCTTTATGTGAGTCTTTTGAGGAAGTTGAGCCATAAGTGCATGGATTCTGACCTCAACAATATATAGTTCTACCTACGTCTGCTTTTCTCCCAGTTCTTTGATATTTAGCAATTTCTCTGCCTCTCTGTAGGTCTGGGATCTCTCAGCACCCATCTTGGTTCCACTCTTGAGATTTTGATTGGGCTTGGCCACTTGCAATTTGAGCATTTTACTGAAGTTTGTATTTGAGCACTATAGCTTTGGGTTAACATTCAGCTAAAGAAAGCCCATAATTAAAAGATGCTGTTAAGCCTTTTTCATTTATTCATTTAGCTAATAGACTTTTCCAGTACTGTATGTACTTGATAATATATAACAAAAAAGCAAATCACAAACCATGCCTTTCTGATGCTTATGTTGCATTTAATTACCTTGGTTCTCAATTGTGGATACTTACCCGAGCTATTTGAGGAGAAGCTTTTCACAACATTTGCAGGAACCTCTACAGACCAATCAGATCAATCTCTGGTGCAGAGGGTGGGCCCAGCCACCTGTGAATTTAAAAAGATTGCGATGCCTAACCCTAATCATAGAACCACTGCTTTGTGCAAATGACAATGCCCCTGGGAGGGCCATATTGGCCGTATACTTGTATTTGAGATTTAAACCACTTAATTGGGACATTTAAGATTTTTATTCTTGATGTCATGTATAGTGTTACAAAGAAACACCATCCCAGTGCGTCTCTTTATTACTATTATATTACATTTGTGTAAAATGGCTTATCTTTATAAAACTTTTAGGCATGCATTATTTCATTGTTATTCATGAGTAAACAAAGTCTCAGAGATTAAATGACCTGTCCAAAGTCCTGTGACCAGTAAGTGTTAGCAGTTGAGATAGAATGTAGGTTCTGTGCACCCTGGTTCAGCACCTTTTTTTTTTTTTTTTTTTTTTTTTTTTTTTTTTTTTGAGACAGAGTCTTGCTCTGTCACCCAGGCTGGAGTGCAGCAGTGTGATCTTGGCTCACTGCAACCTCTGCCTCCAGGGTTCAAGCGATTCTCCTGCCTCAGCCTCCCGAGTAGCTGGGATTACAGGTGTGCACCACCACGTCTGGCTAATTTTTGTAGTTTTAGTAGAGATGGGGTTTCACCTTGTTGGCCAGGCTGGTCTTGAACTCCTGACCTCAGGTGATCCGCCTGCCTCGGCCTCTCAAAGTGCTGGGATTACAGGTGTGAGCCACCGCACCTGGCGGGTTCAGTATTTTTTTAAAAGACTGGGCTAGGTGTTATGGCTCACACTTGTAATCACAGAGCTTTGGGAGACCAAGGCAGGAGGATCACTTGAAGCCAGGTGTTTGAATCTAGCCTGTGAAACATAGCAAGACCCCATCTCTACAAAAAATATAAAAATCAGCCAGGCATGGTGTGTGCATCTGTAGTCATAGCTCCTTGGGAGGCTAAGGTGGAAGGATCACATGAGCCCTAGAGGTCAAGGCTGCAGTGAGTCATCATTGCAGTACTGCATTCTAGTCAGGGTGAAAGAGCGAGACCCTGTCTCAAAAACAAAAACAAAAACAAAAACAAAAACACCACACAGCTATGAATAGTTTATCTTAAATATTTTTCAGAAGTGTAAAATTTTCATAAAACTTAGCCCATTTATACCTTTCTTCTATTGTCTTTAGGGTCTTCATGTTTTTAAGAGACCATTTTAAGGATCTTGAACCTGATACTGCTGTCTATTAATGAAATAAACTCAGGGTCTCACTTTGTCCCCAGACTGGAGTGCATTGCCAGTGCATATTTTGTTCTGAGCATTCACTGTAAATTTTTGGTAGTATTCCCCATAGGAATCTCAAACTTCAGGAGAGCAGCTTTCAGAATAACAGGAGAGCTCAAAATATCAGTCAAGTCTTTTATTTTTCTTTTCTTTTCGTATCCTTTATTTTATCTATTCTTGGAGTAGATCAAGTGCCCACCCCACAGCTCACTGCAGCTTTGAACCCCTGAGCTCAAGTGGTCTTCTTGCCTCAGCCTCCTGAGTAGCAAGGACTACAGGCGCATGCCACCTTGCCCAGCTAATTTTTTTAAAAACTTTTTTTTTAGAGATGGCGTCTCCTCTGTGTTGCCCAGGCTTGTCTTGAACTCTAGGCCTCAACCTAGATCCTTCCGCTTCTGCCTCAAAGTGCTAGGATTACAGGCATGAGCCACTGCGTGCAGCTGATACTATCTCTTAATAACAGACTTTTGACAGAATGGTTTCCTATTTGTGCTTTTGTTTTTACTCAGAAGTCAGACTTCTGCTGGCCATTTTTATGGAGGGCCATTGTTGATTTCTTGAGTTTCTTTTTTCTTTTAAGTAAACTTTATATTGAAATATGACCTATGTTCAGAGAAGTGTACGAGCCATAAATGTTCGTCTTGAATTTCTGCAAAATCAAAACACCCATATAACACCTTCCCAGATCAAGAATTAGAAACTTCCCTTGGGTTCCCCACTCTCTAAAAGAAGGAGCCCACCATTTTGGTTAGGCATCAATAGCTTATTCAGAGTAGAAAACCCGGTATTTTGTAGGAATGGCCTGTACGATATTGGTAAAATGCAACACATTGCAGGGAAATATTTGAAAATCTGGCCCGTGGCAGTATAACTGAGAATGTAAATTAGTGGCTGAAAGTGTAACTTAGCAGTCAAGATTTCAGGCCATGCCGGGCGTGGTGGTGCATGCCGGTAATCTTTGCTACTGGGGAGGCTGAGGCAGGAGAATCACTTGAACCTGGGAGGTGGAGGTTTCAGTGACCTGAGATCGCACCACTGCACTCCATCCTGGGCAACAGAGCAAGATTCCGTCTTAAAAAACACCACCACCACCACAAAAGAGATTTCAGGCCAGTCAGCATGTAGAAGAGCTGAGCAGGTTCTCAGTAAAGCCCTTGTGAAGAGCCCCTGAGGAAAGATAATGCAGAGCATTGATATGACTAGTGCACATCCCCTGCAACCAGCTGTCTTGCTTGTTGTTGAAACTTCCTACTGCTGCTTTATCCTCCTTTCTTTCCTTTAAAAAAAAAAAAAAAAAAAAAGACGAGTTTCACTCTTGTTGCCTAGGCTGGAGTGCAATGGTGTGATCTTGGCTCACTGCAACCCCTGCCTCCTGGGTTCAAGCGATTGTCCTGCCTCAGCCTCCCGAGTAGCTGGGATTTCAGGTGCTGCCTAATTTTTGTATTTTTCTTAGAGACAGGGTTTCACCATGTTAGCCAGGCTGGTCTTGAACTCCTGAGCTCAAGTGATCCTGCCTTGCCCTTCCAAAGTGCTGGGATTATAGGTGTGAGCCACTGCGCCTGGCCCTTTCTTTCCATTTTTGCCTACAGACCTTTTGAACTCCTTTTGAGAAATTGGAGCTGAACTGTTTCTTCTGAGCCAGTGATTTGATTTGTAGACTGCGGAAGATGATGACTTAGGCGTGGCAGTGGGATGATTCTTGTAATATTCTTTTGCTGTTGACATTAATGGTTTCTGATTCAGGCAGAGTTGTCATCTAGACCATATTACCACCTCCAGGACTCTTATTTAATGATGATAAGGACAACAGGAAGATCATTCTTATTTTAACAGTTCAGTTTTGCATGATTTTTTTGTTCCTTTTAATTTTCTTCATCATATTTATTGAGCTTTTATCAGGCACTGCAGTCAGTGCTAGGGATATAAAAATGAGTACACAGCTTTAGTCAGTTTTGCCTCTGCAGTATGGAGGAAGCTATTGCCTTTGGATATTTTGAAAGATCTTTTTGCCTTTAGAACCCTATCATATTCCTATCTCTGCTTTGAGGAATCTCAATGTGGTGCATAATTGGTTATCATTCAGTCCTTTTAAATCAATAACAGCCACATACTTTAAAGATTCTATTCTGAAGGGCACATCTCAATGGCCGTCAAAGCTGTGGTTTACTGTTTTGATGCCACATGAAGCTAAGTTGTATATCCTTTCTCAGTTCCTTGTCATATTTGTTCTTTTTTTATATTATCTTTTTCTGTATCACATTTGAACAGAGAATAACTTTAGAAGTAAAATGGGCTCTAAAGTAGTAGTTGAAAGGTTTAAGAATGTCAGCCTTTCTGGGCCAGTGATCTCTTAAGAGCATCTGTTGGTTTTGGATCTACAGGCCTGTCCACAGTCAGTCTATTTATAACCGAGTGTCTGCTGCTGTGTCCTCCATTGTTGATTTCTCCCCATTGACATTTGGTTTTGGTGACTGGGAATGCTTTGCAGCCACTCTCATCTTCTATTGAGTGGATCTTGCCTTGTACCAGGAACTTGAACTTGGTCCATGTGCATTTCTCTTCCTTAAACCAGGAGTCAGTCGTGGGGAAAAGCAAGGCTGCTTCCCTCTAGTTTTACAAGAACAAAGGGTTAAACCCTTAACCCTTTGGTGTAAGGTTCTGCAAATCTCTCTGTACTATGTCAAGTCACTATACCAAATCTTTTCCTTTGGAAATCAAGGTACATGTACTTTATATGTCCAGGGCTTAACTTGGGATGTCGGTAAGAGGAGATAGACACTTCAGAGAGAAATTCTTTTGTATCAAATGCTTCAATTTAACATACTCCCACTTAGAGATCTCATGAATAATCTTTGTTACCAGTAGATGGTAGAAGATAGTTATTAGAATACTTTTGGTGAAAGAATCTCAGAGTTAACTTGTTTTGAGGCATTAAAAAATTTAAGGGTCATCAGTGAATTGATGCATACCTGTGAGGCTTATAGGGTAGAGCTGGGAGGTGATGCAAATTGACAGGGCATATATCCCAAGATCAGGTACAGAATAATTGAGTTGATATGATGTTAGACCACACTTGGCTCAATATTTAGAAGTAAGGGAGGAATTTACATAGTGCAGTGGAGAAGTATGAAATTCTTTTTACAGGCTTAATAATTTTTTTTTTCTATGCTATTAGCTGTCATACCTGGGGCTTATTAAGAGTCATGCTATTATACAGAGTTAGGTTTGGGAGTAGAGAACTTGACCAAGAGCTGCAAAGTTATGGCTGGGCTTTGGGTAGGAAGAAAAAAAAGGAAGGAAGAAAAAAAAGGAAGGAAGAAAATGGGTTGGTGGGACATTGGATATAGTAAGACTGTTCTGAACTCTGTAACATAAATGTATGTCTGTCTCCCTCATTTGGCAAGACCTTCTGCAGTGTTCCTGCCTCTGTGTTGTTTGTTAATTAGATTGTAATGTGTGAAAGGGCACAACACTATCCTCTTCTGAGTAGCATCTAGTGTAGTCTGGTGCCCACAACGGTTGCCCGTTATTATTAGTTGATGACGATTAGTGAAGCTGAAGCTATTTTTTAAACAGGGCCCAAGGGATGCAGACAGTGATGAAAACGACAAAGGTGAAAAGAAGAACAAGGGTACGTTTGATGGAGATAAGCTAGGAGATTTGAAGGAGGAGGGTGATGTGATGGACAAGACCAATGGTTTACCAGTGCAGAATGGGATTGATGCAGACGTCAAAGATTTTAGGTTTGTATGTTTTACACTTCTGATTTTTGAATATGGGCTATGGGATTTTGTTTGTTTTGATTTAGTTTTACTTTGATTTTCGTTTTCTTCCCCTCTTCATGTTTTCTTTTTAAGAATCCAATCTAGTGTAGGCTATGCTACAAAGATTGTAAATTAACTGGTGAGGTGGAATTTTCTAAAAGGTGTCAATGCCTGAAGCGTTGCCAAAATGATAGATTTTGCATTTGCATAGAACTTTAAAATCTGAAGAAAGATTCCAGAGAAGACTATTTCAGTGATTCTCAGATATTAAAATCACCTAGGATAGATGCCTTGGAACCTTTCTTAAGTTTCTCCCAAATTACCGTATTAGAGAGCTATGGTTACTAATGGAATATGTCATATCCCTCTGGTGGTTTAGAGGGAAAAACAGTTGAGAACTTGTGCATTATCTCATTTGAGTCTCATGAGCTCTTTTTGAGGTAGGTGGACCAGGTATCATTTTCCTTATTTTGAAGAGCCAGAGATGCAGCTTAAATGATTTGTTCTTAATCATATCTCTTCTGCAGATGCCTCTCATTCCATCTCTGGTCATGATTAATGTACAGGTTTTACCCTATTATTTAAGTTACACAGTATTAAAATAATGTATATTTATCTTCCACAATTGGCACATATTCTTGAAAAATCTATAAAAATCCTTGTCCAGTTATATATACAGGTAGAGGATTTTTTTTTAATCTCCAGTGTGATAGTACAGGTAGAGAATTTAATTTTGAGTAATTTTAATATCAGTGTAAAGCTAATGTGTGTGCATGCACACACTCACACCCCTCTGCTTATTCTAATGTCTGCCAAAGTCAAAATGAAAATGTATTTTGGACCATCGTTGTAGGACAAGTGTCAGTTGTTTTGTATCCCTAATCTAATTATTGTTAATCTTGCATGTGTAAATAATTACAGTCTTAAACTTTTTAAAAATTATTTTTATTTATTTATTTTTTGGAGACAGGGTCTCACTCTGTTACTCAGGCTGGACTGCAGTGGCATGAAGTTAGCTCACTGCAGCCACCACCTCCTGAGTTCAAGCAGTCTTCCCACTTCAGCCTCCCGAGTAGCTGGGACTACAGCCGCGCACCACCATGCCTGGCTAATTTTTATATCTTTTGTAGAGATGGGGTTTTGCCATGTTGCTAGGTTGGTCTTGAACTCCTGAGCTCAAGTGGTCTGCCTGCCTTAGCCTCCCAAAGTGCTGAGATTACAGGCATGAGCCACCATGCCCGGCCTGAATTACAATCTTTGGAAGAAATTTAAGGCACAGGGTAATAAATACTTACCTAAGGTCTTTCAGATGAGTTCAGGTGTCCTCTCCACCTTGAATATCCAGCAGCCTGTAGCAGTATTTTGTTGTATTTAAATGGGGGCTGGTGGTGGTGGTGGTGAGTGTGTGAGTGAGAGAAAGAAAGAGAAGGAACCAGAATAATACCTTTAATATGTACCAGCTACTGGACTACAGGATTTTTTGGGGTAGGGGGTTGGAGGTGGAGAAGAAGGGCATTGAATGTTGCCACAGGTTACACTCTTCTGTTTATATAATATTATATATTAGTCTGATTTTGGATCATATAATCCTGAAGTCCTTTTATATAAGGTGATGGTAGACCCTGGGTTACCCAGAACCTTGTGTCCTACAATAATTATCAATAGTGCCCTGTTTTTTTTTTTTTTTTTTAAATCTTAGGCATGTCCTGGTTTGGATGATAAATTACATCTTCCCATTACTTTTAATTCTTAGAATTGTCTCCTTAACAGGGGCATATCCTAGATAATGAGTTCATCTTGTACTACTTTGGAATAGTCTGCTTATTTCGGTTTCTTAGAAAGGGGAGTTAGTTTTAACATTGGTCAGTAATACCAACGACATGTAAAAACTTTTTTCATTCTGTTTCTTTCCTCACAAATATGCCAGGAAGATAAAAACTTTTTAGAATCACTGAGTTGTGGAATTTCCCCCAGAAACCAACTTTTTCCATTGTCTCTGTATTTAAAGAGTAGATAGAGTAGATGTTGCATTTTGATGCATTTTGGGATCTGCTTTCATGGATGCTATAGACAGTGATTTTTCCACTTTATTTCAGTTTTCCTCAAACCCGGCCCCCTTGGTGAAGGGATGTAAATTAATAGCAATTAATGTGAATTTAAGGGGTGAGTTATATGGAATTGCCGGCAATAGAAGCATCAATTTAGAAGATGTAACCCTGTAAGCCCTGTAAAGTATCTCTGGTTATTTTATAGAAATAGTTTTAAATACTGTTGATAATGAGCTATGTTGAGGACATTGTCCTTAAACTTGGGTTGCTGTAGTCCCTCCCCACTGAAAATAAGGTTTAATGCCCTTTACTTTCTCTGTTTAGCCGTACCCCTGGTAATTGCCAGAACTCTGCTAATGAAGTGGATCTTCTGGGTCCAAACCAGAATGGTTCTGAGGGCTTAGCCCAGCTGACCAGCACCAATGGTGCCAAGCCTGTGGAGGATTTCTCCAACATGGAGTCCCAGAGTGTCCCCTTGGACCCCATGGAACATGTGGGCATGGAGCCTCTTCAGTTTGATTATTCAGGCACGCAGGTACCTGTGGACTCAGCAGCAGCAACTGTGGGACTTTTTGACTACAATTCTCAACAACAGGTACTGTGTGTGTCTCTGTCACCCTCTCTACTCTCCCTCCAGCCAGCACGTTGTTCAAGTAATTAAGAATGGGGGGATGGGGGAGGTGGTGGCATTGTTTCAGGCTATCCATAGCTAGCCCTTGTGAACCTGTTAGTGATGTAGGTTTACAGAGTCCCCTCATGAAGCTGGTCCCTATGCTGAGGTCACTGGCAAGAGGCCACCGTCCTCTGTATGTACTTCCTTTGGTTCTTCTCTCTCCTCAGCAGCTGGGGAGTGGATGAGGTAGTATTGCCTCTTGTAACACAACCCTCTCGGGTGCTAAATTAATCTCTGAAGATTTATGTGGTTGTGATGCTGTTGGTTTGTTTTGTTTTTAAAATAGTAAACTCTACTATCCACCGCTGTCAGGAGTGTAGTGCCAGGTCATCTTACCAGTTGTGTCTTACAGTTAAACAAGTTACTCCAGATAGCATAGACAAGGATCTGGCATCTTTCAAAAGTATTAGAATGCGATCAGAGGAAACCACACACACAAATCATTCAACTTAAAATCTACCATGAAATTGCTTGGCTCTTTTTCTTTTTTTAAATTCATAAGTCCCTGAAGATGTTGTATGTCTACCTTCTGTTTTTGAAGACATGTAGGACTACCTCTAGGATTAACTGATCTCTGTGTTTATTTATTTATTTTTTAAAGAAAGGTCAGCTGTCTGAACTACAAAAGAGGGGCTGTTAGTTTCCCAATCTTGTTAAGTTCTCCCTTGTGGCGGAAGCAGTTTGATTGACCATGAATTTCTGTTACTCTTTAGTAGTTTTGTAATAGATCGTTAATGCAGACTTCTAGGTTTGAAAGGTTAGCATCTCATTTTGAAGTTTAGAAATTCTATGTAGGGAAATTAGCTTATGGTCTTTGGAGATTATTATGCCGTGTTGTACCTTTAGTTATTGTCATAAATAGCTGATACTAAATGAATTTTGATTGATAGAGTAAAAAGTTAAACATATGAAGTTTCCCTTTAAGTCTCCTGTGTCGTTTATGAACAATAAATACCTTTAAGGGATTGTGTGAATGTGCATATTCATATAAGGTTAAATTAACAAAATATCTTTCAGAGAGAGTAAACTGAAAGTGTACACTCTTCTCCGT
Organism: Homo sapiens; assembly: GCF_000001405.40. NCBI lineage: Eukaryota > Metazoa > Chordata > Mammalia > Primates > Hominidae > Homo > Homo sapiens. The sequence continues at coordinate 30,991,260 of NC_000001.11, read as the reverse complement.
GCAGTTCTTAGTAGGTATGCCTGCCTCCCCATATGAATTGACTCTCTGTGCTTTTTTTCTCTTTATGGCCATTTTTGGTTCTTAGCTTCCATTCCCAGTGTAATGCAATCTAACACTTTCTGTGTTTTTTAAGAAGGGTTTGTCTCAGATTTCTTATGAACAAAAATATATGGTTCTCTCTTTTTTTTTTAAACTGTTCTTTACTTCATAATCAGAGTTGATATTCTTTTTTGATTTATTGATCTTTGGTTTCAAAATAATTTTACCAGTTTTTGGAGACTGGACAATTATTAGAACTTGAACAGAAATGTACTTCTATGTACCCACAAGTAGTTAGCATGATTACATCATAGCTACCACTTATTCAAAAATATAAAACCAAGGGTGCCCTCACCATATATCTCAGCAGTTATTGAAAGTAAACATTATTTTGAAAGTTAATCTCTTGTTGGATTCAGGTTTCCTGTGCATGTCTTGGTTGCTGCAACATAGAGGCATTTTTACACAGACATACCACTGTCATGATGTGAGTGTTGTTTTATCTCATGGGCCATAATTCTTTTCTGAGTAGTTTGTTTTATACATTCTTGTACCGGGGGCCCTAATAGCATACCTGGGAACCACTGGCGTAAGCCTCCTATATCTTTAAGACCCTCAATCTCTCGGTGTTCCTGTATAAGAGCTAGTAGTTGTCAAGAAGGAACGATTCCTTTTCTATTGGAAATTGGTGTTTGTTTCTTACATTTTATCCCTTATCCTTTTAGTTTTCATTACATTTTATTCCACTTTTCATTTCTAATTTACGTCCACCTCATTTGTCAAGGTTCAGTACTGTCACCTTCCTTTCTTAGTCTCCAAACCAAAAAGCTGTCATGTCTGCCTCCCTAGAACTCCATAGCATTTTGTGTTTCCTTTAAGAGAAGGTGTTACCATGTTTTGTCTTGTGTTGTGATTACTCGTCTAATAGTCCTTGCCAGATTGTAAGCTCCTTGAGGGCAAAGACTGAACCTTACCCCATTTCCTCTGCATTGCTTTAGCAGAACAAGGTTTCAGGGGACTTTCCCCCATCCCTATTATAATATCTCAGTGCATCCTCTGTACGTAATATGCTTCCCAAAATTAAAATTTGAAACTAGCCTTTCAGGAGGTCTGGAGGCTACTCTTTGAGAACTACCGTGTTTTCTAATATGTGTGTCCTTTGGATCCAGCTTACCACTTATATACAAATAACTATGCTGTATAATATCCAGGAAAGTTACTTCTTGGATCAGAACTTAATATTTTAAGGCTCACTCTGTTGTCATCTGATCAGAAGCCATGGTCTCTCTCATGAGAAAAATGTACATAATTCTCTGACACTCAGTTTTGTAGATAACTTCAGGGAGACCACAGATTTGTGTTCTACAGATACAGCCTTCTGTTCATATCTTTTGTTCTTTGTAGCCAACCATATCTTTCATGAATAGAGTAAGATTCCCTTTCTTCTTCTTGATTTGCTCTCAGGTTAGTCATTGTAACTCACTTTATCATTTAAATTGTGCATGGAAGTACTCGATGACAAGTGATGAGACCATTTATGCCCATATTCTTGGAACCCTGCAACTATGGAGAGTGTACTCTGGTCTCTTGGGAAGGGAAGGACTTTGTGGAAGAAGTGGTTCTTTTTTTTTTTTTTTTTTTTTTTTTTTTGAGACGGAGTCTCACTCTTTTGCCCAGGCTGGAGTTCAGTGGTACGATCTTGGCTCACTGCAACTTCCGCCTCCTGGGTTCAAGCGATTCTCCTGCCTCAGCCTCCCGAGTAGCTGGGACTACAGACACCCACCACTGTGCCTGGCTAATTTTTGTAGTTTTGGTAGAGATGGGGTTTCGCCTTACTGGCCAGGCTGGTTTCGAACTCCTGACCTCAGGTGATCTGCCCGCCTTGGCCTCCCAAAGTGCTGAGATTACAGGCATGAGCCACTGCGCCCAGCCAGAAGAGGTAGTTCTTTAGCTGTGCCTTGAAAGACTTTTTTATATACGAAGAAAATGAGAATTCTAGTGGAGGAAATAGTAAAACAGATATGTGTTCAGTAGATAATGTAGAAGTAGTCAGTCTGGTTGGTGGTTAGGTTGAAGAAAAATAACTAGAGAGGTTGAAGAGATGGTGTTGTGAGTCTTATGCTGTGTTGCCTATAGGAAATGAGAAGACACTTTAAAGCAGGAATTACTTAATTATTATAGTTTGTTTTTTTTGTGGTTAGTGTGAGTTTAGCAGCAGTTTGAGGCATTCTCTTACTCTTATTATTCAGTTAACTGTTGACTGTTGTGTCCTTCTAGGAACCTTGGGTTCTGAATGAAACAGTAGTGGAATATTTGGGGAACTAAGTGCTAAATTAATGGGTTCTGAATCTTATCAGACAAGGGGAGGGCTCAATGAGGACAAAGGTTGCATGCAACTGACTTGAAGGACAGGTGGAATACATTTTGTTGCAGGTCAGAGCAGAGGTATGGAGCTGGGAATGACTGTGGTGTAGTCCTAGGCTGAAGAGAGTAGAAGACGAGTGTACAAGAGGACAAGGAGGTACAGATGCCTTTGAAAATTGAGTCCCGGAGGCCTTGAGAACCAGCTGGAAGTCTCAGACAGTACTGATGATTGTGAGGGTTGGACCAGAGGTCTAGTGCAGCACATACTTTTCTGCACATTCTGCTCTTTTTATCTTGGCTTTCTGAAATAAGCAACAAAGGTGATCATTTTTCTTGGTTTAGAGTTTGCTGCAAATGGTAGGTTTGCTTTATTTGTGATTTTTTAGAATAGGAATCTGGTTTGGAGGTTGACAAAATAAGTAATTCTCTCTTTTGTTATATTTTCTTTCAATCTTGGCTTTGATTTGGTGTAATAAGCTGGTTTCATCAAACTTATTATCAGCCTATAATGAGATACATGACATGGAGCAGCCTGCAAATAGGGAAAAGGTAATTTTCATTTAATTCATTGCAAACTTAGTTCTTGTTAGCTGTGACATGGGATTTTGATGAGTCAGTTGGTTGTCTGGTCACTGTTAATCACTCTGAATTTAACCCTTGTAAGGTTTATTTATAAGAGCAGGAGTTTCTAATTCTTTTTTGTTTGTTTTTGTGTGTGCCGTGAACTTCTTAATAAGTGAACCATGTGGACTACTTCTCAGAATAATGTTTAAAATGTATAAAGTAGGATTACAAAGGAAACCAGTGGTATAAAAATAGCTGTCATATTTAAAAACAAAGTTAATTATATATTTACTTATTTATGATATGATGCATGAAATAGAAGTAGATGTACTAGCTGTCATAATGAGCACAAGTAAGATGTTGAGATACTTGTAACAACTGTAAAGTAACATGAAAGTATATGTGATTTCTGTTTGTGATAATGTCACAGGTATATTGCTAAAGTTAATGTAGTTTGTTGTCTACAATCATAATTGAAGAACATGCTAAATTTCAGGTAAATGTGCATGAGATAAAGATGCAGTATTACCCACCCAAGTACAAATATCTTGGGTTCAGAACCTCTGACTTGGAGTATTTTGTCAGCTTGAAATGCTCGTTGTTATTTCTAAAATGTTCTTCCTTTGTCTCAAATTCACTTCATTGTCTTCTTAATCCTGGAAAACAGCTGTGAGCAGTTCATGCATAATGTGTTCATACCATTTTGTACTGTGATGTTGGAGCAGTATTTATTTTTTACAAAATGCTATACAGTTGCCTGTTTCCTTAAATGCAGTTTAGAAAATTATTACTAGGTTTTGGCTAGGCGCGGTGGCTCACGCCTGTAATCTCAGCACTTTGGGAGGCCGAGGCGGGCAGATCATGAGGTCAGGAGTTCGAGAGCAGCCTGGCCAATATGGTGAAATCCCCTTTCTACTAAAAATACAAAAATTAGCCGGGCGTGGTAGCACACGCCTGTAGTCCCAGCTACTCGGGAGGCTGAGGCAGGAGAATCACCTGAACCCAGGAGGCGGAGGTTGCAGTGAGCTGAGATCACGCCACTGCACTCCAGCCTGGGCGACAGAGTGAGACGCCGTCTTAAAAAAAAAAAAAAAAAAATTTGTTACTAGGTTGTATTATGTTACAAACATGGCACAAACCAAAGCCAGGATTATATCAGTGTAGAATTAATTGTATTGTTGATCTTTATTTAGAATTCAGTTAATCTAAAAATAGCCTAATGTAGTATGTTTCACAAAATTGGACACTGTTGTACTAAAACTCATCTGTTAAGCATGAATTTTAACAAAGATTCAATATTCTGAAAATGAAAGTTGAAGTATGGTATTCATTCCTGCACGACCACAGTCAGAGGGGAGTGGAAATCGGCATGTGTTAAAAGTGTGGCAGTGTGATTAAATGTCATTCTCGTGAGGCCAAGTGTGTATATACTTTTAATGTAGGTATTTAATATGCTCAACTTTCTCTTTAACTTACAAATGATTATTCTATCAAGTGTCATGTGTATAGTAACTGACAAAGAGTGACTAGTAATTGATCAGTTGAAGCTTAACTTCTATTGTTATTTGACTTCGTTCAAATTTTACTTATGGTGAAGTTTTTCTCAAAAAGTATTAATAATACTTAGTGAAGGGATGTGTTTTGTTCTTCCCTAGGACCTTAGAAATCATTTGTTTTGGAATCAGATTCTTCATCTGCCAAAGAAATGCACAGATGATGATGATGATGATTTTTTTTTTTTAGTTTAGCAGCATGGTTTAATTTGTATGCGCCTACGAAAAATCATTGTAATCATTAGTTGATCATTGCAGTAGTTCAAATAACCTGGTATAAACTGGGCTTTTATCTAGAAGCTTCAAGCAGTAACAAGATTTCACAAATTTCATATGCTGAGGAATGACTCCAAAATAAACCTTTTTCTTAAAATTTTAGAATCCCATCATTGATATAGTGCTTTTACTGTTTCGAAGGGATTTTCTCTGTGAACCCTGAAAACAACCCCACGAGGTAGGGCAGCTATTTTATTTTTACACATAAGAGGCCAAGCATGGTGGCTCATGCCTGTAATCCCAGCGCTTTGGGAGGCTGAGGCTGGCAGGACACCCAAGGTCAGGAGTTTGAGATCAGCCTGGCCAACATGGTGAAACCCCGTCTCTAGTAAAAATACAAAAATTAGCCAGGTGTGGTGGCGCAAGCCTGTAATCCCAGCTACTCCAGAGGCTGAGACAGGAGAATCGCTTGAACCCAGGAGGCGGAGGTTGCAGTGAGCCAAGATCGCACCACTGCACTCCAGCCCCGGGGACAGAGTCTCACTCTGTCTCCAAAAAAAAAAATCAGTGAAGTTTAGGGACTTGTTTGAAGGTCATCTAGTACAAGCTATGCAGATAGCTATTATTTTGGTTTCTAGCTTCAGGCTGTCTCTTTTGAACTTTGTATTAGAAACGCAGGGCCTTTTAATAGGTGGAGTTGTCTCACCTTCAAATTCAACTACATAGCTTTTTCTTAAAGTAGTATAATGCAGAAAGTACTCATCCGTAAAAACAAAAATGGTTTTCTTTCTTCCCTGTTATCTTTGTGACCCACTGATAGCAGCTGGTGGTCCTGGTGCGGTGAGATTTTGACTCTTTTTTTTTTTTTTTTTTTGAGATGGAGTTTCACTCTTGTTGCTTAGGCTGGAGTGCAATGGCCATCTCGGCTCACCTCAACTTCCGCCTCCTGGGTTCAAGCAATTCTTCTGCCTCAGCCTCCCGAGTAACTGGGATTACAGGCCTGCACCACCACTCCCGGCTAATTTTGTATTTTTATTAGAGATGGGGTTTCTCCATATTGGTCAGGCTGGTCTCGAACTCCTGACCTCAGGTGATCCGCCTGCCTCGGCCTCCCAGAATGCTAGCATTAAAGGCATGAGCCACTTTGCCTGGCTGATTTAGACTCTTAATACAGACTAGGAGGAGTCCTGCCCTCTGCTTTTGGTCTGCTTGGGCTGCCTGGCTCTGGGAAGGAACTGTAAAGGGTGACTCTCAGAAGGGCTGAGTCTGTTGGGGGTGCTCTCCCCATTCATCAGAAAGAACATCACACATAAAGGACTCTTATAAATCTTTACATGTGTTAATTTTAATCCCCACAGCAACCTGCCATGTTACATATTATCTTTATTGTCATATTAAAGAGGAGAAGAGAATGAGGCACAGAGAGATTAAGCGATTTGCCAGAGGTGACATAGCAAGTCACTGGTGAGCTGAGATAGAAACCAAGGCTGTCTGGCTCCAGAGTCAGTGCTCTTAACCCCTGTCTGCTATGTATATAGTCTCAAACTGGTAAAAAAGTCAGGGCTGGCAGTACATTTTATTGTGGCCGGTGGCCAGGGGGGAGTGGGGGCGGTAGTCTTTTGCATTTACTAACTCCTTATTTAGACATTACTCCTCCAGGTTTAGAAAAAAAAAGCCATAATTTTTTATGTCAGCAACTGCTATTGATAACAACAACAGTAATAATAGTAGTAGCTATCTTTTATAAGATGCCAACTACATGTCAGTCACTATATTGGGTGTTTTTGGCTGCCCGGATTCCTTTCTGGAATAAGAGCTCTGTAGACTGTTTTTAATATAGTAAGTGACAGAGAAAGGAGGCAAACCAGCTTGTCTACTTCTTAAACTATGCCTTCAGTATTTATTAGGAACCTCGATATGCTTGAAGTAGATGATACATTTTCCCCAGCATTCAGACTCTTGAACAACTTGTGAAATCTACCCAAGTGAATTATAATTAACTGCGTCACATTTATCATTATACTGACCTTTGAGCATTTCCCCCAACTCACAGTATTTTGTTTCTCAGTTATGGGATATTCGCTTGCTTTGTGAAAAACATGAAAATGTTAGCAGAGCTCAGTGCTTTGCCCAGCAGATGGCATTTGTGTGAGTTTTTCAGGATCCTTTGGAATCTGTCACTTGCCAATTACCCAATTTGTTTTGAATACTCTGTATTTCCAGTTAATATTGCACCATTTACATAAAGAGAATGTGCCAAAATTGCTGTAATCTGTTCTGTAATCAAATCTGTCTGCTGTAGATGTATAATTTACTTTTGTTAAGTTGTTTACTGCAAAATGGTCTCAAGAAAATCCTTTTCTATTCACCATAATTACTAAGATATTAATCAGCTCTCAAACATAGGCTATATGGGGTCTCTTGTAAGGCTTGTTTGCTTTTAGTTAAAAGTAATAGTTCCTGCTTTCAGAATGTTTTAATGTGGTGGTGAAAACCACAAGCTAATGTTATATGGAATGATTACTTTTGTGGTATTCCCACATGCCATGTATTTCCGTGTATATTTACAGATACAGTACACATACATAAAATGACTTACATGTAATATTAAAAAAATATATAGCCCAGGTGTGGTGGCTCACGCCTGTAATTCCAGTCCTTTGGGAGGCCAAAGTGGAAGGATCATTTGAGCCCAGGAGTTCCAGACCAGCCTGAGCAACGTAGACTTCATCTCTACAAAAAAGTTCAAAAAAAAAAAAAAAAAAATGCCAGGCGTGGTGACATGCGCAGCTACTTGGAGGCTGAGGCAGGAGGATTGCTTGAGCCCAGGAGTTTGAGGCTGTAGTGAGCCATGATCACGTCACTGCATTTAAGCCTGGGTGACAGACAGAGTAAGACTCCGACTCTTCAAACAAACAAAAATATATGAAGTGAGGTTAAGTCAGATGGAATGGCAGTGGACTACTGTTTTTGGTTAATAAATCGAGATACCCTTAAGAGTTGTGTTCTGAACATACTGTCTTTTTTTCCCCAGTTCCATGTCACAGCACCTGCCTAATAATAGGTGCTCGAAAAACATCTGTTGAATGAAATGAATTCTTTTGTTTGCAGTAGGGCAAAGAAGGGTAGAGAGAAGCAGCTAGCACAAGCTGATATGTTAAATGTTGCAAAAGGTTTTAGGCCAAGAAAATTCCAGAAACCCATTGAAGAGGCAATACATGTTTAGTGGAACTATGAGATGTTTTCACAACCTTGGAAATAATTTAAAAGTAACTTTCTACTGTTTTACTTATTTCCCACTCCTGGCTGCCCCTCTTGGGTGGACTGCCTCCTGTTGGAGGGAATACTGTGTGAGACACATCTTTAGTAAAACAGAAATGTGAAACCAACTTGCAGAAATCACAAGCACACTGTTACCAAATAGTCTTGACTGGCTCCCTTCCTGGAGGACAAATGTTTTGATAATGTCTGTCAGTAGATTCAGTTCCCCTATTTCTTTTTAAGACTTGATATTTAGTAATACTGTTTCTTTTTTGCCAGCATCGCAGTGAAGTTTTTCTTTAACTTTTGGGGAAAAACAAAACAAAACAAAACAAAAAAAACTAAAGTATTTTTGAAATCTGTGCATGGTTACTTTTGACATTCATACTCCAAAAGCAGAGACTAAGACTAAAGAGTTAACAGGTGAAATTGGCCAATATCTTCAAAGTATTCACTTTTTGTTTTCTTTTAATCTAAAATTAGCCTCATGTTTGAGGTGTAGAGGGTAGCCAAATCTCAGGATAAAATCTCTCCACCACCTAAGATAAGAGTAAGTCCAGTCATGACAATAATTAAGCTGAGTTGCTAGAATGACATTATCTCCTAATGTCTGAAACAATCAGGTCTCTTTATGAGGACATCTGTAATTCAAGATCCATGGTGTCTGTTAAACATCATCCAGCAATGTCAGCTGAGCTGTTGAAAAATCCTGTAGGAAGAGCAGGTAGGTTGAAGGTCCTATCCAGGGAGGTCACTTCAGTAAGTGCTTTCAGTCTGATTTTAGCAAACATTGAAGTCTTCAGTATGACTCCTTGGAAGGAGGCCCATTAAGGTGATCCACAAATTAGGTTACTGGCATCCCCTTTCTTTATACCAATACTATTCATACTAAAATGTAATCTCCATCAGGGCAGGATTATGTATTGTTTTATTGACTGTCATATCCCTAGTTCCTTGCACAGTGCCTAGCAGGTATCATTTGTTTCATAAATATTTGTTGAATTAATGAGTGAATGACTGGTTTTGTATTAACGTAGAATCGTAAGACATTCTTAGTGTTGTTAAGGCCTTTGAACTTTCTTTTCTTTAGAACTAAGAAGTGTGCTAGGTGTGAGCTCATAATCCAAGTTTTGTTAGTAGCTGCTGTGTTTCTGCTGTTTTATTTTTAACATATAAAGAATAGTATCCCAGAAGACTCTGGAGCTCCCGAAAGTTGGGCAGGTGTCTTAATTTACTCATTAGGATAAGCTACTAGTTGAGGAAGTTATTCAATACCATTTTCCCAGGAAGAGGCAGCTCAGAGGATGAAGTGAACACTTTTCATATTCTTCTCCAAAATGTGAGTAGGTGAGGATTAATTCAGTTATTTGTGGGGTCTTGAAAGCACTGAAAGGAGATTCAGCACTAGGGACAATGTGACAAATCAGTTGGTAGTACATTTGTCTAATTTTTAACTTTGCCTTGGATCAGGCAGGACCTGTAGACCTGATAATCTTTAGGGCTTTTGAATGCATATATATGAGATATATAGATAGATATATAGATATAGATATAGATATCTCATATGTGTGTGTGTGTGTGTGAGAGAGTGTGTATTTGTGGTTCAGGGGACATATAATCTGTGAAGCGGTCAGCTCATGGAACCAGGACACAGTAAATTGAAGTAAAGAAAGAGAGACAGGGAGAACAGAAGTATGAAACATTTTAATCCCATGGGAATGAAGTAGAGTGTGAGAACATTTATTGTTAAGGTGTCACGCCTAAACAAGTGCTTATTAAAATTTTTAGTCAGAGAGGTTTTTAAATGATTTTGTAAGACAGTTTCCCTAACCACACCGTGTTTTTCCTCTTGCCTCAGCTGTTCCAAAGACCTAATGCGCTTGCTGTCCAGCAGTTGACAGCTGCTCAGCAGCAGCAGTATGCACTGGCAGCTGCTCATCAGCCGCACATCGGTAAGTCCTTAAGCCCATAGCTCTTTCATGATAGGTGTGGCCGCCATTTTAGGATAACTGGTTGCTGTGAAACCCAGTAATTTAAACTGATTATAAAAGTTCAGACAAATCCCTCAGACAGAGTAAGTGGCCTCTTCCTTTTGTCCAGTTGTCTCCAGCCACATTAGTTTTGACATAGCTTGTAGACCCGCATCATAACATTTCTTCAGTGTTCAGCCATTGCCCTACCTCAGATGTTTCAGGATTTAAAGTATTTATCAGAGTAATGACTGGTGACTACCATTAGCTCTTTCGGTAAGATTTGGATGACATTGATTACATAAGTTGTGGTTCTATAGACTAATATATCAGCTTCTTATTTTGTGAACAAACAGTATAAATCCATTTTCCAGTAAGTATGCATTGAAAAAATTTAAAAGTATTCTCATATAATTACCGATTTTAAAGTAGCTTTGCCCTTTTCCTTTAGCAGTTGTTAAAGTTTTGAGCGATGTATTCATCGTACTGCCTAGACGTTTCTTCCCCCTGGACCTTCTTAAGGTCTCTTAGAGTGCATTAAGTATAAACAAGTAGAAGTAGAATTTTTTTTTTTAATGTGTCAAAATGGCATGATTGAGTAGAAAGGAGATAGCTAATCTTGGATGTGATAGGCTATAGAAGAATATACTTACTTCCAACCTAAATAAATAAAGGCCAGGCATAAAGTCCTTGGGTCTGATAATGTATAGTTGTAGATGGTAATCTTTATAAATACCCATACATTTTATTTCATGAAAACTGTTTGGAAAATTGTTTTAAATAGAAATAAATACTTCATCCCATTTTAATATTAGTCTTTAAAATTGTTCTATTGTAGGCTGTTACAATTTTAATAATCTTTTAGAAATGCTGAATTTATAACTATATACAGTTTTAAGTTAAATATTTCTTTAGCAAAGGTAAAATTTGACTATATAAACATTTCATTATAATCTTTAGTATAGCAGTTATCTTTTTAAAATTTCTCTTTACCCTCAACCTGTCCCGTCTTCTCTTTTTTCATTTTTTCCTTATCTACTGTCTGGAGTGAATAGCGAAACTGTGTAGGTATTTGATAGGGCTGCAGTTTTAGTCAAGTTTGTTTTTACTGACAGGTATGTTTTCAGCAGGTTTAGCTCCCGCTGCGTTTGTCCCCAATCCATACATCATCAGCGCTGCTCCCCCAGGGACGGACCCCTACACAGCTGGATTGGCTGCAGCAGCGACACTAGGTGAGACATTCTGCTGCATGAGGGATTTTCTCACCTGCTGAAAAGTCATTTGAGATGGGCGTGCATTCTTTATACTCTTTCCCAAATCCATGTCTCCAGTGGAGATTATCCAGATTTTCAATGCCATCTACCTGCCAGCTTAATATCTCTCCGTAGCTGTATCATAGGCCCCTCAGACTTGAAAATGTTCAAAGGCAAATTAATCACATACGCCTTGCATATGTGTTTTTGATCCATGGAGCCACCAGATACTCATTTATATTTTGGGAATTTCCCCCCTTGCCCAGATCTCCTACCACCTCTAGTCTATCATATAGTTCAGGTACTTTTACTGGTCTCTAATGTATTTATAATTTCCTTGCCTCTCTCACCTCCTCTTCCCCTCTAAATTGTTCAAGAAAATGATTTCAAACTTAGATCTTACCTCTTCATCTTTCTGCTTAAACCTTTTATTGATTTCCCTTTTTTCTACCCTAGTATGTCATACTACAGTTATTACCAAACATGGCTGATCATTACAACTTACTTGGAGTCGGGGTGGGGGTGGTGGTGTTTTGTTCCTTGGAATCAGTATTTTTAAGGAGCTTCCAGATAATTCTGTGGGTTAGCTAGGGTTGGGACCCACAGTATATAGGGCTCTATCACCATGCCTCATACATACAGGTCTCTACATATGTACCACCCAATTCCCTTCCTAGTTGACTGCCATTGGCTAACACCATACATTGTAGCAGTACAGATCTGATTTTAGTTTGCTGCAGATACTGCATTGGTTTAGGCCCCTGTCTTTGGTCACTGTGGTCTTCTGTAGTAAGCTCTTTTTCCCATTCTTTGCCTGTGAAGTGCCCTAGTTGGCTAATTACTGCACTGTTTTTATTTGCTTGTGGGATGTATACATGAGTTTTTTCCCCTCTTTTTTTTTTTCTCTTTCTTTCTCTCTCTCTCTTTTTTTTTTTTGGAGACAGGATCTCACTCTGTTGCCGAGGATGGGATGCAGTGGCGTGAATACAGTTCACTGTAACCTTGAATTCCTGGGCCCACTGGATTCTCCTGCGTCAGCCTCCTGAGTAGCTAGGGCTACTGTGCATCACCACACTTAGCTAATTGTTAAATTTTTGGAGAGATGGGGTGGTCTCGCCAGCGTTGCCTAGGCTGGTGTTGTGTCAAATTCTCGGGCTCAAGCAGTCCTCCTCCCTTGGCCTCCCAAAGTGCTGGCATTCCAGGCATGAGCCACTGTGCCCAGCCTATGAGTGTTTTTTTCTTTCCCTTGAGACTAGATTTTTAAAAGACAGGCATCTTTGTTATTTGACTGTGTGTTGCACAGTTACCGTCACCGTGATGGGACCATAAATGTATGATGGGTTGAATTCAACATTAGGACAAACAAAATGTCTTCCAGTTTAGATATTCACTGGGGGAAGATCCCTCCAAGTCAAGTTCATCATGACTAAATATTACTTCGAAATTTTACTACTTATTATGTAACATGTAATTTGCAATTATGAACTTAAATGTAGCCTAGCATTTCTTAGATTTTTTAAAAAATTGTTTACATTTTGGCATGGTTATGATGGGAAGATAGTTAACATAGGGTCATCTGGCTGTCCGTGGTCATCCCCCTTTTGGGGGAAAACAGAAAGCTCTTCGTAGGAGAATGATCTCTGCTAACCATCATTAATATTTATTGAGCACTTAACTTTTGTCAGGCATTGTCCTGAATGCTTTTCTTTCATATGATTTTTCAGATGATGATTTTAGAGATTAGAAATTTGTGGCTCAGACAGCTGCCTTATTTGTTGTTTTTTGTTTTTTTGAGACTGAGTCTTGCTCTCTCGCCCAGGCTGGAGTTCAGTGGTGCGATCTCGGCTCACTGCAGTCTCTGCCTCTTGGGTTCAAGTGATTGATTCTCCTACCTCAACCTCCTGAATAACTGGGACTACAGGCACCCACCACCACGCCTGGCTAATTTTTGTATTTTTAGTAGAGATGGGGTTTTGCCATGTTTGCCAGGCTGGTCTCAAACTCCTGACTTAAAGTGATCCACCCTCCTTGGCCTCCCAGAGTGCTGGGATTACAGTTGTGAGCCACTGCGCCCAACCTAGAGAGAACTGTCTCATTTGAAGTCACACAATTTAAATGTTGTAGAGTTGGGGTTTGAACCAGGTTTAACTCCAAAGCTCATGCGTATGCTTCACTATAGTATATAGAATGCCTGTGCTGTCTGTCTTGAATTGTCTTTTCTGTACTTTCTTTAGAAGTCTTTACTAATTTATGTTACTTGAAACAAAGAACTGGTCTTAGGGTTGACACTGCTGCTGTCACTGAGATGGTAGTTCGGTGATCAGAATCTTGTTTTTTGTATATGTCAGTTGAGCCAGGGTGAAAATGAGTTAATACTTTCACAAATAACAGGAAATGTTAACTGTTAAAACTATGAAAATGTGTATTCTTTGAGGGTGTCAGTCACACAGGAATTGAAGTGGGCATCCTGATGTGCCAAGCTCAGTTGATTTGCCCTGGGATGTTTTCCTAAATTTAACCTTAGGCCATGTGACCAGCGTATAGTAGTAGAAATGCCAGTTGAGAAAATTTAGAGAGTAATGCAGATGTTAATGGTAATAGCAGTCCTTGCCCAGTAGAGGCTCGCTTTTGTTGGCTTTTGGGAGAGCGTTGGGACTATTATTGCAGGTTGCAACCACTCATTCAAGGTAGATACGGCTGTACTCCCAACATGTATTACAGGTTGAGCATCCCTAATCTGAAAATTCAAAATCTTTTTGAGTAGTAACATGACACCATAAGTGGAAAATTCCACACTTGACCTTGATCTCATGTGATGGGTCATAGTCAAAACCACAGGCACATAACACACAGTTCATCTATTCAGCATCCCCAAAGGAAAAGTAAAATTACCCCCAGGCTATGTGTATAAGGCATATATGAAACGTAAATGAACTTTGTGTTTAGACTTGGGTCACATCCCCAAGATAACTCTTGGACACACACATAGTCTACAATCTGAAATCGGTAACACTTCTGGTCTCAAGCACTCTGGTTAAGGAACACTCTACCTGTTTACCCATTTTTACAGGTGAGGAAACTAAGGCACAGTTAGGGTCTTTTTTGTGTGTTTTTTCTCTTATTTATTTCTTTAACTGCCCAAGACCACCCTGCTTTATAAACACTAATCAAATGAGTATGAGGCTCTATCACTCTTTTTTTTTTTTTTAAACTTGAATACATGGCTTTTAGGCCGTTCAGTTTCTGACAAATTAAAAAATGTTTTAACCCCTTTTCTTCTTATAGTAAAATAGTTCATAGTGTAACAGCTTTTCTTAGCAACACCTTTATTCTGTACCCAGGTATAGTGTTTCAGTGTGCACCCTTGCTTGTAAACAGCTTCTTAATCTTTTCTAAGCCCACAGGTATAGAAAACACCAAATTAGAAATGTCAAAACATATTTATATTGGGCAGTGGTACAATTTGACTTATTTGTGTTTTGGAAGCTTAAAATGGGGGAAACAAGAATATGTGTCTATTTATTTTGGCTTAATGAATTATGTGTTTCTCCAGAATTAGCTGTAGCATCAGAGTAGCTGTAATATTTGAAACAGCTCTTCAGAACTTCAGTCAGTGTAAGGAAGGTTTGGTTACTGTTAATGAATCAAGTTGGAAATATTTAACTCTCTGCTTTAAGGAAGTTCAACTTGGAGATATGTTTCAGCAGATTTGAAGAATTGACTTTGAGCCCATTTCCTGGTTAGCAAATGTGTCTTTGGTGTTTCTTGCTACCAGCTTCGTCATAGAATTCTATAATTAGATTTCTGCCACACTTGGGTTGATATCTGCATAATTTTGTTATATCTCTGTTGTGTACTTTATGTGGCCGACTGCAGCTGTACTTTGTTGCCAAGGAAAATGAACAGATAATTTGGATTAAAGCAGAATGCTTAATTTTTTTTTTTTTTTTTGGAGACACACTCTTTGCTCTGTTGCCCAGGCTGGAGTGCAGTGGTACAATCTTGGCTCACTGTAACCTCTGCCTCCTGGGTTCAAGCAGTTCTCCTGCCTCAGCCTTCCGAGTAGCTGGGATTACAGGCATCTGCCACCACGTCCGGCTAATTTTTTATATATTTTTTTAGTAGAGATGGGGTTTCACCATGTTGGCCAGGCTGGTCTCGAACTCCTGACCTCAAAGTGATCCACCCAACTTGGCCTCCCGTAATGCTGGGGTTACAGAGAATGCTTAATTTTGTTTAAGGTTCTCAACAGGTCTGTAACAAGTCAAGGTGTTGTATTTTTTGTTTCTATTTGTGTTCAACGTTGACTTAAATTTAAAATTTCACATATCAGTGTCTGAATGTAGTTGTGTTGAATGCCTTTGTGACTTTAAAAATAGAAATAGGGGCCAGGCCTGGTGGCTCAAGCCTAAAGTCCCAGCAATATGGGAGGCCAAGGCAGATGGATCGCTTGAGCCCAGGAGTTTGACACCAGCCTGGGGCAACACAGACCTCTACCAAAAAAAAAAAAAAAAAAAAAAAAATTAGTCAGGTATAGTGGCATGCATCTGTAATCCCAGGTATTAGGGAGGCTGAGGTGGGAGGATCACTTAAGCCGGGGAGGTCAGGGTTGCAGTGAGCTGAGATTGCCTCATTGCATTCCAGCCTGGGTGACAGAGAGACCCTGTCTCAAAAAACAAAAAAACAAAAAAAACAAACAGTAACAGCAACTTTGAAGTTGCAGTGGAGGTTCAGTTGAGTGTCTAGGTTTTGTTGTCAGACTGATAGATGTTCTTTTTCTGGAGTTAATGAAACAACAGCACTCCGTTAAATCACCTTAGGTGCCATTCTTATCATTGAACATAGGATACATCCTAACCTTTTGTTCTATTCCATCACTTTAAGCACGCAAACCCTCCATTTACTCCCTTCTACCAACAGATATTGTCTCTATGCTACATCCTCCATCTGTTATTAAATTGAACCCCTTCTATCAGTGATTCCCCCTTTTAGTTTTCTAATGTTTCATTCCCCACTGCTTCTTCCTCTAGGCCTGGATTATATTAGAAGACTGGTGTAAGGATCTCATATAATGTTTACTATTCTTTAAAAAGAGTTAATGATTAGCTAGCATAAATTAATATATACTTTTAAGTTAATATTTTACAGTAGGATCTATTGAGTCAGATGTAATTTTGGAAAGGCTGAGATGAGCCTCAGTAGTTCAGACTTTCTTTACCTTTCTTTTGCTATTTTTAGGCCCAGCTGTGGTCCCTCACCAGTATTATGGAGTTACTCCCTGGGGAGTCTACCCTGCCAGTCTTTTCCAGCAGCAAGCTGCCGCTGCCGCTGCAGCAACTAATTCAGCTAATCAACAGACCACCCCACAGGCTCAGCAAGGACAGCAGCAGGTAAATGTAGACAAAATTTACCTCTTCTAAGTGGGAATCGTAGTATTGTGGATAATTAATAGGTAATATTGCGCCTAATAGAAAAACACTGTGAATGCATGAATTTCCTCTTGTGTGTATATATGTGTGTCTGAGTTCAGGCTCAGATTTAACTACTCTTACGGAATGTCTTTTATATATTAGACACTATTGTACCTAGGTGGGGTAACGATACTAACCAGTTCACCTATAGGGAAATTGCTTAGCTGCAAGTGGCAAAGTGGATCTTCAAAGTTACAGTAAAATTTTGTTCTGCCATACTGTAGTTGCTTGCTAAGCACCACTTTCAGATCATTTCAGGGTTTTGCAAGGGGCTTGACACTAAAGCAGGGGTACTAGATTTTTAGACTGCTTATTTGTAGTACCTATTGGATTGGATTGGATGTAAATCTTAAACTATCATATCTGCATTAGCTTTTTATTTGAGTTGAGAAAGGACGGTAAACTGCAAAACTACATCTTTTATTTTTTTAAACAGGTCATTTCCTCCTTGATTGCTAGAATAACACCTTTTTTTTTTTTTTGAGATGGAGTCTAGCTCTGTCGCCCAGGCTGGAATGCCGTGGTGCAATCTCAGCTCACTGCAATCTCCGCATCCCGGATTCAAGCAGTTCTCCTGCCTTAGCCTCCTGAGTAGCTGGGATTACAGGCACGCTACACCATGCCCAGCTAATTTTTGTATTTTTAGTAGAAATGGGGTTTCACCATGTTGGTCAGGCTTGTCTCAAACTCCTGACCTCGTGATCCACCCGCCTCGGCCTCCCAAAGTGCTGGGATTACAGGCGTGACCACCGTGCCTGGCCAATAACACCTCTTTATTGATAGAAACTGTGGTAAACTAGAAAACTTGAAAAAAAAAATTACCCTAAATCCTTATGTCAGAAAACCAATGCTATTATGTTTGGTATCTGTTATTTTAGCCTTATTATTTAATATTTTACAAAATTGTCATTATTGTGTCCACGTGGTTTTACATTCTGATTTCATACTTTACTGTGTTATTTAGTGTTCTTTTAAATGACATTTTTACTAGGTACATTTAAATCCACCAAACGATACTTTATTTTGACTAGTCTATTATATTTGATATTTCATTTGTATCAGTATTTTGGTGTTTTAAATGAGATTGATTAACATCCTTTACATAAGTTTATCCTTGGAAAAAATTCCTAGTAATGGAGTTTTTCTGGAGCAAATAAAATCAGCACTTAGGCTTCGATACGCATTGTCAGATAAAAGCTGTCATTTGAGACAAAACACCCTGCTCATATATGAATATATTAAATGATCCAAACAAGAATTTTTTGCTTGACATCAGTCTTACTCAGAGGGTGTATGTTTAATTTTTTTTTTTTTTTTAGATTCCACACAATTACAGAAAAAAAAAACAGGTCTTGAAATTCCCCCCGTTATTTGGACACTATTAAATGATTTTCTTGGCAACAGATACAGTTCTTGTACCATATATATAAGGAAATTCAGTAAATAATTTGTTGACAGAATGAGTGATCTGTTAAAATAAATTTGTTTTGAGACGGAATTTTGCTTTTGTTGCCCAGGCTGGAGTGCAATGGTGCAATCTTGGCTCACTGCAACCTCTGCCTCCAGGGTTCAAGCGATTCTCCTGCCTCAGCCTCCCAAGTAGCTGGGATTACAGGCCCCCACCACCACGCCTGGCTAATTTTTGTCTTTTTAGTAGAGACGGGGTTTCACCACATTGGCCAGGCTGGTCTCGAACTCCTGACCTCAGGTGATCCACCCGTCTCGGCCTCCCAAAGTGCTGTGATTGTAGGCCTGAGCCACCACGCCTGGCCAAATTTCTTTTTTTGTTTGTTTTTTTTGAGATGGAGTCTAGTTCTATTGCCCAGGCTGGAGTGCAGTGAGCTCTTGGCTCGCTGCAACCTCTGCCTCCTGGGTTCAAGTGATTCTTCTGCCTCAGCCTCCTGAGTAGCTGGGATTACAGGTGTGTGCCGCCACACCTGGCTAATTTTTGTATTTTTAGTAGAGATGGGATTTCACCATGGTGGCCAGACTGATCTCGAACTCTTGACCTTCAGTGATCCACCCCCCTCGGCCTCCCAAAGTGCTGGGATTGCAGGCATGAGTCACTGTGCCTGGCCTATTAAATAAATTAATTTCTCTTCTCTTCTCTTCTCTTCTCTTCCCTCCCCTCCCCTCCCCTCCCCTCCCCTCCCCTCCCCTCCCCTCCCCTCCCCTCCCCTCCCCTCCCCTCCCCTCCCCTCCCCTCCCCTCCCCTCCCCTCCCCTCCCCTCCCCTCCCCTCCCCTCCCCTCCCCTCCCCTCCCCTCCCCTCCCCTCCCCTCCCCTTCCCTTCCCTTCCCTTCTTTTCTTTTCTTTCTGACATAATCTTGCTCTGTCTTCCAGCCTGGAGTGCAGTGGCGCCAAGTTTGCTCACTGCAACCTTCGCCTCCCAGGTTCAAGCAATTCTCGTGCCTCAGCCTCCCTAGTAGCTGGGATTACAGGCACGTGC
This sequence comes from Homo sapiens, assembly GCF_000001405.40. Classification (NCBI taxonomy): domain Eukaryota; kingdom Metazoa; phylum Chordata; class Mammalia; order Primates; family Hominidae; genus Homo; species Homo sapiens. The sequence continues at coordinate 30,972,121 of NC_000001.11, read as the reverse complement.
CACCATACCTGGCTAGTTTTTGTATTTTTGGTAGTGACAGGGTTTTACCATGTTGTCCAGGCTGATCTCGAACTCCTGACCTCCAGTGTTCCACCCACCTTGGCCTCCCAGAGTGCTGGGTTACAGGTGTGAACCACTGCACCTAGCAAATAAATTTCTTAATAACTGCTCTTTGTGGATAAGTCTGTATTTATTTGTGTGATCATCTTTTTGTTTAAATGGCTGCCAAATTATTATGCATTTGGAAGACTAAAGTAATTACCATGTTTTAAAATTAGGTCTAATACAGTGAACAAGAATAATACTAATTGCTGTTTATTGAAAGCTTTCTGTGCAGAGTTAAGTGCTGTACATGTAATTTCTATTTCTCTTATTATGATAGTTGTACAACTTCTTGTTTTATGAAATAGAATTTCATAATTGAGAGGAAATCGATTGAGGAAATACAATTTGTGTGCCCAGGGTCACACAAATACAAAGTTGTTAAGATTTGAACATAAGCCTCTGTCTTGACAACTTTTCTTCTGACCATATTGTGATGTCTTGACTTAAAGAAAATCTGAGATCTTGTGTTTCTTCTGCCGTTAACTAGCTTACAACTAGGGCAAGTTGGATGGCTTCTCTAAATGCATATATTTTTGTTATAAAATGGACATAATAATCATTAACTTTTCAGTTTTCTGTCATTCCCTACAGGTTCTGTCAAACCCTACTAAGAAGTTTTTAGCATTAGTTTTTAATTAGCAGCCATTGTTTTAGTTCCTTTTTTTTGGGTGCCAGTTTCTGATTTTAAGTATTTGAGGAAAATATGATTTTTTTGGTAAACTGCCTTGTCATAGTAATTAAAATGAGAGGTTCTTTTTAAACTTTGCTGTTGGCCTTTTGGGCCCTTGTATTTTATCAGAAAGTATATGTTGCGTTCTAGTCAAGCTGACTGTTCTAGGATAGTTTTTATAAATTCAGTCATTTTGTGATTTATTAGACTTTAAAATGTTACTTGTGAAACTGTATATTTTGTTTCCATAAAATCATGGATTTGACAGCTATTGATGAAATGAAAATATATGAATTTTGGCAGATAACTGAAGGACTTTTATTTGTAGTTAGGGGTACTGGACAGATTTCTAGAGAGTGGACAAAAAGCTAACACTGTTTTCCTTCCTTATTACAAGACTCATCAATAGTCTTAGACTACCTCTTTAGGTACCTTGTCCACTCTACCACACCTGCCCTTTCACAGAACACCTAATCAAACATAAACCTACTTCTTTATATTCTGTGAAAGCAATGCTTTCATTGTTTTTTAAAATCTTCAGCAATTTTGAACTATTAGCATTTGCCATATTTCTGTGCTTGCTATTTACTTATCCTAGAGTGAGATCTCTTCTGAGTTATTGGGTATGTAAATTCTAAGTATTTGGCAAAAATGCTTGCTATTTACTTATCCTAGAGTGAGATCTCTTTTGAGTTATTGGGTATGTAAATTCTAAGTATTTGGTAAAACTCACCTGTACAGCCCCCCGACTCTTCTATCTACGTAGTTTGAAACACACTTTCTCTTACAAAGTTGGTTAGGTTCTTTAGGTCAGAAACAAATTATATAATATCTTGATAATAGTGATTTGCTATTGGTTATTGATGATCTCCTGGGTATCAGGCAGTGTGGCTTAAACACATTATTTGAGATATTTCCAGCAAATCTGCAAGATCATTTGTTAATTCTTACTTATTACTGATATAGAAGTAAAAGATTGGGCAAATTAAGTGTCCACACATCCCTTCTTGCCAGTGTGGACAGTGTTGGTCACCTTATACTCACTTAACAAATATTTAATTGGTTATTAGTGTTGCTTCTCTTTTTACATTTTTTTTTTACCACTGGTACCAAGAATAATTTGTACCCATTTTCTTGACCATATGTCTAACTTTTATAAATAACACAGTGAAATTGAAAGTGATCTGATAAGAACTGTACACTTGACAATATGACAAAACACATTGTTAGGAACTGTAGTAATTTTAGCCTTGGTTTGTGGGTTTTGCATTTTTGCTTGCTGGAGTGTGTAGATCTTGTGAGATAGATTCTTCACATCATTCAGAATAATAATGATTGCTAGCATTTTGATGTCTGTGTTTCATTAATAAAAAGTAGATCCTTGACTGGGCTCAGTGGCTTCACACTTGTAATCCCAACACTTTGGCAGGCCAAGGCAGGTGGATTGCTTGTGCCCAGGAGTTAGAGATTAGCCTGAACAACATGGTGAGACCCTGTCTCTACAAAAAATAGAAAAATTAGCCAGGTGTGGTGGTGCATACCTGTAGTACCAGCTACTCAGGAGAGGTGGGAGCATCTCTTCAGCCTGGGATGCAGGGGTTACAGTGAGCTGAGACTGTGCCACACTACACTCCAGCCTGAGCAGCAGAGCATGGCCCTGTCTCTTCCCTGCACTCCGCGCCACCCGCCGCCCACCAAAAAAAAAAAAGTAGATCCTTTATCAGAGTGGCATAACTGGTATTCTGCACTGAACTTGACTAATGCGTATGTTTGTGGAATTTCTGAGAGGGAAATAGAAATAGTCAGGTGAGAGCCCTACCAAATCGAATCTGGTGAACTCATTTGGGGCCATGTGGACCTTGATAAATATATTAGTGTTAAAGAGGAAATATTCTCATTCCATCTTTTGTGTGCATGTGAGACTCAGTTGACTTTAAATGTGTGGGTAAATTACCCCTGTTCATCTTGTCTGGAACCCCTCCCAACCCCCATTAATACTCTTTTTTTTTCTTTTTTTTTTTTTTTTTTTTGTGTGTGTGTTTTGAAATGGAGTTTTGCTCTTTTTCCCAGGCTGGAGCGAAGTGTCTCGATCTCAGCTCACTGCAACCTCCGCCTCCCAGGTTCAAGTGATTCTCCTGCCTCATCCTCTCTCGTAGCTGGGATTATAGGCACCTGCTGCCACGCCTGGCTAATTTTTGTAGTTTTAGTAGAGACGGGGTTTTGCCATGTTGGCCAGGCTGGTCTCGAACTCCTGACCTCTGATAATCCACCTGCCTCGGCCTCCCAAAGTGCTAGGATTACAGGCGTGAGCCACCACGCCTGGCCTGTTACACTCTTTTTTTTTCTTCACCCACTTTTTGTCAGAGCACTGACATTATATAGTATGGTTTATTGTCTGTCTCATTCGTTAAAATAAAAGCTCCATGAGGACAGGGGCTTTGTCGGTCTTGTTCATTGCTCTGTCTCACTTGCCCATTTGCCACATGGTAGGCATTAAATATTTGATAACACTACCACTTGCTGATGCCAGATATTCCAAATTCATCTTTTAACTTAATTGTCACAAGAACTTTATGAGGCAGATGAGATAAAATGTTTGAATGAATGAATCATCACTTTTGTGTGCTTTTTGCTGCTTATAGAGATAATGTGTTTAAAGTAAGAATGGTAGAATGAAATTCCACTCTATGAAATGTTATTAATTGAATTTATACGCTAACAGCTGTGACATATAAAAACCATTATAGGGAAACAATTTACAATTAAGTTTTAAAAGTTGACCCAACCTGAGCATAGGGTAGGTCTTCTCCAATGAAAAGAAAGTGGTTGAGTTATTTCTGTCTTCCTTTCCCAGGTTCTCCGTGGAGGAGCCAGCCAACGTCCTTTGACCCCAAACCAGAACCAGCAGGGACAGCAAACGGATCCCCTTGTGGCAGCTGCAGCAGTGAATTCTGCCCTTGCATTTGGACAAGGTCTGGCAGCAGGCATGCCAGGTGCGGCTGCATTGTTATTCCTAATACTTTGGCAGGGAAAAAGGCTGCACGTTTGAGGTGATTACAGAGGGGAATGAGCAGTGCTTTCACCTTGCTTAGGCTTGTCATGATTTGGGGACTGGCAAGGATGATACACACTTGCCCTCACTTAGACTATAGTTCACTGATGAGAGCATTGTTCTGAGCCAGTCTTAAGTCATATTGGAGGTATCTAAATGTCCATGCAGCTTGGAATATGTGGTTTTTCCTTGGTGGATTATCTGTTTTCTGTTTCAGAATCAGGGATAGATGGAGTGGCCAAGCTAGTTTACAAGGCTTAGTCTTTATGTTGATGTTTTTGAACAGCATGATTAGTGAGAAATTTCTGGTATACCTTGATAGGGTCATCCCTTACGTTTTTAAGGTTTCTCTTAAACCAATAGTAGGGGTCCTTTTTAGCTGTCTACCTCTGAGATACATGTTTATATAGATACATCTTGAATATATGTTGTTTTTGGTTCACTGTCAGCTGGTTTGGTGCTTTGCATGGGATTAGATGTACTTTGATGTTCTACATGTGAAACAAGTCTTTGAGAGATGTCAGCGTATTTTTATGGACCTTTACTGATCATAGAGCATAGCCAATTTAACTGAGCCATTTATGAATTCAATAAATAACTTTAACCTGTTTCATTTGTTTTTTAGTTACTGAGCCTTTGTGTGTTCTTAGGAAGTCACCTGCAGTTTTTCATATGGCTTAAACTGGGATTTGGAGATTCTATCTCACATAATATTGAAAGATCATGTTATTTAAAGCCTATCTAGGTTTTTCCTGCTATTTTGCAGGATATTTGTTCTTAAATTATTATGTAGTATGAAAGTACTATGATTTTTATAATCATTTGTAGCCTCTGTTTATTCAACTATTTAAGTGATGGAGCCAGTATATAAATCTGGCCAATTCAACCTCAAAGCTGAGTTTGTGATTATTGACAATATGTTGGTGCCCAGGAGATACTTGTTTGTTTAACATATACATTTCTTTGTTGGCTTGATATTCCTAGGTTATCCGGTGTTGGCTCCTGCTGCTTACTATGACCAAACTGGTGCCCTTGTAGTGAATGCAGGCGCGAGAAATGGTCTTGGAGCTCCTGTTCGACTTGTAGCTCCTGCCCCAGTCATCATTAGTTCCTCAGCTGCACAAGCAGGTGAGCGCACATCTGAGTGGACTCCTGCCAGAGATCTAAAAGTGGCGACTGATAGTGAGATTCTTAAAGTATGTTGAAATAAACTTTTGGCAATTCTCAGTATATCGGTTCTACCCTGTAATGTTTCAAAAAGAGATCAGAAGCAATAAGTGACCTTAGTGGATTCTCCTTTTTGTTGGGGGGTTGGTGGGTTGGGGGAGGGGTGGCATGTGCCAGCTGGTTAGAAGCAAGGTCTGAAGGTCTGGCTCCACTGAGAACATAGAAGTTGCATTACTCACACAAAATGGCTTTGTTGGCAGAAATCCAAGTCATTATTTTAAGATAATTTTAGAGGAGGGGTTGTTTTTTGCCACAGGGGCAGGAGTGGAGGACGTGGGAAAGAGTAGTGAGAAGTGACAAAATAATACATTTGGTTGGGAGGAGTAATAGTTTTTTACTTTAAGTGTTTATATTTATTTATTTTTTAATTAAGAACAATAACAGGAACATCTAGAAGACAGCAGTGTGCTAAAATAGGAATTTGAAGGATGTGTATGTGCATTACATGGTTCTAGAAGAAACCCTCAACATAGATATTTATGGAATTTAAGATTTTAGGAAGTAGTTGTATTTAATGGATACATTTGATGTTTATACCCCTTTTAATCTGTATACTCTTAAAAGCAACCAGCATAGTGAACTTGTTCTAGTGGTATTTTGAGTTCAAATTGAAAGTAGAAACAGAAAATAGAAGCTTCATATGAAGGGATCAAAGACAGATTTGTATGGTTTGTGTCTGTTTTGAAAAGATAGGCAGCATTAAAAGATTTTTTGAAAAAAGATAAAAATGTAGTTTGGAAATGTGGCCAGTCCCTTTCATAGCCAAACGGTTTGCTTTCTTCTTCATAGCTGTTGCAGCAGCCGCAGCTTCAGCAAATGGAGCAGCTGGTGGTCTTGCTGGAACAACAAATGGACCATTTCGCCCTTTAGGAACACAGCAGCCTCAGCCCCAGCCCCAGCAGCAGCCCAATAACAACCTGGCATCCAGTTCTTTCTACGGCAACAACTCTCTGAACAGCAATTCACAGAGCAGCTCCCTCTTCTCCCAGGGCTCTGCCCAGCCTGCCAACACATCCTTGGGATTCGGAAGTAGCAGTTCTCTCGGCGCCACCCTGGGATCCGCCCTTGGAGGGTTTGGAACAGCAGGTAGAAATTAGACTGATATGCTCTTAAGACTGAATTTTAATTATTTTTACAATCCTTCTGGAATACTGGCAATGCATGGAACCACAGGCAGATCTGGACCAAGCCTTGTGGGAATCCAGCCATCCCACATAATCTGTGAGATGATAGACTATTGAAATCAAGTTATACAGATGGGACCTATTTCAATCCATGCTCATGTGGCTACTTACTTAATCAGTTTCTTTCAGGGATTTGAAATCTAGGGAAGATTTTTGCTGTATTTGGGAAAAATATTGAGGGAACTGTAGAAATTGATATCAAAAACTGAGGGAGGAGGACTTACTAAAGATAGCAGAGCTGAAATACTCCACAATTGAGACTGAGCCGAGTTCTTGGCCTGCAGGCCTTAAAGAGTTACAAGTTTTCTTCAGTCTTTTGAGTAGAATTTAAGGTAGACATGTGGAAAATTAGGAGGAAGGATATTAGACCAAGATATTTTTAATGTTTTGATGAAAAAAGCAGGAGTGTAGTATGGTGAATAATGGGATAATTGCAGAGATTATAAAAAACAAACAAACAAAAGTGATCCCTAAATAGAAGGGCATGTGTGAAAGAAAGTATCTTAATTGGAATTGAGGGCAGCATTAACTCTCGATTGAACCCACTGAGAAAACAGGCTTTCATATAGAAGTCTTGTGTAGTGGGGCAGTACCCCATTTACAAATCTTTTTTCTGTATCCCATTTTTCTACTTGAACCTTTTCAATTGATGAAAGGCATTCTTCTAGTCCATTTTCTTCCACCTTTTCCATAGTTCATGTGGCCGTCAGAGCTTTTTAACCCTCCCTTATCCTATAATATACGACACCATAGGAAGGTAAATTTGGCATATGTTTGATGGTCATGTTAACCTGAGCCATGTCCTCTTTATTACTTATCTGCCCCTAGTACTGCTACATTAACAGTTAGGCTGTCTCTGCTGACAAATTTGCGGTGGTAAGGAGTCTGGATCAAAGTGTTAGGAACAGGTCACTGGGCTTGTTCTTCGAAGAACAGGCCTGTTCTTATCTGCATTGTTTTAATTCCATTTTAGTTGCAAACTCCAACACTGGCAGTGGCTCCCGCCGTGACTCCCTGACTGGCAGCAGTGACCTTTATAAGAGGACATCGAGCAGCTTGACCCCCATTGGACACAGTTTTTATAACGGCCTTAGCTTTTCCTCCTCTCCTGGACCCGTGGGCATGCCTCTCCCTAGTCAGGGACCAGGACATTCACAGACACCACCTCCTTCCCTCTCTTCACATGGATCCTCTTCAAGCTTAAACCTGGGTAAGAACCATTACTCTAACACCACCTTGAACTCTAGAACTCTCTTGCCACCGATGACATTACAAGAACTTTGCATAAGCAAAGGACAGTCCCTTTATACTAGAAGTGTCCTGGGTGTTCTGTGCCTTCCGTAAATACCTCATGTTATTCAGGCTGTACCTATAGATAGTATAGCAGTTTTGGCTTTATTATAGTTTGGGTACATTCCCTGTATATTCAGTTAGCTTTAGTATGAACATTTTATTCTTTGGCTACCTGTGAGAGTATTTCAATGTAAACAATATAAACACAGGTTCATTTCAGTGAAGCTAGGAAACACAGAGACAGAATTTAATCACCTAGTATCACCACCTGAAATACCACCACAATTAATATTTTGCCTTATTTCCTTTCAAAATTTCCCCTCTGCTATATGTACATATAATATCTTGCTTTTTCACAAAAAGCATTTTATTTTTAAAATTTTGCCATATTTTAAAATATTTGTAAATATAAACTCTCAAACCATATAGTATGTTAATGAGGAGATGTATATTTCCCTATTAAATATTTAGATTGTTTTATGCATGGGATTTTAAAATATTACCATCTAGATTCTAGAAAATAGGGAGAGAAAAAGAGGATCCCAAGCAGCAGGCTATAAGAATGAAAAGAAAATTATATTACCTTTTTTTTGGTGGCAAATCTCTAAATCTTTCAGGACATGGGAGATGTTTTCTTATCTCAAGCATGGTGCATACTCCTCTCCCGCAGTTATGTATTAAGTTTAAAGTACTGATTTATTTGCTAGATGGGGAAAATTGAATGCTAGATGTAGAGTCACCATATAATGTATCATGCAAACCAGAACACTTTTGTGAGTGGAAGGGGGTGCTATGAATAATTACTTGGTGATGATAGGCCTAAATCAGGACTGTCCTGGGCAAATCAGCACATGTGGCCACTTTACCAAGAAGATTCTGTTCTTAACCAGCAAGATTAAAAGTGGCTTCATGGACTCAGAAGTGAGAACTTGACTAAAAACAAACAGGATGCCTTCGTTTGGATAGGCAGACTAGAAAGTGATTTATAAGATTCAAGAGAAGTCTGAAGTGGGTAGGGTAATAGACTTATTATTCTAGACCTAGGAGTGATAGCTTTGAGTTTGAAAGAGGCGAGTTTCAAGTCAAAACTATGTTTATATATACACATTGGCATGTGTGTGCGTATCCTGAAGTTTTATACAGTAAGAACTTTAGTTGTAGAACTCATTTTCTCAGGTTATATATGAACATCACTTTATAAAAGTTACTGTGACATTCCTGATTAGTAGGTCCATAATAGGTAGACAGGGGGATGGGGTACATTGCACAACAGTGTTTCCTAGTGACACAATGCCTGGCTTTAAACACTGGGGGTTAATGCAGAATCTGGAGAGAGCTGTCAAACTCCCAGTTTGATACGTGGCTAGAAGGAAGGAAGTAATGTTCACTGACCTGGCATTTACCTGCTGGTGTTAATGGTTTTGGGTCCTGTACATACAACACTGGAAGGTATAGGTATTATTTCGTGTCTCAGGACTTAAATATCTTGCCTAGCCTGTGTCATCTCAGATTTGAACAGATTTAGAATCAAGCCTTTTCGACTCCAAAGCATGCAGTTTCAGTGTATATCCTGTTACATGATGTACTCAGGATATCTTGAACCAGTCCATTACCAAATCCAGAAATATGTATCTTTTAATTTCTTGGTTTAAAAACATGTGAACTATGTCATCCCATACTACATACTAAATAAACTGAACCTGCTAAGTTTTTTTTTCATAAAGAGCCAGATAGTAAATGTTTTAGGTTTTATAGGCCAGATGGTGTCTGTAGTGAATATTTAACTCTGCTGTTGAAGTGTGAAAGCAACCACAGACAAAATGTAAATGAGTGAATACGTAGCTATCTTCTAATAAAACCTTATTTATAAAAATAGATGGGCCAGGCATGATGGCTCACATCTGTAATCCCAGCACTTTGGGAGGCCGAGGTGGGCAGATCACTTGAGGTCAGGAGTTCAAGACCAGTCTGGCCAACATAGTGAAGCCCCGCCTCTACCAAAAAATACAAAAATTAGCCAGGCATGGTGGCGTGTGCCTGTAGTCCCAGCTGCTTGGGAGGCTGAGGTGGGAGAATTGCTTGAACCTGGGAGACAGGCTGCAGTGAGCTGAGATCGTGCCACTGCGCTCCAGCCTGAGCAACAGAGTAAGACCCTGTCTCAAAACAAAATAAGATAAAATAAAATAAAAAGCTGTGGTTCCTTGGTGCGTGGAAATGGAGCCAGAAATACTACTTTCATGCATGATACCTTTCCTCTTTCTAAAGCATCAGCAATTTAATGTAATACTACCTCTTAATTTTTGTTTTCCCTGTGAAGAAGGAAATAACTATTAGTGTGAGTTATTTCTTGTCAAATGACTTGTTGCCTGCCTAGTTTTATGTTTAACATAACTTCTCTTTGGAAACATTCACCTTGTTCAAGCAGTTTTTTAGTGTACATTTGCACTGGACTTCTGTTGTGTGTAGTGCATGTTTCGTACATGCCATTCCTGAGGAACTCTTTGTCTCAGTACAGCTTTGCCTCAGCTCAGTCTGTTTCCTCGAGAAAGTAGAGGTGTGCTACTTGGTTTCTAACAATCTCCATACAAAGGCCTTAAAGACATTTTAGTATAAGAAACATAACATTTCTTTCTGGCCCACACCTAATATAGCTTCTGTTGTTAATACTACTTCACTGCTGCCACCAGCCATCAGCAGTGATGAGCAGCCATACTAAGCATTTTATATTCATTGTGTTGAATACTCAAAAGAACCCTTCACCCCTTAAAATTCAGCGTGGCTTAATTAATATTGCTAATGATATCGACCACAAAACTAGTGTTTGAATGCGCACATCAGCCTATATCTCGTGTGGATCTTTTCCCCATCTTGTCTTTTTTACACTTTGTCCCAGGAGGCAGATATGTGTTAGTATCTTTTAACAAAATCAGTGACCTGTTTAGTAATTTTTCCTATTATTTTTTTAAAAATCACTTATTGAGTGGCATGGTTTTTCATTACTGATTGTTTAAAGTTCAGACTAAAAACAAACCTTTTTGAGTTCTATTCCCCCCCGTTTTTATTGTTTGGGACAGGGTCTTGCTCTGTTGCCCAGACTGGAATGCAGTGGTGCTATCATAGCTCACTGTAACCTCAAACTCCTGGGCTCAAAGGATCTTTCCACCCCAGCTTCCCAAGTAGCTGGTACTGTAAGCACACACCACCACACCCAGCTAATTAAAATAATTTTTTTTTTTTTTTTTTTGTAGAAACTAAGTCTTGCTATGTTGGTCAGGGTGGTCTCGAACTCCGGGCCTCCAGTGATCCTCTTGCCTTGGCCTCTCAAAGCACTAGGATTACAGATGTGAGCTACTATTCCTGGCTCCTTTTTTTCTTTATTTTATTTTATTTATTTTTTTGAGATAGAGTTTCACTCTGTGGCCCTGGTTGGAATGCAGTGGCGTGATCTCGGCCCACTCCAACTTCTGCCTCCCGGTTCAAGTGATTCTCCTGCCTCAGCCTCCCAAGTAGCTGGGATTACAGGCACGTGCCACCATGCCCAGCTAATTTTTTATTTTTAGTAGAGATGGTGTTTTACCATGTTGGCCAGGCTGGTCCCTTTTTTTTTTCATTTTTAAAATGTTGTCTTTTAAAATGCACTAGTTTTTTATTTTGATGAGGTCCAGTTTATCTTGGTTTTGGAATAGTATCGAAGAAATCTTTGCCTAACTCAAACTCTTGGGGGAATATTTTCTCATGTTTTGCTCTAAAAAAATTTATTGTTTTATCTCTTAAATATAAGTCTGTGATCCATTTTGAGTTAATTTTGGGTGTCAGGTCAGGGTTCATCTTTTTGCACATGCATTTCTAGTTGTCCTAGCACCATTTTCCTTTGTAATTTTGGTGTGCAGGTCTTGCACTGCTTCTGTTAAATTTATTCCTAACTGGATATATTTTTGATGCTATTACAAATAGAATTATGTTCCGGTTTTATCTTTTGATAGACTATTGCTTGCTTATGGAAATACAATTGGTTTTTGTATATTGATCTTATATACTGTGGCCTCGCTGTAGTTGTTTATTAGTAGTTCTAATGGTTTTTGGGTGGATTCTGTAGGATTTTCTACATATAAGATCATATCATCTTAAGAATAAAAGCCATTTCCCAATCTGGATGACTTTTCTTTTTCTTGTCTGATTGCACTGTGTAGAACCTCCAGGACAGATTGAGAATCCCAAGTCAAAAATCTGAAATGCTGCAAAACCCAAAACATTTTTGAGCATCAACAAAGTCTTTGTTGAAAGTTAACAAAGCTCAAAGGAAATGCTCATTGGAGCATTTAGAATTTTTGATTTTCATATTAGGATGCTCAGCTGGTAGATATAATTCACGTATTCCAAAATCTGAAAGACTTTGAAATCTGAAACACTTCTGGTCCCAAGTACTTTGGATAAAGGGTACTCAACCTGGACTGTGTTAAATGGAAGAAATAAGAGCACACATCTTTCCCTTGTTCCTGATCTTGGCAGGGGGTGGAGGTAAAGTGTTTGTCTTTTACCATTAAGCATAATCACAGTTGGTTTTTAGTAGATGCCCTTTATTAGGTTGAGAAAGTTTCCTTCTAGCCTAAGTTTATTGAGAGTTTTTGTTGCAAATGGGTTTTAGTTTTTGTCAAGTGTTTTTTATGCCCTTTTTTTTTTTTTTGAGCTGGAGTCTTGGTCTGTCTCCCAGGGTGGAGTGCAATGGTGCAATCTCGGCTCACTGCAACCTCTGCCCCCTGGGTTCACACCATTCTCCTGCCTCAGCTTCCCAAGTAGCTGGGACTATAGGCGCCCACCACCACGCCCGGCTAATTTTTTGTATTTTTTGTAGAGATGGGGTTTCACAGTGTCAGCCAGGATGGTCTCGATCTCCTGACCTCATGATCTGCCTGCCTTGGCCTCCCAAAGTGTTGGGATTACAGGTGTGAGCCATCTCGCCCGGCCATTTTTTCTGCATTAATTGACGATCATGTGGCTTTTATCCTGTATTCCGTGAATGTGGTATGTTACATTAATTGATTTTCAGATATTAATCCAATCCTGCATTCCAGATATACATCTTAACTGACCATCATGTGGCTTTTATCTTGTATTCTGTGAATGTGGTATGTTACATTAATTGATTTTCAGATATTAATCCAACTGCATTCCAGATATACATCTTACTTTGGTCATGTTCGATTTGGTGTGTTTGTATTTTTGTTGAGGATTTTTGAATCTGTATTAATGAAGGATGTGTGTTTTTCTTTCTCGTGAGGTGTGTGTTGTGGCTTGGTGTCAGGGTGATACTGACCTCATAGCATGAAATTCGAAGTGTACCATCCCTCTCTGTTTTCTGGAAGAGTTTGTGGAGTACTAGCATTATTTCTTTAAACATTTGATAAACTTGACCAGGTAAGCCAGTCTTAGCCTGGGCATTTATTTGTAGTAAGATTTTTACTTAACCCATTTCTTTACATCTTATAGGTCTTATAGGTTCAGATTTTTATTTCTTCTTGAGTCAGTTTTGATAATTTGTGACCTTCTAGGAATTTGTCCATTTCATCTAAAATGCCAAATTTGTTAGCATAAAATGTACTATTTTAATAAGTGAAATCTCTCTCTCAATCTTCCTCTCCCATCTTCCCCATACATGCATATATACCCATGAATGTGTACATATAAAATATGTTGTGACCCTGAACAAGGCAGATGTTGCAAGTATTTATTTTGTTTGACTTATGTGTTACATGTCTCAATTTAACAGTATTATTAATCATAGTTAATAAATATGAATTTTCTTAACAACTAGATCTGTAACTCTCATTTGTGGTTTATATGTGGGTTACATAGAAAACCTTAAACTCTCACCTATAACTGAAACATCCATGTCTAGTAAATTCTACTTCCCATCTCAAAGAGAAAAAAAGTAAGGGATGTGGATATGAGTGTCCCCAAAGACTGACTGTAATGGTTTCATGCCCTGCCTACCCATGGATCTCTTTATCCTACTCCCCCGCCCTTTCTCACCCCTCATTTCTTAGAATGCTTCTCCATGCTTACAGTTTTTTGCACAATCCCCTGGCTGTATCATTTAAAAACTCTTAAACATCAAGAGGTAGCAGGTACAGTTTTTTGTTGACGACACCCAGGCTTTTCATTTGCCCTGGAAGAAAAGTGTTGTGGTTGTTCATTACTTCAGAAATGAAATATATAATAGTAAAAATGAGCTCAAAAGTTCATAAGCTGTCTAGGGCAAAAAAATGAAAGCATTTATAACTAAATTTCAATTTAGTTCTAAACTTAGTTCTAAACTAAAAAGCATTTAGTTTTATTATTGTGATAGAAGTATTATCTTCTCAAAATGTATTCTTTCTGTCCTTTATCTTCAGGGTTTTATACGCCTTTTAGTTTTTTAGGAAAAGCACAGCTCAAACAGAAAATACCTTTCTCTGTCCTTGCTTGAACTGAAGGAGAAGTTTCTAAGTTACTGGCCAGTAAGCAGTAGTCATGTATGTGTTTAGGTATTTCCCCATTCTGAATTGAAATGAATATTTTGTGATTTCTCACTTGGTTCTTTGAAGGAGACGTATCAGCTGTAAAACCAACCATGTGACAATTAACGTATTTTGGACTCATTAATCATGCACTAAGATGATCAGTTTTCAGGGTTATTTAATTTAGAGCTACCTTGGTGTTGTGTTGGAGAATGAATTGGAGAGAACTTATTTTTAAAACATTTTGATGAACATTGTTGCTTCTGGTTGTATTAAACACAGAACTAGATACTGGGGACCATGGGAATTTTTCTTTAAAAGTGGGAAGGCAGGGCTTTGCCCATTAGGCATCTATTAGATCTATGAGTACAAAAAGCAAGTAAATGATAACATTTGACGTAGCATGGGCATGACATACTACATGACCACTGGCAGAAATCCCTTATATACAATTATGCAAAATAGCTGAAGCACTTATTAATTTAAATAAAACATTTAAGCCCTTACTCTCTGTGGAAAGTTGTCATAGGACACACTCCTATGAAATCCACCACTGTCCCTTTGAAGCCTTATGAGAAATGTTTCTTTTAAAACAGTTGCAAATTTAAACACTTCCAGAGTGTTGCACCCAAACCCCCAGAGCTATAGTGGTTTGGGTGCAAGTACATGTTGGTATTCAGACTATTGTGAATCGGAAAGCACATTTGTGCATTCGCCATCTAAATGAGATTCAGTCAACAAATACTTACTGATGGTCAGATATTTATTTACTATTTGTCACGCATTTTTTTCAAAAACAAGATATTACAATTTAGAGCAAAAATTTAAGCTTTGGCTTAATGTTGAAAGAAGTACTGCTTGGCTCAAACAAAATATGTCTGTGAACTGTCAGTTTGCCATTGCCATTTATAATTTAGTACCTAGGAAAATTTCACTTCAGAGATGTCTATATTTCTTAGTAATAAAAGCTGTGTGTGTGTGTGTGTGTGTGTGTGTGTGTGTGTGTATGAATGTCCTTGTAGTATGTACTTGTCTGACATCTAAGGAGATAAGAGGCAAAAATCAAAACTTCACGGTAAATGTATTAACCGTTTTTGTAGGCGTATTAACTGTTGTTCAGTCCAGTCCTGTGTGTGGATTAGTCATTATGTTTTTGCCCATAATAACAGAACATCCAACAAAGAGTGGCTTAAACAATAAGTGCATTTATTGGCCTTTATAACTGGAAGTATAGTGGTAGGGCAGTGTTCAGGGTTGGTTTGTCTTGTCATTAAACATTGTCACCAAGGACCTGGCTCCTTTATAATTTACCTTCCATTTTGGTCAGTGACCAGTTTCTTAAAATCCCTTTAAATTGTTTTCAAAACATTGTGTGTTCGCCCCATACCTTCTTCTTTGGTATGTTTGTTGCTATTGCCACACTTTCCCCATACCTGCCAACCTACCCTGTTACCACCTCTTTGTCCATTTCTCCCCAGCCTCAGACAGGTAAGACAGAATTGTTTCTGAAATGGAATAAAGAACAGTCTTGGCCGGGCGCCGTGGCTCATGCCTGTAATCCCAGCACTTTGGGAGGCTGAGATGGGCGGATCACATGAGGTCAGGAGTTTGAGAGTAGTCTGGCCAACATGGTGAAACCCCATCTCTACTAAAAGTACAAAAATTAGCCGGGCGTGGTGGTGCACACCTGTAGTCCCAGCTACTTGGACGGCTGAGGTGGGAGAATTGCTTCAACCTGGGAGGCGGAGATTGCAGTGAGCTGAGATTGCACCATTGCACTCCAGCCTAGGTGACAGAGCAAGACTCCGTCTCAAAAAAAACAAAAAACAAAACAAAAAAAAACAGTCTTATGACTGCTGTTTTCTTTTCAGTTAATCTCCTTTCTTCCTTAAAAAAATCACTTTTCATTTGAATTCAGAAATACTGTGGAATTTGACAAGAATGTTCTGTAGAACAAGAAAACTTGATGAAACTGAGTCAGAAAATGAATTTCAGACCCCGAAAGGGCCTTGACCCTGGAGTCAAGAGCCCTGTTCTGAATTCTGGCCATGACAATTTTGGGTTTTGTATCTTTGGATGAACATTTCACCTCTCTGGGCTTAATTTTCTGTTACATAAATGGGAGTTGCAAACTCCTTTTCCAAAATGCCAGTGAGAATTCCAGAGAAAGTGTATATGAAAAACTTCTAACATAGAATTGGGCTTAGGACAAATACTAAGTAAATATTTTACAAATTTCTGCATTGAGTCATTTTCTTTTGGTTTCATCACTTTGATTGAGACCCAGACTTTTGAAGCTGGGCCCTGGAATTCTGTGAAGTCCAGCCTGGGTATCTTTTTGTGGCTACCATTAAACCCCAAACCAGACATTTATTAAGACTTGTGAAGAGTTGAGAAGTAGTTAATATTGGATGACTTTTCTCGTGGGTTTTTAATTGTTATTCATCTAAACTTTTTGTGGTTTATGTAATATTTCTTACCTCCTTTGGCCTTTTGTTTAAAAGGAGGTGGGGGAAACAACCCCAGAAAGGCTTGGCATCTTTTTTCTATTGCAATCAAAATTTAAAATGAAATAAAATAAGAACTGTTTTTTGTTTTGTTTTGTTTTGGTTTGGTTTTTTTTTTTTTTCAGATGGAGTCTTGCTCTGTCGCCCAGGCTGGAGTGCAGTGGCACAATCTCGGCTCACTGCAAGCCCTGCCTCCGGGGTTCGCCATTCTCCTGCCTCAGCCTCCCAAGTAGCTGGGATTACAGGCACCTGCCACCACGCCCAGCTAATTTTTTTTTTTTTTTTTGTATTTTTTAGTAGAGTCGGGGTTTCACCGTGTTAGCCAGGATGGTCTTGATCTCCCGACCTTGTGATCGGCCCGTCTCAGCCTCCCAAAGTGTCAGGATTACAGGCATGAGCCACCGTCCCTGGCCTGTTATTTTGTTATTTTAAAATACTCATAATTTATTATGCTGCTATACTGTTTTTTTCTGTTTGTTTGTTTTTGTTTTTTTTTGTTTGTTTGTTTGTTTTTTTTGGAGACAAGGTCTTGCTCTGTTGCCTAGACTGGAGTGGAGTGGTGCAATCATGGCTTACTGCAGCCTCGACCTACTGGGCTCAGGTGATCCTCCTATCTCAACATCCCAAGTAGTTAGGACTACAGGTGTGTATCACCACACCCAGCTAATTTTTATTTTTTATTTTTTTTTAGAGATGGGGTCTCTCTCTGTTGTCCAGGCTGGTCTCGAACTCTTAGGCTCAAGCCATCCTCCTGCTTCGACTTCCCAAAGTGTTGGGTTTACAGACATCAGCCACCACGCCTGGCCTGCTATATGTTTTGATACGCCTTTTGGTCATATGTTTGTTTTATCTGTGATTCACAATTATTCCCTTGTCACCCATCAAAACAGCATTATCAGTGGCATGAAGGTTGTTGGAACTACAGTCATTTCAGGCTGTGTCACAATAGAAATTGTTAAGAGCTGTCCATTTGTAATGAAAACTCGAAAATTTTTCATTTTTAAGGCATCTCCTGTCTTGTACTCATTATGTCTCATCCATGGCCTGGAATGTCTTAGCGATTTTCACACTTCTATTTAGTGGCAAAATCATTCCTTCAAAGACAGCTTTTTCATGGGATCCCCTGTATAAAACAGACCAATCTGGATGCCTGATTTTTTAGAGTGGGTTTCAGATGGAAATGGGGGTTATTCAAGAATGAAAGGAATCTCCGCAGATCTCAGAATGGAAAACCACTCCAGTCTGAGTTTGTTTTGCATTTTCTGAGTTTTTATTGCTGGTGCTCAGGTGCTAGGTTCACCTGGTCGGCACATTTCTTCCTCATTTCATTTACTAGGGGCCATGCTAACTGTTGCTCCAGCCTTACTAGCAGTCTACCATCAACGGTAAAAGCATTCCCTTCTCAATCTTTGTGCAAAAGTTTCCTTCCAGGTTGTTGAGTTGACCCACGAAAGTCATGACGCTAATAGAATTGTCTTGACACAAAAACAACAGCATTGAAGAAATCAGAAATGGTGCAGGCTTTCGGGTGTGGGAATGCTTTTTTCTCTCTTGAATGAAGTTGCTGAAGAGTGGTCTTAAGTTATCCTGTTCTGTAACCAACAGGAGGACTCACGAATGGCAGTGGAAGATACATCTCTGCTGCTCCAGGCGCTGAAGCCAAGTACCGCAGTGCAAGCAGCGCCTCCAGCCTCTTCAGCCCGAGCAGCACTCTTTTCTCTTCCTCTCGTTTGCGATATGGAATGTCTGATGTCATGCCTTCTGGCAGGAGCAGGCTTTTGGAAGATTTTCGAAACAACCGGTACCCCAATTTACAACTGCGGGAGATTGCTGGACATATAATGGAATTTTCCCAAGACCAGCATGGGTCCAGGTGAGTACTTGGCTTTGGCACTTTAAGGTACCCGAAATTGTAATGCCTTAACTGTCTTGGCTCAGATGGGTATCTACTTAAATAAATTGCCATATAGTAATTTTTTAAAAGCGTGCCTCTTAGTTTGCATCACATTATTTCATAGGGATTTAAGAAACAAACATGAACACAAAGACATACATACACTTCGGCTGCTTTAAGCATTATGAAGAATCTTTTGCTCTCAAAGAGTTGCTATTCAAATACAAGTTTGATCTAGGGTGCTGAGGAGTAAGACAGCTCTACCACCTTTCTTTGTTGTTCCACTCTGTAGAAGTGACAGTCTATGTAGAGACGAGAGAAGAAACTATTATAGAAGACAGAATTTGGTTTGGTTTACCCCTTCCTGTTGGGCTGCTGCAGTGGGCTTCACAGAAAGCGAATCTGGTCCTGGGGATAGAGCATAATTATGGTGACAACACCCATCCTTCTTTCCCATTTCTGTTTCTGTTTCTTTCTCTGATACTGTGTCCAGTGAAACAGTTTCTACAGAAGCTACCTCCTCCTTAAGTTCTGCCAGCTTGCTACTGGGCCAAAATTTCTCATATTTGAATTCTATAGGCTAGATTCAGAGGCAACATGATTTTCCTGATAGTGGTCATTTGGACTAAAAAAAGGCAGACTGTTACTACTTCAGAAGATAATGAATACTGTTTTGTTTTTGTTTTTTTGTTTTGTTTTGTTTTGTTTTGTTTTTTTGAGACAGAGTCTTGCTCTGTCGCCCAGGCTGGAGTGCAGTGGCGCAATCTTGGCTCATTGCAAGCTCTGCCTCCCGGGTTCACGCCATTCTCCTGCTTCAGCCTCCCGAGTAGCTGATGAGTACTGTTTTATATGAAAATAAGTTAAAGAATATAGTAAGGACTGTAAGCTTTGAGTTCATTGATGTGAGGCTGGTTTCTAAAGGAAAAAAGTCAAGTAGGGTACATGTTGTGTTATGTCTCCCTCCACCCCTCCTCTCTTCCTGCACCCCTGCCCCTCCCGCCCCCCCCCCGCCCCCCCCGCTTTCATCTTCCCTCCCACCTTGCACATAAATAAGATTCAGTATGCATGCCCTACTGGAATGAAATGTGCCAACATTTATATGTAATTTTCAAAGCTCAATTAAGTTAGGACCTTCTTCCTCTATTTAAAAACTCTTCAAGGGAGTTCAAGTGATTCATTCAAATAAAGTTTGGTTTATTGTGTGCATGTGTGTGCACACATGCTCACTCACATGTTTCAGAACGGATGCAGTCTATAAACCGAGGTACACTGATGTATCTCCAGGTCTTCCTTCAGTGCTGTGATTGCCCTTTTTACTTTGTACTTCAGATTCATTCAGCTGAAACTGGAGCGTGCCACACCAGCTGAGCGCCAGCTTGTCTTCAATGAAATCCTCCAGGCTGCCTACCAACTCATGGTGGATGTGTTTGGTAATTACGTCATTCAGAAGTTCTTTGAAGTAAGCCTTTGTTCTTTCTATCCTTTGACTTAAGAGAATCTGCAGAGCATTTTGATTTTCATTAGCCTTTTTAAGCATAGCAGTCCCATTCCAGTCCTCAGAATGAAGGGTGTGTGGTCTTTTTGAAGAGGTTTTTAGTGTTTTTCCAATTCATTAGCAGCAGTCTATCTATTCTGTATGGTTTAAATATCCGAGCAGATAATGCCAATCTATTTTGGAAATGTGTTTCGAAAACTGGTGTCCCCATTTAGGACCCAGCACATTATTTCAGATTGTTATAATAGTTTCACAAAACGTGTCACTTAAGGAGGAAATAATCCTTGTAAAGTAGTTTTAGCAGGATCACAATAAAATATTGCCAAAAACAAATTTTTCTAAGGTTCTTAGAGAATTGTCTTTGGACACCGACTCCAGTATGTTTCATTATCAGCTAGGGTCACAAGAATTGTTAAATGCTGCTTCTTGGCTGATCGTTTGGCCTTGATTTCTTGTTTTACTTCTGTTAATTTGAATAATGTTCACTTGTTGTATCATTGTCTTTGGAAAGAATGAGATTGTTAGGTTGATGTCTTTTCCCTCTAGTGAGGTAAAATTTCAGAGAGGCAGGGACTTTTTTGCTTACCATTGTAGCCCTTATTATCTGGTATTGGCAACCCTAAGGTGTAGATGCAGAATGGCACAAAACTTCGAGATGAGGAGGAGTCTGGTATGGGGAGGAAAATGCTGGAATTCTGCACATTACCTACCACAAAACAAATTTGTAAATGTCTTAACATCTCATCCTGTTTGATTTGTATGAAGATGAAAAACTGACGTACTCAAGTTTTACCTTCCCAAGTTTTTTCATGAAGACTTATGTTTTTTCACCCTGAATTCTTCAGCTTTGGACTAAGAAACCAATCTAAACATGACTTTTGTATTTTTGATTTTAGAATGACTTTGCACTGCCGTTTTGTCACATATATAAAAATACTGAGCTTTCTAGTTCTGGAGGCTGATGCACCTTGGGGTGACAAAATGTACAATGGATTATAGCCATATGATTTGGACCAAGCTTGAGAACTTCTCTGGATCTTAGTTTCCCTTGGGAGAATGAGGAGGTTGGATGGGCTGAGAATTCATAAAGTCTCCTCCAATCTCACGATTATGTGATTGAAATGAAAATAATAAGCCAAGGATGGAAAATCATTCTAAGTAGAATTTTAACATTGTGTAGCCTCACTTCTTGATTCTACTGATTTTTCCCCTCCCAACTCTGTTACCTTGTGTAAATAGGAGAAAAAAAAATCAATTCTCTTAATGATGTAGAATACTATTTCAAAACAGTGTGTCCATGTGTGCTTTGGCAGTAAGAGTGTAGGATTCTTTTTTTTGACACACAGTCTTGCTCCATTGGGCAGGCTGGAGTGTAGTGGTGCTATCTCAGCTCACTGTAACCTCTGCCGCCTGGGTTCAAGCGATTCTCCTGCCTCAGCCTCCGGAGTAGCTGGAGTTAACAGGAGCGTGCCACCATGCCCAGCCAATTTTTGTGTTTTTAGTAGAGGCAGGATTTTGCCATGTTGGCGAGGCTGGTCTCAAACTCCTGACCTCAGGTGATCCACCCTCCTTGGCCTCCCAAAGTGCTGGGTTTACCGGTGTGAGCCACTGCACCTGGCCAGATTCATTTAATAGTATGAATTAATGACAGCTTTGAGGAATTATGTGTTTGCTTAGCAGATATTAATAGTGAAACTACCTATTGTTGGGTATCCGAGAAACTTCTTAACATTAAAAAGGGTTACTCATAATTAAGAGATCGAGAACTACTGGCTTGAAGAAGCAATGGCTCTTTAAATAAAAGGTTTAGTTAATCATGGGTATCAGGGCTAAAAGAGGTTATGCCAGTGGTTGATGCAGAATAATGAATGCTTTGCTTTCTCTGGTTTATTTCCTTCTACTTAAGTAATGGTGTTTACCCACACATTATGTCTAGTTTGGCAGTCTTGAACAGAAGCTGGCTTTGGCAGAACGGATTCGAGGCCACGTCCTGTCATTGGCACTACAGATGTATGGCTGCCGTGTTATCCAGAAAGCTCTTGAGTTTATTCCTTCAGACCAGCAGGTAATTGTAAGTTTCCCCTTTAACTTTTCTCTTGGTGTTTGATGTTTCTCCATGGTACATGTAGTGAACCCTGTAATTCTGTCAATTTTCAGTTTTCTTTTATGGTTTTGCATTGTTGCTTATGGCTGCCTTTTTGTGCATGGCAAGCATGAACTGTGCAAATAATTTAAACTTGTTGCAGATCAAGTATCTTGTATTAAAACCTGTGGTATCCAATACTCTTCCATTGGCTAGAACTTAGCCTTTAATAGGTTCAATTTTATAGGTGGTTTTTTTTTCCATGAATAAAGCAGGTAAAATACTAATAAGCCATCATTTTCTCCAACAAGTCAAACTTTCATCCAACCCACCTTCCATATTTTTTTACTCCTTCTCTCCTGTTCTTTCATCCCACCAACATCTATTGAACAAAGGCCTGCCCAGCATGGTGCATAGCCTGGTACATTGACCTGAAGCCCACTCTGTGCCAGACTTCATCAGCACAGAGATGACTAACACCTGATCCCTGCCCACAGAGTGCATTCTGGTGGGGAAGAGCCATGGTGGTGAGCAGTGGTGAGGACATGAGAAGGACCCCTCACCCTTCCCAGAGTCCCTGAGGGCCGGCTTTGCAGGAGAAGGCAAGGCTAAAGAAGAGTTAGACAGGGAAGAAGGAACAGAAATGAGAATGCTTAGGTGCTGTGAGTGGGGAACTGAAAGAGAAGTCACCTGAACAGGCCCACAGCTTCTTGACAAGTCACGGCGTGGGTCCAGTGAGCACTGCAGACACCACAGGGCCCAGGAGGCAAAACAGACCCACAGGCAGGGTGTGCTACAGTTGTGTTTGTGCTGGGCAGTGCCTCCAGCCTCCGGTGCTTCTCATCTGAGCCTGCAGCTTTTGGGCTCTGAACTCACTGAGCCCTTCTCAATTGAGGGGTTGGTTGGCCATTGTCTGGCAATGATGACCCACTTGCCCTCACTGAGAACAAAGTTCGGTAATGAGAATCTTTGTTAATGGACTCAAGTTCTGAGCCAGACAAGACACCCACCACCCCTGAGTCAAGCTAAACCAATCCAAACCACTGCACTGGTGTTGGCAGTGGCAGTTGAAGGCTGAAGAAGTCCAAAGTTTTTAAAGTGATAAGTTTCAAAGGTATGTGCCACGATGCTGGTGAAGGGAGAAAGGAATGTTGGAGATAGAGCAGGTCTGGAGTTCATTTATTCAGTGCTTAGTACTAGAGATGTAGCATTAATAAGAAAGTATAAGTAATTAGAAGCAAGTGTGAAGCTATTTTAAATTTTCTTTTAATGTTCAGATCATTGCCAATTTTAATTTTTCTTGGATTTTCATAGATAGTTGAATTGTTCTTCTTTAATTTTCTTGTTTTTCTTTCTTTCTTTTTGGAGACAAGGTCTCACTCTGTCACCCAGGCTGGAGTGCAGTGGCACAATTGTCCTTGTTGCAGCCTCAACCTCCTGAGCTCAAGTGGTCCTCCCATCTTAGCCTCCTGAGTAGCTGGAACTACAGGCATACGCCACTTCCCCTGGTTAATGTGTGTATTTTTGGTAGAGATGGGGTTTCACCACGTTGCCCAGGCTGGTCTTGAACCCCTGGGTTCAATTGATTTGGCCTCCCAAAGTGCTGGGATTACAGGTGTGAGATACCATACCCAGCTGTCGTTGTTTCCTGTGTTATATTTTTGCACATATTTTTTCTGGTCATGTTTCTCTGTGGTGTCTTGTTCTGGGCCTGACTTATGCTTCCTACCCTTTATTATTTTACTCTTCTCTAGATGCAAATTTGCCATTTTGGGTAAAATTAACTCATCTTTGTTGGAATTTTTATTTCTTCTGGATCACAAAAATATCCAGGGAAGCCATCTCTCCTTCATTTTGTTTATAAGTATTCTTTGACTTTATTTTTGTATAAGCTTCATTGTCATAATTATTCCCACAATTCCCATCATTCCTATAATTGTATTTTCAGAGTAAATTATTCTCTTCTGGGCCCAGCACAGTGGCTTATGCCTGTAATCCCAGCACTTTGGGAGGCCAAGGTGGGTAGATTGCTAGGGCCCAGGAGTTTGAGACCAGCCTGGGCAGCATAGTGAAACCCCATCTCTATAAAAAGTTGGCTGGGCATGGTGGTGCACTCCTATAGTCTCAGCTGCTTGGGGTGCTAAGGCAGGAGGATCGCTTGAGCCCGGGAGGTTGAGGCTGCAGTGAGCAGCCTGGGTGACAGATCCTAAGAGACCCTGTTTCAAAAAAAAAAAAAAAAAAAATTTATTCCCTTCTGACACTTGGTTAATCACTGTGTCTCTTGCCTTTTGCTTCTTTAGCCCCTGCCAGTGTAATCTTTAATTTAATTAGATGATATCTTAGTTGCTTTGAGGTACTCAACATTTTGGGCATTTAAGACATTGTATTCATTAACATCACTATTTTGATGTGACTTGCAGTCTTCTAACATAAATCCACTGGCAGCACAGTTTAGCCAATGTACAGAGATTGGAGACAGCAGGGAAACTGGGCAGGAGGCACCAGGTATAGCCATGGTGCAGGCATTTAATTTCAAGATACCTAAGACCTGGGGCAATGAGTTTGGGGGAAGGGCTCCAGTCAAAATCCCAGTGTCTCTCTTTCTATATATCCTGTCACCATCACCCATTTCCTACTCACAGACTCAGTTTCTGGCCATTTCATTTACTTCCTTTGTTTGCACACTTTTCATTAATTGAGAACCATTCCTGCTGACTCTGCAGTCACTGTGACCTAGTAGTAAGATCATAGGTGTTGGAGTCACAGCTTAGGCTAGAATTCTAATTCTGTCACTTTCTATCCATAGTTTGAAATATGTGACTTAAGCCCCTCTGTCTCAGTTTCTTTTATATACCAGCAGAGGTGGGGTGTTCAGGATAATGTATTGTTGACAGTTTGGTTTACTGATATAGTGGTTTACCATACAGTTCAGCCAGATTGCTTGGGTTTGAATGTTGGGAATCTAGGTCTATAGTTTTGTAAGTCTTTTAATTTGCCTCTTCCTTGGTGTCTCCATCTATGGTGGTGTCCACTCCGTAAGACTGTTAGGAAAATTTAATTAAAACATGTTACACGGTTAGAGGTATGCCTAACCAGGGGTAAACTCTAGCTTAATTAGTATCATTACTAGTCATACTTTACAGAGTTATCATAATAAAAACACGATTAATTGTATGTGAAATTCTTTAGTTTGGTTTAGTTTTATTTTTAGAGACAGGGTGTTGCTCTGTCACCCAGGCTTCTGGTGGTGTTACCGTAGCTCACTGCAGCCTCAAACTCCTGGGCTCAGGTGATCCTCCCACCTCAGCCTCCAGAGTAGCTGGGATTATGGCTGTGTGCCATGTAGAAATTCTTTAATACAGTGTGCAAATAGCCCCTGACTTATGATTTTTCAAAACTGTACTTTGAATCTTTTTTATTGTTTTTATTATATATATGTATATAAGTATATATATAAAATAATTTTTTTTTTTTTTTTGAGACAGAGTCTCGCTCTGTCGCTCAGGCTGGAGTGCAGTGGCACAATCTTGCCTCACTGCAACCTCCGCCTCCACGGTTCAAGAAATTCTCCTGCCTCAGCCTCCCGAGTAGCTGAGATTACAGGCGCGCACCACCATGCCCAGCTAATTTTTGTATTTTTAGTAGAGATGGGGTTTCACCATCTTGGCTAGGCTGGTCTCGAACTCCTGACCTTGTGATCTGCCCACCTAGGCCTCCCAAATTGCTGGGGTTACAGGCATGAGCCACTGCACCTGGCCTATGATTTTTTTTTTTTTAATTATAGGCTCTGTGATAAATAATTTTGTCCAACTCTAGGGTACTGTAAATGCTCTGAGCACTTCTGAGGGCCTAGGATTAGCTATGATGTTCTGTAAATTAGGGATATTTAAATGCATTTTTTAGTTAATGATATTTTCAACTTATAATTGGAATGTAATTCTTTT
The DNA here is from genome assembly GCF_000001405.40 of Homo sapiens. Taxonomy (NCBI): domain Eukaryota; kingdom Metazoa; phylum Chordata; class Mammalia; order Primates; family Hominidae; genus Homo; species Homo sapiens. The sequence continues at coordinate 30,946,170 of NC_000001.11, read as the reverse complement.
CTAAGTTAAGGAGTATCTGTTCCTGATGTAGGCTTCTTTGTATTTGAAGATGTCTACCCTTTATTTTTTTTTAAGCTCTAGGAGTTGGCCGGGTGTGGTGGCTCATGCCTGTAATTCCAGCACTTGGGGAGGCCAAAGAGGGCAGATCTCCTGAGGTCAGGAGTTCGAGACAGCCTGGCCAACATGGCAAGACCCCGTCTCTAGTAAAAATACAAAAATTAGCCAGGTGTGGTGGTACACACCTGTAATCCCAGCTACTCGGGAGGCTGAGACAGGAGAATTGCTTGAACCTGGGAGGCGGAGGTTGCAGTGAGCTGAGATTGTACCACTGTACTCTAGCCTGGGTAACAGAGCAAGACTCCGTCTCAAAAAAAATAAAATAAAAACACAAAAGCACTCTTAAGAGGCTTTTCTTTGTTTTTTGTTTTTACAGGTGTGAGATCTTTTTGGTTACTGGTTATTGTTACAGTAAATTTATTGTTGGAAATTTTACTGTAAATTGGCTAATGTCTGAAAAGACTCAGGTCCTCATTTGTTTCCCTGTTGTCATTGTTCCACAGCTGCTATTCCACTTTCATCATCACAGATTCTCTGTTCAGTAGTGCTTTCATGTTTGGTGAAAAGAATATTATTTGTCCACATGTTTGCTTGCTGTGATTCTGGTGGTGCTTTCTTTGTCTCCATTAGAATGAGATGGTTCGGGAACTAGATGGCCATGTCTTGAAGTGTGTGAAAGATCAGAATGGCAATCACGTGGTTCAGAAATGCATTGAATGTGTACAGCCCCAGTCTTTGCAATTTATCATCGATGCGTTTAAGGGACAGGTAAGTGACCCAGGAGAGAAATAATGGAAACAAATTTATTTCCTTTGTGAGCAGAAAACAGAGTAGGATTTGTGGCATGTTCTCAATATGCTTAATGTACTTTATTTTTTTTGAGACTGGATCCCACTCTGTTGCCCAGGCTGGAGTGCAGTGGCACCATCACGGCTCACTACAGCCTTGAACTGCCAGGTTCAAGCAATCCTCCCCCCTCAGCCTCCCAAGTAGCTGGAATTACAGGCACATACCACCACACCTGGCTCATTTTTAAATTTTTTGTAGAGACAGTGGCCTCACCATGTTGCCCAGGCTGGTCTTGAATTCCTGCACTCAAGCAATCCACCTGCCTCAGCCTCCCGAAGTTGCTGGGATTACAGGCATGAGCCACTGTGCCTGATCTTAATGTACTTTAGACTGCAGTAAAAAGCAGTCCTGTATAGTACTGTCAGGTACCTGTCTGTGTGTTGCCAAGTGTCTGGGTCTCGGTCTTCTTTCCGTCATTAATGCAGTTGTCTGCTCACATTGGGATGAAACACCATCATAAGAGTTTTTAAGATGAAATCTCATATTTGAAGAATAAATTATTTCCCTTGGTTAAGTACTATTTATTCTGATATTTCAGTGCTTTCGTTTTAAATTTGGTTTAAAATTCAGGTAATTTACGGTACTAATGTTGTAGGTCATGTGTGAATATATCTTTAAAATAACAAGGTGCTTTTTGCTTAAATTTTTTTGGAAGGGATGCAGTCCAGGTTGGTTTGAATTGTATTAAATGGCCAAATAACCAGAGATAACTTCTAGTTTCTCCTGTTTTCCTGTATATCAAAAATCTCTTCTTAGCTTCAGCTTCCAAGTAAGATTGTTACTTTTATATGTAAATACCTTTTTCCAGAATTGCTTCTGAATTGGCTATAGTTTTGTGTTTTTTTGTTTGTTTGTTTGTTTTGTTTTTTTCCAAAACACAAAGTCCTTACAGTCTCCTAAGGTGGGTGGGACAGGACAGTAAAACTCAGCTCCCCTTTGGGTGTGTGAAATTGGTCTTTCTTTAGGGAAGGGGGAAAAATGAGAAAAAGCACATAGATTTTCAGGTATAATTTATGTACTGCTGAGTATAGAGTGATATGTGATGTGTAGTAATCTTTAGGTTTTGCTGTTTGCTCAATGACCACAATGGTTGATCACTGACAGCAACCCACGTGGTTATTGGGAGTTTCTGAGTTAAAGAAAAAAGGGTAGATCTGTTTACCTTAACATTAAGATGTTACATTTATGGAATTATACAACAAAAAAGATAAAACGATAAATCCACCAGGAGAGAATATTTTCAAGATGCGACGGTCAAAGGATTGATAACTAGAATGTATAAAGAACCTCTCTAATGAAAGAAAACAATACAACATGATGTAAAAGTGAGCCCAGAACACAAGTTGACATTTCATAGAAGAAACACAAATTGCCAGTAGACATGAAAAAATACTCAGTTCCATTAGGAACAAGGAAAATGCAAAATTAAGCCACAAATAATAGACTATTATTTACCCATCAGTTGCTATGTGCTGACAGGAATGAGGTACACTGCTGGTGGGAATAGACATTGGCACAACCATTTTGGAAAATAATTTAGTATTGTCTTTCAAATTTCAACCTTCATAATTTCTGTGATCCTGTTGAAATATCTGTACATGTATACCATGAGACCTTTTAGACATGTTTAAACACCATTATTCTCTTAAAAGACTTAAGGAACCCAGAAGACCATGAGCAGGGGATTGCATTTTTTAAAAATGTCATATACATGGCCGGGCACGGTGGTTCACACCTGTAATCCCAGCACTTTGGGAGGCTGAGACGGGTGGATCACCTGAGGTCAGGAGTTCGAGACCAGCCTGGCCAACACGGTGAAACCCCGTCTCTACTAGAAATACAAAAAATTAGCCGGGTGCCTGTAATCCCAGCTACTTGGGAGGCTGAAGCAGGAGAATTGCTTGAGCCCGGGAGGCGGAGGTTGCAGTGAGCCGAGATGGTGCCATTGCACTCCAGCCTAGGCAACAAGAGTGAAACTCTGTCTAATAAAAAAAAAAAAAATTCTTTGTATATACCATGCAGAATAAACTACAGAAACTCACAGTATTGTAAATGAACATGGGAATCATAATGTTGAGTGAAATAAATCAAGTTGCTCCAGACTACAAGTGTAGCATTTTTATAAAGCTAAATTCAAGGAGAACCATACAGTATACTATTTATCTTTACGATTGTAAATATAAAGCTACATGTATAAAGTCACACATAAGGCTAGGTGCAGTGGCTCACACCTGTAATCCAGGCACTTTGGGAGGCCAAGGTGGGAGGATTGCTTAAGGCTAGGAGTACAGGAACAGCCTGGGCAACATAGCGAATCTCCGTCTCTACACACAATTTTTTTTTAAAGTAGCCAGATGTGGTGGCAAGTGCCTGTAGTCCCAGCAACTTGGGAAGCTGAGGCAGGAGGATGACCTGAGTGCAAGAGCTCAAGGCTGCAGTGAGCTGTGATCACCATTGCGCTCCAGCCTTGTCTCCAAAACAAAACAAAATCATACAGAAAGCACTGGGTGTGATGACTTACACTTGGCAAGCATCCAGTAAGTGTTAGCTGCTATTATTGCTCTTATTATTGTTCTTGATTACAGTTGTGAGATGTATGCCACTAAGCTAGGAAGGGCAGAATCTCAAGGGTAGTGTGCTTTTCTATTGCTCCAAACCCAGCAAAAGAATCTTTTCTTATTGCTGAAAAACATCACAGTTAAATCAGAACATTGCATTCTGGTTGTTCTGGCGGTGTGAAAGCATTCAGGATTTGGTCCCAGTCCTTCCCTTTTCTGTTGTTAGCGCTGTCTTTTGGAGAGGTTGTCAGTTGACACACTTGACTCTTAACTAAGTGTGTTTTTCATGACTTTGACTAGCTATCTGTTTCTTGGCGGCTTGGAAAAGTCCTTTTCAGCTCTGAATTGTGCACATCTATGAATTCCTAAAATAGATAAGCGATGAGTTTATTGATACACACACACCTTATTATATGTAGAGAGAACTTAAATGCCATTAAGTTCATTTGTGAAGATTAGTGGGATAATACATATATATATATATATATATATATATATATATATATATATATATAAACAATACTGAAGCATTGAAGGTGGTGACTGTCATTTTTGCTTCTCATTTGTGTTTGTCTACCCTTAGGTATTTGCCTTATCCACACATCCTTATGGCTGCCGAGTGATTCAGAGAATCCTGGAGCACTGTCTCCCTGACCAGACACTCCCTATTTTAGAGGAGCTTCACCAGCACACAGAGCAGCTTGTACAGGTAGTGGAGTTGCCAGTAGAGGAACTGCGAACACCTGTGGGCTTGTGCAGGGCCAGAGTTTGTGTGTTTTGTCAGTGTAGGTTCCAGAAGAGGTTAATGTGTTTTAAATACCCTTGAATCTTGTGGTTGTATTTGTATTCAGAGCAGCTTGGTTTGTGTTTTATGAATATGGGTAGTGAATTGAGCCCTAGCCCTGGAGTCAGGAGATCTGACTTCCAGAACTCTGTCATGTACTTGTGGTGTCACCTTAGGTAGACATTTAATCCCTCTGGGTCTCTGTTTCATAATCGTTAAATGAAATAAGTTGATTTGTTGATTTCTTGTTTTTAGCTTTGATACATTCTCTGCTTATACCACTGATTAAATAATTAGGTATGCCCTTGTTTTTTGTTGGACATAAATATTTCCAGTTTTTCTCTGTTATAGATAGGTGCAGTGAACCATTTGTATATGTGTTTGAGAAAAATGAATATTTACTGCCATAACACTCCCTCCCCTTTTAAAAATGAATATGTATATTCTATTGTCTAGTAATAATATGTTCCTGTTTTGTAATAATAGAGAAGAACGTTACTACCTGTCTTAAAAATTGTGTGTTCATTAGTATTCATATAAACCGTTATGGTGGTAAAAGAAAGACAGGTTTTAATTAGATATAAGGACTTAAGTAACCTGCAGAACTGGCTTTCACATACATTTTATTTCTCTTACTGTTTCTCAAACAGGATCAATATGGAAATTATGTAATCCAACATGTACTGGAGCACGGTCGTCCTGAGGATAAAAGCAAAATTGTAGCAGAAATCCGAGGCAATGTACTTGTATTGAGTCAGCACAAATTTGCAAGGTACGTGCTTTGAGTTACAAGGACTATTTCCCAGAAGAGAGGATTAGTAGTATTGAACTATAATTATCTTATTTTTTAATGTTGTTGTTGTTGTTGTTGTTTTCAAAGTATATATAGCTTAAAAGTCAAATAGTTTTATTACAAAGTATAAACTCTGAGAGGTCCCTTAGTGGGCTTCTTACTCTGATAGAGTCAGCCACTTTGAAATCTGGGGAATATGTTACTAAAGAATGTGAGTGTTACACTTTGATGAACTGAATATTTTATTAACTTGTTTGTTTGGAATTGTGAAATGTTGTTTATTCAGTTTCCCTTTTTAGCACCTGAAAGAAAGGCAGTTTACCATATGCATATCTATATATAGGCCTTAGTATTCTTAGGATCTCTTTTCCAGTCTTCATATTGTGCAAGCTCAAGAATGAAATGCAGTAGTTATTCCCAGGTTGTGAAAGGTGTCTTAGGTCACTTATAAGTAGCAGAGGTTGGAGAAGGAATCAATGGCCCTTCCATGTGGATAGTGGTATAGTCTTCTGAGAAGATACTGTATATGTCCTACTGCCCACATAACATACTATTTTTTATTTTTGGAATATATTCTTCCCTGGTTTTTAGAATAAATTGCAAGGCAGGACAGGACTCATACAACCTTGATGTTTTTAATTTATGTTATTTTTTGAGACAGGGTCACGCTCTGTCGCCCAGGCTTGAGTGCAGTGGCACAGTGTCGGCTCACTGCAAGCTCCACCTCTCAGGCTCAAGCGATCCTCCTACCTCAGGCTTTCAAGTAGCTGGGACTGCAGGCGCACGCCACCACGCCCAGCTACTTTTTTTTATTTTTGTAGAGACAGGGTTTCACCATATTGGCCAGGGGCTGGTCTTGAACTCCTGGACTTAATCCTCCCACTTAGGCCTCCCAAAGTGCTGGGATTACCAGCACGAGCCACCAGTACCTGGCCTCATTCATTTTAAATTTGTGAAATTTTATAACATGTCACAGCATGGAAAAACAGAGAAAAGAAATGAAAGTACCTGTAGATCCAGTGTCTCCATAGCCTAGCCCTATCAGGGTTATCTCTTACGACTTTATATTGTTTTGTTTTGGGGGGTTCCTTTTGACCGGTTGCCAGGACTGAGGAATGGGGATCAGAATCTCTTGGGTTCTCTTCTTCGGGTCAGTCTCCTGTTTACATTTTTGTTCACAGTATTTAATTTCTCACCCTTGGATATAGCCTAAGCATTAATTAATATTACAACAAATTCAAAAACAATTTAAAAAAAAAGAAGTTTTTATTTTTTTAAGGGACAGAGTCTGTTGCCCTGGCTGGAGTGCAGTGGTGCACTCCTAGCTCACTGCAGCCTAGGATTCCTGGGCTCAAGCAGTCCTCCCACCTCAACCTCCTAAGTAGCTGGGACTGTAGGTGCACACCACCATGTCCAGCTACAACAATTAATAACTGAGTAGCTACTGTGGGCCCAGTCCTCCCATTGATAACATGTGTAAACTGTGGACAAAAATACAAGAACTACCTGAAGACACTAGAGAGTAACCAAAGGGCAGGTGGAGACCAGAGAGGTGGGGGCTGGCATTTGGAAGAAGAGAATTGCACTGGGGAAATTTCTTATTTCTGATGGCTGTTAGCCTGTGGTCACTTCCCAGTCTTTTCCATGCTGGGCAGCTAAAGCTGGAATAGGCAATCCTCAGGGCAGCCACAACAAAGAGAAATCCTAGAAAGGGAGAGAGCCGGAAGGGGTTCGGGGGGGCCCAGTTTTAACCTTCCCCCAAGTCCGGCTGACCCCTGAACCACATTTCCAGCTAAGGCTGAAAGAATTGAACTGGGATTTCAGCTGCTGCTTACTGTATGGGAGAAGTTTGTAGTTTGACTATAGCCAAGTTAACTGCACTAAAACAGGAGTGGAGGGCACTTCTCTTTGGTGGAACATAGCAGAAGTCTGAGTTTCTGTAGCCTGTTATTCGCAGTGTCTATCTGGATAATAGGAAAATGTGACCTATACTCAAGAAAAAAGAAATAAAAATCAGTGGGTAGTCTAAAATGACCCAGTTATTGGAATTAGTAAAGAAGGATTATACAGCAGCTGTTTAAATATACTCAGGTTGTAAAGGAAAATATGCTGTAGTGAATGAAAAGATAGGAGATTTTAGTAGAAAATTATGTATGTATGTATGTATCTGTCTATCTGTCTATCTGTCTGTCTGTCTGTCTGTCTGTCTGTCTGTCTGTCTGTCTATCTATCTATCTATCTATCTATCTATCTCTATCTATGAATGAGATGGAGTCTCGCTCTGTCGCCCAGGCTGGAGTACGGTGGCGCAATCTTGGCTTACTGCAAGCTCTGCCTCCTGGGTTCACACCATTCTCCTGCCTCAGCCTCCCGAGTAGCTGGGACTACAGGTGTCCGCCACCACTCCCGGCTAATTTTTTTGTATTTTTAGTAGAGACAGGGTTTCACCATGTTAGCCAGGATGGTCTCGATCTCCTGACCTCATGATCCATCTGCCTTGGCCTCCCAAAGTGCTGGGATTACAGGTGTCAGCCACCGTGCCCGGCTGAGAATCTTATTTTAAAAAGAAAAAATAGGGGCTGGAGACGGTAGCTCATACCTGTAATCCCAACACTTTGGGAGGCCAAGGCAGGCAAATCACTTGAGGCCAGGAGTTCCAGACCAGCTTGGTCAACATGCGGAAACCCATCTCTACTGAAAATAACAAAAATTAGCTGGGCGTGGTGGCACACGCCTATAGTCCCAGCTACTTGGGAGGCTGAGTCAGGAGAATGGCTTGAACCTAGGAGGTGGAGGTTGCAGTGAGTCGAGATCGTGCCACTGCACGCCAGCCTAGGTGACAGAGCGAGACTGTCTCAAACAAAAATTTTTTCAAATGGTGGAAAAATTTACTTTGTACTCTGGGTCACCATCAAAAATGTCTGAAAGCAGGAACAGTGGCTCATGCCTGTAACCCCAGCATGTTGGAAGGCCGAGGCAGAAGGATTGCTTGAGGCCAAGAGTTCAAGACTAGCCTGGGCAACACAGCAAGATCCTGCCTCTACAAAAATAAAAATAGGGCCGGGTGCGGTGGCTTATGCCTATAATCCCAGCACTTTGGGAGGCTGAGGCGGGCAGATTGCTTGAGGTTGGGAGTTTGAGCCCAGCCTGACCAACATGGTGAAACCCCGTCTCTACTAAAAATACAAAAATTAGCCCGGTGTCATGGCGGACATCTGTAATCCCAGGTGCTCGGGAGGCTGAGGCAGGAGAAGAATTATTTGAATCCGGGAGGCAGAAGTTGCAGTGAGCCGAGATCATGCCATTGCACTCCAGCCTGGGTGACAGAGTGAGACCCTGTCTCAAAAATGAAAATAAAATAAAAAATAAATGTCTGAAAGCCACTGATGTATTTTTTTGTTTACTTCTATTGATCTATTTTCAAGTTCATTGACTCTTCTGTCATCTCTAATCCACTATTAAAGCCATACAGTAAATTTTATTTCTGATGTTATATTTTCCTTTTCTAAAATTTCTATTTTTACTTAAAAAAAAATTACTTATTTGAGGCCAGGCATGGTGGCTCATGCCTGTAATCTCAGCACTTTGGGAGGCTGAGGTGGGCAGATAACGAGGTCAGGAGTTCGAGATGGAGTCTTGCTCTGTCGCTCAGGCTGGAGTGCAGTGGCACAATCTCGGCTCACTGCAACCTCCGCCTCCCGATTCAAGCAATTCTCCTGCCTCAACCTCCCAAGTAGCTGGGATTACAGGCATGCACCACCATGCCCTGCTTGGCAGCAGGGAGATAGGCATAAGTAAGGTTTGTTCCTGGCCTTGGTGAACTGACAAAGGCGAGGAAAGAATGGACAGATTTTGGTAAGTGTTAAAATAATAACCAGCTGGTGGTGAACCAGTGTCCTGAACCTTGTGCTTAAGTCTCCTCACCTACCTGGGCTCCTTACCCTTACCCGTTAGAGGGCCGGGTCCCATGTCCTTGAAGACCTGGTCTCTCTGGGTGGTCAGTATGCAGTAGTATGGCAGTGTATAATTTGATCACCCTCTATAGTCCCCGTGGATTGGAGAAAAAATCTGATTTAATGCCACGTTCCCCCTTTCCTACGATTGGATGCCACAGATGGCACAGGTGGAGAGTCAGAGACTGAGAGAGTCAGACAGTTGGCGACTCATCTTCCTCAAATGTTAAATAGCTCTCTCTCCCTGCTGGTCCGGAGGTCAGGGCAGAAGCTAGGCAAGCACAGCCTCACTAACAGGGGCCTCTCTTGTAAGAGTTGTCCCTGGTTTTATCTCATTACAGCAATGTTGTGGAGAAGTGTGTTACTCACGCCTCACGTACGGAGCGCGCTGTGCTCATCGATGAGGTGTGCACCATGAACGACGGTCCCCACAGTGCCTTATACACCATGATGAAGGACCAGTATGCCAACTACGTGGTCCAGAAGATGATTGACGTGGCGGAGCCAGGCCAGCGGAAGATCGTCATGCATAAGGTAGGCCGGGCTGGGCAGGGTCTCAGAGAAAGTGTGCAAGGCCTTGGCTTCCTTTCTGAAACACAAAGGAGGGTGGGTGCCCTGCTGTTTTTGAAGAGTTTGTCACTGACCTCTGTCCCATGCTGTGTTCTGTTTTTCTTTTATGTGGAGTCACCATTGTCCTTACACATTTGCCAACCCTCCCTTATCAATAGCCACACTGGTATGAGAATCTTAAGCTACATTTTTTGAAATATTTCCATCCCTGATCTCTAGAGAATCAGCTTATGAGTCCAACAAATCAACTTGCCTCATTTCCTTTTCTCACTCCTCCCTTCTGTTCTTTCATCCCACCAACATCTATTGAACAAAGGCCTGCCCAGCATGGTGCATAGCCTGGTACATTGACCTGAAGCCCACTCTGTGCCAGACTTCATCAGCACAGAGATGACTAACACCTGATCCCTGCCCACAGAGTACATTCTGGTGGGGAAGAGCCATGGTGGTGAGCAGTGGTGAGGACATGAGAAGGACCCCTCACCCTTCCCAGAGTCCCTGAGGGCCGGCTTTGCAGGAGAAGGCAAGGCTAAAGAAGAGTTAGACAGGGAAGAAGGAACAGAAATGAGAATGCTTAGGTGCTGTGAGTGGGGAACTGAAAGAGAAGTCACCTGAACAGGCCCACAGCTTCTTGACAAGTCACGGCGTGGGTCCAGTGAGCACTGCAGACACCACAGGGCCCAGGAGGCAAAACAGACCCACAGGCAGGGTGTGCTACAGTTGTGTTTGTGCTGGGCAGTGCCTCCAGCCTCCGGTGCTTCTCATCTGAGCCTGCAGCTTTTGGGCTCTGAACTCACTGAGCCCTTCTCAATTGAGGGGTTGGTTGGCCATTGTCTGGCAATGATGACCCACTTGCCCTCACTGAGAACAAAGTTCGGTAATGAGAATCTTTGTTAATGGACTCAAGTTCTGAGCCAGACAAGACACCCACCACCCCTGAGTCAAGCTAAACCAATCCAAACCACTGCACTGGTGTTGGCAGTGGCAGTTGAAGGCTGGGGGAGTCCCAGGTTCTTAAAGTTGTAAGTTTTCAGGATGCTGGTGAAGGCAGAGGGAATGTTGGAGGTAAGTAGGAGCTTAAGACATGTCTATTCATTCATTCATTCAGTGCTAAACACCTGTTGTACAGCAGGTCGTATTCTCAGCAGGGTTGTATTGGTAAACGTGATAGTGCTGTGCACAGATAGTTACTGGGACACTGGAGAAATACAGGGGAAAGGGTTGTCCAGGAATGGGCAGGGTGTCTTCTATAACGTGTGGGTACAGAGGAGGCTCTCTAACGGAGTGATACTTAATAGAGTGATGACCCTTTCCAGAAGAGGGAACGTGGTGTGTGAAGACTTGGACGCCAGAGACCAGACCGTGTTGTATCTGAAGAAGTAAAACAAGTTCAGTGGAGGAGGAGTGTGGTGACAAAATCACACGTATATTTCAAATAATTGTCCTGGCTGCCATGTGGCCTTTGTAGTTTAGAGGAGGGAGGCAGTGATGAGACCACATGGGAGGCCGTCAAGGCACCAGATGGTGGTGGTTTGGGATTGAAGAGAAGTGGACAGAATAGGGTGCTAGAATTGGTAGGGCTTAGCAGTTGGTTGGCTGAGGGAGTTGACGGGGAGAGTCCTGAGAAGCCCTCTTAGTTTTTCAGCTCTTCCATTACTAAGTGGTATCCTTTTCAGCAAAAGGGACATAAGGAGAGAAGCAGGTAATTAACGTTTCACTTCTTGTTAAATCCAATAAAAAATGGAGTTCAACATGTGTGTGTGTGGCTTGTTAGGGGTTTTTTGTTTTGTTTTGTTCTGGGGAAGTACAAAGGTGAAGTGCCTGGACTTGTCAGCAGCCAGTTCCAGGGACAGAGGAATGGATTGGATTTCAGTTATTTTCTAAAAGGAAAGCTACCAAAAGCAAGGGGATCTTGAACCTCAAGTTCTCATGACAGAAACATTAGTAACATAGTATTACAACTGAAAGGAAAGTATAGCATTATTGCATACGCCGTTTTACAGGTGAGTTTAAGGGAGGTGAAACTGGAACCAAGGACTGTTTGCCACCAGCCAGTTTCCCCTGTAGGCTCCAAAGTGGGAATGTGACACCCGATGCAGCTCTGTGTCCTGGGAAGCATGCGCAGGTGATTTCTAGACCGGATCAACCCTTCCTTGCTTTGAGGACACAGCTAAACAGACAAAAATTGGTGCCCTCATGGAGCTCTCAACCTGGAGAGCCTCTGTCTACTGCGGTACATTTATCCAGTGCGTTTATGTATGCAGGTGCAGGTTTGGATGGGGAATCTGATGAATAAACTGTGGTCCTTTACTGTTTATATGGAAAGATTGATAATTAAGCAAAAGATAGCAGACACAGCTGAGGTATGTAGAATGCTCCCTGAGCTCACAGAAAAGAAAAGGGGCTTCCAGAGAAGAAGCACCTCTCAAGTTTTCTGGAATGTAGGACTTCTTGAAATGATCAGCCCAGGGAAGGAAGAACAGAAAGGAATGCTTGGAGAAGTGACTCAGAGCATAGGTCGGAGAGCCTGAGGGATGAGGCTGGTGTGGCGGGCGTGCCTTGAGAGCACAGTGGGGAGAAACCTGATTCGTGGAGGAGCCACACAGTTTGGGCTCAGCTATCTGTGCTGTCCTTTGTTAGCCATTCAACCTTGGCTGAGTGACTTAACTACTCTGTGCCTTCATGTTTTCTGTCAGTAAGATGGGGATAATCACACCAGCTCATGATGTTCATCATTTCTCTTCTTGTCATTGATTAGCTTTCTGTGATCCACTGTGACCTGGAGAGACAGGGTCAAGTGGTGAGCTCAGGATTCTGGTGACCCGAAATAACCCCCACTGCTCAGGAGAGCCTGGATGCCGTGCATGGGGCCAGAGGGGCCTGTGCTCATGCTTGCAGGGAAGCACTGTGCAGCTGGCGGGTAGTGGGCAGTGTATTTTCCCAGCTAGGATGCACTTTCTCCATGTGTTGTCCTGGGAGTGGCCCATGGCCACCCAGCCTCCAGGGTCCTCAGGCCCTGTGGCACCACTCAGGGTAGGAGCTCCTCTCCTCATCTGATGGGTTGCCAAAGTGCTAGAAGTCAGGGGACTGGGCTGAGCCAGTGAAAGGTATTGCTGTAGGGGTGTGTGTGTGTGTGTGTGTGTGTGTGTGTGTGTGTGTGTGTGTGTATGTGTGTGTGATGCATGACATGCAAATGCATGTCCGGGAAGCCTGCCCCCAAGTCTCATCTCAGGCCATGTAACACAGACTGTCTTTCCTCCCCAGATCCGGCCCCACATCGCAACTCTTCGTAAGTACACCTATGGCAAGCACATTCTGGCCAAGCTGGAGAAGTACTACATGAAGAACGGTGTTGACTTAGGGCCCATCTGTGGCCCCCCTAATGGTATCATCTGAGGCAGTGTCACCCGCTGTTCCCTCATTCCCGCTGACCTCACTGGCCCACTGGCAAATCCAACCAGCAACCAGAAATGTTCTAGTGTAGAGTCTGAGACGGGCAAGTGGTTGCTCCAGGATTACTCCCTCCTCCAAAAAAGGAATCAAATCCACGAGTGGAAAAGCCTTTGTAAATTTAATTTTATTACACATAACATGTACTATTTTTTTTAATTGACTAATTGCCCTGCTGTTTTACTGGTGTATAGGATACTTGTACATAGGTAACCAATGTACATGGGAGGCCACATATTTTGTTCACTGTTGTATCTATATTTCACATGTGGAAACTTTCAGGGTGGTTGGTTTAACAAAAAAAAAAAGCTTTAAAAAAAAAAGAAAAAAAGGAAAAGGTTTTTAGCTCATTTGCCTGGCCGGCAAGTTTTGCAAATAGCTCTTCCCCACCTCCTCATTTTAGTAAAAAACAAACAAAAACAAAAAAACCTGAGAAGTTTGAATTGTAGTTAAATGACCCCAAACTGGCATTTAACACTGTTTATAAAAAATATATATATATATATATATATATATAATGAAAAAGGTTTCAGAGTTGCTAAAGCTTCAGTTTGTGACATTAAGTTTATGAAATTCTAAAAAATGCCTTTTTTGGAGACTATATTATGCTGAAGAAGGCTGTTCGTGAGGAGGAGATGCGAGCACCCAGAACGTCTTTTGAGGCTGGGCGGGTGTGATTGTTTACTGCCTACTGGATTTTTTTCTATTAACATTGAAAGGTAAAATCTGATTATTTAGCATGAGAAAAAAAAATCCAACTCTGCTTTTGGTCTTGCTTCTATAAATATATAGTGTATACTTGGTGTAGACTTTGCATATATACAAATTTGTAGTATTTTCTTGTTTTGATGTCTAATCTGTATCTATAATGTACCCTAGTAGTCGAACATACTTTTGATTGTACAATTGTACATTTGTATACCTGTAATGTAAATGTGGAGAAGTTTGAATCAACATAAACACGTTTTTTGGTAAGAAAAGAGAATTAGCCAGCCCTGTGCATTCAGTGTATATTCTCACCTTTTATGGTCGTAGCATATAGTGTTGTATATTGTAAATTGTAATTTCAACCAGAAGTAAATTTTTTTCTTTTGAAGGAATAAATGTTCTTTATACAGCCTAGTTAATGTTTAAAAAGAAAAAAATAGCTTGGTTTTATTTGTCATCTAGTCTCAAGTATAGCGAGATTCTTTCTAAATGTTATTCAAGATTGAGTTCTCACTAGTGTTTTTTTAATCCTAAAAAAGTAATGTTTTGATTTTGTGACAGTCAAAAGGACGTGCAAAAGTCTAGCCTTGCCCGAGCTTTCCTTACAATCAGAGCCCCTCTCACCTTGTAAAGTGTGAATCGCCCTTCCCTTTTGTACAGAAGATGAACTGTATTTTGCATTTTGTCTACTTGTAAGTGAATGTAACATACTGTCAATTTTCCTTGTTTGAATATAGAATTGTAACACTACACGGTGTACATTTCCAGAGCCTTGTGTATATTTCCAATGAACTTTTTTGCAAGCACACTTGTAACCATATGTGTATAATTAACAAACCTGTGTATGCTTATGCCTGGGCAACTATTTTTTGTAACTCTTGTGTAGATTGTCTCTAAACAATGTGTGATCTTTATTTTGAAAAATACAGAACTTTGGAATCTGGGTTTGTGCTTTATTTTAACCTCTCCCCCCACCCCACCCCCAGTGTAGTTCCCCAGGACAGCCCTTTCCTGCTCATGCTTCTTTCTGCTTGTTTTGTTGTTTTGTGAGGGTGGGAGGAGAGGTGCCAAACTAATGGCTCTTTGAGCCCAATTTAAACCAAAGATGTTTGGTTCAGCCTGCCCAGTGCATTCAGAATCAAGATACTGCACATACAAATCCAGATTTCCAACTCTGCACATCAGAATATTCTCCTTGGGCCCCTGAGATGAGCTGTCTGGGTTACAGCACCGTCTGTCTGGGCCTCTCCTCCTCCGCGTTTCCTCTGTTTGGGCTGCTCCATTTGCTCCCTGCCAACCTGTGCCCACTACTGAGGCCTGCCAAGCAGTCCAATGTCTGAGCATGCTCATCTCTTCAGACTGGGGAGCCTCTTTTAGCTTGTAACACAGGAGGCTGGAGCTCACAATTGTGCCCGTGGCCCTAGCCTGAGGATGCCATCTGCCCTTCTTCACCGACTTTGCTCCAGGGGCAGATTTGGTAAGTGTTGGCAGTTACAGGCTGGGTCCAGCCAGAGAGGCCAGGTGGAAGCCCACACCAGCTGGTGTCTGGAAGTGGAGCGTCAGGATGGTTGAAGGAACTTCACATGGGCCCCTCAAGGGGAAGGGCTAATCACTAACAGGCCCTGGGAATAGGGGGAGAAGAAAAGGAAGCTGAGGGGATGCAGGTTTCCAGTCCAGCATGTGATTTTGCCTCAGCAGCTGTCGTTGGGGCCCTTTCCCAGCATTCCCCACTGCAGTAGCCATCATGGCGCTTGCAGAGGTGGCATGCTGCGGGCATTGGGAACTGCAGTCCATGCTGCTCTGATAGCATGATTCCAGTCAGATTGACCTGGGGTCACATGTGGGTCTCGCCACTCTGTGTGCACTTGGGCAAGTTAGTTCACCTCATCTTTCACCAAATTCCTTGCTGGAAGTGGACCAAAGGTAACAGATCTATGTAAAGTGGCTCTCTTGTCATGTCATGGGAAATTATGGCAATTAAATTGTGTCCAGCACACTGGTGTAATAAATGATACCAGTTTCCCTGCACAGTTTTTGATGAACAAAACTATCTTTGTTCATTAGTTTACATAATAATGTCATTTGTTGTGAACCGACTCTGCGTCAAGTCACACATGAGATGGTTTTCACATGTTCTCAACAACTGTTCTGGGAACCAACAGCCCTGTGAAGAATGCGGCTGTCCCTATCTCATAGATGTGGAAATAGGTCCTAGGATCTGATGCAAGTCTTTTGATAGACCAACTCTGATCAATAAAGCTTTCCCCTTAGTTCATCATGCGAGGGGGTGGGCATGGGGGCAGACCCCTCCATCTGCAGGATTGGGTTTCATGGAGTGGCCTGGGCTCTGGGCCACCCCCTCTTCTGACCACCATTACTCTGCTACCAAGTCCGTCCCAAGGATTCTATGGCCCGGGCTGTCGTCACACACTGGGTACCGGCATTCTTGGTCTCTCTTCCAGAGTCCCTCCAATGTGCATTCCTCAGTTTATGTAATAACCCTTACCCTCTCACAGTGCTTTACAGTTTACAGAGTACTTTGTATTTGAGATACCATTGGTCCTTGTAGAAAGCTTTAGGGAGTCAGGGAGAGATGTTTCAGCCCTTTATACAGATGAGGAGTTTGAGACTTAAGCCCCGCAGTCAGTAACCAAGTGAGGATTTTATCTGAGGGTTCCTGACTCCCAGCCCAGTGCCCTGTCCATGTCATCCTGCCCTTGCCACCCGCCATTAGCCCCATGAATGGCCATCTTCTCTTTTTGAGGCTCAGAGGGATTGCAGAAGGGTGAGGCCCTGGGGAGTGAGGCATCCTTTTGAGGGAGGAAACCTGTAACTTTATGTAGTTACCATCTGTAGCCACACGAGGGTGCTGCCACCTAAAGCGAGTATTATGGAGGCCTAAGGGTTCAAGGTCAGGGTTGGGATGGCTTTCCCCTGGATTGAAGGGCTCAGGAGTGTAGTCAGGAATCCCACCCAGAGACCAGAGGTCTGGCATCTGCCCTGAAACTAAGCTTTCTCCCTTCTTCACTCCCTCTCCTCCTGCTTCCTCCAGCGTCTGCAGTGCATAGCACTAGGCCCTAACACACACAGGGTGTCAGGGTATGGTGAGTGTGGGGTGAGAGGGTATGGTCACTGACCTGGCTCATGAACCTCAGCTTTGCCTTTGACTATGTAATCTCTGGCAAATCACTGACTTCTCTGGACCGTGGTTTCTCCAGCCATCACCTGGAGTGGTAGACCAGGCCTGTCACTCTCACAGGGCTAGTGTGAGATCACACAGGAAGACACATCACACAGGCAGCCCCTTGCCTCTGTTAATGCAACCCTGGTGCCTCTTTCTGGGGCCACATCCTGGCTTTTGCAGCAAGCTTTCAAACAACGCACACCTCCGAGTCTATTTTAATGACTGAGCTTCAAATCCCAGCTCTGCCTGGCCCTTTGTGACCTTTGTAAGTCATCTGCCTTCCTCTCTTTCCTCAGCTGTAAAATGGAGTTAATAATAGCTTTATTTCACAGGGTATATTGGAAGCCCTTGGCACACACAGGGCTGGGAACACAGTAAGCCATAAATAGGAGTTATCATTACCTCCAATTTTTCCTTGCTATGTTGGGGCCCTTGCAATTTTCACTAGGGTGAAACTGGGTGTTTGACAGGAGCTGGACTAGGTCCAGTCTAGTATACGGACTTCCAGACTGGAATCCAGATTGGGATCTGGAGGTTGAAGTGGGTATTTGACAAGAAATGAACAGGGTCCAGTTGGAGGCCTCAAGTAAGCACATATTTAGAAGGACAGGGCATTGTGTGTTCATCAGAATCTGGGGAGTCTGAAACTCCTCTGTCTGGAGCTCCAGCTAACTTTATGTTTAGAACCTGAAGATTCAGAACCTGTGCCATTCTAGTGAAATGGATGTGCCTCAGGAAGATAACTTACAATTCTAGTGGCCACAATAGGGAAGTTTTACTCTAGATGAAATTATTCATCTATGGGTACATTAAAAAAAGATGATCCTGAGTACTTAAGAAACAATGAGATGCATTGTTCGATGGTACACGGAAGCTTCCCAAAGACAGAATGACTTAAAAAAAAAAAGCCTGTCTAAAGAAATCTTTACAACACACTCATAAAAATTATTTTGAGGCTGGCGTGGTAGCTCATGCCTGTAATCCCAGCACTTTGGAAAGCCGAAGCGGGCGGATCACCTGAGGTCAGGCGTTCAAATCCAGCCTGGCCAACATGATGAAACCTCATCTCTACTAAAAAAAATGCAAAAATTAGCTGGGCGTGGTGGTAGGCGCCTGTAATCCCAGCTACTCAGGAGGCTGAGGCACAAGAATTACTTGAACCCGGGAGGTGGAGGCTGCAGTGAGCCGAGATCGTGCCACTGCATTCCAGCCTGGGTGACAGAGCAAGACTCCATCTCAAAAAAAGAAAAAAAAATTATTTTGAATCTGCATGGCTGTTTGATCTTTTGTCTTTTTCCATCTGAATGCTTGAATATTCTGGACACTATCTTCCTTTAAAAGATCTTCAAATGAGCCAGGAGTATCTGCAACAACTAAATGCAAATCTTGGTCTTGCACACAACTTGGCTATTATAAAAGCAACCGCCTGAGACTAATTGGAAAAAAATTGGATTTCTCCCCTGTCACTTACCTAAAACTTAATCCACAGTCTCAACAAGATTGACTCCCAATACTAAGTAAATATGCTCCAAGACTCCTTTTTGGTGAAAACCTAACAGGCTTTCTGCCTTAGAAATGTTTAAATCTTTAAAATGCAAACTTCGAAGAATGACTCATCAGAATAAAAAAAAAAAGTTTTTAGAAAAGTGGCAGATGAAAGAATCCTGAATGTCTTTTCCAAAAACATTAATGAAAGCCTTTAGCCATCTGAACAGGTAACTTTAACTGTCAAGAACACAATTTGGATCCAGTTAGGGAGTTTTATATTATTGTGACTGACGCATGGCTCAAATTTCAGAACAGAAGCCATGAATCTCTGTTTGTGTCTGTCTGTATGTTTATGTATGTCTATGTTATTCATTTTGTAATTAATTAAATTAATTAATTTTTTGAGACTGAGTCTCTCTCTGCCGCCCAGGCTGGAGTGCAGTGGCACGATCTCAGCTCACTGCAACCTCCACCTGCCTGCTGGGTTCAAGCGATTCTCCTGCTTCAGCCTCCTGAGTAGCTGGGATTACAGGCATGTGCCACCATGCCCGGCTAATTTTTGTATTTTTAGTAGAAACAGGGTTTCTATGTTGGCCAGGCTGGTCTCAAATTCCTGACCTCAAATGATCCACCTGCCTCAGCCTCCCAAATTTCTGGGATTACAAGCGTGAGCCAATGCACCTGGCCTATGTATGTCTATGTTATTTAAATGTAATACTGTTCTATCTCCAGATGGTATTATTAGAAATAATATATATACATATATATACGTATATATGTGTGTGTATATATATACACATATATACGTATATATGTGTGTGTATATATATATACACATATATATGTATATATATATGTGTGTGTGTGTGTGTGTGTGTGTATATATATATATATGAGTCTCACTCTGTCACCCAGGCTGAATGCAGTGGTACAAATCTTGGCTTACTGCAACCTCCACCTCCCAGGCTCAAGCAATTCTCATGCCTCAGCCTCCTGAGTAGCTGGGATTACAGACATGTGCCACCACACCTGGATAATTTTTTTATTCCTAGTAGAGACAGGGTTTCTCTATGTTTTTTGTTTGTTTTGTTTTGTTTTTTGTTTGTTTGTTGTTTTTGAGATGGAGTCTGTCTCTGTCGCCCAGTGCTGGAGTGCAGTGATGAGATCTCAGCTCACTGCAGCCTTCTGCCTCCTGGGTTCCAGCAATTCTCCTAACTCAGGCTCCCAAAGTGCTGGGATTACAGGCATGCACCACCACACCTGGCTAATTTTTGTATTTTTAGTAGAGACGGGGTTTCACCATGTTGGACAGGCTGGTCTCAAACTCCTGACCTCAGGTAATCCAACAACTTCAACCTCTCAAAGTGCCAGGATTACAGGTGCAAGCCACCACACCTGGCCAGAAATAATTTATAATTATCTTTTTCCCTACTAAAAGAAAATATTAAAAGAGCTCTTAATACTTAATTGACCTAGAGAAAAATAAGTGCTCACATAAATTATTTTCTCAGAAAAGAAAGCAACTAATTCAAATGCTTTTCAAGTTTATATGACTTGAATAATCTTTAATAAGAATATTAAGCTAGGCATGGTGGCTCACACCTGTAATCCCAGCACTTTGGGAGGCTGAGGTGGGAGGATTGCTTGAGTCCAGGAGTTCAAGGCCAGCCTGGGCAACATAGGGAAACTTTGTCTGTACAAAAAATACAAAAATGAGCTAGGCATAGTGGTGCAAGCCTGTAGTTCTAGCACTTGGGAGGCTGAGGTGGGAGGATGGCTTGAGCCCGGGAGGTCAAGACTGCAGTGAGCTGTAAACCCACCTACTGCACTCAAGGCTGGGCAACAGAGGGAGATCCTGTCTCAAAAAAAAAAAAAAAAAAAAAAAAGAATATTGGTGATTTAGTAAAAATGGATATTCTTAATGGATATTCATATTCTACTTAGCTTTGCTAGTTAAACTCATGTTATCTCTGTTACAAAATTTATTAACAAGATAAGTAACCTGAGGTGACAAGTAGGTTTTTAAATGTTACAAGATGTCTGCTTGAAAAGTTTCCAAAATCTTTGTGAAAACTTGAAACTTTAAAATTATATTAAGTAGGCCAGGTGCGGTGCGCTGTAATCCTAGAACTTTGGGAGGCTGAGGTGGGCGGATCACCTGAGGTCAGAAGTTCAAGACCAGCCTGGCCAACATGGTGAAACCCCATCTCTACCAAAAAATACAAAAGTTAGCCGGGCATGGTGGCAGGCACCTGTAATCCCAGCTACTCAGGAGGCTGAGACAGGAGAATCACTTGAACCCGGGAGGCAGAGGTTGCAGTGAGTCGAGATCTCGCCACTGCACTCCAGCCTGGATGAGAGAGTAAGACTGTGTCTCAAATAAATAAATAAAATAAAATTATATTAAGTTAAATTAAATGATAGATATTTATTAAACACCTACATTATATCCAAATAAAATGACTACTAAAACGTTAATTCCTGAACATAAATTTAAGCTTATGTATTTTTGGCTTCTTATTAAAGACTAGAGAGAGTTGGGTTCACCAGTAGGCACAGCACATGCTCCAAGAAAACACATGCTATTGCCGGGTGCGGTGGCTCACCCCTGTAATCCCAGCACTTTGTGGGGCTGAGGCAGGCGGATCTCCTGAGGTTGGGAGTTCAAGACCAGCCTGACCAACATGGAGAAACCCCATCTCTACTAAAAATACAAAATTAGCCGGGGTGGTGGCGCATGCTTGTAATCCCAGCTACTCGGGAAGCTAAGGCAGGAGAATCACTTGAACCTGGGTGGCGGAGGTTGCGATGAGCCGAGATCGCACCATTGCACTACTCCAGCCTGGGCAACAAGAGCGAAACTACGCCTCAAAAAATAAAAATAAAAATAAAAAGGAAACGCATGCTATTTAAAAGCTGGCCGGGTGCGGTGGCTCACGCCTATAATCCCAGCACTTTGGGAGGCTGAGGTGGGCGGATCATCTGAAGCCAGGAGTTTGAGACCAGCCTGGCTAACATAGGGAAACTCCGTCTCTACTAAAAATACAAAAATTAGCCGGGTGTGTACCCCGTGCCTGTAGTCCCAGCTACTCGAGAAGCTGAGGCTGGAGAATCGCTTGAACCTGGGAGGTGGAGGTTGCAGTGAGCCGAGATGGTGCCACTGCACTCCAACCTGGGTGACAGAGCAAGACTCTGTTGAAAAACACAAACACAAAAACAAAAAACTGTGAAATCATGTATTTCCTAATTTTCATGAAAAATTAATGGCTGAGTGCAGGGGCTTGTGTCTGTAATCCCAGCAATTTAAGAGGCTAAGGCAGGAGGATCACTTGAAGCCAGGAGTTCAAGGCCAATTTGGGCAAGAAAGCAAGTCCCCATCTCTACAAAAAAAAATTTTTTTTAAATTAGCCCAGTGCAGGTCGGGCGCGGTGGCTCACGCCTGTAATCCCAGCACTTTGGGAGGCCGAGGTGGGCAGATCACGAGGTCAGGTGATCGAGGTTATCCTGGCTACAGTGAAACCCCGACTCTACTAAAAATACAAAAAATTAGCTGGGCGTGGTGGCGGGCGCCTGTAGTCCCAGCTACTGGAGAGGATGAGGCAGGAGAATGACGAGAACCTGGGAGGCGGAGCTTGCAGTGAGCCGAGATCGCACCACTGCACTCCAGCCTGGGTGACAGAGCAAGACTCCGTCCCCCCAAAAAAAGAGAAAATAATAATAATAAAAAAAATAAATAAAATAAATAAAAAATTAGCCCAGTGCCGTGGTGTGTGCCTGTAGTCTCAGCTCCTCAGGAGGCTGAAGTGGAGGACTGCTTGAGCCCAGGAGTTCGAGATCAGCCTGGGCAACATAGGGAAAATTTATCTCTACAAAAAAAAATTTTTTTTTAATCAGCTGGGTGTGGTGGTACATTCCTGTGGTCCCAGCTACTCAGGAGGCTGAAGGAGGAGGATTGCTTGAGCCTGGGAGGTCAAGGCTGTGGTGAGCTGTGGTTGTCCTACTGCACATTCCAGCCTGGGTGACCAAGTGAGACCTAGTCTCCAAAAAAAGGAAGGTAAAATTAAGATTACTAAGGGCTAAGAATTTTAATTAACATATGCAATTCAAACTATTAGAAATAATAAGGTAAAAGAAAACAGCTGTATATAAAAGTGTACAAATAAAGTAGGTGTATTTAATAGGAAAAGTATACAAGGTATGTATTTTCATTAAAGACAAAAAGAATAATTTTGTCTTAAAGTAAGTTGACTGATTGTTCCAGAATAAAAAAGGAGAAAAAGACTGAGACAAAAATTGAATGGATACAGAAAATTGTGGAAGGTGTGTGAAAGAGAAACTTTTTGTGTGGTCAAACTACTAAGGTGAGATAGGTTTTATATATAACAGCTCAATAATGTGCTGAGGTCATTAGAATTCTGTTTTCTCTCTGTTAAAAGGACAACATGTTCTTGGAGTGTTGATTTGCTCTTGATTATGAACGTTTTTTTCTTTACCTTTTAAATAATTGCCCAAGAAAACAAAGATTGTGTTGTATTGAGATAATTTTTTTTTTTTTGAGACAGAGTCTCGCTCTGTCACCCAGGCTTGGCTTACTGCAACCTCCACCTCCTGGGTTCAAGGGATTCTCCGGCCTAAGCCTCCCAAGTAGCTGGAATTACAGGCATGCGCACACCACACACAGAGGTGGGGTTTCACCATGTTGGCCAGGCTAGTCTCAAACTCCTGGCCTCAAGTGATCTGCCCACCTTGGCCTCCCAAAGTGCTGGGATTACAGGCATGAGCCACTGCACCCAGCCTGATGTTGTTGTTGTTTTTATTGTCTTCCCTGCAGTCCAAATTATGTTGTTTTTTAGTAGGTCTTCGATTATTTGAGAAAAATTAGTCTTCAGTATTTAAAAAAAAGCCAAGCTTTAACTACGTAACTTTCTGTATTTGCCTTTAAAATCTTTTATCACTTTGATATTGTTTCACAATGACTTATGATCCTTTTTAATCAAGTGTTTCAAACATTTTGACATTTTTGACAGCTTCTCAAAATTAATTCTAAATTAAGTGTTTTCCACCTCACATTAACTTTGGGAGTTTCCAGAAGTGTCCCTGGAATATTTCAAAATAATTTATTTTCTCTCCTTGTAAATGAGAAGTGTTAAACTAATTAGGCTTATTTGATATGTTAATTGCATGGAAGATGTTGTCAAATAATAAGTGATACTAATCCTTCTTTAAGTTATATGTGTTATTGATATGAGTATCCCAGGAAATGTGTAGAATTCCTAGAAATCTGATATATCCTGGTATATTGTTATCAGTCATAAATCTAATTATTATCTTAAGATGCTATATGCCACAAAACACCAAATTTCCTTCCTGAAAGCATTTGAATGCCACTATGATACAAAAGCACAAGAGATTCATTAGAAAAGGCTGACAATACAGCTTTCTGATAAGATCATACTATGGAACTGTGTAAAAATTTCCAAAACTGTAATGGGAAACTGATGGACTCATAAAACTGCTAATCCAATATCAAGGAAAACAAAAATTAATTATATGAGACTAAACTGATGAAAATAATTTTAATTTTTTATGAGTTTTTCTTTGAAGCATTGCTGGTTCTAAGAAATGTTTTATTTTCTAAATTTAAGGAGACTTTTTTTCTCTTCCCTTAACTGTCTACAATAACAATTTGATAAAATATATCTTTGTAGGCCAGGTGCAGTGGCTCACACCTGTAATCCCAGAACTTTGGGAGGCCGAGGTGGGTGGATCACGATGTCAGGAAATCGAGACCATCCTAGCTAACACAGTGAAACCCCGTCTCTACTAAAAATACAAAAAAAAAAAAAAAAAATTAGCTGGGTGTGGTGGCGGGTGCCTGTAGTCCCAGCTACTCGGGAGGCTGAGGCAGGAGAATGGCCTGAACCCGGGAGGCGGAGCTTGCAGTGAGCCGAGATCACGCCATTGCAATCCAGCCTAGGCGACAGTGAGACTCTGTGTAAAAAAAAAAAAAATCTATATATCTATATATCTATATATATATCTTTGTAAACAAAAATGCAACATTTATCTTTCTCTCCCTACCTGATTACTCCAGAATTTGGAAACTCTTATTAAATATTTTTATTTGCAATATGAGTATTATCAT
The DNA here is from genome assembly GCF_000001405.40 of Homo sapiens. Taxonomy (NCBI): domain Eukaryota; kingdom Metazoa; phylum Chordata; class Mammalia; order Primates; family Hominidae; genus Homo; species Homo sapiens. Next base: position 30,921,631 of record NC_000001.11, on the reverse strand, counting down.
AGGTTCAATAAAAATTGGTTCTCATAACAGAACATAATTGGGCAAGTTCTTAGTTTGGCTTCTTCAAGAAGTTTTAAAATACCTGTTCTGAGATTTCTCATTATCAGACAGTTTTTGAAAACTAAGGTTGATTGATACAAAGTCACGAAAGCCCCTTGGATATGAACAGAGCTCTGATTAAAGTATCATATTTAAAAATATACACGAAATTATTATGTTACATTTCTGTAAACAATCAGGTCAAATTTAATGGAATTAGACTTATTTTGAAAAAAAGAACTATGATTATTTTTGGTAAAAACAGGAGTGATGATTAAAAAAAGATTGTTATTTCAGTTAAACACTATAGTGCACCCATTATCAAATTCTAGTTCTGTTCATTTTCTTTGAGGTTTTGTTATCTATCTGTAAACTGAATTAAATTCCGAAACTTTCTAGTTTCACTAAAAACTAAAACTGCTCCTTTCCTAAGCCCTATAAGCTGAAACTCAATGACTTTAAGTTTTAGAAATATCACTACAACAGGTCATGTACGGGCAACTTTCATGCCTGCTACTATACGCGTCATGTGGAGAGTTTACTGGCACACTGCCTGATGCCATAGCCAGAGTCATTCAACGCCATCTTCATTCCGTCATCTAAAGATGCTTCCCACTCACATCTAGACATCTCAGCTAGCTGCCCTTGAGACTCAAAAACTAACATCATAATTTGCTCCAGATGTTAACCTTTGTTTTTCTTTTGTTTTCGTAGAACAAAACCTTGAATTCCCTTCAAGGGATACAATCTGAAGTGAACAATTTGCCTCAATAATACTCCAACGTAGTTCTTGATACCTTCACAGCTTAATAAGGAGGAGCTTGTGTTTTTATTGATTAAGAAATGTTTCGGCCAGTGAGGGAGTGGTGGCTCACGCCTGTAATCCCAATATTTTGGGAGACTGAGGTGGGCGGATCACCTGAAGTCAGGAGTTTGAGACCAGCCTGGCCAACATGGTGAAACCCCGTCTCTACTAAAATATCACAAAAATTAGCCGGGTGCGGTGGTGCATGTCTGTAATCTCAGCTACTTGGGAGACTGAGGCAGGAGAATCACTTGAACCTGGGAGGTGGAGGTTGCAGTGAGCTGAGATCACACCACTGCACTCCAGCCTGGGCGAACAGAGTGAGACTCTGTCTCAAAAAAAAAAAAAAAAAAGTTGCTTTTATGTTAATAAGAAACTGTTGCCCAAAATTTAAAGCTCTTTTTTTTGAGACAGGGTCTTACCCTGTCACCCAGGCTGGAATGCATGCAGTGGTGCGATCATGGCGCACTGCAGCCAGGACCTCCTGAGCTCAAGCCATCCTCCTACCTCAGCCTCCTGAGTAGCTGGGACCACAGGTATGAGCCATCACACCTGGCTAATAAAGGCTCTTAAGAAACAAATACAAGTCTTAGCAGATAGGTGCTACCTCCTTCATTGATATGTTTTAGCTGGTGAAATCTTGGCTCCTGGGAATCTTTGTTCCAGGGCGTTTTTCAGTCCTTGGCTATTATTTTCCTTATAGTTATTCTATTCACCCCCTTTGTGCATTGTATCCTCTCAAGGGTTTTAAATGACACCGTTTCACCCTATAATCCCAGCACTTTGGGAGACTAAGGCCGAAAGATTGCTTGAAGCCAGGAGTTCTCAACCAGCCTGGGCAACAAAGTAAGACCTTGTCTCTACAAAAAAATTTTATTTTAATTAGCCCAGTGCAGTGGCGTGTGCCCGTAGTCCCAGCTACTCAGGAGGCTGAGGTGGGAGGATCATTGAGCCCAGGAATTCAAGGCTGCAGTGAACTATGATGGTGCCACTGCACTCCAGCCTGGGTGACCGAGCAAGACCCAGTCTCTAAAAAATAAGTACATAAATAAATGCTTTCCCGCAGCCACTTGCATATCGAATGATTGCCAGCAGGATTTAACAACCTGGAGAACTGAGCAAGCCCACCACTAGGGCCTATAGTGACTATGCAATTTTGGATACCAATGACCACAAGACCACAGTCCTAACGCAGCTGTTGATGATAGCATCTACATGGCTCTGTTCCAGACTGTGTTAACGGTAGTAACTGAGAATAATGCCATACTCTGGTCACACTCTCAGCTTGCTTTTGAAACTGCCCCTATAAACTTTATAAAATTAATCAGGGAAGAAGAGAGGGGGAATAATGAAAATAAACTGAGCTTGTAGCACGTTCAGCCTTCATTTTGAGGTCAGCTCACTCTCTGACCTGCCTCCTCACAGCTGCTTTTTGCAACCTGTTGACCTAGAATCACGAGACCCTGTTACAGGACGATAGTTCCCCTTAGCTGCTCTGCAGATAACAACTTGAACATTAGGAAGCCTTAAGTTCTCTCTTTGAGCTATTCCTTCAGGTCCTGCATACTGAGGAAACTGCTGACTCAGCTGGTTTGAAGGACCTGACTGGTTTGAAGAGCTGACTCACCAAAAAATGCAGTTTCCATGTCCTGATGATGTCATCCCCCTTACTCAAAACCATCAATGACCCAAGTTTTCTAGCCCCTCACCCTCAACAATCCCCTTAGAAATCCCAGCCCAGAACTCCTCGGAGGGATGGATTTGAGGATCTCCTCGCTTGGTGCCCTGTGATCAGTAAACTCTTTCTGCTTCTGCAAACCCTGCTGTCTCCATGTAATGGGGTCTGTTACTGTGCAGTGGGCAGAGGAACCATAGTCCTGTAATACTTTATTTATTTTTCAGGATGGAGTCTCCTGAGGCTGGGCGTGTTGGCTCACACCTGTAATCTCAGCACTCTGGGAGGCCGAGGCCTTTGGGATCACGAGGTCAGGAGTTCGAGACCAGCCTGGCCGAGATGGTGAAACCCCATCTTTTCTAAAAATACAAAAATTAGCCTGGCGCAGTAGTGGGCGCCTGTAATCCCAGCTACTTGGGAGGCTGAGGCAGGAGAATTGCTTGAACCTAGGAGGCAGAGGTTGCAGTGAGCCGAGATCACACCACTGTACTCTAGCCTGGGTGACAGAGTGAGACTCCGTCTCAAAAAAAAAAAAAAAAAAAAAGAAGATGGAGTCTCCTCTGTTGCCCAGGCTGGAGTGCAATGGTATGATCTTGGCTCACTGTAACCTCTGCCTTCCGGGTTAAAGCGATTCTCCTCCCTCAGCTTCCTGAGTAGATGAAATTACAGGCACGCGCCACCATACCCGGCTAATTTTTTGTGTTTTTAGTAGAGACAAGGTTTCATCATTTTGACCAGGCTGGTCTTGAACTCCTGATATCAGTTGATCCACCCGCCTCGGCCTCCCAAAGTGCTGGGATTACAGGCGTCAGCCATTGTGCCCAGCCCTATAACCCTTTCACTTGTTAAATTAAAATGGAGACCAGGTCTGAAGAATCCCAGAGCAGACAAAACCAGTTAGGCCTCATACATGACCTCAACCTTGCTTGATTTGCAAACATAAGCAAAAATTGAGCTATTTCTTGTAAATGCCTCTATTAAAGAAAAACAGAACTTCAGCTCAACCAGTCAGAAGTAGTCCACAAATTTTTATATAACGGGGGACTTTCTAACGGCATAGACCAAATAAACAACTATATAATTGCAACCAATCAAATAATTTATTTTACTTCTGCGTTTATCCCTTAAATACTTGCCTCTGATGATTTGTCACTGGAACATTAAACCTCTTCTGGTTTGGTGTTTCCCAGTTCATGAATTGCTTTTCACTCAAAGAAGCACTTTAAACTTATCTGTGGGATCTAACAATCAAAACAATTAAACTCAGGAAGATAGAGAACAGAAGGTTGGTTACCAGATGCTGGGAAGGCTAGTGAGGGGGTAGAGGAGAGGAGGTGGGGACGACAGTTAATGGGTGCAACAAAAAAGAAAGGATGATAAGACCTAGTATTTGATAGTACAAAAGGGTGACTATAGTCAATAATAACCTTTTTTTTTTTTTTTGGAGACAGAGTCTCACCCAGGCTGGAGTGCAGTGGCCCGACCTCGGCTCACTACAACCTCTGCCTCTTGGGTTCAAGCAATTCTCTGCCTCAGCCTCCCGAGTAGCTGGGATTACAGGCACCTGTCACCATGCCTGGCTAATTTTTATATTTTTAGTAGAGATGGGGTTTCACCATCTTGGCCAGGCTGGTCTTGAACTCCTGACCTTGTGATCCACCCACCTCAGCCTCCCAAAGTGCTAGGATTACAGGCATGAGCCACCACACCCGGTCCTTTTTTTTTTTTTTTTTTTTTTTTTTTTGAGACAGAGTCTCACTCTGTTGCCCAGGCTGGAGTACAGTGGCACGATCTTGGCTCACTGCAACCTCCGCCTCCCAGGTTCAAGCTATTCTCCTGCCTCAGCCCCCCGTGTAGCTGGGATTACAGGCACACACCACTACCTCCGGCTACTTTTTGTATTTTCAGTAGAGAAGGAGTTTCACTGTGTTGTCCAGGCTGGTCTTGAACTCCTGGGCTCAAGTGATCTGCCCACCTCGGCCTCCCAAAGTGCTGGGATTACAGACGTGAGGCACTGTACCTGGCCTAGTCAACAATAATTTAATCGGCCGGGTGCGGTGGCTCAAGACTGTAATCCCAGCACTTTGGGAGGCTAAGGCGGGTGGATCACCAGGTCAGGAGACTGAGACCAGCCTGGCTAACACGGTGAAACCCCATCTCTACTAAAAATACAAAAAAAAAAAAAAATTAGCCAGGTGTGGTGGTGGGCACCTGTAGTCCCAGCTACTCAGGAGGCTGAGGCAGGAGAATGGCGTGAACCCAGGAGGTGGAGCTTGCAGTGAGCAGAGATCACGCCACTGCACTCCAGCCTGGGCAACAGAGAGAGACTCCGTTTAAAAAAACAAATAAATAAATAAATAAAAATTAAAATTAACATAATAATAATTTAATCATACTTTTAAAAATAACTTAAAGTGTATAATTGGATTACACTTCCTGGTGCTCCTAGATACCAGCATGGGAACATGTCCTTGGGCAGGGCTGGACCAACAACTCCAGGGGCCGAAGCCAACCTGTTCCAGGGTCCTGGCAGCCACCTGCCCCCTCCCTGTGGAACCTCAGACTCTCTCAGTTCCCGTGGGGGAAGGGTGGGGTATCCTCGCCCTCCCACCTCAGGTCTGGGGTGAACCAGACAAAGAATGACTTAAAAGTAGTGGCCTAGGGGCTGGGCATGGTGGCTCATGCCTGTAATCCCAGCACGTTGGGAGGCCGAGGCGGGCGGATCACGAGGTCGGGAGATCGAGACCTTCCTGGCTAACACATGGTGAAACCCCGTCTCTACTAACAATACAAAAAAATTAGCCAGGCGTGGTGGCAGGCGCCTGTAGTCCCAGCTACTCAGGGGGCTGAGGTAGGAGAATGGCGTGAACCCAGGAGGCGGAGCTTGCAGTGAGCCGAGATCACGCCACTGTACTCCAGCCTGGGTGACAGAATGAGATTCTGTCTAAAAAAAAAAAAAAAAAAAAATTAGTGGCATAGGGTTGGGTGTGGTGGCCCACCATAGTTCCAGCTACTCCAGAGGCTGAGGCAGGAGGATCTCTCGATCCCAGGAGATAGAGGCTGCAGTGAGCTGTGATTGTGCCACTGCACTTCAGCCTGGACAACAGAGTGAGACCCTGTCTCTAAAAATAACAACAACAAAAACACAGTGGTCTGCTCCATGTGACTGTGGGCCTTGCCCTATGCTGGGTGCTGTCCTGTGTTGCTTTGTTTGCCTCCCTCCAGCCTTGTGAGCCGTCACTGACCCTAACTTGCATGGGAGGAAAATGGCCCTGGCCACTGGCCTGGAAGTGGCAGACCCAGAATTTGAGCCCCGAGTGCCCCAGGCCTCTCTTTGGAGTCAGTGCTGCCAGGGCAGCTGCTCTTCCCCTCCACCATGGCCAGCGGCAGGACTGTCCGCAGAGAATTCAGGGTGGCTACCCGCATCTGATCCCTTCGCAGATGACGAGACTGAGGCCCAGGGTGGGAGAAGCACCTGCTCAGAGGCACACAGGAGGCGAGGGCAGCACTAAGGTGTCCCCTGGTGCAGTTGCTTGCCTGTTGCCTGCCTCCCATCCTTGGTGGGAGCTCCCTCAGTGTCCAGATCTGTGCCCAGCCCTCGCTGGGGCTCGATACCTCTAGGTTGAAGTTTGAATGTGGGTCCAACAGTCTCGAAAATCCAAAAAACCAAACACACACACAAATGTGATGTACTGCATATCTCAATGACAGCTGTGCTCAGAGAGGGGGACCCAGTGGTCAGTATCCACAGCCCTGGGGAAAGGGGGATCTCCCCCCACAGGCCCCGGTCACTCTCCCCCACCCACCTCCTAGAGGCAGCTGAGCTGCTGCAGCCTCAGAATGAGGTGAGAAAGAAAATATATTTTTAGGGAGGCATATTTTTGGTTCCAGGAAAATGATTCTAAATGAGCAGTTTATTCCCAGGCACGGGGGTGTGTTCCTGGAATGGCTTCTGGGGCAGTGCCCTCCTCCCATCCTCCCCTTTCTCTCTCCTCCCCTCCTCTCTCCTCACCCAGCTTCTCCACCTCTGCACAGAGAAGAGGGCAGGTGTGTGAGCACAGCTCCTGGGCCTGGGCTCTGCCAATGGTCATTTCCTAGTCCTGTGACCTTCGATGGACAGAGTGGGACGGCCTGTGGGTTTGAATGAAGACCTTGGTTGGGGAGGGGGCTTATCCTAAGAGCTCTGTCAAAACAGAGCAGCTGGTCCAGGAGAAGGGAGTGGAAGAGAGAAAGGCCCCAGGGCAAGGAGTGAAGCCACCTGGGTTCTAGTCCCAGCTCTGCCACAGGCTTATTATGTGACCTTGGGGTCAGTCACATTCCGTTTTAAGGCCTCAGTATTCTCTTCTATGAAATGGGCAGTTAAAGTAGGCCCTGCCTGCTCTGTCCATTCTAGATCACAGGGAACAAGCCTCCAGAATGTTCTCAGCCTCGTCCACACACGATGTCAGGATGAAGCCTCAAGCTGGAGCTCAGGGCCTTAGAGGCTCTCCTCCCAGGTAGGGCTCAGCCCCTGTAGGACCATTTCAAAGCACCCAATTCTCCAAGGCCTGCCTGCAATGGCCCAGGGGAGATGTCGCCACCACCACCATGAAGCCTTCCTAGATTCCCTCAGAGAGGAGGTAGCCATTCCCTGCCCAGGCTCCCTCTGTTTTTTCCTTTGTTTTTGTGGGACAAGATCTTGCTCTGTTGCCCAGGGTGGAGTGCAGTGGCATGATCTCAGCTCACTGCAACCTCTGCCTCCCAGGTTCAAGTGGTCCTCCTGCCTCAGCCTCCTGAGTAGCTGAGACCACAGGTGCCCACTACCACAACCGGCTCGTGTTTTTTTTCTTTTGTTTTGTTTTGTTATTTTTTTTTAGAGATGGGGTTTTGCCATGTTGCCCAGGCTGGTCTTGAACTTCTGAGCTCAAGTGATCTGCCCTCCCTAGCCTCCCAACGTGCTACGATTACAGGCGTGAGCCAACGCCCAGCCCAGTCCACCTCTGACTTTGCTGGATTCAGGCGATAGTATCTGGCGGGGTGGTGGGTGGCCATTCAGAGGCACATTTGCCATAAAATGAAGCTGATGCTTCAGGGCCCTTCATTTGCACAGCCGCTTTCCAAAGCCTTCTTCCTAACTGTGTACTCGAGATCCCTTCAAACCGTATAAGCTTCAGACCCTACAGAGGTGGGACCCACCTTGTTTCCACCCCTACCCAGCTTGGAGTCCCAGAGCTCTCCTCTCCCCTCAAGCAGCTCCCCTCCCCGACTGCCAATCTGGGGCTTCTTCAGCCACAGGCCCTGCTGAGTCTACACAGCCTCTTCCCTCCTACAAGGCCAGCCCAGGCCTTGCTCTGTGACCTACAGGCCACAGAGCTCAAACAAAATCTGATTACTCCCCCTCCTCGCACACCAGCCCTGAGGAACCTGGGGATCCACCAGCCCTCAGGAACGCTTTGGGATCTACAGTTTGCAAACCCTCAGCTCACAGACCTGGAAGAGGCCTGAGTTCAAATCCTAACCTGTGTCTAGCAGCCATGTGTCCTGGGGTGTCACCTACCCTCTCACCCTACAAGGACTTTCCCAGCACACAGGGAGGTCAGGGAAGGCTGGCCGAGCCTGGCTCTGTACTAAGGGCGGGGCATGGCTCTGTGAGACCCTCATATGGGCCAGGTCCCTTCGGCGGGCAGGAGGCTCCCCACGATTGAGGACCCCTGTTGTGGGAAGGCCAAGCCTTCTCCCAGTCACCCTGGTCCGGCCACAGGCCTTGCAGATCCTTCCCCAGTGAGATTTCCACTCACTGGGGCACCAGATGGCTTCTGAGTCTCCCCAGCTTCCCCTAGGAGGACTTTGGGATCCTCCTGATCTGGAGCCCTCTTGTCAGAGCCCTGTTTTGGTTCCTCAGTTTTGGGGGTCACTGACCTCCAAGACTGCTGTCACTTGGACTTTCTCAGAAGCAAGCCTGGGCTGTGGCCTCCATCCTGACTCTTGGGCAAGACCGGAAGTTGTGGTGGGAGATGGTTGGGGTGGGGAGGGAGCAGGATGGAGATGGGGGTGGCGAGGGGAGGCCGGGACTTGTTTTGCAAGCCCTGTGATTGCCTTGAGCTGAGACAGCACTTGTGTTTGGGAGGTCTGGTAAGGATCATAAAGTCCCCTCTGCCCACGGGGGACAGCTCAGCACAGGGTGAAAAGCCAGGGCTCTGTCATCACATGCCTGGTTCAAATCCTGGCTGCCCACTTCCTGGCTGGGTGACCTGGGATAAATTATTGAACTCCTGTGAGCCCCAGATTCCCCAGCTGTGAAATGGGACGAAGTAGAGAGCAAGCACCTGGACAGGGCTCACTGTGTGCCGGACTCCAGGGCTGGCCGCTCATTTGGTTCTCATAGTAGCAGCCCTGGGAGGCAAGTTTGCTTGTCGTGCCCAAATTACAGGCCTGTGGGGAGGAGTAGATGAGGGTGTGTTTGGCAAGTGCTCAGAACAGTGCCTGGCAGGTAGTAAGGCCTCCATCAATCTTGGCTTTTAGGATGCCATGGGACTGTTGAGGTCCAGAGAGCTGGTTGTCTTAGCCAATCCCCTGGGGGACAGGTAGAGTCAGGTGACAGCTACTGAGCACCCACTCTGTGTCAGGCCTGGGCGTGCCACTCTGAATAAGGCATCTTAGGCTCACCTGAGTGGAGTTCAGAGATGCCGCTGAGGCGTCCCCACCCCTCTGCTGCTTGGTTAGAGCTAGGAGGCCCTGTCAAGGGCAGAGAAGGCTCTGACTGGGGTGGGGGTGAGGTGGAAAGGTTGAGATGTAGCCACTAGGCGTGCCTTGTGGGGTTCCCCAGGGGCCAGACTGCATGAGTATGTCTGCATGTTGGTGTGTGACTGTGTGAATCCCCTCGGTGACTCTAATTCATTCATCAAACGCCTCCCAATACACCACTGGGCCTGGCATTGCAGTTTAACTGTTGGCCTGGGTCAGGATCTCAGCTCTCACTGCCAGTCGTGGTGCCTCGGCATATCTCCTATCTTCTCTGTGTATTGGTTTTTCATCTGGAAATGGGGCTAATGTGAGTGTGCATTTGATAGAGCAGTGCCTGGCCCATAATCAGCTCCACTTGGGCCCTTCTATAGCTACTGTTCATTTGGGATACTGAATGCTCCCACTTTTGAGCAAGACAGACAGTAGGGACTGAAAGCAGGGTGGGGAGTGCAGGATGAGTGTGATCAGGATGCCGGCAGGACAGGACCAGGCCTGATCACCCAGAGGACATCAGGAAGACTTCCCAGAGGAGGCAGTGTGTATTCTAAAGGCCGGAGGGGGCTGTGACTATTGTGCCAGGAGGCGGCAGCAGCTGGTGCCTGTGGGTGAGGTTATGGTGCTATGAAGGGAGACCCTGAGTATGTGGGGATGTGGCTCCAATGCACAAGGAGGCCTGGGCAAGGGTGACTGTGCAGATGACCCATGTGCTTGAGGGCAGGAAATGTGTGCATCTGTGAACCCCAGGGAGACCTGGGACCCGGGGGGAGCAAGATGAGAAGGACCTTCAGGGGCCCAGACCTGTCTTAGTTCTGGCTGTGACCAGTGTCTTTGAAGAGCAGCAGGTGGCGCTCCTGGCCTGTCCAGACCAAAGATTCTCCACTGCCCCGCCCCCACCTCTTCCCCAGGATGTCAGGGAAGTGGAGTTGCTGCTTCCAGAAGTCTCAGAGCTGGCAGGAACCTCTGAAGATGGGCCATGCTCACTGCCCATCTTACTCATGGAAACCATCCTAATGGTCTCCCTGCTAGATAGTTCTCCGAGCCTTGAATACCTCTCAAGACAGGATACTTACTGCCTCTTAGAATTGCCACTGCTGTCTGTGGCCAGCTGACATCTGGCTCCTCATAATCCCCACCCTAACCCTGCTGGCCCTTTGGGAGCGCCTCAGGGTTGGTATGTTCCTGGGATCTGCTCAGCATCTCTGAAGGATGATGTTATCCCTACATCTGAGTCCCTTCCTTTGTAAGCTTCATTCCCAGCCACCTTCATTGAACTCCATTACGATGGCAGGGAAGAGCTCATGTAATCCTCACAACCTGGTACCTGGCCTGGCACACAGCAGGCACCCAATTTATGCTTGCTAAATGAATGAATGAATGAACTCTGCGTGGTCATTATCTCTATATTACAGTTGGGAAATTGAGGCTCAGAGAGGTTAAGTCACACATCCAACACAATACAGCTCATAACTGGCAGAACTGGGATTTGAACCCAGATACTTGGCCGACCCAGAGCCAGAGCTCTTCAATTCCAAGCTGTGCTACCTCAACAGAAACCAGTTTCCCACCTATTGCACCCCATCAGCCTCCCTGCCCATCTCCCCAAGGTGCCAGTCAAATTTGGATCGAGCATTGATGTCATGCCAAAAGATTTGAGAATTGAATTTTCAGAGGCTGGGACCTCAGAATTCCTAGTTCGAAAGTCTCCCTGTCTTCCCTGTCCAGGATCCCTGTCAAAGGGTGGTGAGCTTGCCTTTCATACCCTTTAGGGACTGGGCTCTCCCTCCCTCCTGGGGAGCCCCTTCTAATTTATCTCTACTTTATGTTGAGTTGACCTTTGTCCCCTGGTCCTCCTCCCAAGGGCCCTGCAGGACAAGTACAGTTACCCCCAACACCAAAAACCCATGGCTGGTCCCCCAGAGTCTCTTCCTCAAGGCCTGCCCCTCCATTCATCCTGGTTTTGGTTCCCCTTTCCTTGAGGGAATTGTTCCAGTTTCAACTCAATTTCGTTCCCCTATTTTCTTTTCTTTTCTTTTTTTTTTTTTTTTTGTTTTTGAGAAGGAGTCTCGCTCTGTCGCCCAGGCTGGAGTGCAGTGGCGCGATCTCGGCTCACTGCAAGCTCCGCCTCCCGGGTTCATGCCATTCTCCTGCCTCACCCTCCTGGTAGCTGGGACTACAGGCGCCCGCCACCACGCCCGGCTAATTTTTTTGTATTGTTAGTAGAGACGGGGTTTCACCATGTTGGCCAGGATCTCCTGACCTCGTGATCCACCCGCCTCGGCCTCCCAACGTGGTGGGATTACAGGCGTGAGCCACCACGACCGGCCTGATTTCATTCCTATTTTCTAATGGCAGGCTCTAAGCTGGGTGCTGGGACACAGGGGCCAGAGAGGAGAGTAACTGAGGGTAGAGACGTCCAGCCAGCTGTCATCAGCAAATAACCTCTTCTTGCTGGCTCTCAGCTTCCCCACCTAAGAAGTGAAGATATTGACAGACCGACCTTATGGGGTTCCTGAGAAATGATATAACACATGAAAGCGCTGGGCACCTGGCATGTGGTCAGGGTTCCAGAAATGTTTCACTCTCCCCTATCTTGCCCCAAAACACTTGGTTTTGAGCCCCAGTAAATGGGAAACACATTCATTGATTCAGCAAATTTGGATTGAGCATCGATGTCATGCCGAGCTCTGTGCTGGTGCTGGGGACATAGCAGTGAACAAGACAGACACAAAACCCTGCCCCCGCTGGAGCTAACACGCCATTGGAGACTTGGAGAAGTAAGAACAGCATGGGGTATGCCGCTGGGGATGAAGGTGAAGGGGGAAAAGGCACCGTGACCACACAGGGTAGAAAGACCACCAGCGCTAGAGACTGCCACTCAGAGATGTACTTTTCTCGCCATCCTGCACTGGAGGGGGTGGTCCCATTCAACCATGGGGGGTCTGAGTCTCAGAGAACTGGGGGCCTTGCTGGAGGCGCACAGCTGGTGTGGAAGCAGCTGCGCTCAGGTCTGCGTGGCTTTTCCTCTGCAGATCCACAGTGACAGGGCCCAGAAGTGACCACCCCCATGGTCCCCTGGGGAGACCGAGGCCCAGAGAGGGCCGGGCCCTGATCTGAGGTCACACAGCCCCTGGGTGTCCTGGAGGCATGAAAGCCCGTGGTCTTGGATGACCTCTGGCCCACTGGGTGGACTGGCTGAGTGTGTGAGGGTGACGATGGGAGTCCAGGAAGAGACACGTGCGTGGAGCCACAGGGGGAGGCTGTAGATGAAAACGCCCATGCGACCCCTCCGCTCGGCGACTTCAGGGAGCCAGGCCCGGGCCCTGGTATCCCACGCGGGACCCTTCCCTTCTACCTAGCACGGCGGCCGCGGAGGTGCGTCCGGCGGGCTCCGCGACCTCCAGCCCCGGGATCGGCGAGGCCGGCTGCTCACTCAGGTGTCCGGGTGCCCACTCGGCAGCGCGGGGCTCCCTCTGGGTGGGGGCGGGGGCTGGGACTGGGGTCAGAGGGCGCGGAGCCCCGCGGGGGGCGCACTGGGGCCCGCCCCGCCCCGGGCCCCTCCTCCGTTCCGCCCGCGCTGGGGGCGGCCCGGCGGCGGCGGCGGCGGCGCACGCTTCCTGCGGGCGCGGCCGCTGTGGGCGCGGAGCTGCGAGGCGGAGCCGGGCGGCCGAGCCGGGAGCCCGCGAGCCTAGAGCGCGTCGGTCCAGCCGCCGGGCCGCGCCGCCGCCAAGCAGCCGCCCCGCGCGCCGCGCCTCGGGAACAAAGGCGCCCGCCCGCCGCCCGCCGCCCGCGCCCGCGCCGCCGCCATGAAGCCGGGGCCGCCGCACCGTGCCGGGGCCGCCCACGGGGCCGGCGCCGGGGCCGGGGCCGCGGCCGGGCCCGGGGCCCGCGGGCTGCTCCTGCCACCGCTGCTGCTGCTGCTGCTGGCGGGGCGCGCCGCGGGGGTGAGTGACACGCGCCCGGATCCCCGCCACGGCTCCCCGGGGCCGCCCCCCGCGCGGGGTGCCGGTCCCCGCCCGCGACCCCCCCTCCGGGACCCCGCTCCCTCCCCCCCGGCTGCTTCCCCCGGGGCCGCGGTCCCTGCCACCCCTCGACCCTCCCCCGAGCGCCCCTTTCTGCACCCTGCTCCCCCCCCTCCGGAATCTCCCCCTAGCTGGCATCCGCGGGGAGAGGCCGCCCCCGCCGCTGGTCATCTTCGGGGGGCGCATCTCTCCTTCCTTTTGGGACCCCTCCCCAGAGGGAATCCCGGGAGGGAACCCGATCGCGGGTCCTCAGCCCTGTTCCCCCACCTCCCAGTGGCTCCGGGAACTGTCTCCCCGGGGACGAAGCGGGACCCCTGCGCTGGCCTGGGAGGCGCGAGAAGGACCCGGCGGCGGGCTGGGGGTCGCCGTCCCGGCTGGGTGTGTCTTGGGGTGGGAGTGAGCCTGGCTTTTGCCTCGTGGGTGTGCCCAGACCATGGCCACTTTTTGGGAATCGGATCGGTTCCCCTTCCGAGGGGAGGGTGTGCATTTGGTTCTTCCCAGGGTCGCGGCAGCCGGCCAGGGCAGTGGGCCCGGGAAGGGGAGGTGGAGGTGGAGGGTGACTTGGTGAAGGTGACCTGAGGGGGGAGTGAGGGTAACCCTGTGTGTGGGCGTGTGTGGGCGTGTGTGGCCAACTCAGTGAGGGGTGCGGGGACCTGTGGGGCGTGTGCAGGTGAAGGATGTGTCTGCCACATGGGTGGATGCCAGCGTGCCCTCCCGTCCGTGGTCGTGGGAGGGTGACCCATTGTGCATGATGTGTGCCTGTGCCTGGCTGGGCCACTGTTGGCTATGGCCGTGTGTGGCTGCAGTGGGTGAGGGTGTGTGTGTGAAAGACCTCTGGTGGGCGTGTGCTTGGACCCATGAATGTGTGTGAGTGCACATAGCAGCGTGTGCATGCAGGTGCATGGGGGACCCTGGACATAGGACGAGGACCCCTGAGGGGAACCAAGCATGTGCAGGTGGAGGTGATGGTATGTATGAGGTGACCCTTGAGTGTCCCTTTGAGTGACCGTAGCAGCCATGCTTGGTCCCAGCTCCGTCAGGGATGGCAGAGAAAGGAAGGACCTCATCCCCCTTTGAGGGATCCAGGCCCCAGATGAGTTCTTGTTGGACAAGTGTCCAGGTTCTGGCTCAGGCGGGCTGGGGATTTCTAGGTCCAGCCTCCCAGGTTGGTTCCAGGAGCTATGCTGTCCTGCATCCCCCAGGCTGAAAAGGACCCAGGCCTCTCAAGCAACACTGGGTGCCCAGCCGCCCTCTGCAAGTTCCTTCCCTTTCCCAGCCTCAGTGGGCCAGTCAGTAAGACAGGAGGAGGACAGGCAGGGGCTCCAAGCTTGCTTCTTGGATGGACAGGCCCCTCCTCAGCCTTCCCCATCTAGGGGGCTGTCAGCTGGAGGGAGGGGAAGTGTTGAGGGCTGACCTGTGTGAAGTGCCTGCTGGCCAGGATGTCTCATTCCCAGCTCTCCCCTAAGTGGGGTGAGAGGAAGAGGTCCCTGGGAGGGATAGAGACCCAGCACACCCTAGCAGCTGGGGTCGCCTTCTCAGCCAAATTTCTGAAAGACCATCCTTAAAATCAAAGGCTTGGGAATCACACAACCCTGGGTTCCAATCCTGCTACCCCCGCCGATTCGTGGCATGGTTTGGGCAGGTCCTCTTACTTCTCTGACCCTTGGTTGTCCCTCTGTGAAATGGGGCTAATGACCCCTTCCTCAGAGGGCAAAAATTCAATGGGATGACTGACGAGTGTCCTGAGAAGGAGCTCAGGAGTCATGTGGTGTGCACATGAATGAAAGGGGCTCAGGACAGAAAGCTTTAGACTTGGAGGCCAGGTGGAGCGCTGGGCAGGCCACTTTCCTTGCTGAATAAGGCTAATAATTCATACTCCACGAGGTGGTGGAAGGACTTAGTGAGAGCATTTAATAGCCTCATGCACAGTAGGGCCTCGCAACACGGGTGACCTGAATCTGAGAGGTGTGGCTCAGACCCAGTGTTGGGTGGCAGATCAAGCAGACCCTGGGAGTCTGAGCCCAGAGGCTGAAATGGTGGGTGGGGCCTGGGGGAGGGCAGGTACTGGGGCGCCTGGTGAGGTGGTGGGAAGTGGAGTGTCCTCCAGGCCTCACATCTTCCCATGGGTCAAGCTGTCAAGGAGGGGCATCATCCCTCTTGTCCTCATCTGACTTGGGAGGAAAAGGGTTAATGGGTGGTACCTGGTTGCCGGGGTTCCGCACCAGAGGGAGAGGGCAGTGCCTGCAGCAGGAGGGACTGAGGTTAGATCAGAAGAGCCCCAGCCAGGGAAGCTCCAGGGGTGGCCTTGGTAGATGAGCGGTGGCTGGCACAGGGCAGGGAAGGGCAGGGACATGATGACCCTTGGGTCACCTGCCAGCCTTTGTGTGTGTGTGTGTGTGTGTGTGTGTGTCTTCGTGTCTTTCAGCATGGGGATAGCAGGGAGAGCAGGCCTCATTCACACTGCAGATGGTGAATTGCAGTGTGTGTGTGTGTGTGTGTTTGTGTGTCTGTGTCTGTCTCCTGGCATCTCCTTTGAGGAGTCCCTCTTCTGACAGACCAAGTTACCAGGACTCTGAGGGACATCTGCCTTTAAGGCCACCTCAGCTACTGTACTTAAGTCACCACTCAAAGTTTTGGAGTGTGAGGATCCTGAACATTTTAGCTTTTGAAACATGTTCTTTCAAAAGTCCAGGGCTGGAAGGGATCTTAGGTGTTAGTCTTGTTTGAATACTCCCAGTGATGGGAGACCACTACCTTGTGGCTGTGTGACCTTGTGAAAGTTACCTAACCTCTCTGTGCCTTAGTTTCCACCTCTTTAAAATGGAGACAATGCGAGAATGGAAGGGCTTAATTTGGAAAGCTTTTAGCCCAGTGGCTGGCACCTACTAAGGGCTCAACAAATATGGATTTCTTGTTCTTTTACAAAGTTGCTGTACTGTGGTTGGGAAGGCAGGAGGGGTGGGGAGTGGAAGGGTGGGAGACGTGTGTGTGTGTGTGTGTGTGTGTGTGTGTGTTTGTGAGAGAGAGAGAGTACGGATGGGGGTGGGGGTGGGGGTGGGGTGGGGTGGGGGAATTAGTAGGGAATTCTTTTGAAGCTCAGCCCCAGGCCTGGTGGTTTCCGTTCCTTCCTCACCCTGTTTCAAGCATCCCTGCTCTTCTCCCCTCCAGGCTCCCCTGGGTGACTGTGAGCCTTGGGTTTCCAGGATGAGATAGTCCTCACCAAAAAAATGGAAAGTTGGGGGCCCCTGGGCTGTTCTGGGCCAGGCTCTTGGGTGAACCATCTCCCCTTCCAGCATTTGGGGGACAGGCACAGGGACACCACAGCTGTATGCTGCCTGTTAGCTCCCAAGGTACCAGGGGCTCTGGGGACAGACACCTGCTGTGTGATTTCCAGTGAGGGATTTCTTTCTGTCTCAAAGTCCTTGTCTATAAAATGCGGACAGTAATGGTGTCAGCCTCACAGGGATGTTGTGACTTGGAAATGAGCTGCTTGAGTAGACCGAGCACACCTGCCACGTAGTGAGCTCTCAGGAGATGGGACCTTTCTGGGAGGGAGCATGGATGGGGTCAGGGAAGGCTTCCTGGAGGAGGAGGGTTTTGAGCTAAGCAATGAAAGTGGTCATCACATGACAGTAGCAGGCTGTAACCTGCCCTGACCCTCAGCTTTCTTACCTGTCAACTGGGGGCAACAAATACTTGGCTTTTAGAATCACTACTGGGGGCTGTGACTCTATCCTCAAGGCAGGGCTGGGATTTGAACCTGAAGCCTCCTGCTCTCTGGGGAGGAGTGAGCACAATGCCTCCAGCTGTGAGTTCAGTGTGTTGGGGGTTGGTGCGAGGTGAGCTGTGCTGGAAAAAAAAGTGAAAGAAAACAACAAACAAAAAACAAAAAAAATGGCCTTTTGAAACCCAGTGGCTCCTCCCACCTCATACAAGCGGGCATAGGGTCCCTGGGGGGTCCGGGGCAGCAGGAGTGGTGGCAGTGGTGGGGAGAGCGAGGGGGGGCTCATCCCAAGTGGGAGAGAGAGGTCATGTTTACCGAGAGCCCCGCCCACCAAGCACTTTACATGTATCGGCTTATTTCATCCTTACAATAATTTTTTGATGTAGGAATTATTAGAATCCTCATTTTAGTATTTTATTTTATTTAGAGACAGAGTCTCTATCGCCAAGGCTGGAGTGTGGTGGTATGATCCTGGCTCACTGCAACCTCTGCCTCCTGAGTACAAGCGATTCTCCCACCTCAGCCTCCCAAGTAGCTGGGATTACAGGCACCTGACACCACACCTGCCTAATTTTTGTATTTTTAGTAGAGATGGGGTTTCACCATGTTGCCCAGGCTGTTCTCGAACACCTGACCTCAAGTGATCTTCCCACCTCGGCCCCCGCAAAGTGCTGGGATTACAGTTGTGAGCCACAACCCCCAGCCAGAACCCCCATTTTACAGAGGAGAAAACTGAGGCACAGAGAGGCTCAGTGACTTACTCAAAGTCACACAGCCAGAAGTGGCAGAGCTAGTATGAGCCAGGGCCTGACAGGCTAATGGGACTGGGCTGCAGTCCTAAATTTACCCCCTCTTGCTGTGTGATCTTAGGCAAGCTGCTTTACCTCTCTGGGGCCTCCCTACCCCCTGGATTATGTCTGCATTAGCTACTGTTTAGTAAATGCCTGCTCTTCTGGCGGGGTGGGGCTGGGAAGGGGGTTGGTCCCATATCTTTTCTCACTTAATTCTCCCACAGCCCTGGAGGTCAGTGATGCTGTCTCACCCTGTGGGAGGGATTGGCCAGGGCTCTTCCTCATCTACCGCCTCCCAAGGCTCTGTAGCCCATAAAAGCAGCTACTCTGAGGGCCACTGGGGGTGTATGGGGTGGGGAGAGAGAGCTTTATAAACTGCGAAGGGCTGTCAGCAAGATTGTGTGTGCGTGCATGTGTACATTTGTGTGTGTGCCCACACATGTGTATGCGGAAGGGAGTTTATGTCTGGGTCATGTGGTCAGGGCACAGGAGAGGGGAAATGTTTGGAATCTCAGGATGAGAGGGGTCTAAAAAGCCACCATAAGCCCTGATATGTGCCAGATGCCCCCAGTGTTGGGGACTGAGTCTGCAGAGGTGACCAGGCCTGCCTTTAACCCCCTCTGGCCCTTAGAAAGTGTGTGGAGGCCAAATCCGTGTTCCTCCTGCTCCATCTCTGAGCACTGGCCCCATTGCAGCCAAGATTCTCTCTGGCCTCATAGTGATTGAGGCTTAGAGATGGGGTGTGACTTGGTGGGGGTCCCCCAGCTGTCAGGAGTGATGTCAGTGCTTTCTTGATAGACTTTGAGCTTCCTGGGCAGGCTCGTGGCTGCCATGTTTTCTCACTGAACCCCCAGGGACCACTCTGTGCTTGGTGCAGGCTCGAGTGAATGATTCAAAGGAATGAATGAATGAATGAGGGAATAAAGGAATGAAGGAAGCCGGGACTGTGAGCTATGGAGCCCAGGCAGGGGCTTGTGTCCTTTCCTGTGTAGGTGGGTTGGGGACAGTGAGGCTGGCAGAGTCCTGCTGCATGCAAGGCATGTGCCCGTGGGCTGGGAGGCGCCAGGGGGCTGCATCGGGCGGGCCTTCAGTCTGAGTGCCAAGGCACTGCCACCACCACATCTGGGCAGGACCGAGGGACTGTGGCTCTGGACTACAGCCCAGCTGCTTGGAGCCCTTTGATTTTGTGTCTCAAGGGACAGGGTGGCCAGAGCCAGGAGCTGCCCAGGCCCCAGGCCCTTGCTCCCATCATCCCCCCAAACCCCTGTCCCAGCAGGGAGCAGGGTCCTGGACTTCCTGACCTGTCTCACTGGCCCCTCCAGGCCTCTGTCCTCCATAACATCACATCCTGGGAACATCGGGCTGGCTCTTGGTAAATATTTGTTGATGGCACCCCCCACACCCTCACTCCCCTTGGCTCCCAGCCTCCCCAGATTCCAGGAGGCCTGGTGGCCTTCACTTCCGGCCCCCCTCCCGCCATGGCCAGAGGGGCAGCCACTCCCCTCCCCCACTGGCCAAGCCCAGTCTCAGCGCCAAACAGGAAGCCGTGATTACAGGGGGAGCCTGAGCGGCCATGGCTGAGGGCCCAGCAGTGGGGGTGGCGGTGGCCCCAACAAATGATCTGGCCCTTTTTTTACCTGGCTGCTGTGGGTGGAGGGCAGGAAACGCCTATGCTGGCCTTTTATACCAGGTGGAGAGGGTTCTACAACCCCTGTTGCCCCAGCTGGCTGAGGCCTGCCTTCTCCCCACCCCTGGCCTTGGTGCTATGTCTGTTTTGGGGTGTCCCAAGCCTGAGGGGGCAGCTTGAAGTCATCGAAGGAGTAGGGATCCTGGAGCCAGCTGATTCAGGGTTGAAATCCTGGCTTTGTCACATTCCTGCTGTGTGACCTTGGTGAGTTCACCTAACCTCTCTGAACCCGCAGTCTCCTCTTCTTTAAAATGGGACCTCAGGGTTGCTTGAGAATTAGTAATATAAAGTAATAAAGTAAATAAAGTACTAAAGTAAATAAGGAGCGGGCTGCTCCTGCAAATCTTGTTTTTTTTCCATTCACCTGCCTTGGTTTTTGTTCTTTTTCTGTCCCTCTCTGGGTCTTACTGAAGAACTACTGCTTGGGGGTGAGGAGCAGGGTTTTCTTTTGGAGAGAGGGGGAACTAAGTTTGAATAATCATGGATGGCCTGAAGGAGAACTCTGGGGGTGGGGGTACCCTTAGAAGGAGACCAAGGGCCGGACTCCCAGTTGGAGCCAGCAGGACTTAAGCCAGATGAGAGGAAGCACATTCTAGGGTCCGTGGTGCTGAGTTTCTGGGGGCTGGTTCTCCAGAGCTGTTGAGCAGCCTGCAGTCCATCCTGCATGATGACTCTTCAGGCCCTTCCACTCCTGGAACTCCAGAGAGGCCTTGTTATTTGCAGCTTGAGCCCAGGACTTGGTGAGACTGGGTGCTTTCCATTTTCCTCCCAGCCAGGGAGCATCTCGGCTGTGTTCTGTCTGTCACATGGGCCCTGGCCCAGAGTAGGTGACTATTGATGTTTACGCAGGATCTCAGGGGTGGAGAGTCCTAGAGAGATGGCCAGCCCTACAGCCTGACATCCCACAGCTGATGGCCCAGCCACAGCCTGGGGCCTTGCCAATGGATTGGGGCTGGCTCTCCAGCCTTAGATGGTCCCACTGAGCCTCCCACCACTCTTGAGGGGCTGGTGGGATTCCCCTTATTTAGAGGAAGGCTCAGAGATGTTAGGCCACCTGCCAAAGCACACACAGCCAGGAGCTGGTGGAGCCTGGTGTTCATTTGCCCCTTCTCCTACCCTGGAGCCCCATCTGATCTTGTCGTCACATCCCCTACTTAGCCAGGGTTTTCTGGGGGTGCAGCTGGGACTGGGGATAACACTGACTTGGGCCTTCATCCTGCTTTTGGATGGGCCATGGGCTTCCAGGGTGCTGTCTGGTGCTGCTTCACCCTGGGGTTAGCCTTGGCCCAGGCGACCCTAGAGATTCCTGTACCCCCTGCACTGCCAGCTAGGACCCCCCCATCCATCCTGCCCTCCCCCATCCCTGCCTGCCAGCCCAGACTTTAATGAGGGTAATTTAGAATCAATCACCAGCGGGATCTGGGAAATCTAATTGCAGCAAACTGATTGCCAATTCGATTGCGGGCACCAGGGGGCTGTGGGCGGCTCATTAGACCTGTCCCCCTCCCTGGGCTGGGGCTTGGGGGTGCTCCGTGGGGGATGCAGGGCCTGAGTAGGCAAGGCTCCTGGAGAGCTGGGGGGAGGTGGACTGTTGTTTTGGGAGCAGGGGAAGGGCATTTTTACCTGACAGAAGCCATACACTATTCCCTGTCCAGGCCCACAGTTGGGGTATAGGTGCCTGTGTCAGTCTTTACCCTCTGTCATCCACCCCTTGCTTAATGCCCCCTCCTCAAGGCCTGGATGCCATTGTTGGGGGGTGTCTGCAGCTGCATCTTACCTGGTTCCTGCCTTCAAGATGCTCCCTGTGTCAGGGAGACAGACACAAGCACAGATGATGACGAGGAAGATGATGAGAAAGATAACGGCCAATACTTACTGCTGCATGTCATGTGCTAGGTGTGGTTCTAAGTGCTTAACATGCTTTATCTCAGTGGGTCCTCACTATGGCCCTGTGAGGCAGGCATGGTTACCCCATTTTACAGATGGGGGCACAGAGGCCCTGAGAGGTTGAGCAATGTGCCCACAGTGGGGCAGTTAGCAGGACTCTGAGCCTGGAGCCTGGGTGCTTATGGAGATGCTCGTTCAAGAGCGTGGGGAAAAGAAAGGGCGATCAGACTGTTACTGTGTCTATGTAGAAAAGGAAGACATAAGAAACTCCATTTTGATCTCTTTCTTTTCCCCACACAAGGGCATCAGGCAGACGTGTGGGCTCCTGCATGGGCGCCTGTCTTGATTGACTGCGTTGCTCACTCAGCAGACATTTACTAAGCACCTGCTGTATATGAAGCCCTGTGCAAGGGGGCTGTCAGTGTTCAGTTGTGTCGTGTGTGTCCTATGTCTTGTCTGGCCATGTCTTGCTTCAGGCAGGTTTACTGGTGGCAGGTGCATGTGCTTTTGTGAGGTCTCGAGGGGGGAATTGAAGAGAAGCAGGGAGGAAGCCCTACCCCTCCTCCCTGACAGGCTGAGCCCCAGCTCTGCCATTAGAAGTGGGTGGATTTTGGCTGGGCGAGGTAGCTCACGCCTGTAATCCCAGCACTTTGGGAGGCCAAGGCGGGTGGATCATGAGGTCAGGAGTTCAAGACCCACCTGGCCAAGATGGTGAAACTCCATCTCTACTAAAGACACAAAAATTAGCCAGGCGGTGGCAGGTGCCTGTAATCCCAGCTTCTTGGGTGGCTGAGGCAGAGAATTGCTTGAACCCGGGAGGCGGAGGTTGCAGTGAGCCGAGATCGCATCACTGCACTCTCGCCTGGGTGACAGAGCGCGACTGTCTCAAAAACAACAAGGCAGGCTTGGTGACTCATGCCTGTAATCCCAACACTTTGGGAGGCCGAGGCGAGCAGATCACAAGGTCAGGAGTTCGAGACCAGCCTGACCAACATGGTGAAACCCCATCTCTACTAAAAATACAAAAATTAGCTGGGCATGGTGGTGCACACCTGTAATCCCAGCTACTCCAGAGGCTGAGGCAGGAGAATTGCTTGATCCTGGGAGGTGGAGGTTGCAGTGAACTGAGATTGTGCCACTGCACTCCAGCCTGGGCAACAGAGCGAGACTCCATCTCAAACAACAACAACGAAACGAAGAAGTGGGTGGATTTGGCTAAGTGACTCTTGACTCAGCCTTAGTCTCCTCTTCTGTCAGACAGATCCAGTGATCCCTGACCCGTTAGGTGGTGGTGAGGAGTGGTGGGAGGTGCAGATGGTTAAAAGGAACCTGCTGCTGGGTGATGACTTTTAATTATTATACATTCCCCAAGGTGGTTGTGTCTCAGAGGTGAATTTGCCACTAGCTTGTCAAGTGGTAGCAGGCAGCCTGTTCCCTCTCTGGGCCTCCACTTCCACGTCTGTTAAATGGGAAGAGTGAATGGTGACCCAGGGGCCCTTGTAGTCTTCAGATTTGAGGAACTATCAGAAAGACCTGAGGCCAGAGACAGGGCCTGACCTAGAGTTGGCTTAGTGGGGAAGGGCAGGCAGGACGGCTGGCCTGGGTGGGGAGGGGAGGCCTGCTCCCTTCACGTGGCTTGTCTCTGGTTCCTCTTGGGCCAGGGTAGGAGGCATCTCTTTCCTTGCCCATCACGCTGGGCACCACCACCCTCCCTGAACCCTGGAACATGATCATCAGTTCCAAGCTAGCTGGGGGCTGGGCAGGGAGTCCAGTACCTGGATCCTTATCCCCACTGTGCTACTGTTTACTGATGGACCCTCTGTGTCTGGTCTCAGCCGAGCACTAGGGACCCCCAGGGGGCTCAGCTTGGTCCCTGACATTAGGAAGCTCTCAATTCTGTGGGGTAATGAGAGGTTGATTTAGACCCTGAAGACTAGGAAGACTTCATGGAGGAGGCGTCCTTTGTACCAGGCCTTGACAGATGGCAGCACATTGATAGGGGGACTAGGATGGACAAAGTCTGAGAAGTGGGGAAGGTCGCAGTATATCAGGGAGCTACCACATGTGGAGAGGGGAACACGCCTCCCTTGGCGGCGAGGGGTCACTGCTGTAGGGGCCGCCCTTTCTGATGAGAGTGTGTTTCATGCCTTTAACACACAGTCACCAGGTACCTGGTGGGTGTCTGGCCCTGTGCCTCAGTTCTTGTTCTGAACAGTTGAACCCCACAGGTCCTCCACATGGAAGAGCTCACTGGCTCACAAGGTGGGCTTTGAGTCCAAACCAAGGCATTTGGGTACTGTCCTGCAGGTAGAGGGTGCTGCCCTTTTGTCGTGAGGAGATAGCATGAGATGCCGGAGCTTGGAGGTGACATATTGAGTTCTGCCCATTGAGTGCCTGCCACTCGCAAAACACTCGGCCAAATGTTTCATCTATAAACAATCCTTAGCCTTATGAGGGAGATGCCATTGTAATCTTCATTTTACAAAAGAGGAAATCAAGGTACAGAGAGGTTAAATAATTTGTGCAAGGTCACAGAGCTAGTGAGTGGCCCAGCTGGGATTTGAATCCAAGCAGCCTGCCCCTGGAGTCCCATCTAGTACATAAGCACTGCTTCATGCTGCCGTGTACATTTCTAACTGTAAAGCATGGTATCCCTACAGGATGAATGTAGGGCCAATCAGGCCTTGCTGGGTACCTGAACTTGTGTGGCTGTTGTCGGGCAGGCCCTTTCTTGGGACTTTGGGCTCCTGGCTTCCACATGGATCTGTTCTCTGCAGCATATTTTCTGTCTGTATGGGGCTATGGGCAGAGGCTAACCCAGGCTGGGGAAAGATCAGATGGCTGGAGAGGATTTCAGCTGGAAGGGCCCTTGAAAATACTCTTGTCCAAATTGTTCACTGTTCCAAAGGGGACACTGAGGCCAAAGCATTGATCTCGAGTCATCATGAGTATCTTCTGAGAGTCTATAATTCAACTTTCTTACATGACATTTGGGGAAGTTGAGGATCAGAGAAGTGCAATGATTTGTCCAAAGTACACAACAAGTTGATGGCTGAGCTGGGACTAAGAGCTCTGTCTCCTGACTCCTGGGCAGGGCACTATCCCCTGTACTATGTTCCTTTTCTGTACTTGTCTCTGCTCTGTCCAGAATGCAGGCTCAGCTCCTCCCACACCCTTCTTCCAGGAAGCCTTCCTTGACCACCCCAGCTGCCCATATATGCCCAATATTTCCTATGCCAAATTAATTCCCGTCAGTGCCTTCAATGCACTTCTCCAGCCTCATCCCTTTGCCTTCCCACGCTCCTGTTTTTTTGTTTTTGGCATGGACTTTTACTCTGTTGCCCAGATTGGAGTGCAGTGGTGTGATCTTGGTTCACTGCAACCTCCGCTTCCCGGGTTCAAGCAATTCTCCTGGCTCAGCCTCCTGAGTAGCTGGAACTACAGGCCCATGCCACCATGCCTGGCTAATATTTTGGATTTTTGGTATAAACGGGGTTTTACTATGTTGGCCAGGCTGGTTTCGAACTACTGGCCTCAAATGATCCACCTACCTCAGCCTCCCAAAATGCTGAGCCCAAAATGCTCCCAAATGTAAGCCCAGTCTGTACATCCCACGCTTCTACCAGCCCTCCTGAGCACAGAGCATACCATTGTCTCTTTTTCCTTCATGCCTACCCAGATGCTGTTCCCTCTTCATGGACTGTTCCTTTATTCTTCAGTGAACTCCTACACATCCTCTAAAACCCAGCACAGATGTCTCCTCCTCTGGGAATCCAATAATGACCCCTCCTACCAGCCCCCAAGCACAGTAAGCCACTCCTCAGCCCCCTCACTCCTGCCTCCCTCTTCTAGGTTCCTAGGTGCCTCTTCTACCTGTTAGGATTCTTTGCCAAGCCCAATTATGTTATTTCACTTCGTAGTGTCTGGTTCCCCTCAGGGTTACATTGTTACCACCTTGGAGCTCTCACTTGGATACATTGTTGCAGCTGCTAATTCCCCATTACATCATCTCCCCTCCAACCCTCACACATGGTACTTTGTTACATTTCCCCAAATTCTGACATTGCTACTTTGTTTCTTTTCCCTGCTTTCACACGTCCTCAATCTGTTTCACTCCTAGTTCTCCCCTGTTGTCACATTTGGTCCTTTCTCCCCAGCCCCCAGCTCATGTGACCCCCAAGACTGGGAGAAGAGGAAAGTGGAGCCTGGCAGCAGGGAGCAGTGGGCACCCAGTGAGCTATGGAGGTGCAGGCGGGGAGAGGTGCACTGGAGCCTGTTTGGCTCCGTCTTTCTGGAGGGTGGACAGACTGTGGGCTCGGAGGCTCAGGCTCGGTTTTGAGGAGACCTTCTCCTCTCCAACCTCCCTCCTCTCCATCTCCTCCTCCGTCTCTGCTCAGCCCCCCTCCCTCCCTCCCTCCTCCCACCCTCCTCCTCTTACTCGCTTCCTCCCCCTGCTCTGCTTCCCTAGAGGCCCTTATCTTGCTCCCTGGCTGGTTGGAACCTCCCATGTCCCTGGCTGTGACCCACCAGGGCCAGAACCTGAGGGCTCCCCTTGGGGACAGGGGTCTTGAGGGCTGAGGGGGTAGTTAGGACCAAGGCTAGAGGGATTCTTGATTCTTCTTTAGTTCCTTGCCCTCCCGGCCCCAGAACTCACAGTTCCCTGCATCCGTCCCTCCTGAAATGGAGTTTTGGGGCAAAGAGCCAGGAATCAGCCCTGGCCTTGCTGTTCAGATGAGGAGACTGAACCCAGAGATGAAGTGTGGCTGTTGAGGGTCACTCAGCAGTGAGAAGTGGAACAGCTTCCCCGGGGCTGAAGCCCCTACATGGCCTCTGGGAGCTGAGCCCTGGCTGGCTGGATCCTATTCTCATGTGAGCTGCGGAGCTGGGGGGCTTGTGGGGACAATCTCAGATCCAGAGGGAGCTCAGCTGTGTCTTGAGGGATGGTCTGCAAGGCTGCAAGTGAGGCCAGGTAATCCTTTTTCCACGTGGAGCTAAGGCCATGTTTCTGTTTAGGACGTTAGTTTGGGTTAGGGGTTTGCGTGTACCTGCAACATGTGTGATGGCATGTTGTTGTGTGTCTGTGCTGATGCATGGGGCCCTGGTGTCTTTGTAGGAAAAAGTGTTTGTAGCCTATGCCAGGGGGATCAGGAGTCCCCCAACTGCTGTCCCTCCCCCTGCCTCAGCTCCAGGGGCTTACCCGCAACACTGTGGATTAAGGAAGTTGGGAGATGCTCTCTACCTTGGGAGGCTCAGATGCATGCTTACAAATGGAGGAACATGGACCTGTGCAAATACCCTTGTCCTGTGCACACGTGTAGAGACAGAGACAGGGACACACATACACTGCCATGTGCACAGGTACCACTCAGAGACACAGCCCTCCACGCTAACATGGACACACTCAGACCCACACAGGCATCTAAGCCACTCGAGACAGCCCTAGGCATACACACATGGATGCACCTAGACAGACACACACGCCCAGAAATACCCCTGAATGTGCTTGGATGTGTGCATGTGCATGCCTGTGTACGCCCACACATTCACACATACACACACACACTCCCCACACACACCCACACACTCTCACCCACACACTCACAGTCATCCACACACACTCACCCACACACACCCCACACACACCCACACACTCTCACCCACACTCACACTCATCCACACACACCCACACACACGTAGCCCACACATACACCCACACACTCTCACCCACACACACTCATCCACGCACACTCTCACCCACTCACACTCTCACCCACTCATACTCACCCCCCACATTCATCCACACCCCCCCACACACTCATCCACCCCCCCACACTCATCCACACACTCAATGCACACACTCACCCCCACACACACATTCTCACTCCCCCACACACTCACACTCTCACCCACACACACACTCACACACACTCATCCACACACCCCACACACACTCATCCACACACTCATGCACACACACCCCCACACACTCTCTCACTCCCCCACACACACTCACCCACACACAC
Organism: Homo sapiens; assembly: GCF_000001405.40. Classification (NCBI taxonomy): domain Eukaryota; kingdom Metazoa; phylum Chordata; class Mammalia; order Primates; family Hominidae; genus Homo; species Homo sapiens. Next base: position 30,894,258 of record NC_000001.11, on the reverse strand, counting down.
ACATACTCATCCACACACACGCTGTCGTCCCCACACACTCACACACACACTCTCATGCACACACACGCACTCTTACCCCCACACCCACTCACACACACGCACACTCACAATCACACACTCTCTCTCACACACACACACTGCTGGGGCTCTGAGCTACGAAAATATGTCTGTCCTTAATCCTGACTCTTAATCCCAGGGTCTAGGAGCCCAGGCCAGAGGGGCAGCTGGTCATCTGGCCTCGTTAGAGGTGATTAAGGCAGGAGCAGTGTGTGTGGTGTGTGTGTGGAGGGCCTCAGAGCTTTGTTTTCTGCCTGACCTCCAGGGACACTTCTCACTCCCCCGCACCCTGCACTAAAAAACCAACCTTGGATTCCTTCGGAGATGCAGTTATATGTTATTTACCACACTCTGGATGCCGGCAGGCTAGGGGGTAGCAGGAGAGGGAGTGTGGCTGTGCCCCTGAGGAAATTGACAGCTGGGGTCAGAGAGGCCAGGAGACGCGGGTCCCTTTATTTCACCACCTGCCTGGGGAAACCCTGATCAGAGTCTTCGGCACTAGGGCCTCGTGGGGATTCTGATTTCTGGGGGGGATTCTGTTTCTTTGATCAGAGCATTTCTGACTTATGGGAAAATGATGCCCAACCAAGAGATGTTGAAGTTGGGGCCCTGAGCAGGGAGGAGGGGTGGTTGCCTGAGACTAGGGTGGGATGGGGACGCCTCCATGAGGAGGGGACGCGTGAGCTGGGCATTAAGGGTGCTGGCTCCTGGGGCATTTTGAAATTTTTGGTTGTCATAGTAGTGGAAGTGCAGCTGGCATTGGCCAGGTGGGGGTCGGGCTGCTAAATGGCTACAGTGTCCAGAACAGTCCCGCTGGTGGAAAATCGTCCTGCCCAGGTACCAATAGTGTTGCTTTTGACAAATGTTTGGTCATGAGACATGGTGGGGGGGGGGGGGGCTCCTGGTGGGTGGGGTGGGTATGGACCATGGCACAGTGGTGAGACTGTCTTTGTCATGCTGTGGGAGGGAGGAACATTCCACACTGCCTGGGGCACCGTGGAGGTGCACAGAGATTGCATGGGCCGATTCCCCTGACCCTGCACCTTCCCCACCCTCAGCACTTCCCTCCCTTTTGCCTTTCCATGTTTACAGGGATGTGTGTCCCGTGTTGTGTCTAAGGGGATGGCCGTGATAAATGGTGGAAAGAGGGCGTTTGGGCATCAGCCCAACTTGGCTGTTGGGCTGGCCTTTCCCTGGTGGAGCTCCCTATAGGGGAGGGGGCCACGCTGCTGTGACTCGGTCCCTAATGGCAGCAGCTGGCCTCTGATCCTGCCGGGGGAGGCTCAGGGGAGGATGAATCAGCTGAGACTTGACATGGACTTGGACTTGGACTTTGACCTCTGCATGTCAGCTGGGTGAACTTGGGCAGGTCACTATACTTGTGTCGTCCTCTGAGCCTGTGTTGTCCTCTATGAAGCTGGAGGGTGACCATGGTGCTACAGGGTGTTGCAAGAGCTAGGGCTTACTTGGCGCAGAGTCCAGCACACTGCTCTGCTCACAGGCTGCTACTAGTCATGGTAAATGTTGGGGGAGTGGCCATGAGAGCCCACCATCACCACAGAGGTGGCAGTCACTACCCATCCTCGTCCTGGGTTTGGGGAACAAGACTGTGTTCTAGCAACAGCCACTTGCCTGAAGTCCAACTTTGAGTCCATCTTTTCTAGCCCAGTTCCTCTCCCACAAGCACTGTCTACTGCAGAGCTTTGGTTTCTGTTTGGTAGACTGTTTTAGGATCATTCATTCATTCATTCATTCATTCCCTGGGGGCCTGGGGGCCTGGGGCTAAGGCTGGTGGGCAACCTTGCCCTGGTGGAGCTTCCTACAGGGGAGGGGGCCAAGCTGGTGTGACTAGGTCCCTACTGGCAGAAGCTGGGCTTCTGATCCTGCCTGGGGATGCTCAGGGAGCTATTCCTGGTGGAGTGGGTGGGTCAGCTGAGACCTGAAGCAGTTTGATTCAGGGAAGCCACGTTCAGGTGACACATGAGGAGTGGAGGCCAGGCCTTATCCCTGGGCTGCAGGGATAGGGGCCAGGGCACTCAGGGTCCTTGAGCCCTGGCAGGTGTTTGGACTCTGAGCTCAGTGGGGGAGAGGAAGAGCCTGTAGCTGTGTGGAGAAGGGGCTGGCAGGATACCTGGGGAACGCAGGACCTGCAGGAGGCTGGAGGAGGATGTTGGGTTGGGGGGGTGAGCACTGGGTTTTCTTTGGCTCCCTGCACCCCATTGCTGAGGGGCAGGGGGTCCTTGTAGAGTTCTTGGCCTCCCCACTCAGGATCCTCTGTGGTCCCTGCCTGGCAGTCTAAGGCACTGTGAGGCCTCCTCCCTTCTTCTTCTTCCTCTTTTTTTTTTTTTTTTGACGGCGTCTCACTGTGTCGCCCAGGCTGGAGTGCAGTGGCGTGATCTTGGCTCACTGCAATCTCCACCTCCCGGGTTCAAGCCATCCTCCTGCCTCAGCCTTCTGAGTAGCTGGGATTACAGGTGTGCGCCACCATGCCCAGCTAATTTTTGTATTTTTAGTAGAGACGGGGTCTCGAACTCCTGATCTCGTGATCCACCCGCCTCAGCCTCCCAAAATTCTGGGATTACAGGTGTGAGCCACTGCTCCTGGCCTCCTCCTCCCTTCTTAATGGCTGAGAGATCAGAGTCTGGGAGGCAAAGCCAAGGTGTTGAGGCTCAAGACAGGGCCTAAGGGGTTTTAGGCTTCATACCTGAGTTCAGCCAGGCAGGAGAGACGGGGCTACCGAGCACCTTCCAGACAAAGGCCTGGTAGCTCCAGCCCAGGCCTAGCCCAGGACAGACAGGCCTCTGCCAGAGAGTAGAGTGGAAACCACCCGAGGGGCTTGGCGGCTGCCAGCTGTGCTGGGCGGAGCTGGTGCTTGGGAGCCAGGTGAAGATGGGGCCAGGGTGAAGGGTGGGGCCTGAAGAGGCACCTGTCCTCAGGGTTGCCCTAGACAGCCATGGGGACAGAGGGCAGATGGACTTGAGTTAAAATTCAGGCGTGTTTTACCACTGGGACCCTGATAGGCTCTGCCCCTTCCCTGGCAGGGACATATCCTCATGCCTTTTCCTGAGGGCAGCCAGGGGTGAGGCACATGGTCAAAGGGTGGGGTGGGGCATCCGGAACCACTGAGGGCTGCAGCTGGAATGCTGGGGTCGAGGGTTGGGGACGGCAGATAGCCTGGGTCTGGAGTCCCTGGAGTCTCTGAAGACTCTGGGCTGAGCCTGTCCCCCTCCACTGGCCCCACCTGACAAAGTGGCCTTTGAACAGCCTAGAAGAGGCAGTTGCTGAGCTGGGCCTCCCACTTGTGGTCTGCGGACTAAACGTTTGCCTGTCTGGGGGCGGGGGCTGTGGAGGCTTCACCTGAGGCTTGGTAAGAAGATGTTCAAATGGGAGAGGAGGTGAGCAGGGCCAAGACAAGCGTGTTGTCAGGATAAGGAATGCTGGGCTTCTCTGAACTTGAGTCCAGGCTCTGCTGTGTGACCCTGGGCAAGTTTCTTGTCCTCTCTGAGCCTCAGTCTCATATTCATTGTTATTTTTGAAACAACAGCTTTATTGATATATAACTCATATACATCTTGCCCATCTAAAGTATTTAATTCAGTGGTTTTTAGTATATTTACATAGTTGTAAAGCCATCACTAAATTTAGAACGTTTTTATCACCCCAGAAAGAAACGCTGTACCCATTAACAGTTGCTCCTTGTTTCTCCACAATCCCTGCAGGCATAGGCTGTCACTAATCTATTTTCTGTCTGTATGGATTTGCCTATCCCAGACATTTCATATAAATGGAATAATATAATATGTGGTCTTTTGTGGCCAATTTCTTTCACTTAACATAATGGTTTCAAGGTTCATCCACACTGTAGTATCAGTATTAGTTCATTTGTTTATTTTTGAGACTGAGTTTTGCTCTTGTTGCCCAGGCTGGGGTGCAATGGCATGATCTCGGCTCCCTGCAACCTCTGCCTCCCAGGTTCAAGCAATTCTGCCTCAGCCTCCCAAATAGCTGGGACTACAGGCACGTGCCACCACACCTTGCTAATTTTGTATTTTTAGTAGAGATGGGGTTTTACCATGTTGCCCAGGCTGGTCTCGAACTCCTGACCTCAGGTGACCCTCCCACCTCGGCCTCCCAAAGTGTTGGGATTACAGGTGTGAGCCACCATGCCCAGCCTCAGTATTAGTTTTTTTTTCTTTTGCCAAATAATATTCCATTGTATGAACATACCACATTTTATTTATTCATTCATCAGCTGATGGATATTTGGGTGGTTTCAATCTTTTGGCTATTATGAATAATGCTACCTTTTTTGGTGTGTGGACATATATATTTTCATTTTTCTTGAATATATACCCTAGGAGTAGAATTACTGAGTCATATGGAAACTCCATTTAACATTTTGAGAGACTGCCAGCCTCTTTCCTAAAGCGGCTGTGCTGTTTTACATTCCCACCAGTGGTGTGTGAGGGTTCCGATTTCCCCACGTCCTCGCCAACGCTTGTGATTATCTGACTTTTTGATCACATTCATTCTTGCATCCATTCATCCCTCAAGTATTTATAGAACATCTATATTCAACAAGGCAGAAGGCCCACTGCAGAGCTGGGAAGGGAATTTATCCCTTGAAGAGTTGTTTAGAAGATTCCATGGCATAATATCTAGAACAACCCCCACCAAGCTCAGCACATAGTAGATGCTCAGAGACGGGAGACAGGGAGCATCAAGGAGAGGATCTGGGGGTGGTCAGCAACCATGGGGCCCCCGGGAATGGAGGAAAAGAGGATGGAATTTGTACGTGCTGACCACGTACTGTGTGTGGGAACCAGTGCTTCAGTCCTTATGACCCTCTGGGCCATATCATTGTTCCATTTGCAGATGGTGGAACTGAGGCTCAAGCCAAGCAGCTTGTTCTGGGTCACTAGGCTGAGAAGTAGTCAGACTGTGGGCTGAGAGCCTTGTTTGGATCATCTTATTTAATCCTCCCAACCCCTGAGGTCAGTCCTATTACTATACCCATTTAGTAGGTGAAGAAACTGAGGCTCAGAGAGGTAGACTGACTTGCCCAGAGTCGCGTAGCTGGTGAAGTTCTGTCCTGGGATTTGGAGCCACATAGTCGAGCATCAGAGTCCCTGCTGTGTCTCCCAGGCCTCTGGAGGGGAGGGTGAGGGCTTGGACATGTCTGCTCCCTCCTTCCCTCCCTTTCTCACCCCACTGTGTCCCACAGAGCCTCATCTTGGGTTGGAGACAGTCCTGGGGCAAGTGTGGCCCTAGGCTGGCTTTTGAGGGCCCTGCCAACCCTTCTTCCAGCCTTTTTGTCTGATGCCTTGCTCTGTGCCTCAGTTTCCCATCTGGGTGATGGTGGTGGTGACTTCCAAGGCTGCTGTGGCTCAGATCATCTGAGTCTGGCTTGTTCTGTCCCTAGAAGAGGAGCAGCCGAGAAGCCAGTGGGACTGCTCCAGGCTGGGGGCGGGGAGTGGCATCTCCACTGTGTGTGAGTTTGGGCTGGTTATAAATAACCCAGCAAACAGGAGGGTGCGGGGAACCACAGCCCGCCTCCTCAGGAGGAGAGGCCTGGACACACACACACATTCTTACAGACAGGGCCGTTTCAGTTATGTGTGTGTGTGTGCTGTGTGTGCCCAGGGTGTATGCTCAGCATGTGTGTGGGGAGGGCTTTGGGGAGCCGTCAGAGCTGTGCAGGCTCCCGGGACAGCTGGAAGGTCTGGGCCTGCTCAGGCTGACTCCAGCAGGTTCTCTTCAGTTCCCTGGAGGAGGCTGGGGTCAGCCCAGCAGAGCTCTAGGGCTGGCGAGGTCCCTGGAGCCCCCTCACCTGGCTTCAAGTGATTCCAAGGTCAGGCTGAGGATCCTTCTGCTCTTAGGGGCCTCCATGTGCTCCTCCAGCCCCTTCCCACTGCCACGTCCCACCCTGCCTGCTCTCCCTGTCCCTGCTCCAGTCCTGAATCCCATCCTGACTCTCCGGCTGAGCTCACTGACCTCTAGCAAGTCGCCTGGGCTTTCTGCCTCTGTGGAGTAAGGAGGCCCATTTCACTGGCTCCTGAGAAGGTAGAGTCCAGTGCTTAGTGTGTGCTCAGTGAAGGCTGCTTTCTTCCAGTCCTGGTTGAGAAATGGCCAGAATGTATGCTCCACTGGGAGCCCACTGATCTGCATATTTGCATATAATTTACATAAACATTTTGTGACAAAATATGCTGGGATCAGTGTCTGTTTCTCTTCCCTCCTCCCAGCTCACTTGGAGTCCTCCTGGCTGGATTTTGGAGGGATCAGAGAGAACTCTTGTTCATTCCTCGGTTTTACACACAGGGAGACTGAGGCCAGAGAAGAGCAGGGCCTGCCTTGGGATCCCATAGCGATTGGGAGCAGGAGGCAGGTGATGCAGATCTCTGGGGGATGATGCAACCCACAGTATTCACTGAACAAAGACTGATGGAGGCTGACTGTGTTCCAGAAGCAGTCTGAGCCCTGGGGTTAGAGAAATGACCACACAGACCCAGTCACTGCCACCAGGAGCAATTGGAGGGGGAGACAGACACATTCCTCTGAAGCCCGGAAATAAACCAGCCAATTTTCAGGCAGTGGTAAGCGATTGAGGACTAGCCCTGGTTTTGCAGACTAGCTGGGCACGTGGGGACGTCGTTTGGGTGGATTTGGTGGTTCAGGGAGGTGAGCTTTGAGTGGGGACACAGTGTCATGTCCCAGTGCCTACTAACTGCCTATCACCACTAGGCACGTGACAGCTGGTATCTCTGTGTGTTGGGGATCATTATTCCCGTTTCATAGGAGGACAGAGCGAGGCCCAGTGAGGCGAAGGGATGTGACCAGGTAACCAGTTTGGGAGTGGGAAGCCAGGGCGGGAACACCTAACTCCACACCAGGTTGTTCCTCGGAGACTCCTGGGCCCCAGGAGCGGGCAACCCTTGCCGTGTTTGCTGGCAGTGACCGTCATGGAGCCTGGAGACAGACTCCTAGAGGCACCTGCTGGTGAGTCATGGTGGGGGCAGGGGGTGCCTACCTGAGCTGGGCCACCTGTCGTGTGAGTGCGCCTTGTCCTCCATTTCTACTCACTCCCAGGCTTTCAGGCTGTCTCTGTGCAGGGAGCTGAGTGTGAGGTGGTGCTGGTCTCTGACATTTGCCCTGCTTTTGAGAGCCTTCTGGTAGGGGAAACTGATTAGGGCTAGGAGCAGGTGTGCTCTGCAATCCAAAGGGCATGGTCTTTGGGGTTCAGCTAATCTTGGGTTCAAATCCTGGCCCATTGCTGTGTGACTTTGAGCCAGTTGCTTCACCTCTCTGAATTTTAGTTTGCCCATCTGTGAAATGGGAATGGCAATCCCTTTCTGGTCAAGTGAGAAGAGAAATGAGGCAATGTGCATATAAGGAACCTGGCACTTAGTGAGGGCTCCCTCCGTCGGGGCTGTGATCATTTTCATAAGGGATGGAATGGCCCAGCCTTTTCCAGAAAAGTGCTCAGTGGAAGGAGTCTTGAATCACAAACTGGCATTCCCTGCAGGCATTCTCAGGGGTTCAGGAGTTCACTGAACACAGGATTTAGACTCAACAAGGCCAGAATTCAACTCCTGTGTGACCCCACTGGTGGCTTAACAGGCTCAGTCTCCTCATCTATAAATGGAGACCATATTATCTGCTTCCCAGGGCAGCTGAGTGGTTTCACTGAGATCCAGTGGAAGGGCCTGTTAGAGTGATGGGAGCATGGTTGGTGGGCCTTCTCCCTTAGTAAATGACAACACAGTGGAGGTACTGAGTCCCCAAGAAAGGACTTCCTAATTTGGACCAGGGAGGTGGTTGGCGTGCGTATGTGACATTCAAGCAGGCTGACAAAGGAGGCATTGTGTGAGCTGAGCCAGCTTTGTGGGGACATATCTAGTGCCTAGGATGGTGCTTGGCACACAGTAGGAGCTTAATAACCATTGGTTTTACTGATTAACCAGCTGAGTAGGTGCTGGCCAGGCAGAGATGGTGGGGAAAGGTATTCCAGGAAGCAGGAACAGGCCTGAAGGAGCCCGTGTTCCCAGAACTGTAAATAGTTTTGTGTGGGAGGAGTATGGGGGTGGGCAGCTGGGAGTGGGGTGTGGGGGGTGCTGCTGGGTCTGGAAACGGGGCCTCAGTGGGTGGTCCTGCTCTCAGGCACGAGCTTGGGGACAGGCATCAATGAGCAGTGTGAGTCAGGGTGGCCAAGAGTGACGTGAGAGGGCAGGTGGCTGGGATTGATGGGGCGGTGACGGAGGCGTCCCAGCCCTGGGTTGAGGAGGGGGCCTGGCTTTCCCAGGGTTGCATTGTCAGCTTCTGTCTAGGCACAGGGGACAGAGTGGGCTGCTGTAGGGCAGCCAGTCTGCACCTCAACAGAGACTGGCCAGCCCGGCTGAGCCAGGAACAGGGCTGATGGGAGAAGGCGGGCGGGTGGGTGTCTGGGCACCACAGGCCAAGGTGGCCGCCAGACAGGCTGATGCCAGGGGAGGGAGCCAGGTCCTGCCAAGCCAGCCTGTCTGTGGTGAGACTCGGTTGGGCCGTGGGCCCTGCCAGCTCCCTCAGAGGCTTTTGTGTTCATTTCCTTTCCACCCCCCTTTTCAGTTTCCTCGTAAGGTCCCTCACGAACAGTCTCAATGGGGTCTCAGCAGAACCAGGGGACCCGGAAGTTTCACAGACCAGAGAACACCAGGGATGGAGACTCAGGGAGGATGTGCGCTCTCTAATAACAAAAGTGCTATGGGTTTATCGGAGAAATTGTGGAAAATACAGAAAGGTCCTGAGAAGAAATTAAAGCTGCCTGTAATCCCACCACCCAGAGAGAGCCTCTGGGAACCTTTAGTTATAATGCAGCATTTGGAAATTCACTTTGATAGTGAGTTCATTAAAACAGGATCAAGTTCTACATATTTTTTGTAACCTATTTTTTAAACATAATGATGATACTCATATTAATAGCCAGCATTTACTGAGCAATTTGTTAATGGGTGAACATGCCCAGCCTCCTTCTGTAAACCCCACGAGGTGGGCATTCTTATCTTTGTTTTACCAGTTAAAGCAGCCTGAGAGAGTTAAATATCTGCCCAAAGTCACATCGGAATTGAGAGAGCCATCTGCATATTCCTATCAACAGCTATACTGTCTTGTCTTCTGATGATCAATATGTGCATTTTCCTACATCCTTCAATATTCCTTGTAGCAAGTAAAAAAAAGCCTTCTATGACACATTTATGTCTTTTAATAACCTCATTAGACAGTGTAGATTTGTGAGAACTCAATTGTTGATAGCTGCGTAATATTCCATGTTATGGTTGTACCCTCATTTATTTAACTCGTCCCCTGTCGTTCAGTATGTGGGTTATTTCCATTTTTTCCCTCTCGTAAATTACATTGTCCTGGATCTCCTTGACCTAAGGATCAAATTCTTGGGAGTCCAGAGTGTCAGAATCAGAAAGGCCCTTAGACCACCATGCTTGGTTTTCCATTTTGCAAATGGGGCAAAGGAAAGGCAGAGAAGGGGGAAGAGGATTTGTCCACGGTCTTGGAGGCTGTGGGCGCCTGAGCCAGGGCTGCTACCTGCTCTCCTGTTGGGGCTGGGGTGGGGATGTGGGTGGAGGCAGGTGCCACAGTGGGAAAAAGGGCATCCTGGGGGGATGGTGGGAACACAGGGCTGGGTAGAGGGCAGACTGGAGGTGACAGGAGAGATACAGGCTTGGGGTAGGGAGGGCTCTGCTGCCATGATATCTTTGCAGAGGAGTTGACTGGGATGGGACAGGCCCAAAGGGAACATTTCCTGCCCTCTGAGCTGCCTTTGTAGATGGGAGTAGGGGGTGGGGATAGGTTTGGTTTGTGAGAGGCTTGAGTGTGTGAGTTGGGGCGAGTGGGAGGGTGTGTGTCTGGGCTTGGTGGATTTTTCTTGGGGGGGGTCTGTGGTGTTTCAGCTTGGCCTTCTCTGCCCTCCCCATTCCACTCCTCCCCGGGCTTCTGCTCTCTGGGACTTGGGCTCCATAGCCCCTTCCCCAGCAGGTGCAGTCCTCGTGCCCCTCATCTCCAGCCACAAGTGGGTGTGGGACTGCCGGCTTCCTGGCCAGGGCAGCTGTGGCTGGGTGGGGGTGGGGACTGAGACATCCCCCTCCTGGTCCCGGCTCCCAATTGTGCAGCCCCCTTGGCTGTCTTGCTGCCCGGAGCTTGGCCCCAGCCCACATTCCTGCGGTGATGCTCTGGGTCTCCGGGGTGGATCTGGTGAGCGTGAGGGGCACTGAGTTCTCACAGGACTGAGGGCTTTTTGGGGACGGAGCCTGCAGGGATCCAGAGGGCCATGCTGAGACACCCTCCCTCCCTGCCTCGAGGAGCTAGTAGTTACGTCGCTGTGTGTCTTTGGGCAAATCACTTTACCTCTCTGAATGCTTCGTGGCAGACTAACCCCGCCCCCTCCTTTCGTGATAAGCAAGGCTTTCCCCTCTCTGTGCCTCAGTTTCCACATCGGTAAAAGGGGAGAGTTGAACTCAGTGATCCCTCAGGCCCAGTGTAGCCTTGAAGTTGCAGCCTGAGGTGGGAAGTGCAGGCTGTAGGAATATAGACAAAGCCTTATACGGCTCCGACTGTGTGCAGGCATGATCTCACTTGATTCTCACAACTGCCCTATGAAGTATCATTGTTGGCCTCATTTAACCAAACAGGCTCAGAGAGGTTAAGTAACACATCCAAAGTCACCCAGCAAGTAAGCAGAGCTGAATTTGAATCCAAGACTGTCAGAACCTAAAGCTGGGCCCCCACCCCTTGCTCATGTCGCCTCTGGTCACCAGGAAAGTGAGGCCTGAGTCTGGCTAATTAGGGGAAGGAAGCTCGGGCAGAACTAATTACACTCGATTTTATTCTTGGCTTTTTGCAACATGATTAGCGCTGCACAGGGGTGCCGGGCTCCTGGCCCCCAGCCTGCTGACCTAATTTGTGTGCTTGTGTCTGTTTCTGTAACTTGCCCTTTCTCCCCCTTCATCCAACCTCTCTCTTTTTGTCTCTCTCTGCACTCTCCCCTGCTGTGTGGCCTTGGCAATGCCACTTAACCTCTCCGGGCATTAATCGTCTCATCTGCCTGGGTGTAGTCATCCCAATTTGGCTTCCCTCATGAGGAGGTTGAGGCTTACATGAGATAAAGGCTTCGAAATAATAATAGAAATTTTAACATAAACTAACAGCAATCGTGGCTACACTGATTTATTCATTTTTCACTTGGTGTCGGGTCCTGTGCTTAGCCCCTTCCCACAGCAATGCTATGAGCTGCGTAGTCTTCTCATCATCTCCATTTTACAGATGAGAAAACTGAGGTGCTGAGATTAAATGGCTTGCCTGACAGCCAACCGGGTAGTAAAGAGGAGCTGGTTCATTATGCTTTGCCTCTGTGCTGACCGGTTTCTCTAGGAAGGCTCATGGTGGTGTGGGGCTGGGCACGAGAGACCCCAAATTCTGGAGTGGGCTCTGAGAGAGGATGGGGTGGGAGGGATGCACTGGCCTTCCTGAACGTGTCCCCTGCACTCAGAGTGAGTGATGAGTGGGTGGGTAGAGGTAGCCGTGAAAGTGAGGAGACTTAGCTGACATCCAGCTCATTTGGACCCTCACCCATCACAGCCCTGATGGGGTGCTCCTGGGAGGGAGGGGGCTGGGCAACCTGGGAGGTGGCACCTCCTTGCCCCTGGCCCAGGGGAGCCTCCCCAGCTGCTGCTCTAAAACTCTAGGAGAGGATCGGTGGGAGTGGATGTGGAGTGAGGGGGCCTGTGGGTCACTGCTGGGCCTGGTCCCTTCTGGGCTGGGAGCCTGAGGTGCCTCTGTGGAGTGAGGCTGTGGGTTACTTCAGGAAGGTGTGGTGACTAGGGGACTGTGAGGAAAAATGGAAGCAGGGGGCATCAGTCCACTAGGAAGGGTGCCACATTTCATCCCGATGTGTGTGTGCACTTGTGTGTACCCGGAAGGAAAGTGCGTGTTTGCGCGCATGTGTGTGTGGAGGGAACTGAGATGCAGGTATTGTGGACCTGTTAATGGCATGTGAGGCGGGATGTATGTCTGCTGGGGCAGGTTCAGGGAGGGACAAGTAGGCTGCGCACATGTGGAGGCAGGGTGTTGGGAGTGCCTGGTGTGTTGGGTCCCGTGCTCAGCCCCTTCTCCTGCAATGCTATGAGCTGCATAGTCTTATCACCATCGTGTGCTGGCGCGTGGGTGTGGATGTTGGGTGGGCATGGACAGCTGTGGGCATTGCCGAGTTGATGTCATGCAGGGGGTGAGGGCAGCTGCGGGGCACAGATGTATGAATTTAGCCCTGGACAAGCAATGGGTCTGGGGGTGGCTCAGGAATGTCCAGGACAAGGGTTTCAGAGACAGAGGCCTCATGCCTGGATTCTAACCCCTGCCTCAGTTCCTGCATCTGTGGAATGGGGATGATAAAACCCTGGGCAGTTGTGATGCTTAAAGGAGGCTGCATAAATAACATGCTCCCAGCACCTGGCCTGGGGCAGGCCCTCAGCAGCAGCAGGCAGAGGTCTCTAGAGTGCCCTGGGAACGCTCAGCGGCTCCCCTGGGACCTGATGCTCAGGCCTTCATGGGCCGCTTGCGGAGCCTCTGCTGGGTGTCCCCTCCCGAGATCAGTGGTGGCCGGAAGCAGAAGGTTCAGTGCTTCCACCGGGCACGCTCGCTGTGTGTGGGGGGTGCAGCCGAGAGGAAAGGTTGTATCCGAGTTGTGAGGTTCATGTCTGAGTCAGAGGATGCACCTGCCGAGGGTGATGTCTAGGAGCGATGTGTGTTTAGGGAACATACGTGGCCATGGCGGTGGGTCCGTGTTGTGGGCCTTGGTGAGGTGAGTGTGGTGCGTGGGGTCAGGAGAATGTGCTGAGGTTTCTCGGGGGCATCCGTGGGGTGTGTGGTGAGGAGAGGAGTGTGTGTGTGTGTCTGTGAGTACCCTAGGGCATGTGTACAGGCAGCTAGGGGTGAAGTAGATGGGTGAGTGTGTGCTGGTGTGGGCTGGGCTGTATTGCCTATAGGCTGTGGTGAGTATACAGATTGGTGTGGGCAAACATTGCACTTAATAGTGTGTGTGTGTATCCATTGGGGTGCATAGTACATGCAGAAGAATATATATGCATGAGGATGTTGGGCTGTCGTGTGTGTGTGTGTGTGTGTGTGTGTGCATGCGTGCGCGCGTGTCTTGGGGGTATGGAAGCCTCCTATCAGGCATGGGGGGGTTGTGTTTACCTGGAGGGGGCACAGTGAGGGTCAAGGAGAAGCTGGCAGCGTCCTGGGGCTTTTGGATTCAGTTCTCCTTTAAGGGAATGGCATGGATAATTATGCTTATTATGATGGATTATGCAAATGCGGAGGTCGTTTGGGGGTCAAAGCCTGCTTGTCACCCTCCTCCTCAGGCATTCTGTGACTTCTAAGGCTTTCCCTGCTGCCTCCCAGGCTCCGTTCCCCAACCCCTATTTCTCTGTCCCCTCTGGGAGTTGCAGCTACCAGCACCCCCTCTGTAGTGTTCCTGAGAGGGCCTCATGAGTCCCAGCGCCCATGCCTGCAGGTCCCAGGTGTCCTCGCATTAAGTTCCCGCTGAGCATCCCAGGTGGGCTCAGGGGTGACTGGGCCGTTCCTCCCCCTGCACACCCTGCCATTGGGGATGCTTGCTGTTCGGAAAGAATGTACTCTTGGAAGCAGGTTTGGAAAATTACTGAGGTGGCCCCTTCCCCAGCCTTGCCTCATCAGCATGAGGCTAAATTAGGATGTGTGAGTTCTCCCCTCTGCCTCCCACCCTTGCCTTCTCTCCTTCTCTCGTACCCCCAGCCCACCCTCCCCGTCTCTGCCCCTCTGCCCCCTGGCCTCCCTCAGTCCTCGACTCTCTGTCACCGTCTCTGTCTCTGCCTCCCCCTTCCCTGTCATCCTCTCAGTTCCCCCGTGATCTCTCCCTCTCCTGTACCACCCCATCTCTGTGGGGAGCTGCAGCTCCTGGTCGTTAGCATGGAGAAGATGGTCGTCATGGTAACGGTTGTCATGTCGATGGCTACTGAGCTGGGGATGAATAGTATGTAGGTGAGCGCTACCTGAGTGGAGGCTGATGGGTTTCCAGGAGGCTCGATGCTTGTCTCTGAGCTCAGAGCTGCACAGCAGGCCCAGCTCCTCCTGCCCCATGTGAGTGGCTGTTTTTACCCCCAGGCATGCTGACACGCTGAGCCCTCTGTGGCTGCTTTTAGGTGAGCATGTTTCAGTGTGTGTCTGTGCATGTGCTGTGTCTCTGGGGTGTGTCATTTCAAGGGTCTATGTGGCATGGGGGTAGGTCTTTGGGTTTGTACAGGCTTTTCTTGGAGCAGGAAGTTAGGGGCTAAGTGGCACTGGTCACTGAGGAATCTTGGGGACTCCCTTGTTTTGGCACCCACATTTACTTCAGTTGGGGGCTTCCAGGGACCACAGACCTCTTAGTATCCCTCCTCCCAGCTAAAGGCCTCCCAGCCACTGCCCAGCCTACTGGGAAGGATAGAAAGACAGTGAAGACAGCCCTGGGCAGGGGCAGGAGCCGGAGCCTGGGTCCCTGCTCAGTCCCCATTCTTCTGTGTGACTTCAGGCTGCTTGCCAGAGAGCTGGAGGGAGCAGGGACTCCAGGTTGGCTGGTTCAGGTTGTGGAGGGGAGTGCCATGGGGAGTTCTAGCTCCTCCACCGTGGGTATTTTTCTTTCTGGGCAGAGGGGAGCTGGGGAAAAGTTGGGCCCTACTGCTCTGAGCTCCTAGAATGTTTAAAAAAGGAGGAAGACCCAGCAATTCGTCACGGGAGAAATTACACTAATTGTTCCACTCCATGACTCACTGGTAGAAAGTAAATACTGATTAATTCATTACTTTGAGACTATGTGTGTGTGTGCATTTTGTGAGGGGGCACCTCCTGGCTCCCTGCCCTGGCTGGGCTGGGCAGGGCTCTGGAGCAGGTGGTTGAGGCTGGGGATATGAAGACAGGATTGAGATCCTCACTCTGGCTCTGTATCAACTCCAGAAGGGGGCCCATCAGTGGCAGGGGGTGAGAGGCTGGGCCCCAAATGCAGGGCCATTCCAGCCCTCGCCTGCTCACACATGCCCCAGGGCTCCCCACAGCCAGCCCAACATTGCGGCTGCTCAGAGACCACCCCAGACCTACTGAACCACTGAATTTAGTTTTCACAATATTCAGATGTGCAGTCAAGATGAAAAATGACCAGTTTCTAAGAGAAAGTCATCAGCCAGACACTGAAAGCCTTCTGGGATGGGACCCCAGGTGACTTGCCACACCCCACCCCTGCCCTGTGAATTATTCACACACGCACTTTCCTTCAGGGTACACACAAGATCTCTGTCACCCACGTGGATGTCACTCAGCCCACAAGGGCACCTGTCGCCCTTCTGGGCTCACCCAGGCTGCCAGTCTCGGGTGCCGAGCCCTGTGTCCACCTCTACCTTCCCTAGGCCCAGCGCTGGCGCAGTGAGAACTTCGAGAGACCCGTGGACCTGGAGGGCTCTGGGGATGATGACTCCTTTCCCGATGATGAACTGGATGACCTCTACTCGGGGTCGGGCTCGGGCTGTAAGTACCCCCCTCCCTACCTCTGCCTGGGGGCAGTGACCAGTCTGTATCCAGCCTCAACTCTGAGAAGCCCACGGGGGGCTTGCTTCAGTGAGGCAGGGGGCATTCACTGCCTGGGTCAGGCAAGTTCTTCTTGCTCTGGATCCCCAGAACAAGAAGGGCAGAACATCCTTCTGGGGATAGAACAAGACCTGGGAGGACCTCAGGGCCCAGAATGTCCAGGTCTCCAGGGTCCCACGTCTGCATCTTTGTGTGTGCTATGTGGCTTTCTCTGCAGACCTTGCTTGGTTCCGGTGGTCCCGTCAGGTGCAATAAGCTGTGGCCAATGGTGGGGTTAGGGCAGTGATGACACAGGGCAGGTGCTTCAAGTGGTGCCTGGGATGGCCCCGCCCTGGGGAAGGGGAGCCAGGTCAGCTGGGTCTAGCAGAATCTCGGGAGAGAAGGGCACCGCGAACCCCACTCTGCCATGTAGCAACTGTGTGCCCCTCGGTGCTCCCCCTCCCTGAATCCCTGTATTTTCACCTGTGGATGGTGAGAAATACGACTTCTTCTCAGTGCCTCTAGGAGGGTTTGGGATAGGAAGCTGGGGTCTGGCACAGAGGAGGAGCTCTCAAAATGGTAGCAAAAAGAAGGCAGCTGAGACTGGGCCCAGTGAGGGCACGGGCTGGCATCTGAGGAGATGGTACGGGGTCTGCACGCCACAGAGCTGGCTCCCCACAGCCCTCGCCTCTGGTCTCCCCTCCTTAGCCAAGTCCTTTGAGCCTCTTTCAAATTAATCTTTGTAAAACCCGTTTATATTGGGTCACATCTCTATTCGCAAAGTTCCCTGGCTCCCCTCCCTCCTGCCTGGTTCCGAGCCCAGGAGCTGGCTGTGGCTTCTCCCTCCCCCATCCCCTACTCCCCATCTCATTTCCTCCCAAGTTCCTTCACTGTCCCGGCTTTGCGTCAGCCAGATTGCTCAAGCAGTTCCCCTGCCTCAAGGGCTTCTTTTCCCTTTTACCCTCCGCCTCTGCCTCTGGGGGAAGCCCTTAGTGTACCACCCCTGCCTTGAGCTTGTGGTAGGGGTGCCTTTGGGGTCTGACTCTTCCCAGAATGCCACTCCTGTGTTCCCCTGCAAGCCCCAGCAAGTTTTGCAGCCAGTAGCGCCTCAGTTGCTGCTGCCTGGATTCAACCTCATAGAAACTGTAGGCTGGGTGGGCAGGAATAGTCAAGGAAGGCTTCCCGGGAGAGGCGGCCCCCAGAATTTTTGACTTGGCAGAGAGAAGTTGGGGAACATCAGCAACTGACCACCTTTAGCTGGGCTGTGCCTTCCTCCTTTCTCTCATCTTTTCTGGGAAAATTGGGTAAAGAGAGGGGGTTGGGAGACCTAATCTTGATGGCCATTGCTTACCTGGGATCCTCATGCCCCTCACAACCACCCAGCTCCCTAGCTCTCTCCCTCTCCCCCACCCCCTCAGACTTCGAGCAGGAGTCGGGCATTGAGACAGCCATGCGCTTCAGCCCAGATGTAGCCCTGGCGGTGTCCACCACACCTGCGGTGCTGCCCACCACGAACATCCAGCCTGTGGGCACACCATTTGAAGAGCTCCCCTCTGAGCGCCCCACCCTGGAGCCAGCCACCAGCCCCCTGGTGGTGACAGAAGTCCCGGAAGAGCCCAGCCAGAGAGCCACCACCGTCTCCACTACCATGGCTACCACTGCTGCCACAAGCACAGGGGACCCGACTGTGGCCACAGTGCCTGCCACAGTGGCCACCGCCACCCCCAGCACCCCTGCAGCACCCCCTTTTACGGCCACCACTGCTGTTATAAGGACCACTGGCGTACGGAGGCTTCTGCCTCTCCCACTGACCACAGTGGCTACGGCACGGGCCACTACCCCCGAGGCGCCCTCCCCGCCCACCACGGCGGCTGTCTTGGACACCGAGGCCCCAACACCCAGGCTGGTCAGCACAGCTACCTCCCGGCCAAGAGCCCTTCCCAGGCCGGCCACCACCCAGGAGCCTGACATCCCTGAGAGGAGCACCCTGCCCCTGGGGACCACTGCCCCTGGACCCACAGAGGTGGCTCAGGTGAGGGTGTTGAGAAGGGACAGGGAGGAGGGCGGAGGAGGGTGGGTCAGGGGAGGGATGAGGAGGATGGGGCTGGACAGGACTGAGGACCAGGAGGCTATAGAGATGAGCCAGACAAAGTGGGGGCGAGGGGCAGGACCAAGGGACAGAGATCGGATAGGGAGGGAAGAGGGACAGAAAACGAGGGCTGGGGTGGTTGGATCCTAATGGGATGGGACATTGGTGGGGAAGGAATTGGGTGAACGTGTGCATTGGTGACAAGGGGGGCCGGGCTGAGTGTTTCGGTTGAGAGAATTAATTCAGTGGTCTGGCAGCTGGATTAGAATCTTTCCACTGCCACTTCCTAGTCACGGGACCTCAGGCCAGTCCCTGATCATTTCTATACCTCCGCTTCCTCATCTACGGAAAGGAGAAAACAATAGAATGTGTATCATTTCATTGTGAGCGTGAAGTCTCCTGACATCCACAGTGCTTAGAACAGCGCCTGGTGATGGTACAGCCAGTGGGTTCTCAGCTGCTGTCGTCATCACGGTTGTTATTATCATGGGTCTGAGGGTGGTTAAGAGCTGGTGTATGAGAAGGCATCACTCGCCTTGTGGAGGGCTGCCTGGGTGTGGGTCAGTGCTCAGCACTTTACCTGTGTTAGCCCCAGCCCTCATGCCCACCCCACGGGCAGCACTGTGGTCATCTCATTTTACAGACGAGCAACTGTGGGTGCACAGGGAGGTGAAGCCACTTCCCAAGGCTCCGCAGCCAGCGATGACAGTCAGGATTTGAACCCAGGCAGTTGGTGCCAGAGCCGGGCAGTCTCGCAGGGCCAGGGCTGCATGTGTGTGCATTTGGGATATTCTGGATGGGGCAGGGGAATTGATGGGAAGAGGATGAAGATGTCAGGAGTGCCAGGGATGGATGAATCCCAAGGACATGAGAGAGGTGGTCTGGTCCCAGCTGGGTGCACTAAGTAAGATGGAGAGGTGGGAACATGGACTGGGTGCCAGAGCCCTCTGCAGCTGGCCTCACTGTGGAAGGCCCTTGGGCCGTGGCGCTGCCTTGGGGTCAGTGTCAGTCCCTCTGACTCCCCAGCCAGCTCTAGCAGGATGCAGGCCCTTCCCTTGCCTCCTCAAGCAGCTGGGGCAGCCTGGTGTTTTCACACAGACTTGGCCAAGCAGGAAGGGGAAACAGTGATGGGGCACGGAGCCCAGGAGAAGGTGCACAGGGCCCAGGTTGCTGGAGGAGCCATTGTGCACGCTGTGTACGCTGGGGCACTGCTGCAGCCTCTTTTCAGCCTGGACATCAGGCCTGCCTTTCCATGCCCACCTTTGAAGTAGCGACATCCCTGCTCTGATGGCTCCCACAGCCCCCACTTTGGTCTCATCATTCCCAGCTCTGATCCTGCCTCCGAGTGGTGGGAGCCCTAGAGATTGTCAGTCACTGAGCTGGTTTCCGGGACACCTGCCCCTGAGGCCATCATAGTCTGCAGGTTGTGCTCTTGGACTGGCCTCCAGGCTACAGAATGCTCCCCTGCCTTAGGCATGGACTGGGACCAGGCCCACATCCATAGCATCTGCACCCAGCAGTTCCCAAACAGCTTCTCGGCAGGAATCCCCCAAGGATTGTTACTAAGGCAGCTGGAGGGGACATGAGGGGGACAGGATGTCCAGAGCAAGAACAGAGGCAGTGTGTTAGTGGTTAGAAACACAGACTGTGGAGACAGATAGATCTGAATTTTAGTTCTGTCCCCCACTTACTAGCTGTGTGTCCTTGGGCAGGTCATTTATGCTCTGAGCTGACTTCCTGCTCTGTAAACTGGGGGCATTGTTACACTCCTTCATGGGGATAGTGTGTAGCACAGTGCCTGGCATGTAGGGAGTGCTAAGTGTTAGCCCCCCAGGGCAGTAGGATGGTGGTGGGGGGTTATGCATGCATGTGTGGTTGTCCTGGGCTCATGCCACCCTCTCTGCAGACCCCAACTCCAGAGACCTTCCTGACCACAATCCGGGATGAGCCAGAGGTTCCGGTGAGTGGGGGGCCCAGTGGAGACTTCGAGCTGCCAGAAGAAGAGACCACACAACCAGACACAGCCAATGAGGTGGTAGCTGTGGGAGGGGCTGCGGCCAAGGCATCATCTCCACCTGGGACACTGCCCAAGGGTGCCCGCCCGGGCCCTGGCCTCCTGGACAATGCCATCGACTCGGGCAGCTCAGCTGCTCAGCTGCCTCAGAAGAGTATCCTGGAGCGGAAGGAGGTGCTCGTAGGTGAGGCTTGGGGTCTGGGCCAAGGGGAGCCTGGGAGGATACCAGAGTGAGACAGCTGGCTGGGCCTCAGTTTGCCTCTAGGAACCCAGAAAGGAGATCAGGGCGTGGTTTCCTAGGAGCCAGATAGGAAGGAAACTTGAGAACTCAACCCCCCAGGACCTGCCTTCTGGCTCCTCCCAACTTTCCTCCTTCCCAATATCCAACCCTGACTTCATGTCCATCTCTAGGTCTTCCCTCAGTGTCCTCTGACCCCTCTGTGGACTCTGACTTTGATCCCTGCTTTCCTGGGCCACACTGGCTGACCCCCTGGGACCTTACTTCCTAGATGCTAATCTCTGACCCATCCTTCAGCTTGACCTTCCCCAGTTTTTGACCCCAGTCCCTGTGGACCTGCCCTGGCCGCATCTAGGGAGTCTGTGGACTCCTGGTTCAAATCCTGGCTTTGCACTCAAGGCAAGGTACTTCACCTCTCCAGTCTTCCTTCTCTTCATCGGTAGAATGGGGATAGTCATTTTGCCCTTAATCAATTCTAAGAGGCACATCTGTTCACATGTTAAGTCTTCTGTAGTTGGGGTATGTCATATTTAGTTAGCAGAGCTTTTTCTTTCCTAGCAGTTATAAAATACTGGGGCATCTTATGAGTGGTGGCATTTTAAATTTGATGAAGCCCTCAGATGACCCCTCCCTCATAGGGCTGGTGTGAGGGTTCAGTGAGTTAGTGTGTTGGGCGATTAGAATGCAGCCAGTGAAGGCCTATGATGGTACCCAGTGCTGGTAGTAGTAGTATTGACTCCATCATCACTCCAACTCAGATCTGGGACTCCCAGCCCTCTCCTCACCCTGGCCCCCACCCCTGAGGACCCTTTGCCCTGGTTCTACCCTGCCTCTGGGCCTTGACCTGTGCCCTCTTCTTCCACAGCTGTGATTGTGGGCGGGGTGGTGGGCGCCCTCTTTGCTGCCTTCTTGGTCACACTGCTCATCTATCGTATGAAGAAAAAGGATGAGGGCAGCTACACGCTGGAGGAACCCAAGCAGGCGAGCGTCACATACCAGAAGCCTGACAAGCAGGAGGAGTTCTATGCCTAGTGGAGCCACAGTGCCTCCCTGCAGCCTCAACACCACCCTGCTGTCCAGTCCCCAGCCTGGCCCCACCAGCCCAAGCCTGGGACTGGGCCTGGAACCTGGCCCCAGTTCTTCTCTGCCCTCTCTCCCAAGGTCTGCCCAGGCTGCCAGCCTCACACAGATCTTCCCCGAGGAAGAGGGGCTGCTGCCATCTGCCCCAGACTGTGCCCTTACGAGCTCATCTCTTGTTCCCCTCATCCCTGCCACCAGTCTGGGGCTTCAGGACCTCATGTCAGATGGATGGGAGGAAGAAAGCTCCTGATTGGCTGGTGGTGGAAGAAAGGGTGGGGCTTGAGATGAGCCTGAGCCCTGACTTGGCACCCACAGTGCTCACTGAGATCTCCTTTTTGGGGCAGAGAGGCACTCAGGCTGGTTTCCAGGACAAACATTTGGTAAACACAGCCCTTGAAATCATCTAGACACTGCAACCTCTTGCTCGTATCCCAGGGCCTCTCTCTAGCTGGGTGAGAGGGTGTCCCTTGTCACCAGCCTGTTTTGTCCTGGTCTCTCTGGGGTTGTTGAATCTCTCCTCTTGCCTGCCAAGTACACATGTACCCAGACTTCATTTCTTTCTGCATCTTCCCCCAAGAAACAGCTTCCTGAGGGTGCTGGGGCAGCCACTGGTGAGGAGGGGCTGCTCTGATGTCCCTCCTATGAGGGGACTCTGCACAGACACCATTGCCCACACTATCACCATATTTTCACTCAGTCACACACAAGACAAAAGCATGCAATGACAAAACCATACGCAATCCTGACCGCCCAGCCAATCAAGACATATCACAGAACACACGCGTCCTTCCAAGAATGTTTATCCTCATGCATCACTTACACACCCCCAGACACGTACTGCAATGCAAGTCACTAGTCATGGTCACATGACAGTGACAGTGTGGCCTCCTCCTACCCCAAATACACCCACACTCTGGCACCACACACATTGTCTCCAGCTTTCAGGCTTACTGGGGAGGGTGGAATCGAGCCAGAACAATCAGCCCATATTGGGTCCCCCTAAGTTGCCCCGTCATACTCAGTCCCATGCCATGGTGCCCACACCAACCATGCAGCCGCCAACCCCAGCCAGTGTCAGACACAATCCCATGTGGATGCACAGTCTCACTCCACATGACCTGCTCTCAATGCTGGAGGGAAACAGGCAGGCCCTTGCCTTTCTCGGAAAAAGTGTGGGGCCACAGCCCTTTTAGGGCATTGCATGCAGGTGGGCCTGGCTTCACCCCTACCTGCTTCCTCCCCACCGCAGCTGGCAGAGGGGGAGGTTTGGGGCCAGACCCCCACTAGCTGGGAGCCTGGGGGCTCCTCTAAGGCTGAGGAAGGAAATTTGGCCCCAGGTTGTTGGGGGGTCTTGGGTCTCCCAGGACGGAAGGCCCAGGGCAGGGAGGGGGCATGTGGTTGGGCTCCTTTATCTCCCTGTGTCCCCTTCCTGCTTTGAGCTAGGGGGCTGACTCTGCCTCCCAGGACACAAGTCTCCAAAGTGCCTGTGAGGGCGGGCCCTCCGCACCCTCTGCCCTCTGCCTGGCAGGCCAACCTCAGCCCACCTGCCCAGAGGCCCTCCCTGTGGACACCCCCTCACCTATTTGGCCAAACAATTCTGGCTGCAGCTTCAGGGGCCATGGCTGGAAGCAGCCCCTGCAGATCCCTCAGGCCCCGAGGTCAGGGTTTGAGGGATGAGACCAGGTGATAGTGGGGGAGGGGTTACTTCCTTTGTTACCTAGCAAGTAGGGCTATTTCCATCGGTATTTTAAATGTGGGGTCACAGATCTTTTGGGGAGGGTGTGCTTGGCAGGGGGCCTCTTGGAGCCAAAGGGATGTGGTGTGAGTTGCGATTGGCTGGCACTCACACCCCCACCCCTCACCCACATCCCAGATTCAAGTCAGGAAGGCAGGTTTTATTTCAGGGCCCTTTTCAAGATGCCCTGGCAGCAGATTTCTGCAGGATGAGGGGTAGCGGTGTGTAGGCAGTGAGGGGGAGGTTCCAGGGGCTGTCCCACAGCCTGTCTTTTCCAGGCTGGGCTCCATCTTCCAGTCCCAAAACCCTCCTTCACAGGGCCCAGAGGCTTGTGAGGAAGCCAGGTGGACCCAGCCTTAGAAGAGTGGGCATGGGGGGCCCCTGATATCTGGAGGGGGCGGGTTGGCCTCAGTCATCTTTGGAGCAGAAGGGCTGGGTCCTGGGGCCACAGACCACAAGGCTCAGCCTCCCTACCCTGCTCCCTGGGGTGCTGCTGTCTTGGAGAGCACAGCTCTGGTGAGACGGCCTGGGCAGGCCGAGGCTGAGAAACCAGGGAGGATAGAGGAGAAAAGGGCTTGGGCCCCCAGCCCCAGAAGATGCTGGACCCCAGGTGGGAGACCCAACAGTGGGTGCAGTTTCTCAGTAGGGCTGGAGCCAATGGTGGGGGTGGCCCCGGCAGGCCTGGCTCCTCACATCCCAGGGGTTGGCTTCTGATTTGGGGCTTGGGCTCCAGGCACTGGCTTCTCTTCTCTGTGTCCTTAGCATTTGAGAGAAGAGGCCAGGGGCCTTGTTCATGGATCCCTGGACCCAAGGCAGATGTCCAGGCTTTATCCTCCTGAGGATGAGGAGTCTGACCAGCCCAAATCTGCCCTGGCCGGCCTGACCGGGGCAAGGCAGTCCAAGAGAGTTCAGTGAGGACCAGCTAGGCTCTCCCAGGTGCAATGTGGGTGCAGGGCCCTCATGTCCCCCTACCCCTGCCTGTGATGGAGTGTTCTGAGGGGCTTTGGCATTTGCTGGAAGCACAGGGAGTTCCAAATGAGAGGGAGCTTCTGTGGCTTGAGAGCCTCTGGGGCCTTGGCTGCCAGAGCACGAGGCAGGCCAGGACCTGGAGAGCCCAGACCCTGTCTCCAGGAGGCCAGGAGGCCAGATGGGGGCCTTGCCTGAAAGACTGGTCCCCTTGATCGCTGGAGGCATGTGGGTGGCAACCAGGGCTGGGCAGGGCTTAGGGTGTGTGGGCCAAACCCCCCTGGGGTTGGCAAAGCCGCCTGTCAGGCCTCCTGGTGGGGGCCCCTGGACACAGGGAGCAGACCCTCTGCCTCATGGGGTAGGAGTGGCTGCCTCCTGTGTTCTCTGGATTTCTTCTCCCAACAACTACAACCCTGGACTTGCCTCCCCAGGCCTCTTGCCTGTAAATAGAAGCCCGCAAACTGTACAGATTTACAGAGGCATCGAGACTGGGCCCTGGGAGTTGCCATCTGAGAGCCGATGGCCCCAGCATCCCCCAGGTGCCTGCCTGGCACCACAGTGACCCTGGCCTCAGCGTGGCAAATGCATGTAAATATTTTTCGTAGGCAGCGTGGCTCCAGAGAGCCCCCTGAAGACAGTGTCCCTCCCTCCTGTGAGTCCTTTCTCCTGTACAGAACCTGCCTGGGGTGGGTGGGGGTCTGCCATTCCCTCCCCCAGGCCTTCCCTGCCCCTTCTCTCCCCTGTAACCTGTTTATTAACCATACCTGTCCTGAGTTCATGGCCAAAACCTTAAATAAGAAAAACAAAAGAAAAAGACAGTGGAAAAAAGAGACCAAGGCGCCTGCCCCACTGCGGGTACTCTCCTGTTCCAGCCTTGTGAAGGAACTGGTTTTGTTTTTGTTTTTTTTTTTTTTTTTTTTTTTTTGTTTGTTTGTTTTTTTAACACTTCCTGTGCTGTGCCCATTTATAAGAGGAAATAAAATTAAGCTGAAATGATGTGCCGTGTCCAGAGTATGAGATAAATATGGTCATTTGGGGAGGGCAGCCCATGGCCGCACCCTGGGCCCCAGCCATCTTCCCCCATCAAAGAAATTGAGAACCAAGCAGGGAAAATTGACCAACAGCCCCTTGTGGGAACCATTATGGTAAAAGCTGCTGTTGGTTGAGAGTGTCCAGGAAACCACGGAGCCGCTGCGGTGAGGCTGGGATGGGGGCTGTGGTTGGGAGGGGCCAGGCAGTGGTGAGAGGGGCCTGTGGTTCACCCCCAGGGGAACTCTGGCTTTAGGCCACAGAGAAAATCTTGGTACCACAGGATACCAGAATCAGAGCAGCCGAGACGAGACGAGATGGCTTTTAAGTCTGAAGTCTGTTTTCAAGTCCAGGTGTTGACATTTCCTAGCGCTGACTCTGGACAAGCCACTTGACCTCTGTGAGTCTCAGTTTCCCCATCTGTCAAATGGGGTCAGAATATCCCCTACGTGGAATGTTGTGAGGACTGCATGAGGTAGAATGCTCAGCACGGCACCTGCCACAGTCAACACGTAGCTCACAGGGGCTCTGATGATGGCGTTGGAACAGAATAGAACCTTGGGATGGGAGAATGTGACCCAGAATCATCACAGGCCGACTCCTGACATCACAGGGTCATAGAGCTGGGCCAGCCTTGGGGCCCTCCTTGGTGTAGAAATCCCTTTTCCAGCCCCCACTTGGCATAAGTCCTGTCCCAGCCAGCTGGGTGTGTCCCGATGGCCAGTAGGCCACCCTGCCTATTTGGAAGTACTTACTAATTTCAGCTGAAATCTGTCTTTCCAGTGTTGCCCATCTCCAGTGCTCGTACGCCCTGGGGGCACACGAGATTGTTCTGCCCCTTGCAATGGGACAGCCCCCAGGTATGGGTGTAACAGTCACAAAATTCCCTCCTTCGAGGGAAAGCTCTACATGTCCTACAAATATTTCTTCTAGAAATTTCTTCTTCTTGGCCAGGCGTGGTGGCTCATGCCTGTAATCCCATCATTTTGGGTGGCCGAGGTGGGTGGATCATTTGAGGTCAGGAGTTTGAGACCAGCCTGGCCAACATGGTGAAACCTCATCTCTACTAAAAATACAAAAATTAGCTGGGCTTGGTGGTGGGTGCCTGGGTCAGGATCCCAGCTACTTGGGAGACTGAGGCAGGAGAATCACTTGAACCCCGGAGTCAGAGGTTGTGGTGAGCCCAGATTGCGTCACTGCACTCCAGTCTGGGTGACAGAGTGAGAACCTGTCTCAAGAAAAAAAAAAGAAAGAAATTTCTTCTTAATATGTGATAGGCAGGGTGCTGTTGGCCCTGGGAGTGGGTTGGAGCCCGAGGCCTATGGCTTTGGTACACCATCCTACCCATCCCTCCCTCCTTCCAATGAAGTTTCTGTGCCTGGCTCTGTGCTTGGAACTGGGAGCCGAGGGGTCCCCACAACAGCCCCGACCCCTCTCCCTAGAGCATGTACAGTCTATCCGGGAGATAGCTGATAACCAGAGTCTTGTGACTGTGTGATGACACTGGTCTGTGGTGGTGGCGGTGGTTGTGGGAGGGGGGGGGTCATTCTTTCTCAGCTGCCACCTCCAAGCCCCACCAAGATTGCCCCTCACTGCTAGGCAGTTCAGGGACAGAGCCCTGGTGCCCGGGGCCTCACTGTGGGACCTCAGACAGTTTGACTCCTTGGAGCCTCAGTCTGCACAGCTATAAAATGGGGTGAAGGGGCCAGACCTGCCACTGGGAGGTCCTCACAGGAGTGGGCCAGTTAGACACCTGCTATGATGTGAGGGGTTGGTTTACCAAGATTCAAAGCCAAGCATGAGTGGCTGTTCACTCAGGAAGCTTCAGAAGGCAATGCCCCATCTTCTGAGTGCTGTCAGCCCGCCGTCTCCCTCCTACCCTTCTCCCCTTCTCTCTTGAGTTCTAGTGATGTGATTTTATTTTCAGCTTGGAGGAGTAGAAAGAGCATGGTCTTGAAGTCAAGCAGACTCTTTGCTCTACCTCTCTGAGCCTCGATTTCCTTGAAGGCAAATGAGGACAATAAGGTTGGTATTTGGAGGCATGAAGCATGGCATACATGCCCATCTGTAGCTGGATTTCTATTCTTCTCTTTGCAGCACCTACGTTTTACCAGGCAAACCTTTATTCAAATCCTAGCTCTGTCAGTGACTAGCTATGTGACCTTGGGTGAACAATTCAAACTCAGTGCTCAGTTTCCTCACTTGTAAAATGGGGGCAATACTAGTACTGGCCTCATATGCATAGTGCTTAGAACTATGGCAGGCATAGAGTAGGTGCTGTACAAATGTGGGCAATTATTACTGCTGTTGTTGTATTGTTATTACTGTTATTCTTATTTGCAGGGCCCAGCACACTGCCTATTGATTGAACAAGTGATACTGAGCTTGGGTAGAAATCAAACTATCAGGGTCAGCTCTAGTATGAACTATGACTTAGGCTTGTTAGAGCCAAGGGCAGAGCCTGGAAACCATGTATTTGGGCACAGATAGGCTGGGCACTGCTGGAAGTTGGAGCACTTCCCTCTGGGCCCCCTCACCCAAGATATGAGCAACAGAATCAAGAGGGAAGGAGGAAGAATAGCTGATTGTTTCCTGCAGCCCAAGAGGTCACAGCCACCCAGCCCAAGCTTCCCTGAGAACAGAGTGTGCTCAGCTTCCAGGGCCGCCCACCCTGCCTCTGCCGGCCTGAGGGTGGGCTCAGAGCACGAGGATCTAGGTTTATCACCACCAGATAACCAGTAGGGATGAGAGAGGGCAGACAGCAAGAGGAATAGGGTGAGGCACTATGCCAGGTACCAGGTATCATGTTAGCTCATTTAAGCCCCAGGTCTGGTCTCTTGGCCTGTTGTTGCAAATGGAGCAACTGAGGCTCAAACAGCAGAATCCCAAAGCCCTAGAGCAATTGGAAGGTGCGGTGGGATTCTGCTGTCTCCTCCCTACCAAGAGCTAGCTGTGAGGGTGGGCAGGTTACTAAGCTTCTCTGAACCTCAGTTATATCACCAGAACAACAGGAGCACTAGGAGTTTGAAAGCCTCTAACGAAGCATTAACACACAACCTTTGTGGGATGCCTTCCAATTATCGTCGTTCATTCATAGACATTATCTTATTTAATTCTTGGAGACAATTATTACCCCCATTTTATCATAAACAATGTGTTTACAATAAACACATTGGCCTTATCAGCAAAATCCACACTGTGGGATACTCTATAGGAAAAACAATCCAGTTTTTTTTCAACACATAAATTATAAGGAAGACAAAAAAAAGAGAGAGATGGAGAATTTATAGATAAGCTTAAATGAAATGTTAACTAATCAATGTGGGAACCTGATTCAGATCCTGATTCGAACAAATTATATTTTTAAAATGCTCCAGTTATGAGGCAAGTGGAAATTGAACTCTGAGTGAATGAGTAAAAACATAAATATATATATTTTTATATATATATTTTCTCTTTTTTTGAGACAGGGTCTCATTCTGTCGCCCAGGCTGGAGTGCAGTGGTCTGATCATGGCTCACGGCAGCCTCGAGCTCCCCGGGCTCAGGTGATCCTCTTACCTCAGTCTCCCAAATAGCTGGGACTACAGGTGCTCGCCACCATATCCGACTAATTTTCATATTTTTTGTAGAGACATAGTTTTGCCATGTTGTCCAGGCTGGTCTCAAACTCCTGGGCTCAAGTGACCGAGTGAATATTTGTTATTAAGGATTCATTGTCAATGCTCTTAGATGTGATAAGGGCCCTGTAGTTATGGTTTTTTTTTTTTTTTTAAATGAATCCTTACCTTTTAGAGATACAGACTGAAATATTTGTAGATGAAGTGACAGGGTGTCTGGAATTGACTTCAAAATAATATGGGGAGGAGTGGGTGAGGGAATGGAGGAAATAAGTTGGGGCTTGAGTTGATCGTTATAGACGCTGAGTGATGGGCACATAGGGGCTTCATTATATTATTCTATCTACTCTAAGTTTACATTTTAAATTCTCCATAATAAAGTGCTTTAAAAGAAAAGAAAGCGGCCGGGTGCAGTGGCTCACGCCTGTAATCCCAGCACTTTGGGAGGCTGAGGCAGGCAGATCACGAGGTCAGGAGATCAAGACCATCCTGGCTAACACAGTGAAACCCAGTCTCTACTAAAAATACAAAAAAATTAGCCAGGCAAGGTGGCGGGCACCTGTAGTCTCTGCTACTCTGGAGGCTGAGGCAGGAGAATGGCGTGAACCTGGGAGGCAGAGGTTGCAGTGAGCTGAGGTTGTGCCACTGCACTCCAGCCTGGGCGACACAGCGAGTCTCCATCTCAAAAAAAAAAATAAAATAAAATAAAATAAAATAATAAAAAAAAGTAAAAGAAAGCAATTCCCAGAGGGGCCTGAGGTTGCACCCCCAGGAAATGCAGAGCTGGCTCCCCTGCTGCAAGTCTAGGGCCCTGGCCACTCGCCCAACCCCTGCCTGTGAACTCCCGCAATGCCCTATTTTCCTCGGCTCTACGTCATCCACTTCCAAGTGGTCAGTGCCTTCATGGACCCTGTTCCCTCCCGTTTTATGAAAACTGACTCTTATGAATGGCTCTGTTGAAATAATTTGCATGAAATTGTCATGACTGACGCGTGGCTTTAGCTATTTCCCTCCTCCAGAGGTGTTTGTCCATTGCCAGAGAAAGTAGCAAAAGCAGCCCTTCCCAAGTGAGCCATGTGTTTCAGCTCATGAAGCACTGTTCAGGAAGTCCTTGGTCTTGCTTGCCATTCACATCAGTCCTGGGAGATGGGCTGGCTGGGGATTACTCCTCCCACCTTGGAGGACATTAGGTTTGTTCATCACCATCCCCTACCCTCACTGCCCACCCCTGCCCATTTTCAAGGCTCTGGCCAAGTCTAGACCTTTATCTTGTCTTGCTGGAAATATTGAAATAGTCTTACCGGCATGCTGTAAGGAAAGGGCATGGGTTTGGGGGCATACAGGTGTCATTCACAGTTAGCCACAGCTAGTTCTTCTTAGGTCATCCTGGGGAAGCCCCTTCACCTCCTCCCCACCCCCCAAGCCTTGGCTTCCTCTTCTGTGTCATTTGCACAGTGATGATCGCTGCAGAGATTTGTGAGGACCCAAAAAGTGGGCAGACCTAAGTGTCCAGCACAATGACACACAGCAGGTGCACAGCACTAAAAATGAAGATACCAAAGATACTGCAGTACAGACATGCGTCACCTAATGACGGGGATGTGTTCTGAGGAACATGTTGTTAGACGATTTCACCTCGTGAACATCATAGAGTGTCCTTACACAAACCAAGGTGGGACAGCCTGCTGCACACCCAGGCTATACGGTACAGCCCATTGCTCCTAGGTTACAAAGCTGCACAGCATGCTACTCTACTGAACACTGTGGCAACTGTAACACAATGGCAAGTATTTATGTATCTAAACATATCCAAACCTAGAAAAAATGCAAGAGGCTGGGCGCAGGGGCTCATGCCTATAATCCCAGCACTTTGGGAGGCTGAGGTGGGAGAATTGCTTGAGACCAGGAGTTTGAGACCAGCCTGGGCAATATAGTGAGCCTCTCTATATATAAAAATAAAATAAAGAAAAATTAGCTGTGTGTGGTGGTATATTTCTGTAGTCCCAGCAACTCAGGAGGCTGAGGCAGGAAAATTACTTTTGAGCCTAGGAGGTTGAGGCTGCAGTGAGCCATGATTACACCACTGCACTCCAGCCTGGGTGACAAAGTGGGACCCTGTCTCTAAAAATAAATAAATAAAAGGAACAATAAAATATTCTATAAAAGATTAAAAAATGATGCATGTGTATATGGCATTTGCCATGGTTGGAGCTAGCAGGACTGTCAGTGCACACTGCATACATTACATTTATACAATGTTTTTCTTCAATAATAATTAGCTTACTATAACTTTTTCAAAGTTTTATAAACTTTTTAATTTTTAAAAACTTTTTAGGCCAGGTGCAGTGGCTCACACCTGTAATCCCAGCACTTTGGGAGGCTGAGGCGGGTGGATCCTGAGGTCAGGAGATTGAGACCATCCTGGCTAACACTGTGAAACCCCGTCTCTACTAAAAATACAAAAATTGGCCGGGTGCAGTGGCTCACACCGGTAATCCCAGCACTTTTGGAGGCCGAGGTGGGCGGATCACGAGGTCAGGAGATTGAGACCATACTGGCTAACACGGTGAAACCCTGTCTCTACTAAAAATACAAAAAATTAGCCAGGCATGGTGGCAGGTGCCTGTAGTCCCAGCTACTCGGGAGGCTGAGGCAGGAGAATGGCGTGAACCCGGGAGGCAGAGCTTGCAGTGAGCCGAGATCGTGCCACTGCACTCCAACCTGGGCGACAGAGTGAGACTCTCTCTCAAAAAAAAAACAACAAAGAACAAAACAAAACAAAAACCCAAACTACCTTTTTGACTCATGTAATAACACGTAGCTTAAAGCACATTGCAGGCCGGGTGTGTTGCCTCGGGCCTGTAATCCCAGTACTGTGGGAGGCCGAGATGGGCAGATCACCTGAGGTCAGGAGTTCGAGACCAGCCTGAGCAACATGGCTACTACTCTACTCTACCATCTCTACTAAAAATACAAAAATTAGCCAGGCGTGTTGGTGCGCACCTGTATTATTGAAGTAAAACATTGAGGCAAGAGAATCGCTGGAACCCGGGACGTGGAGGTTGCAGTGAGCCAAGATCGTACCACTGCAATCCAGCCTGGGCGACAGAGTGAGAATCCATCTCAAAAAAAAAAAAAAATTGCATAGCTCTACAAAACATTTTATGTCCTTATTCTAGCTATTTTTTAATTTGTATTTTTGCTTTTTAAACTTCTTTTGTTACAAACTAAGACACAACCACGCACATTAGCCTAGGCCTCCACGGTGTCAGGTTCGTCAGTATCACTGTCTTCTACCTCCAGATCTTGTCCCACTGGAAGGTCTTCAGGGGCAATAGCATGCACGGAGCTGTCATCTCCTGTGGTAACAGTGCCTTCTTCTGGATACCTCCTGAAGAACCTGCCTGAGGCTGTCTTACGGTTAACTTTTTTAATAAGTAGAAGGAGTACACTCTGAAATAGTGATAAAAAGTATAATATAGTAAATAAGCCAGTAACATAGTCATTTATTATCATTATCAAGTATTATGTGCTGTACATAATCATATGTACTAGACTTTTTTTTTTTTTTTTTGGGACGGAGTCTCACTCAATTGCCCAGGCTGGAGTGCAGTGGCATGATCTCAGCTCACTGCAACCTTCGCCTCCTGGGTTCAAGCAATTCTTCTGCCTCAGCCTCTCAAGTAGCTGGGATTACAGGCACACGCCACCACACCTGGCTAATTTTGTATTTTTAGTAGAGATGGGGTTTCACCATGTTGGCCAGGCTGGTCTTGAACTCCTGGCCTCAAATGATCTGCCCTCCTCGGCCTCCCAAAGTGCTGGGATTACAGGCATGAGCCACCACACCCAGCCCTGTGCTAGACTTTTATACAATGGTCTGTGCAGTAGGTTTGTTCACACCAGTGTATGCTGTTACCAGGTGGCAGGAGTTTTTCAGCTCCCTTATAATCTTATGAGATCACCTCTGTATATGTGATCTGTGGTTGACTGAAACATTGTTATGTGGAGCATGACTGTAATAATAACAGCAGAAGACACATGTGTTGGACTTACCGTGTGCCAGGCATGCTCTAAGCACTTTTTAATAGTGTGAGGCCTTTAGAACAGTGCCTGGCATGTGGTAAGCACTACAGGAGTGTTTATTAAATAAAATTATTGTACATGTAGTAGCTTATTTAATCTTTACTAAAACCCTGAGAAGCAGTAGGTACTCATTACTCTCATGTTTACAGATGAGGAAACTGAAGCATGGAGACTCCCAGAATGCCGAGAATGTAGGGAGACAACTGTACAGTCAACCTTGACCTCTCCTCCACTTTCTCCTGGCAAATTCCTACGGATCCTTCAAACCCCTACTCCAACATCACCTGCTCTGGGAGCTCCCAGTCATTGGCCAGGATGAACTCTTAGACCTGGACAACAGGAAGAAGAAGGGAAAGAAGGGGGTGAGGGAGGCTGGCAGGGTGGGAAACGCAGGGGTGAGAGAATAGAGAAGGATGCAGGCCTTCCGGAGAAACCCTGAGTTGGATCATGGGAAGTGCATGACGGGAAGTCCTTGGTCCTTCTTCCCAGCAGAGGTGCCTCTGTCTTGTGGCTTGTCCTGCAAAGTCCAGCTGAGCCTCCAGCTTCCTTGAGGTTGGCTCTGTGGCATGCAAGTGAAGAGCTCCACTCCGGAGCCAAATTGCCCTGGTTTGACTCCTGACTCTTCTGCTTACTGGCTAGGTGATCCCAGGCAAGTTTTTTGACCCCTTTTACCTGGCTGCTTCTGGAAATAGAATGGGGATAATCATAGTACCCACCTCATAGAATTGCCATGAGGTTTCATCATTAATTCAAGGTACATAGAAAGTACTCAGTAAATACTGACCTGGATGATCGAAGTCATCTTGGATTATTGGTGAAGGTGCCGTCTCTTTTCTCTGAATTCCTGTTGTGCTTAAGCCTAAACCGCACAATTCAACCCAACACAAGTGACCGTAACAATGACCTTTTATGAGGTATTTACTAGCGGGCAGGCTGTATGCCTGGTCCTTTTTACGCAGTGTCATAGAGATCACCGTAACTCCATGAGGCACATACTAGTAATATGTGCATTTTACAGGTGAGAAAATAGAGGCCCCTTTGAAAGGTTAAAACTGTGTATAAACTTATAGAGCCAGTACGTGGCAGAATGAGGATTTGAATCCAGGCAATCTGACCCCGGAGCCCATGTGATTCTTTCTAGTTTGTTAGTCTCCCAATACTGATGGATACCTACGGTATGCCAGACACCATGCTAGGTGCCAGGGAAATAAAAGACACACAGTCCTGGCCCTCAGGGAACTCACAGCCTGGCATGGGGAACACAGATGTGGAGTCAGATACCTGAGAACATTGATAACGTTGAAGGGGGAGGGCTGGATCTGATGTCTGCATTGATCTGCTAGAGGCTATGTTTTATTTAATCATATTCTAACAATTATTGGGCATATGGTCGACACAATAAATAATGCTCTCTCTTCTCAAAGATAAGACAGACAGGCTTCTAGAGTTAAAAAGTAGCATACAAAGCACAGCTTTGACATTATTTTTAGGCTTCCAGAAAATCTGAAGTTGTCAAATACAACTATTACTGACATAGTGATTAATGAGTTACAGTTCTTAGAAAGCCCCTCCACTTCTGGCAACCACCACGCCT
Organism: Homo sapiens; assembly: GCF_000001405.40. NCBI lineage: Eukaryota > Metazoa > Chordata > Mammalia > Primates > Hominidae > Homo > Homo sapiens. The sequence continues at coordinate 30,860,133 of NC_000001.11, read as the reverse complement.
TTCCTAAGAGGCCTAGACAAATATAGCTAACTTCTGTTTGACATGAGGGATGCATGGTAATTCAGAATTCAATATGCCAAGTGACATAGAGACAGGTACAAGGCCTCTTGGCATGCAGAGGAGGGAACAACTAACTTTGCGGCTTCCTGGAGGAGGAAATATTTGGTTTGAGTTTTGAAGTCTATGTGGGAGTTCTCTGTGAAAAAGAAGAAGGGCAAATACTCTCTAGATTAGGGGACAAAAATGAGAAAAGCGCCCTTGCATGTCTGGGGAATGAAGGAAGTCAAGTAGGGCTGGAGTATTGGGCTCATGAGGGTGGGGATGGTGGTGAGGGCAGGAGGGTGGCTGGGCCTGCTGGGTCAGAAAGGGCCTTGACTAACATGCTTAATGGTTTGGAGTTTATCATCTTATAAGCAATTGATGTGCATGTATGTGTGTGTGTATGAGTGTGTGTGTGTGTGTGTGTGTGTGTGTGTGTGTGTGTCCCATGGAGCTTTTGAGAGAGAGATATGGGGCCAGGAGCGGTGGCTCATGCCTGTAATCCCAGCAGTTTGGGAGGCCGAAGCGGTGGATCACCTGCAGTCACGAGTTTGAGATCAGCCGGGCCAACAAGGTGAAACCCTGTTTCTACCAAAAAATACAAAAATTAGCTGGGCGTGGTGGCGTGTACATATAATCCCAGCTACTTGGGGGGAAGGCTGAGGTAGGAGAATCACTTGAACCCAGGAGACGGAGGTTGCAGTGAGCCGAGATCATGCCACTGCACTCCAGCCTGGGTGATGTATTAAGACTCCATCTCAAGAGAAAAAAAGGGGGGAGAGATATGGTCAAATTTGTGGTTTGTACAAATGGCTGTGGCAGTCTGCAGGGAGGTAGGTGGGAGGTTGGTGGCAGGGCTATCTGTTCCCCAGCCAGGCTGTTAAGGCCCCTGGGGGCAGTGACATGTCTTTTCCTCTGGAATTTTCCATAACACCCAGCAGGGGTGGGGCATGCAGCTGGTGCTCAACAAATGCCTGCTGTATGAAACACATGCATGCCCCTGAGTCAGTGGATTTCACAGCCTTCAGAGCCTGCCCTCTCCCAGCACTGTCCATGGTACTAACACACACCATTGCAAGCCCAGTGGGCTCCCTGGTGGCGGCCTAAGAGTGTGTGTGTGTGTGTGTGTGTGTGTGTGTGTGTGTGTGTGAAGTTGGGTGGGGAAGGAGACCCTCAGTGCCTGTGTCTTGCGATCAAGGCAGGGTCTCAGCTGTTCCAGTCTCAGAAGGGCTGCCCACGTGACCATGTGTCTGGAGGGCAGATCCCCACTTCATCTGGCCAAGCTTTAGCGCATGGATTTGAGGCAGAAATTGAAGCCAGACACAAAGAATGGGGCCTGAGTTGGGAAGTTTTGCATACCACACTTCTGAGTCTGCATCTGTAGAAAGAGCGTGACAAGTCCACATTTGTGTTCCAGGAAGATCACTCTGGTGGTAGCAGGGAGGACAGACAGGAAAGGAGAGACGGGAGTCTCTGAGCCCCATGTGAGCCCCCAAAACCACCCAACAGGACTTTGGAGAAAGAGGAAATGGGGTGGGGGTGGGGTAGAATAACTGGGCAGGCCTTGTTGGAGGAAGTAGGACTTGAGGGGGCTCTTGAAGGATTTGTAGAGGGAGAGGGGAATGCCAGGCAGGGTGAACAGCATGGGCAAAGGTAGAGAGGTGGGAACCATTGGTAGCTAAGAAAGAGTGGGGACACTCTTCCCTTTCTGTGACCTGTCCTTCCCACCTCCTCTCTGTGGACCTTTTGAGCAGGGAGGGGGCCTGCTCTGAGACTGAGCTCAGCTGCATCTCTGGGTGTCTCTTGCTGAGGGAGGGGGCAGGCTGGGTGCAGCTTCGAAAGGTCCTTCCATTGTGTGTGAGGCCCAGCCAGGACAGCAGAGGCGGGTGCACAGAGCCCTTTGTCCGCCGAGTCACCCACCAAGCGCTCTGGCGGTCTCCACAGTCCTCACTGACCTTACACTCAAGGCCGTGCCATAGAGACAGGTTGTTCTGCCTTGGCTGGCTCTGATATCATAGCTGAGGGAGGGGACAGGGGCAGGGGGTGGACAGTGGTGGCCTTTAAGGCTGTCCAAGGGCTGACAAATTGCCTCTTGCCCTTGAGGTGCAACGAATCACCATTTCATTAAATTCTTTAACACCATGATCTATAAAATGATGGAAACTTCCAGTACCTGAGAATCCCAGAATAATGGAATCTTTCTAAGATCGTGGAATCTTTCATAACAGACTCTGTGGGAATCAGAATTCTATTCTATAGAATAACAGAATCTTAAAAAACCACAGACTCTTTTAATATCTTCCTTCTGGGGTTGTGGTGAGAACAAAATGAAATACTACATGGAAGGTGGGTGCAGTGGCTCACGCCTGTAATCTCAGCACTTTGGGAGGCCAAGGTGGTTGGATCCTGAGGTCAAGAGATCGAGACCATAGTGGCCAAAATGGTGAAACCCTGTCTCTACTAAAAATACAAAAAATTAGCTGGGCATGGTGGCGCCCACCTGTACTCTGAGCTACTAGGGAGGCTGAGGCAGGAGAAGCGCTTGAACCCGGGAGGCGGAGGTTGCAGTGAGCCGAGATTGCGCCACTGCACTCCAGCCTGGTGACAGAGTGAGACTCTGTCTCAAAAAGATGAAAAAAAGAGAGATACTATGTGGAATGTACATAGAATAGGCCTGGAACATTGTAAATGCTCCCTAAGTGTCAGCTTTTTTCCCCATTTTGAGGAAAACCAGGCCCAGAGAGGTGATGTGACTTGTCCAGGGACATGCAGCTAGGAGGTGGTGGCACAGAACATCAGTGGCCTGGAGGGAGCCCCAGGTGGCCTGAGGGCCTCTGACACTGAGTCCCCCATGGCCAAGCCAGCTGGTCTGTGTCTTAATTAAGGTCTCCAAGGTGGGGGTAAGGGTGGGAGGATGAGAGGTGGGGGTGAGGGTGGGAGGCAAGAAGAGGGGGCCAGGGCTCCACCAATCCCTGTGTAACCTCTCTGGGGCTCAGTTTCTCCCATTTTAAAAGGGAAATAGTATTTCCCTTCCTACTTCCACCACTGGGGAGTGGTAAGGCCGCCACTCTGGTCAGGCCTCCCTGACTGTGTGTTCCTGGGTAAAGGACATCATTTCTCTGGGCCCACATCTTCACTGGTGCAATGGGGAGAATAAGGACGGAATCACCATGAGGATTGACTTGAGGAACTAATATCTTTTGAGACAGTGTTAAACATTCGGATCCTAGCTCTGTGGCTCCACGGGTCGGTGATTTGGGGTAAGTCTCATAACCTTCGGGTACTTCAGTTTCCGAAGCTGCAAAATGGAAACAACAGGAATGCTCATTTAGATGAGATGGGTTAATACAAGTGGAGCGAGCACTTAGAACTGTTCCTGGCAAGTGGAAGTGTTTAGCAGGCATCCACGATCATTGTTATCACATAAGGCTTAGTCATTGTGAGCAATTATAATTAATGGTCAGTGAAGAGCTTGCAAAGTGCTGCACAATTGTGTGTGTGAGCACCTGTGTGTGCATGTGAGTGTGTGTGTGTGCTCGAGTGTGTACGATGGTGCTTATTAAAAACAGAGCCTGCGGCCCAGAGTTGAGCTGTGTGCCTGGAATAGCTGCTTCTCCTGGCGGCCTCCCCAGGGACTGGAGTGTAATGAGTGTTTGCAGAGCCCCCCGCCAGGCAGAGATGAGAGGCACCGAGGAGCCAGCGCTGGAGCCAGGCGGCGGCTGGGAGCCCAGTGTTATTATATTAATGAGAACCAGGGTGATGATTACTATTAACGAGATTAGTCACCAGGGGGCCTCCCCACTTCACCAGGCTCGTGCCTATGGCAGGCGAGGCAGGCAGGCATTCTCTACACCCACCACTCTTCTCTCTGTCTCAGGGGAAGGGTTGAGGATTCCCTGGTGCCAGGCACAGTGCCAATCCCCTTACAGCCTTGTCTCACTGCATCTTTCCAAGCCCCTGGGGTTAAATATTGGTGGTCCCACTTTACAGGTGAGAAAACTGAGGCTCAGCAAGGGCTCTGTCTGACCTGGGAGCACAGATATTTTTATTGCCCCTTCATGTGATCTGCAAACATTGACAGTGAACCAAGCCCTGGCACTTTACATGGGTTAATCTTTTAGTCTTCACGACAATGCCATGAGGAAGGTGCTCTTGTTAACTCCCTCTGCATGAGGAAACGGAGGCACACAGCAGTTAAGTAACTTGCCATCTGCATCACAATGTCTCCCACTTTCCAGCAAGCCCCTCTCTCTCCAGCAGTCAAGGTGAAAGTGTGGCTCCCAACCCTTGGTTATTCTCTATATAGCCAACCGTACCCACGGCTCTGTGATCAGATGCTTGTGGGCAGTTTTTCTGCTTGTCTCTTGTCCCCACAGGTCCCTCAGCCAGGCCACCTCTGGGCACAGACTCCTAGTGCCACCCGCCAGGCAGAGCTGAGGCTGCCACCTACACATTTATGCCACAAACATTATCCTGGCCCTTCTTGGGGCCAAATGTCAATCCTTTTAGATGCACTCTAAGAAGTTGGGTTCTCATTTAACTTTTAGTGGACAGCTACTCTGTCCAGCACTGTGCCAGGCTGGGGACACAACAGTGGGAGAGACAGACCTGACCCTGTCCTCATGGAGCTCCTAGTCTCATGGACAAACTAGTACATGGCATATACTTAGTGTCAGTTTTTCTGAGTGCTTCAGTGGAAGGACGGTGGTCTGTGGACTGTGCAGGAGGGAAGAGTGCGGTTGGAGTGAGGGAGGAGTGAGGCAAGGAAGCCCTCTCTCAGAAGGTGAATTTAAGATGAGATGTAAGGGTTGAGCAGGAGCTAGACAGTCACCAAAGGGAAGAGCATTTCCGGCAGAAGTACCTGCCTATGAGGAGATAAGACCCCCAGGGAAGTCCTGCCTGTCTAATCAGTGCACCATCAATGCTCAGGTGTCTCCTTGGGCCAACAATCATTCACTCAATCAATCATCACTTCTCAGTTAATATTTTCTCATTCAAATAGTTCATTTACTCACTCATTTTTTCATTCATTCATTCTGTATTTCCAAATGCCCATCCATTTCAGTCTTGGTGTTGGTCAGGGGGACTCAGAATTGAATCAGTTGCAGTCTCTGTCCTGACGTTGTTTCCAATCTAGGGGGGGAGATGAATCCTTCCTTACACATGACACCATGTCATCAATGAACATGAAGACTCTTCCTCCAGGCTGGGGAGGTGGTAGTCAAGAAAGGCTTCCCAGAATAGGGGCCATTTGAGCTGAGTCTTTTTTTTTTTGAGACAGAGTCTCGTTCTGTCGCCCAGGCTGAAGTGCAGTGGTGTGATCTCGGCTCACTACAGCCTCCGCCTCCAAGGTTCAAGCGATTCTTGTGCCTCAGCCTCCTGAGTAGCTGGGATTACAAGCACGCACACCACGCCCAGCTAATTTTTGTATTTTTAGTAGAGATGGGGTTTCATCATGTTGGCCAGGCTGGTCTCGAACTCCTGACCTCAAGTGATCAACCCGCCTCAGTCTCCCAAAGTGCTGGGATTACAGGTGTGAGCCACCTTGCCCGGCCTGAGCTGAGTCTTTACAAATGAACAGGCACTCAGGAGGTAGAAAGAGGGAGGTGGGCAGTGGTGCACAGCATGTGCAAAGATATGAAGAACCCCAAATGCCAGGATGTGGCAGAGACTGCTGGCTTTGCAATGATATCTGTTTTTCCTTTCATATCCATAACACATGGAAGCTTGGAAGAAAGACTACGTTTCCCAGCGTGCTTTGCAGCCAGGTGGGGCCATGTGACTAACGTGGCCAATAGGATGCGAGCAGAAGTGTAGGCTGTTTCCCTTTGATAGTGGTGTGCCTGCCCCGTCCCTTTTCCCCTACCATTGGCGGAAGGTGCAGGTGGTCCCATCTTGAACATGTGAATGAGGGCAACACGGAATGACAACAGCTTAACAAGACAGAAGGAACTTGGGTCCCCTATGCCAAGGAGCACCAGCCTTTAATGGTTGATATGTAAATTATTATATGAGGGATAAAGAAACTTCTCTCTTCTTTAAGCCAGAGTTATTTTGGGTCTCTGCTTTAGAAGCTCAACCTATATCCTAGCTAATAACCAGACTAAAGGCTATTATCTCCTAGGGCACAGGGAGCTGTCAGAGTTCTGTGGGGAGGGCAGTGACATTGTCAGATTTGCGTTTTTGGAAGCTCTCTCTGGCCACAGAATGCACGATGGGTTGGAGGGGAGAGAGACTGGAGGCCGAGAGACTAGAGAAGGGGTTGATGCTTTCAAATGGGGCAGAGGTACCCAAGCCTGACCCAGGGCAGGCCAGCTCTATTGGTGCCTGCTAACAGAGAGAAGGCTAGGTTCTCTACCCAGGCCTGAAGCCAAGCCTTGTGGGCTGCCTGCAGCCACTCTCTCTTCCCATTACTTCCAGAGCTTCCAGCCTTGAATACAACCCAGAGGCCCCTCTTGTGAAATCTGACCTTCAGCTGCCAGTAGAGCCCAGGACAGCCCCTTCTGGGGAGGGTTGGTCATGCAGGACTGAAGGCGGAAGGCAGGGGCTCTGGAGGATGGATTTGGGGAGGAGGGAGAGGTAGGTGGAACAGAGCCTATGGTGGGGAGGGGGCTGTGTAGGCGATGGTGATGGGGCAAGGACAGATGGGAGAAATAATGAAGAAGGGGACTGTGCTAGTCAGGTCTCTTCTAGTTTCGGTACCAGAAACCCAACCAGAATACATGAAAAATGGGCTGCACCGGCTTCACCCCTGGCAGGCATGGGATGGTATCGGCTCAGGAGCACCTGGATCAGCTGGGACTCTTACCCTCTCTACTCTGTTGGTTTCCTTCTCTTCTGTTCTTGAACTCCTGGGCACACATGATCCTCTGGCCTCAGCCTTTAGAGTAGCTGGGACCACAGGCGTGCACCATTATGCCTGGCTAATTAAAGAACTTTTTTTTTTGGTAGAGTCAGGGTCTTGTTGTGTAGCCCAGGCTGGTCTCCAACTCTTGGGCTCAAGTTATCCTCTTGCCATGGCCTCCCAAAGTGTTGAGATTATAGGCACGAGCCACCACACCCGGCCTAGGCTCTTTTCTAAAGCACACTCTGTCACTGGGTCTGGGAAGTCCTCCCTGATCTCACCCCGGTCCAACAGAGCTGGGTGCTCCCTCCTCTGGGCCCAACGTTCCTGCTATGGCCCTCTCTCCAGGTACATCTCACCCTGTGCTCCAGTGAGGGACCCGCATAACTATGTCCTCCTAGGCTGGGAGCCCTCGTGTGTGTACTGCCTGCCTTTAGTTATCACCTCCTGTTCCGGCCTCCCTCCCTGAGCCTTGGTCCCACCAGCCCTTGGGTATCTGCCTGTGTCTCTCTATATGTCCTTGTGTGAAGGCATGTTTGTGTGTGTCTGTGCTTACGGGTGTGTGTCTGTGTATACCTATAAATCTATGCACCTAGAAGACTGTGGATGTGTGGTGTGACTGTGACCGTGGATGTTTGAGTATATGCATATGTGTCTGTCTGTGTGTCTGTGTGTGGTCTTTATATATGAATTATGTGTTCCTGCCTCAGTGTGACTGTGTGTATAGGACAGTCTGGGGTACTCCTCCCCTCTGGGACTTGGTAATATCGAGGTATACAACCGTAAACACACGCAGATCCACAGAGTTACAGATCCACAGAAATAGGCCCACACAGAGATACACACAAACACACACACGCGCGCACAAGCACACACACACCCCTGCCTCCCATAACCCTGCCCAGGGCTGGCTCTGGATGGTGCTACTATTCAGATGGCAGGCTGGGAGCCCTTGTCCCAGGCAGCCTGGCTGGGGTGGATTCCCGGGACTTCCCCTCCTCACATGAGAATGTTTTCCTGTGTACAAGCAGTGGCTAAGAGCCAGCCTCGCCATGCAACTTCCATTTCCACTCCTGAGGCCACACCTCTGGCAGCAGGATAGCAGGCTGGCCCTGTAGGCCATTGGTTCTGGAAAACACAGAGGTATTGGAGCCTCATCCAGCTGTCTCCCTTCTCAGACAACACTCCATGAGCACTGCAGTCTTCTAGCCATGGCATCTTAGAGCCACCATGACAGGTATTTATATTACTTTTTTTTTTTTGAGATGGAGTTTTGCTCTTGTTGCCCAGGCTGGAGTGCAATGGCATGATCTCGGCTCACCGCAACCTCCGCCTCCCGGGTTCAAGCGATTCTCCTGCCTCAGCCTCCCTAGTAGCTGGGATTACAGGCGTGTGCCACCACGCCCAGCTAATTTTGTATTTTTAGTAGAGACAGGGTTTCTCCATGTTGGTCAGGCTGGTTTCGAACTCCCGACCTCAGGTGATCCACCCGCCTTGGCCTCCCAAAGTGCTGGGATTACAGGCGTGAACCACCATGCCCGGGCAGTTATTTATATTACTATACCCTGCAGGTGCTGTGGGGCACACCCACAGGATGGGGAAAGAAGAGGGAGTGGCCCATCATTTATCAGGTAGATCCTGACATACCCCCAAAAGTCTATTCATTCCTGTATCCCCAGTTCCTAGTACAGTGCCTGCCACATAGTAGATGCTCAATAAATGTATGTGGAGCAAATTAATGAAGGAGGGCATTACTAGTCCATCTCACAGACATGGAAATTGAGGTTCAGAGAGGCAATTTGTTCAACAGTGACCAAGGGACAGAGACAGGATTGGAACCTAGGAACTGTCAAGGTATCAAGCCCCAGTTTGTTCCACTGTATACTAGGTTTACTCAAACTGAATAAGTGAAGTGTGAGCTCATCGCTGGGGCCCTGGAGGTCATCCACACTCATCTTCACTGCTTATTCTAAGTCTCAATTTCCCCATCTGTACAATGGGTTCAATGATAGCGTATCAGGTATGAAGTCACAAAATGGATGTATAAGAAATATAACTTTCTTTTTTATCACTGACCTGGATTTCTATTTTGAGCCCTCATTTCATTGAGTATAGCAGAAACATAATCTTAGTCATTTGGGGACCTCCTACCTGGGGATGATGTCTAAGTTGGGGAGACTGAGCAGAGGCGCTTTTGTAGTGACAGGCATGGGGGTTGGAGCCACGTCCTCGGGGTTGTCTGGCCCCTGTTGAGATGCTACCTCTCCTTTGTGGCCGGCACTCAGAGTCACAGCTACACTGACTTTTGTTCATCCCAAATCTGTCCAACTCCAGCTCTCAGCCCCTCCCAGGTGCACAGAGTTTGTTCTGGACCTGGGTGTGTGCTCCAAGTCCAGCCCCAGCACTTAGCAAATGTGACCTTAGCAATTCTCCTAACCTCAGTTTTCTTATCTATAAAATGGGGATAATAATTGCACCTGCTTCACAGGGTTGGTCATCAGAGTAAAGAAATTAATCCACAGTGAATGCTTAAAACAGCAGCAGGCACATGGTCACTGCTCAGTAAATGTGATTTTAGCTATTACAGTGATCTGTCCTTTTCTGGGGAGACTCAGCTCAGGATGGCGTGGAGGCCAGATGGGGCCCCTGCTCTCAGGTCACCTCTACACCTGCTAACTAATGAGAACATCCATCTAACTCATGAGGACACACATGGCCACCAGGCTGGGGACTGTCCTGGTGATGAGACAGCACATGGGGGGTCTGCACACATGCAGGGCTGCAGGGGCCTAGCAGGGCCTCAGCCCAGCTACATCCGGGAAACATCAGCCCACAAGCCCCTCATCTGTAGCCAAGTCTGTGACAGCTTTCTCTCTGGGGACTGCCTCCAGGTGCTCTCTGCCACCCCGCCCAGCCTGCGGTGCTGGAGGAGGGTTTCTTCCATACTAGCCTGACCGTGTCCCTGCCCTGCTCCCATCCCCTTCCCATGTGCCCCGTCACCTGCAGGGTCCCAATCAGAAACCTTCGTGTGGCCTTCAGGGCTCCCCACAACCAGGCTCCAACCTGCCTTCCCATCTTATCTCCTGCCGTTCTTTGCCCAGCATCCACTTCCTGCGGCTCCACTGCTCACTCTTTCCAAATTCCACCCCTGTGCTGTTTTCCTGCCTGGACTGGGGTCCTCTCCTCCAGCTGTGCCACTTAAAATGTAGTCTCTCCTGGACAGGTGTAGTGGCTCATGCCTGTAATCCTAGCACTTTGGGAGGCCGAGGCACGGGCGGATCACCTGAGGTTGGGAGTTTGAGACCAGCCTGACCAACATGGAGAAACCCCGTCTCTACTAAAAATACAAAATTAGCCAGGTGTGGTGGCGCATGCCTGTAATCCCAGCTACTCAGGAGGCTGAGGCAGGAGGATCACTTGAACCCAGGAGGTGGAGGTTGCGGTGAGCCGAGATTGCGCCATTGCACTCCAGCCTGGGCAACAAGAGTGAAACTTCATCTCAAAAAAAAAAAAAAATGTAGTCTCTCCTTGGAGCCCAGCAGCACGGCTGAGCCCTGGGCCTGGACAGGCTCAGCAGTGGGAGAATCAGAGACAGGGGTCAGGTGGGACCCCGGAGAAAGGTGCTTGGGGACAGTTGCAGCGACAGGCAAGAGGAGAAGCAGGCACGGAGGTGGGTTGGTGGTCCGTGCTTGGGGGCTGCTGTTCGAGAGGCAGGAAGGCTATAGAGTTAAAAGCTCCAAGCCAGACCCACTAGGTTTGAGTAGTGCTGCTGCTTTCTAGCTGGTGTCCCCAGGTAAATCGCTAAACCTCTCTGAATCTGTTTTCTCCTTTGTGAAAGAAGGTAAGAATAGTTGCTACCTCGCAAGATTGTTATCAGGGCAGAATGAGATGATATTTGTTTAGTGCCTAGACAGCGCCTGGCATACAGTAAGTGCTCAATAGATATGAGCTCTTCAGCTTGGGCAACATGGCAAAACCCCGTCTCTACAAAAAAGGCAAAAATTAGCTGGGCATAGTGGTGTGCACCTATAGTCCCAGCTACTCGGGAGACTGAGGTGGGAGAATCACTTGAGCCCGGGACGTGGAGGCTGCAGTGAGCTGGGGTTACACCACTGCACTCCAACCTGGGTGACAGAGTGAGACCCTGTCTCAAAAAAAAAAAAAGGCTCTTATTATTAGTGCAGCCTTTGGGAGGTTGGGGGCACAAGTCAGGATTTCAGACCTGGAGGGGCTGGACACCAGGCAGACAGTCAAAGCTGGGGCTGGTTGCTGGGGTGGGAGAATCAAAGTGAGAATAACAGCATCTACTGTCTGAGGACTTTCTGTGAGTTTGACTCAGGGCTGGGTGGTTTAGATGAATTACTTGTAAGATCTGCACCACAACCCATAACAGTGTTGTGGGTCTAATTGTGTCCCCCAGAAAAACAAGCTCACATTCTAACCCCTGTACCTGTGAATGTGGCCTTATTTGGAAATAGGGTCTTTGCAGATGTAATCAGGTCAAAACGAAGTCACAGTGGATTGTAGTGGGCTCTAATCCACTGACCAATGTCCTTATAAGAAGAGGGACATTTGGATACACACCTACACAGAGGGAAGACAAAGACGGGGGCAGAGATGGGAGTTATGCAGCCACAAACCAAGGAACATCAAGGATCTCTGGCCACCACCAGAAGCTAGGAGAGAATCATCCACATCATTTTCCCCCAGAGCAAACCCTGCCAAAAATCATGGCAGGAACCAACCCTGCCAAAAATCTTGTTTTCAGACTTTTGGTCCCCAGAACTAGGAGAGATTGAATATCTGTTGTCTTAAGCCAACAAGTTTGTGGCAGTTTGTTTATGGCAGCACTAGGGAACTAACATGACCTCTATTTCATAGACGAGGAAACAGAAGCTCAGAGAGGTTAAGTCACTAGCCTAAGGCACACAGCCGGCAAGTACCAAGGTCAGGATTTGCACCCGGGGATGCAAAGCCTCTGCTCCTAGCCAGTGGCATGTCAGACTGGCCACCTTGAGTTAAAGTTGTTTGTGCCCAGGTTTTGCAGAGTGGGTCTGGCTGGTCTCTGTGTCCCCAGGGACAAGTGTCACGAAGCCGGATGGTGTGTGCATGTTAAAGACAAAGGGGTCCTGCAGGAGACCCCAAGCCTCCTTCCTCAGGGCTCCAGCTGGGGAGGCGACAGTGGCCGAGGATCACATCCTAGGTCATCAGGGCACTGAAAAGTCAAGCTCCAGGCTCTGACAGTGTCTCGGGGGCCCTGACTGAGGGTCCACTGGGTGCCGAGGGCCCCAGATGAAGCTGGCCCATGTTTTCAGAAGACTCAGGTTTTAATCCCAGCCTTACTTCTCACCAGCCTTGTGACCTATGACCTGGGGCAAGTCACCTCACCTCCTTGGGCCACAGTTTCCTCATCTGGAAAATGGGCATGAGACTCTCAGGGCTGAGACGAGGGCAAGGTCAGAAAGCGCTTTGGGAGCAGCTGAGCTGGAGACAAAGGGCGATTGTTGCTGGTGCTTCTCTCACCCACACAGGGCCGCCCGCCCCGGGAGATGACGCAGGGAAGGTTGCCCCAGCGACAAGTTTCCTCCATTACAGAGGGGAGCTGCAGGGAGGGGAGGGAGGGGCTGGATGCAGTGGCCCGGATTCCCTCTGGGAAACAGGAAGTCCCTGCTGCCCAGGTCACTGCCCCGGCTGCAGGAAACCGGCTGACTCCGTCCGCTCCTGTTCCCCCTCCCAGCCCAGGAAGGGACTCACTCTCTTGTCACAGCCAGGCCCAGCTTCTGAAGGCAACTCTCAGACCTGCTGGGCCCCAAGAGGGGAAGGCACCTGCCTCAGGTCACCCAGCACACAGAGGCGCGCAGAAGCAGGACTCAGGACTCGTGGACTCTCAGAGCTTAGCATAACAGCGTCACTGATGGCTTTTGTCTGTGCCTTCCTGTCAGACTCTGCTGAACGCCCTACAAGTAACAGCCCATCCAGTCCTCAGAACCCTATGAGGCAGCTCCACGATTACCCCTATTTTACAGATGAGGAAACTGAGCCAAAGGTTTGTCCAATAGCCGCCCCAGGTCACACAGCTCATAGGTAGCAGCGTCAGGATTTGCACCAGCCAGTCAAAGCTGAATAAAGTCCCATAGCATCTGGCCCAGTTCTCCCATTTTGAAATGGGGAAATTGAGGCTAGAGAGGGGAAGGGACATGCCTCAAACCACACAACAGGTTAATGGCAGGCTGGGGCTGGCCTCAGGCCCCCTGGGGTGGACCCAGTTGCTTGCCACCCTCTTCATTTTTACTCACAGAGCCCAGACTTTCTTCATGGTGGCAAAAGGCGCCCAGACTAAAAGACCAAAACTGTTTTTTTTCCCCTTCTCCCTGGTTTATTGGGATGCCACATGACACATTCTAGCCCATGAAATCTGAGCAGGTTCACTGAGTGTGTCTTCAGGAAAGTCTGGAGGCCACCCAGGGGTATTATAGGCTTTTGGCTCCTTGCCAGTCCCCTTCCTCCTGCCCAGAACGCAGGCAAGATGCTGGCCCCAGAGCAGCCACTTTGTGGTCCTGAGGCCACGAATCTGAGGAGGAAGCCGTGAAACTGAGGAACAAGCCACAGGTGGAAGACGGCTGAGTGGAGCGAGGAGGGTGCCCAATGGCTTTGGGGTATGCTTCTCCCAGCCCGGGGTCTGCCTTCTCCTGGACTTCTTGTTAGGGGAGAACATCCCTCTGATTTAAAGCTCAGTTTTTTTTGTTTGTTTTTAATTTTGTTGCTTGTAGCTGATGTAGTTTTTACTTATTTGTGTCTAGACTGTCTGAGTCTTAAATTTTAATCAAGTTGGTGTTGCAAGAACCCTGCGGAAATATCTAGTTGATTTTCAAATTCTGTGCATCTGTGCTTTAGGGGAGCTGTGAAGCCAAAACCACTGATTCAAATTACACAGATGTGTATGCCTACCTCTCAATTTTCCAGGCATTACAGGAGGACCCCATCTCCTTGCTTATCAAAGAGAAGCTCTGTTTTTCTGCTGCTAAAAAATGTCTAAAAGCCACAACCAGTCAAACCGTTATGGAGAAGGTGAGGAAACTGAGGCTCAGAGAGACCGTGGTGGACTGAAGCTGAGGACAGCAGGGTCGGTAAAGACGCCCCACAGCACCTGGTGGTGGAGCAAGGGGCTGGCAGGCAGGAAGATTCCATGTCAGGTGGCAACCAGCCCCGTGAACACAGGTGCAGACAGGGAGTGCCTCTGAGATGCCTGGATAGAGGAATTCACTGTGACTGTTAGAGGAAAGAGGTCCGACCCAGACCCCAACACTGGTTCTTGGATCTCGTGGAAGAAAGAATTCAGGACAAGTCCCTACAGTAAAGTGAAAGCAAGTTTATTAGGAAAGTAAAGGAATAAAGAATGGCTACTCCATAGGCAGAGCTGCCCGGAGGGCTGCTGGTTGCTTATTTTTATGGTTATTTCTTGATTATGTGCTAAACGAGGGATGGATTACTCATGTCTCCCCTTTTTAGACCATGCAGGGTAACTTCCTTATGTTGCCATGGCATTTGTAAACTGTCATGGCTCTGGTGGGAGTGTAGCAGTCAGTGATGATGACCAGAGGTCACTCTCGTCACTGTCTTGGTTTTGGTGGGTTTTTAGCCGGCTTCTTTACTGCAACCTGTTTAATCAGCGAGGTCTTTATGACCTGTATCTTGTGCCAACCTCCTCTCTCATCCTGTGACTTAGAATGCCTTAACTGTCTGGGAATGCAGCCCAGTAGGTCTCAGGCTCGTTTTGCCCAGTCCCTATTCAAGATGGAGTTGCTCTGGTTCAAACACCTTTGACATGACTGGCACGGAACATGGAGCAGTGAAGTAACATGCAGGAGCAGTGGGAACACGGGCTGAGACGTCCCTGTCACTGCATTCTAGACCCTGGGCTCAATGATGGGGGTGCACTGGTGAGCAAGACAGGCTTCATCCCTGCTTCACAGAGTTCTGGAAAGTGCTCAGACGCAGGGTGCTTCACAAAGGAATGGCCTGCACCCACTTCCCTAGTGGAGGCATCATGGGAAGAGGCTTTGGCCAGGCATCAGGGACCATGTCTTCTCATTCCTGCTCAGCCGCTGGGCTGAGCCCCATCTTTGCCCTCTCTGGGCCTCTAACGTGGCTGGGGGAAGAGGAAGGGTGAGGTTCTTTCCAAGGTCTCTTTGTGCGCTGACATCCAGAGAGTCTGGTGTAACAGGAATGATAGATATTTTTACTGTACCTATGTGTTTCTAAACTGCTTTTATGCCACTCTCTTCCTTTTCAGCCAGAGGCACCCAGGGTCTTATAGAGCAATAGGATTGGGGATCAGGAGTACAAAAGGAAAGAATTGATGTTCAGCTTTTGACGGAATAGGATCCTGCAGTCTTTAGCCAGATAATGGTCTTGAAAGCCAGGCTTTGTTGAGAGAGGGGAAAGGCTTTCTAAGTCTCCAAAGCCGTCTTTGCATATCAAGAGCCCTGCCTGGCAGAGTCTGAGATCACAGGAGGAGTGTGGAAACGATGAAGGAGATGGAAAGGGACATTCCTACTGGACAAGATAAGCGAGCAGAGGGTAGGAGTGTCTGTGGGCACAGCGGGGGAGACAAGGATTCTGGTGAAGAGGGGCCAGGGTGAGGACAAGTGTGGGTCCCAAGGAAAGCCCTGAGGGCCCTCCCTCCCGGGCATCAGCCCCTGGTGGGGATGAGTCCACAGATACTAGAAACACTAGACTGAGTCCTAGAACATCCACCTTACCACTTATCCAGTGTGGGGAAGGAGGCGGGATTGTGGGGGTGAAAACACAACGTGGGTAGAAAGAGGGAGCTGGTTACGTGAGGTTGACTGAGCACTGGGGGGTCCTCATGACCTGGGCTGGGTGCACAGGAGGCCCAGAACTCCAGCATGCGCCTGGGATCAAGAGGCCAGCAGAGCGGGGCACTTTGTGGCCAGGAGGGAAGGGGGGCTTCCTGGGCCACAGCAGGAGAGGCTGGCTCAGGACCAGGTTGGTGAGACCCATTCCGTGGCTGATGCACTGTGGCCAGTGCTGAGAGGAGCAGGAAGAGGGGCCTTGAATGGGTGCCACCGTGGACCAGGTGTGTAACACAGCGACAGGAGACCCCACCCACTGCTCCCAGGAGACTCCCAGGTTCCTCCATTTGCCCCTTTCCTGGCTGCCATATTTGGACCTTGAGAACTTGTTGGAAGGTTCCAGAAGAAGAGTGCAGCTACTCATATACCCTTGACTGAAGAACAGTCCTCTATCGAGGATGGTTGTCCTCTTAGACTGAGTGTGCAGCTTCCGGAGGAATGCACAAGGGCGGTGAGGGAGGAAGGGGACACCCGCCTAGCCAGCCAGATCAGCAGAATCAACCCTGCGATCAATAGGGTGACAGATGTCACAGCCAGATCACCCTCACATTTAGGCTGCCATATTTGGAGGAGAAATGGGAAGGGGGAGAAATCTTGAAACATTGAGCATTCACCCAAGGCAATGGTGTAAACACCAGAGAGACCATATTAAACTGGAGGGGACAGAGCCCTGCTTAACTGGTGATGAACTTGCCAATTAAAAGTCCCCTCTTCGGCCAGGTGCGGTGGCTCATGCCTGTAATCACAGCAATTTGGGAGGCTGAGGCGGGTGGATCATGAGGTCAGGAGTTCGAGACCAGCTTGCCCAACATGGAAACCCTGTCTCTACTAAAAGTAAAAATATTAGCCGGGTGTGGTGGCACATGCCTGTAATCCCAGCTACTCGGGAGCCTGAGGCAGGAGAATCGTTGGAACCCAGGAGGTGGAGGTTATAGTAAGCCGAGATCGTGTCACTGCACTCCAGCCTGGGAGACAGAGCAAGACTCCATCTCAAAAAAAAAAAAAAAAAAATAAGAGTCCTGTCTTCTACCTTTATGCCCCATCAGTGGGATGGAGGTTGGAGCGTGAGATTAGGTCATGTGTAAGAAGTATGAGGAAGCTACATTTGCATTTGCTTTCCCTTTGTGCATCTGGATCCTAGTGCGTAATTCCAAGCTCCCTATATACCAGGAGAAGGGTATGCTCATCTTCACGTTTGTCCTTCCCTCCTCTTTGTTCAGGTTTTGCTTTGCCAGTTATGTGGGTAGAGGCTGGCAGTAGGGGTAGGAAGCACTCAGGTGCTATCTGCCTGGTCTGTTAGGAAGCATTGTCATATGTGCTGTCTTATTTGATTGTATTAAGGATAATCACTCCTACTTGGGGCAACTGAGGCTCAGAGAGGGTGAGCACTTTGTCCAAGGTCACACAGCAAGTTGGTGACAGAGCTGGGATTTGAAATTGGATCCTCAGATTCCAAAAGTCATGTGCTTCTCTCTTACGCAGGCACTCTGGGGAGCATTATGACCATGTGATTGATGATGGTGGTGACAAGGGCACGATCTACTTGGGAACCCTCCCAGCATGTGACAGGAGGCATCTACAGTGATTAGTCAGGGGCCACGTAGGGGCTGCCTGCTGGCTTCCGGCCTCTCACAGCAGTGGCTTCTGAGCCATTACTCTTTCTGCACTGTGTGAGGAGGCCAAGACGGAAAGCTTCAAATACGCCTGGCAAAATGATGTGCAAGAAAGGATCACGCATCTCATGCCAATTACGATGTTGGAAGAGAATAGAGTCTAATTATCCTACAATTACCTTTATTTATCAAACTCAGAGTGAAGCTTGATTATGAAGCGTCTCATGAGAGCTATCTGGGGTCGGAGGTGGTCTGTGTTCCAACAGGTATCCCAGCCACCGTGAGAGGAGAGACCAGCCTGTGGGGGCATCTGAGGAGCGAGGATAGGGCCTTGGGCTGGCTTGCAGTCTGTCATGCCCCCTTCCTGGGTGGCGTGGAAAGCTGAGACTCAGTGTGCACCCACCCTGTGCTTGACGCTGTGCTGAGACTTTTCACACATGCTGTGGAGTTCCTTTTGTGGATCACAAATGAGATACCATTTAATCCTCCAAACAAGGCTTGACCAAGGTGTCACTGGAAATCTTCCTAGGGCCCTCTGGGTGGATCAAATGACTCTCCATACCCCACTCCCCAGCCCTTGGTGGGGTCTTTACTGTCCTGAGGGTTGAACTGTCCAAAGCTGTCTTTGTCTGAACTGAGATTTCTGCAAAGGCCAAGACAATTTTTGACTCATGTTGGTATCCCCAGTAGTTGGTATCCCCTGGGACAGAACCTCCGGTAGAGTCTTTATAAATGTTTGTCGAATCAATGAGTGACCGTAAGGAAACTAAGGCTCATGAGAGGTTCAGTAACTTGCCCGAGAACAGACAGTTAATCATTCTCAGAGCCAAGAATCAATCTGTTTGAGAGCTTCATACTAATGAGAGGAGAGAGTTCAAGGGCTTTGAAAAGTATGCGGGACCAAGGATAAGCTAAAGGCACTGTCACCATCATTGCACGGTCACATGTCCACAATAAAGAGAGGACCACTGGGATGCATCAGAATACACATTCAGTGAACGAAAGAATGAATGGGGCACCATTTTATATGCTGCAGAGATCCATGAGATATGATCTCTTATGTCAAGGAATGCTCAGTTTAGTTGGGGAGACCGATCCAGAAAGACAGTGTGACACGTGCAGTAAATGCAGGGCTTCAGAGTCCTGTGTGTGGTCCTGACCCAGGTGGGAACCCAGAAGGTTTTCCTGGCACACTTGACACTTAGGGTGAGTCTTAACAGATGAGGGACAAGGCAGGGAGGAATAAATAAGCCAGGGAAAACAGCGTATGCATGGGGCCTGTGGGGAGGGAAGGCTTGGTGCAGCAGGTGCCGTGGGCAGTACAGCAGTCAGATCCACAAGTGAGCTTGAGGAAAGGAGAGGAACAAGAGGACAGATAATGAACATCTTGAGGGTAAAGAGTGGAGGAGGTAATAGGACATGGCGGTGATCTCAGGCATTAGGGAATATCCCAAGGAGAGGCAGAATTGGACTTGGAGAGCTGGAATCATCTGTCTCTGTCCAAGAGGGCGCTGGAAGCTGCAGGACGTGAGGTTGCAACCCTGGCCTGGCCCAGGGCCAGCCTGCTAAGCCAGCTGTCCACTCTGTCAGCTCTCAACCTGCAAGCTCTTAAGGTTCCCAGTTGCTGATCCGCCCTGCCATATCCAGTGGCACAAGAAAGGAGGAAGCAATTGAGGTTTGCTCAGTTTCCTCTAGTCCTTCCGCGAGCCCTGTGGCTGGCTCCAAGGAACAATGCCTCGAGACAGCGTTTTGCAGCAGAATGGTTGGAGGGGGCAGAGGTCAGGTCTCCTTTGCATTTGTATGTAGGCTGCTGCCTGGCCACAGCCCATGCTTGCCCAACTGTGGCTGAGCTGGCTAAAGGAACTCAGAAGGACTCAGCATTTATTGAGGGCATACTGGGGGCTTCACACGGTGCTGGGTGCTTGGATCTTCATAGCAGACCCGCTAATGGAACTCTGTTCTCCTTTTATAGATGAGAAGGCTGCTCAGGTGGGTTAGGGGGCTACCCATGGACAGGGAGCTCATGAGAGGCAGGGCAAGGATTTGGACTCAAGACCATCTGAGTCCACTGTGCCAGGCTGTCTTACCTGAGCTTCTTTACAGACCAAACATTTCTCTGGCAGGGCAAGGCCCTGCACGAGAGTCAGCAGGGCACAAGACTTTCCAGATGACAGGCACTGAAGGCAGGTATCAGCCTTGACAGGTGGGCCCAGGGCACATGAAGTAGGACGGAGCATGAGGGTTGGAGGAAAGTACTGGAAAAGCTCAATTGTCCTCAGCCAGTTCTGACCTTGAATGCTTTGGAGTGAGTGCTCTTCAGAGGAAGACAATAATACTATTGTTAGTCCTTTATATTTTATATATGTGGAGATATATATATATATATATATCTCCGTGTATTCACCCCAACCATCTACCCTCACATCTCCCACAAATATCCATCCATCCATCCATCCATCCAGCCATCCATCCATCCATCCATCCATCCATCCATCCATCCATCCATCCATCTATCCATCCATCCCTCCACCCAATCATCCATTCGTCCATTCATCCATCCATCCACACATCCAATCCCCTCAAGAATCCACCCATCCACCCACTCATCCATCTACCCATCCATCCATCATCCATCCACCCACCCATCCACCTACCCATCCACCCATCCATTCCCTATCCATCCACCCATCCACCCACCCACACATGCACGCACTCACCCATCCATCCACTTATCCATCTACCCATCCATCCATCCATCCACCCACCCACCTGTCTACCCATCTATTCCCTATCCATCCACCCATCCACCCAACCACACATCCACCCACCCATCCATCCACCCACCCATTCATCTACCCATCCACCCATCTACCCACCAACCCATCCATTCATCCATCCACCCGCCCATCCTCCTATCCATCATTCATTCATCCAGATGCCCACCCACACACATTGGTTAATTCAGTGGTTCAATGACAAGCTTCAAGGACCCAGCCTCTTTCTGCATGTTTGCTGTGTGGTCCTGAGAATGTCAGGCGTTTGTCTTCTCTCTCATCTCCTCATGGTTGCAAGATGGCTGCACCGTCTCTATGCATGTTATCCTCACACATTAGTGTTTGAAGGCAGAAGAAGGAATGTCTCCTGTTTGTGTTCCTCTAATGAGGAAAATATTCCTGGAGGGTCCCCAGTAGACTTCCCTTCATATCTCCTGGGCCAGAATTGCATCCTATGACTATTCCTAAACAACTGTCTGGCAAGGGAAAAGAGACCATCCTGATGGCCTTAAACTCAACAAGATGTATTGCCTGTGGAGAGGGCACAGGCTTCTCCTAAGCTGCAAGAGACTTGAATAAAATTGGGATTCATTTAGCAAGGAAGAAGGCAGAGGAAGAGGGGGGTGGCTGTTGAGTAGGCAAATGTGCCAGCCACTCCTTCCATCTTCCATTCACTCATCATCCACACAGCGATTCATCCATCCATGCAGCCCTCATTTATCCATCCATGCATCCATTCATCTATCAAACGTTTATTGATGCCCACTGTGAGCCAGGCCCTATGCTCTCGGGCTGGTGAGAACTCACAAGAAAAAAGATCTCGTTAGGGAGAAATATGGAGTTTCCCATAATACCCTGACAACGGCTTTATTTAGTCACAGTAAGAATAATATCTGAGGATCGTGCTGTGCATTGCAGTTTGCAAAGATCTCCCAGGACCACTCCTTCATTCCACACACATTTATTGAGCATCTGCCGCATGCCAGGCAGAGCTTTTTAGTTTTACAAAGTGCTTTTTCCTACATTTGTCAGAAGGATCCCTCCAAAGTCAGAGACCAAATGTTTTCCAGAGGCAGGAATGAAGCATCCCTTGGGTCTTCCTCAAAATCAAGAGTCCTCTGGGGCCAGGATTCTTGGGAAGCTTCTCCTGGGGGGAGGCAGACAGTGTTTTCCAGAGACAGGGCTAGAACTCTAGACTTTCTAAAACAGTAGACTGTGTGTTTTCCAGAGCTTGTGATTGGGCATTGTTCAGAGCTGGGGTGGGGGTTTCACAGTCCACACACAGGGTGTCTTCTAAGCTCGGTATGATGGAATTGTCGCTTTGCTCAGCACACAGGGGCATCTCCACTGGTTCCAAGGGCACAGATTTTTTCTCTGCCAAACCAGGAAGTGTCATGGCCAGCCCTCCAGGGACTATGAAGTTATAAACATAAATTTGTCCTTGATACAGATGCCTCCATCTGAGTTAGGCCCACTAGCCTGTTACTTGTCTACGCAACATATTAGGACCTCCAAAGTCACCATGATATCCCATCACAACTACTCATCATGCCTTGTTCCATCTTCTGGGGACCCCTCTGCTCACAGTATGTCAAAATGCCTGTAAACACCATGTCCATTCATGTGTCAGCTAGGAAATGAGCCTTACCTACTGGGTGATCAAATTCTAGGTCTCCCGGATCGGAGGAAATGCTTTAAATATATATGTGTTATTAGAGCTATTAAGATATTGTCAGGACCTATTAGGCCATTAGGAATGTCAGTTTTTCAGAGCATTCTTGCCTTTCATGTCCTCTTAAGTCTTTGAGTTGACCTCATTGGTTTAGAGAGAGGATGCCATAAATCAAGTGATACGGGGTTAGCCGTGTGCATGGCTTGGAGTCCTCCATGCCAGGGCCTTGGGAGTCCTTCAGACTTCTGAGCTGTGATTTCTCCAGACTCAGGACCTCAGAGTCTTCCATACCCAGGGATTCAGAATCTGCCACAGTCATGGATCAGAGTCCTCCATTCTCAGGGGGCTTAAATGGTAACATGATGCAGCTGGCTCATTCTGGTGATTGTAGGAGGCAATTGCAGCCATTGTCTTCTAAATCTGCTTTCAGTGATGTCACACCGATAACTTGAAGTCAGTCATGGTGGGAGTGTAAATTGGCAAACACCACCAACAAGCAGCTCCTCTCCTCCTGCCAAGAGCTTGTTGTTAAACATTTACCATTACACCACTGGGCTCAGACATCTACAGATATAGGGGTAGGGAATGTGCCACAGCCAAGGGCAATGGGTTTTCCTGACCTCATGATGAAAGATTTTCTAGATTTTGGGGCATTGTATTTTCTAGAACCCTGGGCAGAGTATTTTTATAGTCACAAGAAATGTTTTCTACACCTTGGGATGGAGGGTTTTCCAGAGCCCTGAATAGAAGTTTTCTCAGATCTAAGAATAACATTTTCCAGAGCTGGGATTGAGAATTTTCTTAAGCCAGAAACAGAAAATAAATATTGGGGCCCCCAAATCACTAAGCTAAAGGGAAAAGTCAAGCTGGGAACTGCTTAGGGTCAACCTGCCTCCCATTCTATTCAAAGTCACCCTTCTGCTCAATGAGATAAATGCATAACTGATTGTCTCCTTTGGAGAGGCTGATGAGAAACTCAAAAGAATCCAACCATTTGTCTCTTAACTACCTGTGACCTGGAAGCCCCCTCCCCACTTCAAGTCTTACGTCTTTGCTTCGAGTCGTCCCGCCTTTCCAGACTGAACCCATGTTCATCCTACATATATTCATATATTCATATCTCATGTCTCCCTAGAATGTATAAAACCAAACTGTGCTCTGACCACCTTGGGCCCATGTCACCAGGACCTCCTGAGGCTGTCACGGGCATGTGTCCTCAACCTTGGCAAAATCAACTTTATAAATTAACTGACACCTGTCTCAGATTTTTGGGGTTCACAACCCCAATTCATAGTCATAGACTTTTCCAGAGGTAGGTAAAGAAAATTTTCAAGATGAAGGATCATCTCTCATTCAAGAGTCGAGAATGGCATCTCCTTCACAGGCAAAGGATGTTGGTGTTCGGGCTGCTTGACACTTCAGGACCTCCGTTCATACTGAGACCATATCAAACCTCTCTCTCCTTGGTTGCAGCTTCCAGACAGAGTGTGACAAATCTCACAGTGTCTCAGCCGATAAATCAACCCCCAAAGATGATCAAGTTCTAGGCCCCCAAGGTCAGAGTGAAAACTCATTGAGTGATTTTACTATTGTGAAAACAAAAGTCTGCAATCAAGTTATCTGCATGAATCCTATGCATGTAATGGACTTTGGGGCCTCTGTTGTCGACCAGTGTTAACTTCTCCTCCTTTCATCTTTATGTTGGTAAATTCTCGGTAACTTGTTCAGGTGCTCTAAATAAGTAGCAGTCAATAAACCTAGATTTTGGAATAAATAAGGACTTTGGTATCATCAGAATCATGTTGGGATCCTTGGACAAGTTACTTGACCTGGGCTTTAGTATCCTCGTTTGACACATGGCAATAATATAGCCATGTGTGCAAAGCTCCCCAGCATGGAAACTAAAAGGTAGAAGTTTTCTTGTTTCTTTTTTTTGGTTTGAGACAGGGTCTCACTCTGTCATCCAGGCTGGAGTACAGTGGCACAATCTTGGCTCTCTGCAACCTCCACCTCCCGGCTTCAAGCAATCCTCCCACCTCAACCTCCTGAGTAGCTGGGACCACAGGTGCATGCCACCACACCTAGCTAATTTTTTTTTTTTTTTTTTTTTTTTGTAGAGACGGGGTTTCACCATGTTGCCCAGGCTGGTTTTGAACTCCTGAGCTCAAGTGATCTGCCCGCTTCAGCCTCCCAAGGTGCTGGGATTATAGGGGTGAACCTCTGTGTCTGGTCTGAAGCCTTCTAATAAATGTAAGACACAGGCCGGGCGTGGTGGCTCACGCCTGTAATCCCAGCACTTTGAGAGGCAGAGGCGGACGGATCACAAGTTCAGGAGTTTGAGACCAGCCTAGCTAATATGGTGAAACCCTGTCTCTACCAAAAATACAAAAATTAGCCAGGAATGGTGGTGCATGCCTGTAGTCCCAGCTACTTGGAGGCAGGACAATCGCTTGAACCTGGGAGGTGGAGGTTGCAGTGAGCCAAGATCACGCCATTGCACTCCAGCCTGGGCAACAAGAGAGAAACCCTGTCTCTCTCTCTCTCTCTCTATATATATACATATACAAAAATTAGCTGGGCGTGGTGGCACGCACCTGTAGTCCCAGCTACATGGGAGGCTGAGGCAGGAGAATCGCTTGAGCCCGGGAGGCGGAGGTTGCAGTGAGCCGAGATCGTGCCACTGCACTCCAATCTGGGTGACAGAGTGAGACTCTGTCTCAAAAAAAAAAAAAAAAAAATATATATATATATATATATATATATATATATATATATATATATATATAAAATAAATGTAAGATACAATAGAGGCAGTGAGGAGAAGCAAGGCCTAGCCTACTGGGGTCTGACAGTATTTAACAGGGTGCCGTGGGAAGGCCTGGCTTCCTCCCGTGACCCTCAAGTTTCCACACTGTAAAATCAAGGGTTAAAACATGGATGGCACAACTAATACCCTCATCTGCTCAGACATGTATTAACATCCTATGAACTGAAGCTTGGCCTTCAGAAAGCTGCCCCAAAGCCAGTCCTTCAAGCAGGGAGAGTGGAATCATTTCTCAATATCTACAATTACATCCTTTGTTGAAGGGGCTAGGTGAGGTTCTGATGGTGTAAATATGGTGACTTGGCCAAGGCCTTGGAATAGAAGACACCTCTTGGCAAATCAATCGTCCTCCCTGGAGATTTCCCAGACAGAGATGAAAAACAAATAGGAAATTAAATGTTCCAGTGACAAGAGAGAAGCAAAGCCTTCCTTCTCTCTCTGAGAAGCACTCTGTGCCCAGAAGGGAAGTACAAGAATTTCCACCACATCAACTGAATCTGTTCCCGAAGATGTGTTGGAAGGAAAAATGTTTGAGTCTATGGCATTCCGGGCCCACCCAACTCCCAACAAATGAACTCAAATATCTCAAAAGCATTGTTAACACCTATCTAGCAACCTTTCAAGGACTTCTGCCTAAAACAAAGCGTTTTAATGGAAGCAAATAAAAACATTGTTATTATTTTAAAATCACCCAGTAACTTAACCCTAAGCAAACAATCAGTGGGTAGGTTTCTGTGCATTGATATTATTCAGTATAAGATGTGAAGGAGGTTTTCCTTCTGCACCACAACAAACATGTGCTGCAGTGTAAATAAACAAGCAAATCAATAGGTTAGTGATGTTAAGTATGTATCCATCTGAATTGGACCTGGGCTGGGAGGGCCTCCAGGTCTCTGGGTAAAGGAAGAAAAATCCGTGGAAGATAATTAAGAAAAAGACCTGATCCCCATAAGAGAACAGCCGAGATTCACCTGTAGCACACGCTGCATTCTCCCACCTGGATTTGAGTGCAGTATGAATGCTTCCAGCAGTGAGCATGTGTATAGTAATTACCACGTGGTTTTTTATTTGTTTAGTATGTTCAGGGTAACATTTTGTTTTGTGTGTAAGCACTCAGATGTGAGATTTCAGCTAGTGGGGATAATTGCAATGACTTACATTTCAATCAATATTTAATTTTTTTAAGTTATAGATCTTAGAATCTGGCTCTTTTGCTTTTCCTCTCAACTTATGGATCTTTGTATTTTATTTATGAACTTAGTAGTTTTTATATAAAAGCAAGATCACATTTACTTGTTCATTGATTCATATTCAATTAACTCATAAATTTGATAGATTAAATTCCCACAAACTTTTAACATCATTTAAACACTTAATTAAGAAAATTCCTTTAGATATTTCAAACTACAATTACAAATTTAATTTAGCCAATTCAAACACTTCAAACACCTAACAAGGGAGACTTACAAATATGATGAACAAATTATCCCTAAGCACTTAAGCAGCTTCTGTAAATCTAATCAGACATAAAATTTGTTGCTTAGATTTTGTTTTAAATATCATAAAAAGCAAGCAGAAATTATATAAAGCAAATCAACAATTATAAAATTTCTTACCGCAACTGTAAACACAACTTATACAAAAGTATCGATATTATGGATTTATTTCTTCATCATCTTGTTGTGGTAAAAGAAATATATGTGCATGGACCTATTCATTTCTCACTCCAATCAAGATGAACAAAATAGTACTATCTTGCATTTAAGCTAAGTATACATGGTAGGAAGCTTGGGTCCACGACATGGGTGGGGTAAATTTATGTGGTTGAATCCAGAAGATTGAACCATGGGATACCATTCCAAGATCCTGGACCCACAGAGGTCCCACGCTGGGTGGGCTTTCCAGGCTTCTGACGAGTTGGCTTCCATCTTGTGGTGAGATTCTATCAGGCACGTCACTGGTACTTTCTAAACTCTTGCCGTTTGTCTAGGAGTTAACCAATAATACATGTTTCAATTTTCTGCATCCTACATCCTTTCCTTGCAATGACCCGTCTCTTGATGCCCCAGTAGCTTGGGGATTCAAAGCTACTGGGTTTCACTTCATTCCCATACAATGACCCAGTTGTGTAATTTCTTACATTAAAACCTAATGTGCTCAAGTCTCTTGCCCAATTTTCTACAAGGTTGTCTATCTTTTTCTTACTCATTTGCAGGAGTTCTTTATATATATTCTGGATGTAAGCTGTTTGCCAGCTATGCCTGTTGTAAATACCTCCTTCCACTCATTTGAGATGGAGAGTTGGGGCCTCTCCTCTGAGACTCAATCCTCGATTACAGGCTTGAGATATTTTCTTGAATGTCCAACGGGCATGCCAGAATTTATATGGCAAGAATGAATATCTCATTTATGGATTCCCCATCTTCCCACTTCCCACTCCTTTTTTGAAACTCTCTCCAAATCAGAAATTGGCACCATTATTCATCCAGTTGCCTAGCTCCATTCTTTTAATCATTCTCTGGAACCCTTTTTATATCATAAAACAGAAATTATATACAGAAAGTACATGAAAATAAATGCATAATTTAACAAATAAAGATAAACACTCATGTAACTACCATTCAGGTCAAGAAATAACATTGCCAGCACTCAAAAACTTCTCATAAATCATATATATATATATATATATATACACACACACACACATATATACACATATATATACACATATATACACACATATATATACACATATATATATACACACATATATATACACACACACATATATATATATACACACACACACACACACATATATATATATATATACATATATATATATATACACATATATATATGTTTTGCCTATATTTGAACTTTATATTTTTGGAATTGCAGAATACTTTTTTTTTTTTGCATCTTCATGTTTTCTTTCAATATTATACTTGTAATTCTCATCCTGTTATGTATAGCTGTAGTTCATACATTTCAATTGTTACATATTATTTCACTATACTATATATGCCACATTCTACTCTTAATGAATATTTATGTTGTTCCAATTTCTAGCTATTATTATTATTATTATTTTGAGACGGAGTCTCACTCTGTTGCCCTGGCTGGAGTGCAATGGTGCGATCTTGGCTCACTGCAACCTCCGTCTCCCAGGTTCAAGCGATTCTCCTGCCTCAGCCTCCTAAGTAGCTGGGATTACAGGCACCCGCCACCACGCCCAACTAATTTTTGTATTTTTAGTAGAGACAGGGTTTCACCATGTTGGCCAGGCTTGAACGCCTTACCTTGTGATCCGCCTGCCTTGGCCTCCAAAAGTGCTGGGATTACAGGCGTGAGCCACCGCACCCGGCCCACTGTGTCCAGCCCCAGCTATTATTAACAGTGCTTCTGTACTTCTAAAAGTAGTCCTACACATTTTAATGATTACACATATGCATGAATTTGTTTAAGGTATATACGTAGGACTATAATTGCTGGTCACAGAAAGTTTTCAGCTTTCCTAGAAAAAGCCAAGCTCTTTTCCAAAGTGGTTGTAGCATTTTTTTTTCTTTTTACCTTGAGTCAGTATTAGTAAGCTATATTTTTCTCAGGATTTACCTATTTGATTTAAAATTTCAAATGTATTGGCATGCAGTTTTTCATCACATTCTCTTCTCTTTTTTTTTTTTTTTTTGAGACGGAGTCTCGCTCTGTTGTCCAGGCTGGAGTCCAGTGGCGCAATCGCGGCTCACTGCAAGCTCCGCCTCCCGGGTTCACGCCATTCTCCTGCCTCAGCCTCCCGAGTAGCTGGGACTACAGGCGCCCGCCAGCACGCCCGGCTAATTTTTTCTATTTTTAGTAGAGACGGGATTTCACCGTGGTCTCGATCACCTGACCTCGTGATCTGCCCGCCTCGGCCTCCCAAAGTGCTGGGATTACAGGCGTGAGCCACCGCACCCGGCCCACATTCTCTTCTTTTTGATGTCTATAGCATCGGTGGTGATGCACCCACCCTTTATTTTTGATATTGTTTGTGCCTGTTCTTCATTATTCTTGGTCAGTGTTCTCAGGGCAAAAGTGGCTTCTATGATCGTTTTCCTCTCTGGGTTCTTATATATTTCCTTCCAGCTAGCCCTGGTTATTTCTTACTATCTTGTTAGCCCTTCATTTATTTGAATAAGTTTTTAAAAGATTATCAAACGGCCCGGCGCAGTGGCTCGCACCTGTAATCTTAGTACTTTGGGAGGCCGAGGGGGGCGGATCACGAGGTCAAGAGATCGAGACCATCCTGGCCAACATAGTGAAACCCCGTCTGTGCTAAAAATACAAAAATTAGCTGGGTGTGTGGCTTGTGCCTGTAGTCCCAGCTACTCGGGAGGCTGAGGCAGGAGAATTGCTTGAACCTGGCAGGTGGAGGTTGCAGTGAGCCGAGATGCCGCCACTGCACTCCAGCCTGGTAACAGAGTGAGAGTCCGTCTCAAAAAAAAAAAAAAAAAGTTATCAAACATCTTTATTTGTATCTGATGAGAAGCATGGTTTCAAAATCAGAGCCCTCTGATTCTGGAAGTCCATGGTCAAGATTCCTCTTTCTCTCACGTCCAGTCCATTGGAAGTCCCGTCAGCTCTACCTCTAAAGCAGATCCTGATCACGCCCACAGCTCTCTAGCTAGCACGCTGTTATACCATATTTCACAAGGGCTCTCTTGACCCAATTTTGAGATCTTGGCGAAAAACTCTCAATTCCTCTTTGCGGGCACTTTGCTCAGCCTGCACCCCAACCCCTTTCCTTACTGGGCTCTAACACTCTTGGGTCACAACAATACACACAACTTCCAGGAATTATTTGCTAAACATCAAGGGATGAATACTTCTTCCTTGGGTCTGTGAAATCACTCAAAATTCCCAACCCACAGGAAGCCCCTACACCTGCTAACCCCACTCCACTTGCCATAGAGAAGCTGCCTCCTACATTCCAGCTTGCTGTTCCCCTGTCCTGGGTGCAACCAGGGGGTTGCATGTAGGGACACGGCCCCGCATGGCAACTTTCTCCCACTTGATGCTGTAAGTAATAGAGTTCTGCTTTTCATCTCATCAGAGGTCAGTGTGTCCGTCCTACCATCATCAGACCCTAATGTTATAACAGTAAACCCCTCCCCACCAGCTTCAGTCTGTCATCTCCAGCTTGAAGTCTTCAAATAGCCCCCTCTCTCCCTCCTTTCTATTACAGCCTGCTAGACTTCATCTGTCATAGAGCCCAAGTCATAAATCACATCCTTCCCTTCCCTGAATAAGAGGCTCTTAGCATTGAAATCAGACTGAAACCCAAACTTCTTCCTATGGCTTAAAAGGTCCTGTATGGCTTTGCTTCTGCCAATCTCTCTGACCCCATCCACTATTCCACTCTTGTTCAGTCTCACAGTCCTAGTTCTTAGAACATCTTAGAACACAGTAGGCACTCATAAATCTTCGATAAGTGTCAGGTAAACAGAAACCACTCTAGGTACATCAGACAAAGTGATTTAATTTAGGGAATTGGTTATAGAAACGTTGGAAGGACCAGTGGAGTGAAAAAGAAATGTGATGTCATTTTGGGCTCACAAGCCTGTACTCACCATCAATGCTGCTTGACTATTGTCACTGCCGCTGATAAAAGTTAGAAGCTTGGACTCTCTCTGATGTTAGTTCCAGAATCTCGCATGGATACATCCCACTGGCAGAACCCAGTCGAAATCCAACTCGAAGGATATCTGGGAAATGTAATTTTTTTTTATTTTTGAGACAGACTCTCACTCTGTCACCCGGGCTGGAGTGCAGTAGTGCGATCTCGGCTCACTGCAACCTCTGCCTCCCGGGTTCAAGCGATTCTCCTGCCTCAGCCTCCCGAGTAGCTGGGATTATAGGGATGCACCACCATGGCCGGCTAAGTTTTGTATTTTTAGTAGAGGTGGGGTTTCACCATTTTGGTCAGGCTGGTCTCGAACTCCTGACCTCGTGATCTGCCTGCCTCGGCCTCCCAAAATGCTGGGATTACAGGTGTGAGCCACTGTGCCTGGCCGGGAGATGCAATTTTTAAACTTCTAGGGCTGGTGATTCCAGGAGGAATGTAGAAGGCCAGGAATGGGGTATGGGTGTTTGGCACGGTAAGAAAGGCCTTTGAATGGCCCTGACTGCAGACCTCATGGGAATTTTGTCATGTGCCCTCTTTTCTGCCCTGGCTCCGCTTGTCCATGTTTTTGGCCATAAAGTGGCTTGGCCGGGGCCCATCATGCTGCACATCTTGGCCAGTATGCCTCACCTTCAGACTCCATGAACCTTGCTGGGGTCAACAGCTATGGGGAGAACAGCTTCCATTTCCCCCACTCTAGGCCTCATGCACTGCAGAACCAAAATTAGTTCTTCCTGTTGAACCCAGAACCTCATCAGGCTGCTCATGTAAATGAAATTTGAACAATTGTGGCCGCTAACCTGTGACCATGGAACTTAAATCCAGCTCAGGTTGCTGATCAGAACAGATGCCACAGCAACCATTCCGTGCTTCCTCTTACCTTCCCATCCCTCCAATCTATCCAAATTTCCCCCTCCTACTCCAGAAGCCAGGAATGAAGGTTATTCCAAAGAGTTGTCTAGATCCAGGGGCACAGACAGCTCCATGCCTAGAGTTTGGAGGGGTTAAGGTGTAGGCTGAGCAAAGTGCCCACAAGGAGGAATTGAGAGGTTTTAGCCAGGATCTCAAAACTGGGTCAAGACAGCACTTGTGAAATATGATATTACAGCATGTCAGCTAGAGAGGCCCTTCAGGTCCCTATATAGTCAATCTTTTTGGGCCAGGGATGTCAAGTCCAGATCTTGGAAGAAGAGTATGGACAGTCAGTCTTCCAGGCCAGTCAAGTGGTTCTCCATCTTTACAGAGAATCAGCCCTCCAGAGCCATGTATAGAGAGTTCTTTGGCTTCACAGTCAGAGTGTCCTCCAGAAATGGGATTGGATAATCTGGAGCCAGGAGGGCAGGACAGTGCAAAACCGGTGAGGAAGGGTCTTCCAGAAACAGGTTGCAGAATTCCAAAACTAGGAGCAGAAAGTCCTCTGGAGCCATGGAGTTTTCCCTAGAGCCAACAATGTTGTGGGACTATAAATGTCTCTGGAACATTTTCCAGAGCCAAGGACAGAGATATTTCCAGAGCCAGATACAGCAAAATTTTTTGCTGATCAACAGTCATAGTGTTTTCTAGAGCTAGAAATAGAACCTCTTGAAGATGTAGAACAATCCATTTTTTTGCTATAAAGGATGGCATCTCTTCCAGTGCTGAGGGACACTGCCCTTCCTCCATCAAAGGCTGGAAAAGGCTGTAGGGCACTGTGCTGTGGGAGCCTCCAGTGACAATGAAGTTAATGCAGTTGATTTGTCCTTATAGATATCACCCACTTGGCCCTTTCTGCAAGAGATCCTGAACCTATGATCACTTCAAGATCCATACTCATGCAGAGACCTCATTAAAACATACTCTAGCCTGTAATCCCAACACTTTAGGAGGCGGAGGTGGGTAGATCACTTGAGGTCAGGAGTTCAAGACCAGCCTGGCCAACATGGTGAAACCGTGTCTCTACTAAAAATACAAAAAATTAGCTGGGCATTGTGGCAGACACTGGTAATCCCATCTACTTGGGAGGCTGAGGCAGGAGAATCGCTTGAACCTGGGAGTGGAGGTTGCAGTGAGCCAAGATCATGCCATTGCACTCCAGCCTGGGCAGCAGAATGAGAATCCATCTCAAAATAAAAATAAAAATAAAAACACACTCTCCTGTGTCTCCTTCCGAGGACCCTCTACTCAGAGAACTTGGGTGGTGGTGCCTCACTCAGAAAATATGCCCAAGCCTAGCTGGTTCTCTTCTATACCCTCAGATGGGGCATAACCCTTTGACTCCTACTGCTTTTAGAGGAGCGCTTCCACACAACAGGGCAGGTACATGAAGCACTGATGTGCAGAAGATTCTAGGCCCTCTTTTGTTTTCATCAAGTAGCAGATTCACCTCTTCTTTTAGTGATTATATTGGCAAATCACTCTGATGCCCACAAGTTCTAAATAAACCACCTGAGCAGTCCTAGAGTCAACACATTGCTATGCCAAGAACATGGGCCTTGGAACCTGACAGGCCTGGGTTCAATTCAGTAACACTGTGTGGTCTTGGAGGAGATACTTTCTCTCTCTGGACCTTTCAGATAGGATTAACAATAGCCATCCTGCAGGGCTGTCGTGAATGTTTAATGTAACAGTATGTGAAGGGCCTACATGTGCCCTGGCTAGAGGAGGTTCTAGTCACTGTTCAGTTGCAAGACAGACCGGATTTGGGAAAGTGCAGTGAGGGGGAAACTGGGTGCCTAAAAAGACTCTGGTTCTGCTGGTCAACCCAACTGTGTGACTCTGAGCAGTCACTTGCCTTCTCTGGCCCTCAGTTTCCTCATATGTCAAACCAAAGGTTGAATAAGAGGATTCTAAGGGCATTGCCAGCTCTGACATCCTGAAGGTTCCTTAATTGGAAGATCTGAGTTGATTCTTTTGACATTTAAGAAGCCACTCAATTGTCCTGTCTTGATTCATTGGGAGAGGACATCTGTAACCACTGCATCAGGGATTTCCGTGAGAGTTTGACGGTATTCATGTGGTATTATGACAAAAATCCAGGACTCAGCTGGGCATGGTGGCTGATGCCTGTAATCCCAGCACTCTGGGAGGCCGAGGCAGGTGGTTCACTTGAGGTCAGGAGTTTGAGACCAGCCTGGCCAACATGGCAAAACCCCATCTCTACTAAAAATACAAAAATTAGCCGGGCTTGGTGGCACCTACCTGTAATCCCAGCTACTCGCGAGGCTGAGGCAGGAGAATTGCTTGAACCTGGGAGGCAGAAGTTTCAGTGAGCTGAGATCATGTCATTTCACTCCAGCCTGGGTGACAAGAGTGAGACTCTGTCTCAAAAATAATAATAATAATAATAAAAATAAAAACCCAGGACTCTTGTCCCACCATCTACTTTGTTTCATGTTTTTCCTCGAGAGAGTGAATAACAAGTACGTGTGACAAATGAGAAGTCAAGACACCACTCTGTAATGAGTGAAGCAAACACCGGTATCCCAAAGCAGGGCTATGCCACACTGGAGTCCTCACCAGCCCTCTCCATCCTCCTCTAACACCCATAATAATGCCATTACTATAGCTGATTGATTGGATAGTTACATGTGCCAGGCAACAAACCTTATTTAATTCTCATAACAACCCAATGATTGCACTGTAATGACCCCGCTTACCAGAAAATGGGCCTCATCAGTCTTCAGAAATCTGACCCAACAGATAGGCAACTTTTCCTCCCTGCTGAGGGGTGATAGGAAGGGCAGACATGGTGAGCAGGGGGGCAGTCCCAGCTCCTAGGTGGTGGCTACGACATGACTAAAGAGATGGGAAGCAGGTGCATGGAGGTTGGAAAGGAAGTGCAGAGGCTGGGAGGGGTGGGTGGAGGCTGGGGTAAGGGTAATGGGGAGGGGGCTGATGGGGGTTTGGATTTGTGGAAGCGTACTTGGGATGAAGCTCTGTGTTGAGTGCTGGGAACGGAGGTGAATCACAGCCTCTGTGTGTGTGTGTGTGTGTGTGTGTGTGTGTGTGTGTGTAGAGGGTGGGGAGATGTGAAAAGAGATAGACATCTTTTCAATGCAGCATGATTCTTGAAACGAAAGTTGCATACACAAGCTGACACAAATATCATATGGAAGGAGAGCGGTGATCCTATCTGGCTGCCAGAGAAGCCCTCAGAGCCTCCCAGGTGAGTTGGTGCCATCTCCTCAGTCACCTGAACTATGGCTCCACGTCCTTTACACCTCCTCCTGAGTTTGGGTCTCTCCATCTCTACTCCAGCTCGGGTAGCCTTAGTCCCCCCTGCCCTGACTTTCCCCAGTCCCTGCAATGACTGGTCTCCTAGTCCCCTCCAGCCCATCCTCCACACAGCTGCAAGAGTGGAGATCTTCCTAAAATGCAAACCTAATCATAGCCCTCTCCCCTTCCATCCCCCAACTGCCTGAGAATGTGGTCCAAGATCCCTTAGCACGACATTCAAGCCCTTTGGGATCTTGTTCCTGCTTCCCCTTTCAGCTTTACTTTAAACTCCTCCTCCTCTCCAACACCCCGAACCCCACCATCTAATTTCCTGCCATAGTGCCTCGAGTGTTCCTTGCTTTTTACTGCCTCCAGTCTTTGCGCAGGCTGTCCCCTCTGCTGAGAATCCCTTCCCCACCGTTCCTCATCTGGCTCTTTCAGGTCCTGGCTCTGTATCCCTTTCTCCCAGCAGTCCTCCTGATTCGGTAGGTTGGATAGGGACCCCTCCTCTGTGTTCCCACAACCTCCGTGCTCCCTCTATTTTAATCCTTAACACACTGCCTTGCCATTTTCTCCTGGACTGCTTGCTTGATCAGACTGTGGGGGTGGGGGGCTTTGTGAGGGCAGGGGTGGAGGTGGACTCATCTTTGCGTCTGCAGAGCCCAGGTGCACCTGGATGCTGGAGGGTGCTCATTGCTGTTTGCAGGGTGTATGGATGAGTGTGTGGTTCCAGGTTGTGGGGGCGGGGTGGTCTTGGCAAGGGACTGTGGGCCAGGTTGAGGGAGAGGGCCGAATGGGCGTCTTTACAGGAATTCTGATGCCTGGGCCAGCAGGAGCTCAGCTTTCCCCTTCTGGCCTGAGTAGGGGGTCTATGGGGCTCAGTCGGAGGGGAGGGGTCCCTGGGCCCCATCATAGTCTGGAAAGAGGAGTGGACGCGGCTCTCCCGCCCGGAGCTTCCTCCGAACATCCCTCTGCAACGCCGGCCTGGGCTGTCATAGCAACAGCCCGCCCCGGCGGGGGCGCCGGCCAATGGCAGCCGGTGCTGGTGAGGTAATGTCCCGGTCTGGAAGCCCATTGGCTCCATTTTTGTCCACTTCTGGGTCCGGGCCTGCGGTGGGAGCCGCGAGGGGGAGGACAGAGCATGCGCAGGGAGCCCAGCTGTCTACACCGGCGGCGCGATTCCTCTCCCTGCGCTCCCCGCTCTCCCTCTCAGTTCTGGGCTGGCTACCTCTGTCCTTCTCCTCTCTCTCTGCGTGCCGTACCTGTCCCTGGTTGTGTCGGTCGTTTGGTGCGTCTGTCTCCCTGACTCTCTTGGGGTCTCGGTGGCCCCTTCTTCTTGCCCCTGTCTCTGCCCCGGGGTCTCTGACTCTGAGTGCGCCTCCTCGTCTTGTCCAAACAAGGGCGCAGTGAGAGTTCCTTGACTTGCAGCCAGAAGGTGACTCACTGCTTCAAACCGCAAGGCCGCCCGGCAAGCCTCCGGCACCTTCTTCCCGAGTCTGTGGGAAGCTCTGGCACACACACAGGCCGAGGGCTTGAGATCCCGAGAGGCCCGGGCTGGCCTTTCCCTGGTTGGCCTCACCAGACCTTTGTTCTTGTTGACTTGTTGCCCAGTCAAGGGAAAGGCAGGACGGTCTGGGCTTTGGGGAAGGGAAGGGGACAGATTTAGAGAACAATTGGGCATGAGCTTCCATAATGCCAGCAGGGGAGGTTAGACAGCTGGAGGGACTTCCAGAAAACTACAAAGGCATAGGCACTGGGCCGAGTGAATGAAAAGGGCAGTTGGACTTTGCTCTACCCACCCCTCTGTCTGTCCATCCATCAACACAACACATTGATGCCCATCAGTGCCAGGTTCTGGGCTTGGCGATGGCTCAGTCCCCTGAGCGCCTGGAATCACAGCCCAGTCTGGGAGGCAGGCACACAAATCCTGGGTTTCAATGGGATTCCAGAAGAAGGCAAAACTCACCCTGCCAGGTGGGGTGCTTGACTCAGGCAGGGAAGCTTTGTGGAGGAGGGGGTCTTTGAGCTGGTGTTTGGGAGGATGGCCAAAAGCTTGTTTGGATCAGCCTGGGCAGGGCACAATGACAGACCCATCTGGAAGGATCAGGGGTGGTTGGAAGGTCCAGGAATGTGAATACCTGCATGAGGGAGTTTGCACTTGAACTCAGGGGCAGTTTGCAGCCACCCAGGGATCAGAGCAAGGGAGAAGTGTGGTCAAAGTGGTTTTCGTGCAGTCATGCCGGTGACAGAATCTTGGCTGTCTTGCTCAATGCTGCACCCCAGCCCAGGGTAGAGTGCCAGGCCCACAGTGAGTGTTCACACACTTGTCGAAGAAAAGCGTGAACTGAAGGGGAGAGGTTCTGATGGATGAGGGCTGAAATGATGAGGTCGTCTTCATGTGGTGGTGGAAGGGAGAGGAAAAGGGATGGGTTCAAGAAAGGTAAAGGACAGGTAGAAGTGATGGGCCCTACTGGTTTACTGGAGGTTGTGGGGGTGATGGAGAGGAATCTGCTTGGGGTAACACCTATGTTTCTGGCTTGAGCAACTAAAGGTTGGGGGAGAGGGAATACGGGTGGGGTAGATTTCAAGGGAAAGGTGGTTAGTTCAGAGTTGGAGCCTCAGCATCTGAGATGCTTGTGAGACCTCTGGGTGGGGCTGGGTGGGAGAGGTCTGGGCTGGGGTGGCCTGCATAAAGGTGGTGGCTGACGCTGTAAGTAGACATGAGCTGCTTAAGAACTGGGACATGGCCAGGCGCAGTGGCTCACACCTGTAATCCCAGCACTCTGGGAGGCCGAGGCAGGTGGATCACGAGGTCAGGAGATCGAGACCGTCCTGGCTAACACGGTGAAACCCCGTCTCTACTAAAAATACAAAAAATTAGCTGGGGTGGTGGCAGGCGCCTGTAGTCCCAGCTACTCGGGAGGCTGAGGCAGGGGAATGGCGTGAACCCGGGAGGTGGAGCTTGCAGTGAGCCGAGATCGCGCCACCGCACTCCAGCCTGCGCGACAGGGCGAGACTCCGTCCCAAAAAAAAAAAATAAATAAATAAATAAATAAAGGAAAAAGAAAGAACTGGGACATTTACGAGCAGGTTTCTCTGGTGAGGGGGTCTTTTTGAACCCCAAGGAGACCTGGGTAGGAGTCAGAAGTCCTGGGTTTTTGTGGATTCTGACACTGGCTTGCTGTGTGACCTCGGGCAAGTCATTCCTCTCTGGGCCACTGTCCCCTGATCTCTCAGCAGAGCCTGTCAGAGGTGGAGAGTGACCTGGACCACTTCTGTTTTTTAAGGCCTCTGGATATGGTTAAAAAAAGAGATGTGCCCTAACAGGGTAACAAAAATTGTGGTTATTGACTATGTTCACATTTACATGTTAACATTGTGAACAGACACAAGGA
The DNA here is from genome assembly GCF_000001405.40 of Homo sapiens. NCBI lineage: Eukaryota > Metazoa > Chordata > Mammalia > Primates > Hominidae > Homo > Homo sapiens. The sequence goes on along the minus strand of NC_000001.11, from coordinate 30,822,240 downwards.
TTGTGAATAGACTGTCATTTGAAGGTTAAAGTCCAGACCAGAGTCATGTTGGGAAATTTGTCCCCTGGTTCTGGCCTTCCTGGTTGCTTGGAGTAATTGCCCTTTTAGATAGGAAAGCTGCCTGCCTGGGGGTAGAGAAGGGGTGAGGGTACGTGGAGGCCAGAAGGAGCTGGGCCAAGGTTTTTGTCTGAGCAGGAGCTCATAAGTTCTTGCTCTAAGCCTGGGCATTCATGCCCCTCTTCTAATTCCTGCCAGCTCCCAACTTGGAGTCTTTTCTCCAGGAGCCATCAGAGGCCATGCCAGTCCCAAAGCAGGCAAGAACACTGTTGCAGCTCCTGCAGGACCACCTTCCTTTCCTGTTCATCCCTCAGCTCCTCCAAGATGAGAGCATTAGATGAGCCGGGCCCAGGCTCTGCCTTTAACTCACCCCTGGCCAGGTCACTGCCTCTCTGAGTCTCACGGTCTTGACATCTCTATGTCCTCAAGCTGTAGCCTGGTGGCTGGCACAAAGTACATACTTAGTAAATGTTGGGTGAGTTGAAATGAATGGTGAAGTTGTTTATTTCACTGGAGCAGGGGTTGAGGGAAGAGTGGTAGAGAGAGATCATGTTGTTGGGGCTGTCAAAATAAGATCACATCTGCAAATGTGCTTTGGAAAAGGTAAATCAGATATTTTAAAGTCAGCATTGTATCATATTTGGCCCAATGCCCCTGAAAAGCTTCCAGAGCAAAGAGTAGACACAAAATGAGTTTTTCTCCCACAAAACCTTTTTTTTAATTTCACAATAATTAATCATAAATACATTCTGCTTAGCCCAGTGGTCAAGAACTAGGACCCAGTCAGGTGTGGGGGCTCACACCTGTAATCTCAGCACTTTGGGAGGCCAAGGCGGGCAGATCACTTGAGGTCAGGAGATCGAGACCAGCCTGGTCAATATGGGGAAATGCTGTCTCTACTAAAAATACAAAAATTAGCCAGGTGTGGTGGTATGTGCCTGTAGTCCCAGCCACTCCGGAGGCTGAGGCAGGAGAATCACTTGAACCCGGAAGTGGAGGTTGCAGTGAGGTAAGATGGTTCCACTGCACTCTAGCCTGGGCAACAGAGCGAGACTCTGTTTCAAAAAAAGAAATGAGGTGGGTATGCTGTTTTCAAATCCTGACTCCATTGCTTTCTGGCTGTTTGACCTTTGATAAGTGACCCGACTTCCTTGTATATCAGGCTGAAATGTAAACTGCAAATAATACCATTATCATCTCATGGGGTTGTTATGAGGATTTCATGAACTATTAGATATAAAGTATTGAAGAAAGTGCCTGGCCCATGTGAACGTTTCAGAAATGTTAGCTTTTATTATTGTTAGCAATGATAGGGCTTTCTCAAACCCCTCCCCACAGCTGCCTGCTCTTAGTGGCTGGTGGTTGTGGCAGATGCTACAGGCGGGCCCACTCAACGAGGAGGCCCGTTTAGCTCTCCTCCCTCTACTCAGGGCAGCGGTTCTCAATTTGGGCTTGCACATTAGAATCAACTGGGAGCTTGGAAAACTCCCAGTGTCGGAGCTGTACCCTCAGAATCTCCAAGAGTGTGACCCAGGACTCAGAGCTGGCTGAGGCATCCCCCTGATCCACGCTAAGGTGCAGCCACAGTTGAGAACTGGTGATCAAGGGCAGTGCTTCTCAAAGCCTGGACTCCAGACCAGCCGCATCAGCATCACCTGGGAACGTCTGAGAATGCAAATTCTCAGGCCCCACGCCAGAGCAGCTGCAGAATCAGAAACTCCAGGGGAGTGGGGCCAGCAGTCTGTTTCAACAGCTCCCCCTCCCCCAGGGGCTAAAGCTTGAGAACCAGCAATCTAGTGGCTGAAAGGACAATGTGTGCTTTTTTGAAAACCACTGCTGTAAGCTGCATTCTGTTATTCCCTGACATGAATAGGGACCAATTCCTGCCCCCTAATAACCATACCTTTTGTTATCCTCAGCTGCTTTATATGTATTCTCATATTTAGACCTCAGAGCAACCTAATACCAATAACTCACCTCCATTTGCTAGAATGAGGAACTCCCGTGACCTGTCCAAGGCCTCATAAACTAGTTACTCCAAGGCTAATTCCTCTGACCTTTGGCCAAGCAGAGAAAGAGTCTTGGATTCTGTTTGAGACCCTGAGCCCTGACCTTGTCAGTGGAGGGGCTGCAGGTCTTGCGCTTCCTCTGGGAGCCCAGCTGCTCCTCTGTCCAGATGTTGTAAGGAAGAAGAGAGGCATGGGGAAGGGAAAGCTCTTTGAGATCATTGGTCCTCTAAGGTATCCCAAGAAACATCTGAGAGTTGCAGACTCAAAGGTTAGAAAATGAGGGGAGATGTCTCCCAGGGGTCTCCTGCCCCACACGTCGGTAGGGAGATGCACAGTGTTTGGCGCGGCACCTAGCACCTAGCACGGAGTCAGCACTCCAAACGGTAGCCACCATCATTGTGAACAACACAAGATTACTGATAAATGTAGACAACAGGGTACTATTTTATATTTACTATTCTTTATTATTGCTGTATTTATACTTTTATTGTGGTAAAAATGCACATACCTTAAAAGGTCTTTCATCTTGTAAGTTTTCCCATACAACTTCCAAATATAGATAGTGCTGCTGGCGCAGCTGAAATGCTAATGCTACCCTAGTTATCAGCTGGGGTATATGGAAGAGCCACTGGCCATGGAGTGGGACAGACCTGGGCTTAAACCTCAGCTCCACCACTTATCTCTGGGACTGTGGGCCTTTGGTTTCTCCTCCTTCAACTGGGAAGCACATGACAGAATGTATACTTCTCTGCAGACATGAGGGGTTGTTATTCTTGTCGAGGGAGTTGGTGGCCATGCTGACATTAATGAAGAATCAAAGCCTGTGCATGCTCAGCCTGAGACAGACTCCCCGCCTTCAGATGCCTGGACCAGACTCATTTCTTGCCTTTTAATAACCAAATGTGGAAAGGCATCCACCACGAACATGCCTGGCCTCTCTCTGTCCCTCCCTGACTCCTGCCCACGGAGCTGATGGGCGAGTGTGGGGTGAGGGACCTGTTCAGCTTGCCTCCCACTGGGCATAGCCTATGTCCTCAGTGCAGCCTGCCTGCAGAGGGGCTTATGTTCTGGGTGGTTCTTCAGTAGCAGCTGAGCTCAGCAGGCTGGCTTTGCCCCCTGGGGAGGTCTGTGCTTGTCCAGCACTGCCAGGGACAGAGAGGATGAGTCTAATTCAGGGGCGGGGGTATTCACAAGCCCATTTGGCTAAAGCCGCCTCCTCCAGGCAGCTTTGTCTGTGACATCACTTCACATCACTGGCTTTCCAACTCACCTGAGCACAAGCCAGATTCCTCATGGCAACCTGGAGAGCTCTCACCATCTCGATCCCGGTCCCCTCTGGCCTCTTCTAACCTTTACTTCCCCTGTGCCCCTCCCTCTCACTCCATTCCAGTTACAATGGCTGTGCTGATTCTGAGCTCCTCAGGCCAGCTCCTGCCTCACGGCCGTTGCCTGGAATGCTCTTCCTCCAGATGAATGCATGACCATACTTAGCCGCTTAGGTCTTAACTCAAGTATCACGCTCTTGGCTTCTTATGATTGCAACACCCCCTCCCCCCACCAACCCCTTGACATTTCATTCCCCTTTCCCTGCTTTTCTTCTCCTTAGCACTTACTACTAACACATTTTATTTCATTTACTTACCTTGTTTATTGTGTCTTTCCCACCAAAATCATCACTCCATCGGACCAAGGTTTTTTTTTTGTTTTCTTTTTTTATTGCGAGATCCCCAGTGCTTAGTGCAGGCACATAGTAGGTGCTCAGTAAATATTTCTCAAACGAATGAATGGAGCTGGCATTATTCTGCCCACCATCTGACTGTCACCGGCATGTTCTAAACTCAGGAGGGGAACTGGGATGTCACTTTTTGAGTCCCCTCACATTCTAGCTGTGCCCAGGTCAGTGTGGCTGAGTAGACACAATGTAGTTTGGGCCGTGCATCCAGAATGCCTGAGTTTTAATTCCCATTGGAACACCCTCTTAGCTGTGCTTCTGAACACCTCTGTGCCTAGTCTCCCCATCTGCAAAGTGGGGATGATGAGATCACCTCCCTTAGAGTGTTATTATGAGGGTGGAGGAAGAAATACAGGTATGGTGCTTAGCACAGTGGCTGGCATAGGGTAAGTGCTCAATAAATGTCAGCTGGCATTGATCAGCCTCAAGGTTTGAAGGAGGTGACCACCTCCCCTGCCTGCATCTCAGGATGGTTTGGAGACCAGGGAGACAGGGCATATGGCCTGACCTTGTGGACTCTGATGCCCAGGATGGAACAAAGGGGCTGGGGGGTCTGAGACCCTAGCCTGGGCCAGGGAACTCAAAGGGAGGTAGCAGCAGGGTGTGGGCAGTTTGACAGTCCATAGCTGGGCCTGCTCAGCAGCAGTGGGGGCAAGGATGCTGACTGCATGATCCCAGGTATCCAAATGCCACAGGTGGACTTGGAGACCTGTGGATAGGTAGACCAGTTGTCCGGATGGTGACCTGGCCTTTTCACTTCCCCCAGTTGAGTCCCCGGATGATGAGACCAGGAAGGGTCATGTCGTCATCCCTCACCTGCTCCATAAACAACAGAGAGCCTCAGGGTTGGGCTCCAGAGGGAGGAGTTTGGGAAGAAATGGGGTCATGGGCTGGTCTCCGGGACATGGACCACAGTGATCAGGGACATCTTTGCATTTTCCCAGGTCAGTTTTGTGTGTGGTGTGTGTGTGTGAATTTGTGAGGACATGAGTACACATATGTGTTTGTGTGTGCATGTTAGAGCGTTTGCTGACAGCCATACACACACACACACACACACACACACACACACGCAGCCCAAAGGCTGACCCTGCTGTCAGGAAGCTCTCGTGGAATCTATTCTCCTTCACAATGCTTGCTCTCAGATGTCAGACTGGAAATGTCAGCTCTGTGTGGTGTGCCAGTCCCTGCTCTGGGCAGGGAAAGTTCGTGCCTCTCAAAGACCCTACTCTGAAAGGCATGGACAATGCCAGGCCAGGACTCCTGGCAGAGGGGAGGGCTTAGTATAGGGGTTGGGAGCCTGAGTGTAAGCTCGGGGATAAACCAGGCCTGGCAGGGACTGGAAGTCCACTCCCCAGGGGGCAGAGAGGAAGCGCTCACTACACATGAGAACAATCAGTGACATTTATTACATGCAAGGTGTGCATCAAGCACCTCACGGACATCACCTCACTTTTCAGAAGAAGAAACTGAGCCTCAGAGAGGTTTGGAAACTTACTCAAGATCACACAGCTGGAAGATGGCAGATGAGGAATGACCCATTGAGCATTGAGCTCAGTGAGTCCTGACCCATTGAGCAGGAAGTAGAGGCTTAGAGAGGATAAGTGGCTTACTTAGAGTCACTGACATGTTCATGGCAGAGCTGGGATGTGACTCAGATCTCCCTGATTCCAGAGCTTGTGCTCTTACCACCACCACACGCCCCAAGCCTGTGGGTGAGCCAGACACCCTGGGGATATGTGAAAGGTGACCAGAGGAGGGAAGGACTGACTCTGCCCAGAAGGGTCAGTGAGGCACAGATGACAGCTGGGAGCGCTCCAGGGAGACAAGGGTGGGGGAGGGCATTCCAGGGGAGAGAAGAGCACGAGCAAATCACAGAGGCGTGAAATAGGGTGCCACGTTCTGGCAGTTTATAGCTGACCCATTGAGCAGGAAGACAGCCTCCGCTTCTCTCTGCCCCCACCCCCATCCTGGTTCAGAAAGCCTGATTGTCCCCACTTCCCTCCGCCCCCCTCCTGCAGGCTCCTGGGATATGGACAAGAAAGGAGCTTGTCTTTCCTGGCTCTGCTGGAGTCCTGCCGCGGAGGCTTGGTTACCATGGCGACGGGCTCCATGGAAACTTGCAGCCGGCCTTTTCCAGGATGGGCCTGGACCCCAGCCCACCTGCTGATGCATTGCGTCCCCTGGCCGCAGCATCCCGAGGAGGTGCCCGGGTGGTCACTCTGCTGTCTGAGCACCCACCCCTCCACCTTGGCAGGGGCAGGGAGAGTCCTGAAGGGCAGCAGGATGGGATTCTGGCATGCAGAGGCCATTGAGTGGCTTCAGGATCCCGCATCAATCCAGGACACAGAGACCCACAATTCTCTCATATTTAGGCAAATTGAGAGCAAGTCTTTACATGGCTGCTGCTCAATGTCCTGCCCATTCTGTTTCGGTGTCCTGGTCTGTTTTGGTCCTGGTGCTGCATTCTCTTCACTCTGTTTCTCCCTGGCCCAGCTATTCTCTGAGTTCTGATCTGTTCACTCCACCATGTGCACACCATGCCCCAGGTACGCCCTGTTTCAGAGGATCTCCAGGCCCTGAGGCTTGCTTTCGGACTGGCCTGGGAGGTGACCCTGACTTGACACTTTGTAGCCACGCAACCTGGAACAAGTCGCTCCCTCTTCCGGAGTCTTGGGTTCCACGTCTCTAAACACGTGCTTTATGGGATTGCTTGTTCATCCAACAAATATGCTTAATAATATCTGCATTTACTGAGCACTTTTTATTTGCTTTGAATGCATTTATTATGCTAAGAACTGCACTTACGTCATCTCATTTCCCCCTTATGACAACCCCATGACACAGGATTCTTATTCCCAGTTTGCTGGCAAAGACACTGAGGCCAAGAGGATGGAGGACCCTGTCCAGGGTCACACATGTGGCAGAGCAGGAAGGAGAACGTAGGCATGTCTGACTCCGAAGTTGCCTTGAAGAGGGTACCACCGTGTTATTTGGTCAGTTAATTTTTATCATGCACCGATGGTGTGAGGACCTGGTTTCTGCCCTTACAGAGCACCTACTGGGGGAGATGGGTAAAAAGAGCAAATAATAATACAACGCATTGTAAGTAGAGTGTTGAGATAGAGGGTGATGGGTGGGGACGATGTTCTTAAAGAGGATGAGTGCTCAGGGACAATCTCTCTGAGCAAATGACACACAAGGATGAGAGAGCCGCATAATGGGAAGAGCCAGCTACGAGAGGGAAGAGAGACCCAGGCAGGGACAAAGGCCTTGAGGTGGGAATGGGTTTGGTGTGTCCTCAGAGGCAGAAGGGTCAGAGGAGCTTTGAGGTGGTGAGTGAGGGGGAGAGAGGCCTGGGACGAGCCAGAGAGGCAGGCAGGGGCCCGATCACGCAGAGCCTCGTGGGCTGGGATAGGGGGCATGGTTTATTCTAAGGGCAGTGGAAACCATCAGAGGGTGCTAGGCAGGAGAGTGAGTTGACCTCACATGTGAGAAGCAGCTCCCTCTGGATGCTGTATGGGGATCGGGTAGCAGAGGGGCATGACGGGGCCAGGAGGACATGCAGTTGTCCCGGTTGGAGATGGTGCTGGCCATGGCCGGGGAGGGAAGCTTCCGAGCTTGACTGGTTTGGACACAGTGTAGACAGACTTCGCTGAGGGACTTGTAAGTAGCGGGTGGGAAACAAGAAGGCAGAAAGGATAGCTCCTCTTTTCTGCCTTGAGCGACCAGGTGGGTGATGATGTTGCTTACTGGGATGGGGAGACTCAGATGGTGCTGGGGGTGGGATGCTAGACAACTGGCTTTTTCAGGGGAGAAGATCCAGAGCTTGCTTTGGGATGTGTTGTGTCCAAGATGCCTGGGAGCAGATACAAATTTGGTTATTGACAGTGTAGACATGACAACTAAAGCCATGGGGCTTGGTGAGATCAAAGGAGGAAGTGTAGACAGAGATGGGAGGATAAGAGGAAGGGAAAGGAGGGGTGGAAGAGCAGCTGGGAGGAGAAAAGAGGAAAAGGAAAAGAGAAGAAAGGAGAGGAGAGGAGGGGAGGAGGGCTGTTGGAGCCAGGAACACACCTGTGCTTACCTTTTTCTGGTGTGGGCCATGCTTCAGGCACCTGGAACACACCCTGAGTCCAGGAGCACCAGCCTTGGAGGTGAGGGCAACAGCAGGAACTTTGCCAGTTTGGCCATTAGAACCTGTGTGGGGACGTTAGGCCAGGGGTCAGAAGAGGGTGCTTCGAGGGGTCCAAGGAGGAACAGCCCCACTGGACTGAGGGTGGAGGCCAAGGCCTGACAGATGAGTTCCCCATAAAAAGGGAGGAGAGAGAAGAAGAGGGTAGAGGTCATGGGGTGTGGGATTTGGATGGTAAGCAATGTGCAGGAAGCAGGTGAAGGGGGGTGTCGAGAGATGAAAGAAGCAGACATTTGGGGACAGGCGGATGTGGATGCAGGCTGTGGCCCAGAGCGGGAGGCAAGAGGCAGCTTCCTTCCCTGTCCCCATCCTCATCCTGGTAGGACCCTGGGCTTCCTGGAGACAGCCTGGGGGCTTATACCAAGCCCTTGTCTTAGCTGAGCTGCCTGACTGACCTTGTAACCACATGGCCCCCGAGGGAAACAGCACATGTGGGTCCGTGCAGGTGCATCAGGGGCATGGGTATGTCTCTGAAGGTGACTGGGACAGCTTGGAGCCTTGAATGTCCTGGACTTGGAGACACTTATGAGCTGTGGGCATTGGGCAAGGCACAACAACTGGCTTCATGGAGCCTTAGGGTCTCACCTGGGGAAAGGTAATAATAACATGTGAAATATGCCCTGCCAGTCCCCAAGCTCTGCCCGAGTGTGAGATATTATTAGTGCTGCCTAGGCTATGAAACTCCGTGTGAGGGGTGACCCTAGTTTTGATCAAAGAGAGAGACAGAGGCAGAGACAGAAAGAGTGAGACAGAGAAAGGAAAACAAGGTGGGGGTGGGCAGGTAGCGACAGAGACAGAGCAAGACAGAGAACAAGAACAAGAAAGATAGATACGGAGGCCAGGTGCGGTGGCTCATGCCTATAATTCCAGCACTTTGGGAGGCCGAGGTGGGTGGATCACCTGAGGTCAGGAGTTCGAGACTAGCCTGGCCAACATGGTGAAACCCCGTCTCTACTAAAAATACAAAAATTAGCCAGGCGTGGTGGCAGGCGCCTGTAATCTCAGGTACTCAGGAGGCTTAGGCAGGATAATTGCTTGAACCTGGGAGGCAGAGGCTGCAGTGAGCCAAGATCACACCACTGCACTCCAGCCTGGGAAAAAAAAAAAAAAGAATAAATAAATAAATAAAGATAGATGATACAGGAGAGAAAAAGAGGGAAAGAGACAGAGAGAGACACAGAGAGCTAGAGAAACAAGAGAGACAGACAGAGTCAGAGAGAGACAAAAAGAGCTTGAGAGCAAGAGAGGGCGAGGGAGAGACAGAGACACAGACACAGGGAGAGGAGGTTGTAGCAGACGTCATACCTGGGCAGTGAGGCTGCGAGTGATTTTGACTTTTATACTTTTGCTCATATTATTTTCTGATTTTTCTCTATGTCTACTTAAAATAATTATCTTGAAAAAATGGTTTCTAGACGTAAATTGGATTTTAGAAACTTTCTGCAATTTGGAAATATCTATGAAAAGCTTTACAATTTGCATACAAATTGACCCAGAAATTTCTCTTCTTAGAATTTATTCAAAGGGAATAATCATGGATGTGCCAACGATATAGTTGCAAAGATGTTTTGGAGTTTATAATAACACGCCCTCCAAAATAACCCTAAAAAAGGCCAACAAAGAAAACCCCTCTACCTAGATGTACAAAAATACTTGAATAAATAAAAGATGGTCCATTCATGGAATGGATTTCTAGATAGCCTTTAAAATGATGAAGAAGGTAACTTATTGGTGTGGATATTTATGACATATTAAGTAAATAAAAAAACAAGTTTCAAAAAGGCACAATGTAACTCAATTTTATTAGAAAAAACATCTGTCTGTGTGTGTGCATAGAGAAATACCTGGAATTTTGGTCACCAAGGTGCTAAGTCTGTTGTGCAACAATAAAAACAAGTGAAGTTATTTCAACTGTTGTCTGTGCATTAAGAATTCTGACACAGAGCTGCTGCTGGTTGCTTTCCTGTCTTTTGCTGTCCTCAGAGGAAATGGAGGACAGCTGCTCACGGCCCGATGTGTGATAATCCAGCATGATTTTGATGGTCATAATTAAATCACACCTCATCCATGTCAATTCACGCAGATAGAGCCCAGCTATTTTTTGTTAACCATCCCACAGAGGCTATAAGCAGATGCCACCCATTCAGAAAAACAACCTCTCAACTTTTTACAGGCGTTGTGACAGTTTCACTCCCTTGGTAGTTGCAGATAGAGGTTTAATATCTTTTTAGATATTGACTCTGGGGTTTATTCATTGCAATCAGGTGAACACTATTAACAGGTGTATCAGGAATGCCTACTCCAGGTAGGCATAACTAAAAGGTGAGATATAAACCTCAAGACTTGCGGCCAGGAGTGGTGGCTCATGCCTGTAATCCCAGCACTTTGAGAGGCTGAGGCAGGCAGATCACTTGAGGTCAGGCGTTTGAGACCAGCCTGGCTGACACGGTGAAACCCCGTCTCTACTAAAAATAAAAAAAAAATTAGCTAGGCATGGTGGTGCGTGCTTGTAATCCCAGCTACTTGGGAGTCTGAGGCAGGAGAATTGCTTGAACCCAGGAGGTGGAAGTTGCAGTGAGCCAAGATTGTGCCACTGTACTCCAGCCTGGGTGATAGAGCAAGACTCTAAAAAAATTTTTTTTTCTATTAAAAATTTACTTGCTTTTACAACACCTTTTAGACATTTCAGAATTACTTACAGTCTCATTTCATTCCAAAAATAATTTGAGGTGGCTTACCAAATTATATGAATATAATAGAGTAAAGATAATTGAGGATGAAGGAAGGCTAAGGCTATATCAATAAGACAAAAACAGCAAAGTTAGTAAAGAAACCACCTGCCTTAAAGTTCTGAATATTTACTAGATGGGGACATCAGTTTTGCTCTGGTCTTTCTAATAGCCTATTTTCAGCTTTAATATGGTCAAACATAAAGCAAAATGTGAGGAAATGTAAACCTTAGGCAGACACTGTCCCTTTTCTTCTAAGCTCAACTGTTATTACTGTCTATGCAAATAAAGCTTGGCTTTTCATTCAAACCTCAGGAAAATGGTTCCTTCCTCCCACGCCCACCATTTCTAGCTAGTGGAAAGGTGATGTGCTGCTTGCGTATTGACCACAGACCGGTGCCTCAGCTTTCTCTCCTGCATCTACGCACGATGGATGGAACGCAGAGAGAGGCTCTGTTCTCAGGCTCGTGTGCGGATATCTTCTTGGTAGAAGGAAAATAGCCTTGGTTATGTCGGGGAAGACTTTAAACTTCCTTTCTCCAGTACTTTCCAACATTTTGATGTTTCATCTTCTCAGTCTAGTCTCTACCCAGATGCAGTATGTGCCCACTGTGAGGATGATGTTATTCCAAGTGAGATGTTACCCTGGCAACCAACTTACCAACTCACTCAATTAACCAGCTTCCTCTCTGTAATCAATACTCATTAGCGCCGAATCACTTCTTCGCTTTGCCTTGCAATTTTAACCACTCATCCGGGTCAATCTGTATTTTAAAAGTAACAGTCATTTCTCCTTTGGAATAGGGAAACTCATTTGAACCCAACAGAACTCCTTTCCCGGGGGCCCCTGAGGAGGCTGTCATCCCAACTCACGCTCACCCAAGGAAGTACCAGCTGGTGATCTTGGTGGCATTGGCAACGGAGCCTCCCCAGTGGCTTCCAGCAAGTCACTGGGGCCTTGCCCATGGGGGAACTGACAAGGAGGAAGGTCGCACCTGCCATTGGAAACCAGAGAGACAGCTTCTGTGCACCCAAGAGACTCCTTGGAGGCTCCAAGGGAGAAATACTACCATGGGATGGTTACTGTAGACTGACATGGTTTGAGAATAGAGAGAAAAAAATGTATTATTAAAAACCCAAACAGTCTGTTCCACTTCCCACTCTGCTTCTAAGGCAGAGGATGGGGGGTGGTGGTGTAATTCATGTCTCAGGGAGATAAAATTCTGCACAACTTCCTTTGCTGCACAGAACCCAGTGGGAGACAAGGGGGACAATGGATATTCCAGAGCCTTTGCAGGTTTTCCGGAGCTGCGGCTCCACAGGGGACCTGGAGTGGGTGGCCTTTGGTGGAGCAGGAATATTTTGTGGGTCTCCAGAGGTTGGTAAGAGAGGAGAGGGAGGTTGAGTTCTAAGGAAGCAGAGCCCTGAATGCGGGGAAGGCGGGCTGAGTGCTATGATGGTGTAAAGACTTCTTGTGGCCCTAAACTTCATGAGAGTCAGCTATGTGCACACGTGCCCTGGGTAAGGGTGTTGGAGGCAGACTTGGGGATGCAGGAAAAGAGGCCTGTTCCATCTCTGGAATGTGATGCAGACAGCAATAGCACTGCTGGCCGGCAAGATGACCCACACATGGAAACACTTAATTAATTAATGAAAAGCGTTGTCCTAGGCAATGGAAATTCATTAGAAGTTGAAGCAGAAAGATCCCTGCTCTCAAGGGCTCGTGTTCTAGAGGCAGAGGCAGAAAACAGGCCAGGAAATGAATGAATAAGCACTTCAAGTATGCTGAGTGCTCCGAAGATAATGACTCAGAGAGAGCCTGGTAGGTGGCCCCTTTAGACGGTGCGGGTTGGGGGGCCTCTCTTGGAAGCTGATGTTTGATTTGAGCTGACAGCTGAAGGATAAGAACTGGCCATCTCATGAGAAGCCCAGAAAGAGTGCTCCAGAAAGAGCAACCTCCGACTGTCCTGGCCATGCGTTCATTTTCTCCACCAGAAACGAATGCTCTCTACTCCGAGTGCCTTCATATCGACTCCAGGTCTCTCTCAGGGGTCCCGTGACTTCTGATACAGACCCTCTTTCCAGCCCTTAAAAACACTCAGCTTCATTGGTAATAATAACAATAAAGCCAGCACACCTATGCAATACCACTGTCATCTTGTACATTTAGGGGATTAAAAAAAAGTAACTGGTGAGGATCTAGTGAAATGTCTCTCTTATACGCTGCAGGTGGAACTGCGAATTGGGAACCCCTTTGAAAGCAACTGGAAAATATTTATTGAAAGCCATAAAAATGTTCCTATTTCTGGAACCAGTAATCTTATTTGAGGATCTGTCCTAGGGAAATAATATAAACTATGGAAAAAGTCTGTGCACAAAGATGTCCAGTTGAATGTTATTTATAAGAATGCAAAACAACACTGCTTCAGTGTGCAATGACAAGGGAAAGGTGGTGATGGGTCAACCCAATGGTATATGAGGTCATCATGAGAGCTGAAACAGTGAAGCCATATCTTTGCAGTCACATGAATCTTAGCTCAAATCCTGACTCTTCCAGTTTCTTTTTCTTTTCTTTCTTTCTTTCTTTCTTTTTTTTTTTTTTTTTGAGATAGTCTCGCTCTGTTGCCCAGGCTGGAGTGCAGTGGCACAATCTCGTCTCACTGTAACCTCCGCCTCCTGGGTTCAAGTGATTCTCCTGCTTCAGCCTTCTGAGTAGCTGGGATTACAGGCCTGTACCACCATACCCAGCTAATGTTTGTATTTTTAGTAGAGACGGGGTTTTGCCGTGTTGGCCATGCTGGTCTCAAACTCCTGACCTCAGGTGATCCACCTGCCTCAGCCTCCCAAAATGCTGGGATTACAGGTGTGAGCCACCACACCTGGCCTGACCCTTCCAGTTTCTGCTGTGTGATCTTGGTCAAGTTCTTTAATCTCACAGGGCCACTGGGCCTCAGTTTCCTGATAGAACAGGGTATCATTCATCTTATTTTTCATGAGCAGAGGAGTCATTTCCATGAAGAGCTGCATTCCAGGCAGCAGGTGGTCAGTGCTCCAGCAACCCTCCTCCTCCCCCACAGTGACAGCTCACCAAGCACTTTTACTTCCATAATCTCATGCAATCTTGACAACCTCAGGACGATTATTTCCACTTGGCAGATAAAGAAACTGAGGCTAAGTGAGGAGGAGAGTAAAAGTCACCCAGCAGTTAAGAGGGATAATCAGGACTTGTCCCCAGGGCTTCTGACCTTTGCATGTGCGTAGGCAACTCCTACGCATCCTTCAAGACCCAGTTCAAATATCACCTCTTCTAGGGAGCCTGTCCTGATACCTCCCTGTCTGTGCTCCTGTGGCACAGGGAGGCTTGTGACCTGGAGGCATGCAGGGGCTTTGGCAGAAAGTTTAGCTCCAGATTCAAGGCCCAGCTTCCCCCTCCCCCACCTCCTGAGAAGATGGAGTGGCAATCACTCTGGTTATATCTCCCTCCTGATTTAATAGGTGAAAAAGAGGGTTTAACTTTCTTTGGTACTCAGAGGGTGGTGAGGTTAAAAAATGAAGCACGTTCTTCGAAATGACAGCTGTCCTTTTTTCTTCAGCATGGATGACTCTGGAAATGTCCCCTGCGTGGGCATGCGCCATTTAATAGAGCATGGCCTCGGGCCTCAGTTGCCCTGTCTGTCCAGTAGAGTACTTCCTCGGAGGGTTGTGGGGGGTCTGCATGAGTTAATTTATGTAGAGCTTTCTTCACAGTGACTACTGGAAGCATGGCACGAATGTGAGCTATTATTTTCATTAATCTTATTACTGAAGGGCACACTTTGCACGGGGTAATTGCCTGTTTACTGAGAGGCCTCCCCGGGCCAAGCGCAGGGCCCGAGGCAGGGCCTGGCAGGATGCCCGGCTCCGCAGAGCGCAGCGAGGGGAGGAAGAAATGAAGAGATGTCCCCGGGGAGGTGATATTTGAGTGGGGAGAAGACGGAGAGGCTCCGGGAAGGCACCCGAGGCCACGGCCAAGGCAATAATGAAATGCGCGGCTGCGGCTTCCGGGGCGCGCCCCGGGGAGCCCTTGGGACCCGCTAAGCTGGAGCTTAACCCCGGCGAGGGGCGGCGGGCGGCGGCCCGGGGCGGGGGCGGGGTGGGAAGCATCCCACAGTCCGGATCCGCTGGCTGGACAGGGGCGGGTGTCTCCGTGAGGCCCCCAGGCTCGGGTTCTGCCCCACCCAGCGCGGCCCTGTCGCCTCGCCCCGGATTATTTACCCCCAACCCGACCTCACTCCTAGCCTGCAGCTAGGACCCGAGGTCGGGAGTCAGCCAGCTCTCATTCTGGTCCCGACCCAGCCTCTCACCAGCCGTGTGACCTTGGGGAGGGCACTGAACCTTAGGCGCTCCGAGCCTCAGTTCCCGCCTCTGCAAACTGGGAATAATCATAGCGCAAGCATTAGGATTGTTGTGAAACTAAATGAGTTAGTTCAAGGATGTAGAACAGGCACACAGTAAGTGCTCAATAAATGTTGGGGGTTGTTTCTTTGCTTGGCATCTCGAGGACTAGTTTGGGAGTCCTTCGGGGGAAGGTGTTGAGCCTGGTGCTGAAAGCAATGGTTTGAATCCCGTTCTGTCACTATGTGTGTGACTTGGCCAGGCCATTTCTGCTCTTGGAGCCTCAGTATCCTCATCTGTAAGATGGGGGAATGTCCATCTTAAACAGTTATGCAGATGAGGAATAAAACATCAGCTCCCGTTTGGGGAGCCAAGCATGATGCCACCTGCTCTGTGCCTCCACTAAACTCACATAATCCTGGGCATGGTAACCCCTCGGCCATTCCTTCCACTTACAAACTGGGGCTTACGGGGTTTACTCATAACCTGCTTGAGGTCCCACAGCCAGAACGTGGGGCAGCTGAGGCTGGACGGGAAGTCTCTCTGATGCTGTGTGGCTTCTCCCAGCAAAGGGAAGAATGTGTGTCTGTTTTGTCAGCCACAGAACTGGGCAGGGCTTCAGAGAGGCTGGTGAGCCCCAGGCCCCCATGGGAGTGAGGTAGGTCAGGCATGGCCGTGAGCTTGGCAAAGGGCAGGCTTGACCTGAGTTCTCATCTCTGCTTCTTGCCTGAGTGGTCTTGGACAGCTGCTCATTATTGAGCCTCGAGTTCCTCATCTGTCAGGTGGGCACCTCCTGCTTCCTTGGTTATGTTAGCTGAGGTCACTGTAGAAACAAGGAGTTTATCAGAGAGACGAGGGAACCAGGTGAGGTAAACCCCAACCCCAACCCTTCTGCCGGCAGAAGGACCAGCACAAGTCAAGGCGTGGAGGTGTGAAACCGGATGGAGGATTGGCATTGGAGGCTCAGAATGGCAGGAACAGGGGTGGGCTTGCAGAAGAGGCTGGAGAGGGAAACAGCATCCCATGTGAATGGCTTAATGATGAGTGAAGAGCTTGGATTTTATTTCGAAGCAGACTTTGAAGGCTGAGAGTTGAGTTAGGGCTTGGGGCATTAGGTAAGTCCACCTTCAACACCAACAGGAGCACCTGTCTCCCACTGAGAGCCTGCGTCTTGCCTAGCACTTGACAGGTTTCATTTAATCATCCTTAGAACAACCCTCTGTCTCAGGTAGGCATGTCAATAATCCCCATTTGAGGCACAGAGAGGTTAAAGAAGTGGTCTGGGGTCACACAGCTGCTAAGGGTAGAGTTGGGATTTGAAGCAGTCTGGCCAGCTCCAGTGTCCACACCCCTAACCACTTCCCCCTCTTGCCTCCCTGCCTGGTCAGCCCTGAGCACCAGCCCTTCCAGGGCTGACTCTGAGAAGTCCCAAGGTCGTGGATCTCTCTGTCTCTGCCCAGCCTATTCCTGCTTCGCACCTGGGCTCTTGGGCCTAGGTTGACTGACGGTGAAGCTTTAATGGAGTAGCCTTGGCTGCCGAGGCAAGGGGGAGGGGAGCAATCTCTCAGAAATCCAATAAGTCAAGTGACTCAGTGTGCCGGCAGCCCCCTTCCCACCCCCGCCTCAGTTCTGGTCCCGGCTGACTGAGGTCACGGTCACCCGCACTCCACCCCACCCCAGCCTGCCCCAGCACCTCCTTCCTGGCCAGGGTCTTGGGAACATAGTCTGAAGACTGCCCCCAACCTTTGCCCTGGGTCCCCTATCAGGTGCAGCCTCCTCAGTCTCTGCCTCCTGTCCTGCCCCTGTGCCACCCTCCCGGACCTTCCACCTGGGTCATCTTTCCCAAAGGCAAATTGGATCTTGTCTCTCTCCTCCTCTCTGCTGCCCCAGAGTGGGGGTCCCAATCCCCCCAGATAGGCCAGCAAGGTGGTTTGCCATCATCTCCCACCCACCTTCCCAGCTCTGTGTCCTGAAACTTCCCCAGACACAATCAGTAAGCATCTCCTTGTGCCTCCAAGAGTCTCTGAGCTTCTGTAACTAACCGCTGTGCCCCCTGCCAGGAAAGCTCTTCCTCTCATCGTCATGGTAAAATTCTACTTAGCTTTCAAGTGGCACCTCCTCCTGAAAGCCTTCCCTGATTTCCCCTGGCAGGCCTAGTTACTCCTTCCCCTGTGTGCCCCCAATGCCTGGTTTGCGCTGGCGTTAGCAGTGATCCTATTGTATGACAATTATTTGATTAGCCGTCCCCTCTCCCCATCAGACTTTGAAAACTCCTCAATAATATCCTAATAGCTGTCATCACTGAGGGCTTACTATGTGCTGGGTACCGTGCTAAGACTTTACCTGCCTGATTTTCAGTTTTCTCAATAACCCTGGAGGCAGGCAGCATGCCTATCCCCATTTTACTAAGACAAATGGAAGCACGGCCAGGTGAAATGACTTGCCTGAGGTCACACAGCACTTAAGTGGCAAAGCAGTCCCTGCAGAGGTAGCCTCTTAACCAGCCCTCTTTGCTGTTTCCTCTTCCAAGCTCAGGCCCCAGCACAGATCAGCCATGCCCAGAGATCTGCTGAGTGAATGAATGAGCGGGAGACCCCCCACGGCCAGGTCTATAGATTGGGAGGTTTAGGGAAGGGAACTAGCATGGAGTGAGCTCGTGAGTGTGACAGGAGTGCCCCCAGCAGCCCTGGGGCCCTGATACTATTATAGATTGAGTGTCGCTAACGGGAAAATCTGAAATCTAAAATACTCCAGAATTGGAAACTTTTTGAGCACCGACATGATGTTGAAAGGAAATACTCATTGGAGCATTTTGCATTTCTGATTTTCAGATTAGGGGTGCTCAATTGGTACAACACAAATATCCCCAAATCCAAAAAAGTTCAAAACCCCAAACACTTCTGGTCCCAAGCATTTCAGATAAGGGATACACAACCTGTATTTCAGTTCACAGATGAGGAAATGGAAGCTTGGAGCTCTTAAAGGACTCCCCCAAGCCCAGAGTAAATTGGTTGCAGAGGCAGGGGGTGTGTGATTCACAGCCCAGGTTGGGACAAAGGTCTGGGGGGCCCTCTGCTTCTGGAGAGGAGAGAGAGGCTCCTTTTTATTTCACCAAAGCTCCCCCTGCAGAGATTGGGGTCATGGCCTTGACTCTGTTGTCAGGGGGCCTGAGAAGGGCATGGTCGGGACGTTTTCAAGTAAGAATTCAGCTAAGGCCTGGTGAGGAGAGGCCGTGTGAAGTGTCTGCTGGAGGAGGGAGAAAGTGAGTGTAAGTTGTGGGTAAGAACTTGAGCTTTGGAAATGGACAGT